>NC_000008.11:134464222-135089222 GCF_000001405.40 Homo sapiens | reverse complement strand
GAGAGAACATGAGGAAAAGCAGTAAATTAAGTCAAACAGGTGACAGGGCAGGGTCAAGTCAAATCCTACAGAAGCCTTTAACATCTTTGGCTTTTATTTAATATGAGATAAGAAGAATGACAGAAGAAGAAGAAGAAAAAACCGTGACCTATCTTTGAAAATGAATTAATTACCATGAAAAGAACCAGTGTCTCATTTCTTGCATAGTGTTCTATTGTTGCAGAACAATTACGCAAAGTTAGTGGCTTAAAACAACAAACCTTTATTATTTCACAGTTCTGTAGGTCAGAATTCCAGCCAGGCTCAGCTAGGCACTCTGCTTAGGGTCTCACAAGACTAAAATCAAGGTATGGTCTAGACTGCGCTCTTCTCTGGAGGCTACGGGGAATCATTTGCTTCCAAGTTGATTTAGGTTGTTGGCTGAGTTCAGTTTCTTGTGACTGGAAGGCTGAGGCCCTTGCTGGCTTCCATTTGTGACCACGCTAAGCTCCTATAGGCCACCCACATTCCTTGGGACATGGTCCCTCTATCTTCACAGCCAGCAATGGCCCATTGAATTGCCCCCTTACTTCAAATCTCTGAATTATTCCTCTACCATCAGCTGGACAAAACTTTCTGCTTTTAAAGAACTTACCTGATTGGGTAAGGCCCATCCAGTTAATATCTGCATCTTAAGATAACATTGGTTACATTGGGACATAAATTACATCTGCAAAATCTCTTTACAATACTGCCTAGATTAATGTTTGATTGAATAACCAGGGAAACGTAACTTTGGGGACACAATTTTAGAATTCTGCCCACATTCCTTTATTTTTTTTTTAGAGACAGGCATAGACAGGGTCTCTCTCTGTCACCCAGGCTGGAGTGCAGTGGTACAATCATAGCTCACTGCAGCTTGAACTCCTAGGCTCAAGTGATCCTCCTGTCTCAGCCTCCCAAAGTGCTGGGATTACAGGCATGAGCCACTGCACCCAGCCGTATTCCTATTTTGCAAATGAGAAAAATGAGACATAGGGAGAGTGTGGCCTGCCCAATATCACATTACTAATTATAATTATTATTAATCTGTGTTACTGAGTACACTGTTGAGAATAGACTAGGTAGGAGAGGAAGGCAGAAAAATAGGAACAGTTAGAATTCTATTACGTGAATCCAAGCCCAAGTAACTGTGGCTTAGATAAGGGTAAAAACAGTGGAGACTGTGAGAAGCAGTTAGTTCTGGATATGTTTTGAGGGCAGAGTCAACAAGATTTGCTGATGGATTAGATGTGGGATCCGAGAGAAGGTGCCAAGTATGACTCCAAGGTTTTTGGTCTGTGTAGCTAGAAGGACTTTTACTGAGAACACATTTACTAAGTTGGGAGGTCTGGAGGATGAGCAGGTTTGTTGGGGGAAGATCTGGTTTTAGACATGTTAAAATAAGATGTCTCTTAGGCATTCAAATGAGATGTCTAGTAGTATATAAATTTGGAGTTTAGAGGAGGTTGTCAGTGGCGAGATGCTTTTTAAAACTCTGAAACTAGCTGAAATCACAAAAAGAATATAAGTATAGTTAAAGAAGAAAAGAAGTTCAGAAACTGAGCTCTGGGCGCTTAATGTCTAATGTTTAGGGGTCAAGAAAAGAGAAAGAACCCAAAAAAGATGATCGAAAAGGAGCAGCCATTGAAGTAGGGGAAATTCAAGAATGTGGTGTCCTGGAAGCTAAGTCAAAAAAAAAAAAAAAGAAAGAAAGAAAGAAAGTATTGCAATGAGGAAGGAGTGAGAAACCATCCATACAAAATGATACTGACAGGTGAAGTAAGATAAGGACTCAGAACTAACCACTGCAGGTATCAGCACAGAGCTAATTGGTAACCTTAAAAAACAATTTGTTGTGGAAGGATGAGGATACTGCCTTACTGCTGTAGATCCAAGATGGAGTGGAGAGAGATATTTTGCAGACTGTGAGTACAGACATCTCTTTCCAGGTGTTTTGCTATAAAACAAGCAGAGAACTCAAGCCTAGAATGTAAACATCTGGAACACAGTGTTTACACCAGTGAAGCATCACTTACACCCTAACAACAACAAAAAGCTGAATGAACCGCACAATTATAACTTTTCTTGAACCCATCAGATAGCTCAGAACGTAGGGCTACCAAGTAGCCTGAAATCCAAGGAAAAACAGACCTTGAAATCTGGTGCACCTGTAACAGATCACAGGTAGAAAGAGAACCAGGGTACCATATAAAAGTGGCTAAAAAATTAACAAATAGGTAAAGGTTGAATGTGGGCTGAAATGAAGTTATAAAATGCTGAGAGACACAAACAAGAGGGAGTTTGCACCCGCTATTGGGATTTTCTCCATAGGCCTCCACTGAGCAGCCACAAGAAGATTTGAAGCAAGGCCGGGCATGGTGGCTCATGCCTGTAATTCTAACACTTAGGGAGGCCAAGGCGGGTGGATCATCTGAGGTCGGGAATTCAAGACCAGTCTGGCCAACATGGTGAAACCCTGTCTTTACTAAAAATACAAAAATTACCGGGCGTGTTGGCACATGCCTGTAATCTCAGCTACTCTGGAGGCTGAGGCAGAAGAATCACTTGAAACCAAAGGCGGAGGTTGCAGTGAGCCAAGATCATGTCACTCCACTCCAGCCTGAGCAACAGAGCGAGACTCTCTCTCAAAAAAAAAAAAAAAAAAAAAAAAAAAAAAAAAGTTTGAAGGGAGTGCAGGAGACAGGAAAGAGCCTCCCAACATGGTGCTATCCTGGAGGAAGGGAGCAGCAGTCCTGTGGGAAAGGCACAGAACTGCACGCAGGCTGTTATCCTCTATGAATGAAATCTTGAAATACTAGGGGGTGGTGCAGGGGGAGCAGCAAACCCCATGGCCCCAGAGCACAGGTGAAGACTCTTTGCTGCTGGGAGAAAATTAAAGAGTAATAAACCTTCTACTCAGGGGAAGAGGCAGAAAACAGTCCTGGGCCCTGGATTCTCTATCAATGCTGTTAGACGTCACTCATCACCAGAAAAGAAGCACAAAACTCTCTCACACGGGAGAACCACTAAAGACGCAAAGCAGAGTTTGGATGCCATGGAAAAGGAGGGCAGAGCCAATGAGAAAGCATTAACCCTGAAATCCAAGCACACAGGCCCTAAGAGTGAGACTAAATCTAAGCAACAGAGAACTCCAAACCACCCCCACCCACCAACGGGCTAAGAAACACTAACAACCAACAGTATTTCAGCACCGTGGAAAGGGCAAGAGCATGGAAGGAAACTCCCCCTACGGCACAGACATCTGAGGATACAGCAAGAACATTGAGAAAAACCCTCCAGCATCCCAGCTGCCATCCTTAGCGTAAGGTAACACTATTTCAATAGAGAAATTTGAAACCATTTGTGCACTGAAGATAACTATAGCAACAGCTTCTGACTAGATTGACTCAAACCCACACACCAATAGCTTAGCGGAAGAAGCATGCCTATTTCTAGACGTAAATACTATTTACCCCTGTCCCTGCTGTTCTACACAGACTGCCTGGTGTTCAATCAAAACTTAAGAGACACGTACACAAAAAGCACATAAAAACAACCTATAGTAAGGATACAGATTAACGAACAAAACTAGACTCCGAGGTGACCCAGACATTGTAACTGTCAAACAAAAATTTTAAATTATTTGATTGCTATGTCAAAGGCTCTGATAGGAAGCTGGACAATATCCACGACAGATAGAGAATTTCAGCCGCAAGAATTAAGCTATAAGAAAGAATCAAACTGAAATGCTAGAAGTAAAAAGAAAATACAATAACAAATATGAAGAATGTCTTTTATAGGCTTATTAGCACATTCAACATAGCTAAGGGAAAAAATCAGTGAATGTGAAGATAGATAAAGAGATATCATGCAAAAAGAAAAACAAAGGAAAAAGAAGTACAAACTAAAGGCATGACAGCTTATCCAAGAGCTGTGGGACAATACCAAAACATCTAACATATATTTAATAAAATCCCTAAAGCACAAGGCTGAGAAAACAAAATATTTAAAATATTTGGAAAGATAATAACCAGGAATTTTTCCAAAACAGTGAAAGACATCAAACCACGGATTTAACAAGGTCAGAGAACCCCAAAAGGTGAATATTTTTTAAAACCATACTTACAATATTCAAAATGCTGAAAACCAAAGATGAAAGGGAAAAAAAAAATTACATAAAGAAGAGGAGATATAAATTACAGCAGATTCCTCATCTGAATCTATGGAATCCAGAAGACACTGGAGTAGCACCTTTAAAGTACTAAATGAAAAAACAAACAAAAAACTCTCTTAATTTAGAATTAGATACCTAGCAAAAATATTTCTTTCAATAATAAAAGTGAAATAGAAATAGAAATATTTTTCTTCATAAAAATAAAAGCTAAGAGAATTAATTATCAGAAGATTTGTGTACATGGCCTGGCATGATGGCTGATGCCTGTAATCCCAGCACTTTGGGAGGCCAAGGTGGGCAGATCACCTGAGGTCAGGAGTTCGAGGCCAGCCTGACCAACATGGCGAAACACCGTCTCTACTGAAAATACACAAAATTAGCCAGGCATGGTGGTGCGTGCCTGTAGTCCCAGCTACTCAGGAGGCTGAGGCACAAGAATCGCTCGAACCCAGGAGGCAGAGGTTGAAGTAAGCCAAGATTGCGCCACTGCACTGGGTGACAGAGCCAGACTCTGTCTCAAAAAAACAAAAAAAAGATTTGTGTTACAATAAATATTAAAGAAAATAAATCAGACAGAGGAATATAGTACCAGATATTAATCTGGATATGCACAAAAAATTAAGAGCTTTAGAAATTATTAAAATTTAGGTAAATAAAAGATTTATTTTAATTGCTCTAAAAAATGACTGATTCTCTAAAGCAAAATTAGCAACAATGTATTGTGTATTTATAACATAAGTAAAAGTGAAATATATGACAAAAACAGCATAAAATGTGGGAGGGAGAAATTGGAAACATACTGTTTTAAGGTTTTGACATTACATGCGAAACAATATAATATTATTGAAAGCTTTGCTGTGATAAAGATACATATGGTAAACACTAGGGCAACTAGTAAAACATTTTTAAAGAGGTTTAAATAATAAGCCAATAGAAGATATAAAATGGGAACACAAAAAAATTTCAAGTCATCCAAAAGAAGACAGCAAAAGACGGCAAAAGAAACAAAAAAAGATGAAAGTAATAGAAAACAACTGCTAGATTTAAATTCAACCATAACAATAATTGTATTAAACATAAATGATCTAATCCTACAAATTAAAAGACAGATGGGGTCAGATTGATTCTAAAAGCCAGGCCCAACAGTATGCTACAAAACTCTATAAGAAATTCAATTAAAAATGAATATGCCAAAAGTAAATGGATAAGAAAAAATAGACCATATGAATACAAAAGAAAGATAGCATGTCTATATTAATATCAGGCAAATACCAGACAGATATCTAACAAATATCAGATTATCTCAAAACAAGGAATAAACTCCAAGATAAAGAGGGAAATTATCTAATGCTAAATATTAATAGGTGAATCATAAATGTGTATGCACTAACAGAAGTCTTTTCAAAAGCAGGAAAATATGTCGGTAGCTAGAAAGTAATATAGGTTTGAGAGAGGTTTGGGTTTTGTTTTTGTTTTTGATGATGACCAAAATTAGAATTTATATACATGCTGTTGGGAGTGATCCAATTGAAAGAGGAAAATTGGACCACTCCCAATGGAAAGAAGAGAATTTGTGAAATGATTCATTGAATCTGTAAGAGGGTGTGGGGTCTAGTGAACAGAAGTGGAAGCTAGCCTTACATAAGACTGTTCATAAATAGTTTCTCCACTGTAACAGGAGGGAAAGCAGAGAGATAACATCTTTAGGATTAACATGTAGTCTTTTACTTTTACCTTACCCAAGAGTCTCTGTTCTATATTTTATTTTAATATTTTTGTGTTAGAAGATTTAATTTTAAGCCAAATTCAAATACTTTTTTTTGGGTGGGGGAAGCTTGGAATAAATAAATATAAATATATACATTTTACAATTTAACAACTCTCACTTCAAGTTTTAGAGAGACTGAGCATGGATCAGGTAATTTTGGTGAAGGAAAAAGGAGAAGCATAACTCTAAGGCACAGTAAGCTCTCCAGAAGGTAGATTTACTCTGCTGGAGAAGAAGAGTGCATTACAGGGATCTGAGCAATCAGGAAAGAGTTTACAATATCAGGGCCCCTGTTCGGCTAACAGCCTTTGAGTTCCTACTATGTGCCAGGTGCAGTCAATAAGCACAGTCCCTGCCCTGCCCAGAGGGTAAGTAATTGTAAGTTCAAAGAGCTGCCCTGAAATGGGCAGCTGTTAGTGGGGGAGAACCCCTCTGTTCCTGCTTTTTAGTTGAAAAAAATGGGGCAAAAATACGTGCTTTCCTTCCTGACAGTGCCTTATTAAATATTATATGACAATTGCAAATTGCAAAGCCTTGCACTGAAATGTGACATGTTGTGGGATGAAATGGCAGCTAAGGCCCCTCCTAGTCTTGACTTCTAAGTTTCTATGACTGTGAGAGAACTTGACGATTAGATTGAAAAGAGGGCCATTGTGTTTCTATACAAATATGAGTTCAGGTTGTCCGGGTGGGAGGAAATGGACCAGAATGAAATGGAATGGAATGTCATGACATAAAATGGAATGAGATGGGATGGGATGGGACATAATGAGACAGGGCGGGACTGGACAAGACAGGATGGGATGAAATGGGGCAGGATGTGATGGATGGGATGAGATAAGATAGCATGGGACAACACGGGATGGGATGGGATGGGATGGGATGGGATGGGACATGGATGGGGTGAGATGGGAGATCTCTGCCTCATGTCTTCTCATGGACTGACTACTACTTCTCATTTATGTGTCAACTCAAATACTAAATCCTTAGACTTTTCTGACTTACTCAGTATAAAACATTCTCCACGGTTATCCCATTCATATTGTAGCTTCATAAAATTTATCATGATATAAAATAATTTTTTATCTGCTTATTCTTTTATTTTTATTTTTATTTATTTATTTATTTTTTTGAGACAGAGTCTCACTCTGTCGCCCAGGCTAGAATGCAGTGGTGTGATCTTGGCTCACTGCAACCTCCACCTCCTAGGTTCAAGTGATTCTCCTGCTTCGGCCTCCCAAGTAGCTGGAACTACAGGCGCACACCACCATGCCAGGCTAATTTTTGTATTTTTAGTAGAGACGGGGGTTTCACCATATTGGCCAGGCTGGTCTCAAACTCCTGACCTTGTGATCCACCCACCTTGACCTCTCAAAGTGCTGGGATTACAGACATGAGCCACTGCGCCCAGCCAGTTTGTTTCTTGTTTAACAGCTGTACCCCTCCTATTATAAAGTCCATGTGAGCAGGAAAGTTTTCTGTCTTCCTTACCTCTGTGGGTGAATAGATGAATAAACAAATGAATTAAAAGACAGAGCATAGGCTTTGAGGTAAGACAAACTTGGATTCAAATTGGCTGACTGGGTAACCTGAAGAGAATTACTAAATTCCTCTTTGCCTTAACTTTCTTAGTGTTGAAATGCAAAGAGTAATTGCTGCCTTGGGGTTATTGCAAAGATGAAAACAAATGCAACCAGGACAGTGAAGTGCCTGCTACTGTCAACAAATATCAGCTCTCACTTCAGTTCAGAGGAGAAATGCAGTTGGCCAAAGAAACGGGAAATTAAAACAGGACTTCAACTGTGTCCTCCTACCTGAAAGCAGGCTCTGCAGTGGTGTTGAAGCATGCGTGAGAGTGGGTTAGCATAACAGTTCTGATGCAGCCCAGCTGTCTCACCAGTTCCTTGCCCTTTTTCTTCTTTGAGTGACTGGGACTCCATCTGTGGTCCTTCCAGCAGTGTGCCATGTTTTGGGGGCGGTATAAGAAGGGACTTGCCATTTGGGGATATCTGTTTTGAGCTTCCTGCCCAAGCATCACCCACCCCTGAGAATCAGCACCCCCAGACTGTTTGACCAGCCCCCTTTCCCTCCTTTCCCTCATCTGCTCCCACCTCCCACCAGCTGGCCTTGCTGGCTATGATGAGATGGCATCGCCAGCCAGGCAAGAAGATGATGCCACCTGGATTTCTTTAGATTTTTTTCCGAAGGAACCAGGCCAGGGAGAGAAGGGGAGAGAGCCCCCTCGGTCTTGCTCAATGTCTTTTTCATTGCTCAGCAACTTGCCCAGCGTGAATGGGGGAGCCACAGTTCTAACTCAGGCACAACTCATCCCAAGGCCTCTAGTCCTTGGCCATACCATGCTGGGTTTTGGAGTGGATAAACACACAAATTCCTGGCATGCAGTATAGGGGTATGAATGCCTAGTGGCAAGAAAGGGTTAATGGGTAGATGAAAATAAGGATGGGAGAGAAAGAGGAAAAGAGGGAGAGGCAGTGGCAAGTATTCGAGATACCTGGGACTAAGATGTGAGAAGAATTGAGACCTCACACAAAATCAGGATGCTTCCTCAGGCCTGCGGTGTGGTTGATGGGTCGATGATGGGTACATCTTGAACAACAGTGTCAGCAGAAGGGGTGGGGAGTCTTCATTTGTAGCTAGCCAGCCACATTTTCAGAAATCTCTTTCACCCGCATCAGTCCTACCTCCTGCACTAAGTGAGGTGTCTCTCATTCCCCACAGCAGAGCCTTCTTTACCTGATACTCCTTAATCTCCTTCAGTTGCAGAATAATGCCCCGAGCCCCTACCTGTGGCAGACACTCACTAAATATGCAGTTTATCCCAGAGGTATTATTCTCTTCTCATGGTTCTTTAGAAGTCCTAATAACTGACCAAAATTCAAAGTGAGACATGAGGAAGATGCTTTCCCAGAGGTCCTAGGTATGTCCCTTAAAGAACTCTCTTTCTTTTTTTTTTTTTTTTAACTTCAGGTAGAATTAGTAAGTGTATTTTGTTATTGGACTGGCTCTAATTGGTTGTTAACAATAACGCAGAGAGAAAAATTGAGCTGTACTCTCCCCTGTGCTGCCTTTGCCAGGAAGCCATCCGGAGATAAGGTGAGACTGTGCAGTCCCCAGAGTCCCCGAACCATGCCTGGTCAGGCAGCAATGGCAGATGGAGGAGACAGACAGAGGAAAGGGCAGTCTCATCTTTCACTCAGGGTCTATGGATGAGCAGATGTGCCCGGTCTGTTCTCTTCAGAATTGCCCCCAGGTGTCATGCAGAGTCCAAGAGATCATCTCACAGGTTCCAGAGAAACAAACAGTGAGGCAGAAAGACCAGTGGCCCAAGAAGTGGGAGACACAAGTACTCAGTCCTGCATGCCCTGGGTAAATCACTTCTTTAGGCTGAGACTCAATTTCCATTTAGAAAGTGAAGAGTCTTCTAAGGTTGCTTTCAGCTCTCAAATCCTGTTATGCACTGATTGATCTTTGAACTGTCCTGTGACCATTCTCAATCCTGGGAGGAGGAAGAGTGCCAGGGAACACATTGAATCTAGAATCTCTGGCCCAGACATGAGGTCTGGCTCTCCTGAGATCCCTCTGCCCTTGGAGGCGTGGTTCTGTGCCAGGACAGAGGCCAACAAACCTCATCCAGATAGGGGAATTGCCGGCTCAGTCTAGCTGCCACAAAGATTCTCCAGCAGATGGAAGCCCAAGCCCAAAAACTCAGCACCTCCTTAAGGTCTTCCTTGATGTTTCCCCTTTCCGGTCCACTAGCTCCTACTATTTCTGTCTTGCCCTTTACCCTCTAATACTACTGAACTTATAGGAGATACCATGCTCCATGCTTTCTGCCCATCCTCAATGTTGGTCCATTCAAACATCCCTGCCCAAGAACATCTTTCCACTTTCCTTCCCTTAGCCAATGCCTACTCAGCCATCAAGACTGCTGGCAGGCTACCTCCTCCGTGAAGCCTTTCCTTTTACTGTCCCTCAATTCAGGCTAGACTAAATGCCTCTCTCCATCAGTGTTTAGCTATAAGAAACAGAACCACTCGTAGTTGCAAGGAGTCTGGGAAACATAGCTTTTGCTTTCCAGCTTCAGCAGCACACAAAGGAACAGCAAGAGAAAATGGAGAGGATCCTGAAGGTTCATCCACCATTTCTCATTTCCCATTTCTGGTCGTGTCTGCACTGCACAGTGCATAGCATTGCATTCAGGAGGCCAGGTTATAAGTGCCTGCAGGGTGGAACTGGAGACTGGGACGGGGTGGGAAAGGAAGCCGACATCAGAGTGAAATGTCTGAGTCAAGAGGAAGAAGAGCTGAGGGAAACAAAGCCCAGGGTGTGGCCTGAACAGAGAGTAAAGTAGCATGAATGAGAAGGCCACTGAGACAAGGGATTCCAAGGTGAGGGGAATCAGGATGGTCTTCAAGAACTTTAACATCTTGTTCATAGCAGAAAATAAGACAAAGAGGAAGACATTGAGCCATTGAGCCAGCTTTTGAATATTTTAATGATTAGAAGAAGGTGACCAGGAAGTCACTGAATGAGAAGTGAAAGGGAGTGGAATTGCTGTCAACACAGGAGGATGAAATCTCCCTTCTCCAACCCGAGAATGGGAGCTGTGGTGAATAGGCAGCCTCTCCCTGAGAGGATCCCTGGAAAGCAAGGTCCTAGGGGGAGAGTGAGGTTCTTTGTGGGGCAGGAGATTGGGAAGAAGGGGAGGGCTTCTTACCATGGAATTAGGGCCCCTGAGGGCACACATAGGGAGGAAAGTCATTCCTTGGACAATGCAGGATTAAGAAGTGTGTACAAGAAAGGGGAAGAAGGCTCGGGCGTGGTGGCTCATGCCTGTAATCTCAGCACTCTGGATGGCCAACACAGGTGGATCACAAGGTCAGGAGACCAAAACCATCCAGACTAACATGGTGAAACTCCATCTCTACTAAAAATACAAAAAATTAGCCAGGCATGGTGGCACACACCTGTAGTCCCAGCTACTCAGGAGACTGAGGCAGGAGAATCACCTGAACCTGGGAGGTGGAGATTACAGTGAGCCGAGATCACGCCACTGTACTCCAGCCTGGGTGACAGAGTGAGACTCCATCTCATAAAAAAAAAAAAAAAAAGAGAGAGAGAAAGAAAGAAAGGAGAGGAGGGCAGAGAGAAGGAAGAGGGGAATGACAATAGGGAGAACTTGCCATTCCTTCTGCTACAACACAAAGTCGAGGAAAAGACTCATTCCAAGTGCCATTGTCTTGGCACAAGGCATGTCATTCCCAGAGCTGATGGAGGCCCTGGCAGGTGGCTCAGACAGCCAGTGATGGGCATGGCCTTGGAGGACTGTGAGTGTTGGGGAATGGGGGCTTTCCTATGGCACATGGGACCGCTGTGCAGGGCACTAACACAGAGACTGTTGCAGGTTTGGGAGCTGTGAGGACACTTCAGGATGTGCAGAGCAGCACCCTGGGCCCTGGATGGTACCCAGAGGCAGGGAGCATGGAGCTGACACTCTCAGTGCACTCTGGCACTGCTCTGAAGGGAAGGAGGTAATAGAAACCCACCACACTGCTTATGTCTTCCCAGCCCAGCCCCTAGGAAGGCTTGGAAATCATCACTGAACCTCCACCAGGGGTGTTCCCTCCACTTGACCTTCTGAAAACTGAACCAAAGAGAAGAGGATGCCGCTACCTCCACCTCCACCTCCATCAACAGCACTTATTGGGAATATTTGCCCTTTAGGAAAGCCTCATAGCAACCCAGAATCTTTTTAGGCCTTAAAGAAGAATATGATAATGGTAATGTTTCTGAAAATTTGGCAAAGAAATGGAGATATTTTAGAACAAAGAGTTGTTCCTGGAGATTCTTTCCTAGACAGCCACTTTCTCCCCCAACTCCTAAAGTAATTTAAAACAAAGAAATAAAAACAAAGATATAAGGAACAAATCTAATCAAAGACTGCTTCTGTCAAAATCAGTGAGATGGCATCCAGGAGAAAGAATACACGGCCTCCTGAGGAAGCCCACGCCATTTCTGGACAGCGCTTCCGCAGAGAAATATCCTTCAAAATGCTGAGCTCTAAGCTCTGTGAAAGTAAGGTTCTTTCTTGTTTGCCATCATATTCCCAGAACTTAGAATGGCAAGTGTTACATGGTAATTATTCAATAACTATTTGTTAAATTAATTAATTAAAACCCAATTCATATCTTTTGCATCCATTTGTTCTTGAGACCACACGAAAACAGGTGCAATCTGTCTTTTATGTCCCATTTGAGAACACCCACAAATCTCCCCAGCCTAAATGTCATACGTAGCATTTTACTGTCCCTCAATTCAGGGTAGACTAAATGCCTCTCTCCATCAGAGTTTAGCTATAAGAAACAAAGCCACTCCTACTTTCAAGGAGTCTGGGAAACATAGCAGACAACATTGTTTGAATTCTGGCAATACACCAGAAGCAGAGCCTGAGCAAAAGACTTAATGCATGTAATACATGAGGGATACCATCATGGGAAGAACAAATGAGGGATAAGGAGGATGTAGTGGGTTGAGTTACATCCTCCAAAAAGGTGTGTGCTAGTGCCCAGTGCCTGTGAATGTGACCTCATTTAGAAATAGGGTCTTTGCAGATGTAATTAGTTAAGAATCTCATAAAAAATCATATATCTTTATGAAGTAAAACCATAAAGGATTTATGCCAGCCCTAAATCCAATGACTGGTGTCCTTATAAGGAAAGGAGAGAGAGTTGTGGCACACAGAGACAGAGGAGGCATGTGAAGTCCTGGGCAGAAGGAGGCTGATGTTGTGGTTATACTGCCGCAAGTCAAAGAAGACCAGGAGCCAACAGAAGCTGGGAGATAAAACAGAAAATTCTCTCCTAGAGCCTTCAGAGGGAGCATGGCCTTGCAGATACCTTGACTTCAGACTTCTAGCCTCCAGAACTGTGGGAGAATTAATTTCTGCTGTTTTAAGCCATCAATCTTGTGGTATTTTGTTGCAGCAGTCCTAGGAAACTAATACAGGGGATGAAACTCCTATTAGGAGAAAAAGCCGATATAAACTGCGTCATCAACTGGCTACAGCTGAGGCTAACTGGTGCTTGATCGCCACTGGTCTCCATCCCCCTTCATCATGGATGGCCCCATGAGGTGTCACGTCCCCTGCACTTCTGGGCTGCTCATGTGAGAGCTTTAGCAGGTTCCCCTGGGCATCCCAGAGGAATCCTAGAACAGGAAGCAAAAGAGAGGAGGCTGAGCCCAAGACAAGACCTTATGAGGCTGCAAAGCCTTGAATTAAAGCTGGTGGGAAGTTGTGCAGAGTATTGGCTGCTGGGATAAGAGCAGAGGCCGAGAGGATTAGAAGCCATGCACAGGCTGGGTCCAATACACCACAGAACTCCATGACTGCTATTTATTTAGGTTCTATGAGAGTTCCCAACACAGTCACATTATAAAATGAGCATCTGCCCCTTTCTACCGAGGAAGAACTGGCGCTCAAAGAGGCCAGGTGACCTGCCCTTGATCATGCAGTTTGTAAACAGCACAGCCGAGATTTAAACCCAGTAACTGGGACTGCAAAGCTTGTGCTTTCTCCACCATGCCACGCTAGCCCACTGGCTCTGGGATGGAAACAAGTCCGTTCTTCTAATGTAAGGCTCCACCCCTCTTTGCTAGTCACTGGAGCATCCCTTTTGATCCAGTCCTCTGTAATCAGGCAGAGGTTCAGCATTCAGTCCCAGCTGCAGATCAGGTGGCTGCTCCAATGACCTCACTTCCAGCTGTAGGGGTACCTGTAGTCCTAGGAGAGCCACAGCTCCTCACATTCAGGTAGTGCTTCATAGTTGAAAAAAAAAAACAGTTTTAAAGACAAAAAACACATATATTGATTGAGTATTCTTGTACACAGCTCTGAGCTAGGAGATAAAAGTGGTGAACAAGGCAGGTACATACAAATCCCTTGTGGAGTTCACAGATGAGGAGGGACAAATAATCAATTAACTCCGCAGTGAGAATCACTCATCTGCTCAGAACTGTCCAGGGGCTACCATCACACCCTTTCTAAAGCATATCTCGACGATGTCACTTCCTAGCTCAGGAACTTTCATCATTTCCATTGCCCTAGCAGAGGCTTTCAAAGTGTGCAGAATCAGCTGGAGGGCTTAGTATGCTGCAGATTGCTGGCCCCGCCCCAAGAGATCCTCAGGAGTGGACCCAAGCCAGTCACTTTTAACCAGTTCCCGTAGGATGCTGATGCTGCTGGTCCTGTATCCCTACTCCAAAAACACTAGCTTCATAAATTAACAAATATGTGAGCCCTTTAAGGTCCTTGGGAAGCAGGGCCCACCCAGCCTCATCACTCACCCCTAACTCTCACCTCCCACCTTCCAAGCACACTGAACACACCTCCCCTGCCTGGGCACAACCAGTGCTCCCCTGTCTTCCTGCCTTTTCCCCGTCCCAGCTCTTTCTGGTCTGCTTGGCAAATTCCTGGCGATCATTCAAGATCCAGCTAAATGCCACCGCCTCTGAGAAGCCTCCTCCTCTCCCCAAGCAGAATTAGATACCCCTCCCTCTGTATTTTCATAGCACTCCATACTTGACTCTAACTCACAGCACACATGATATATTAAAATAATGTTTGCATTCATCTCCTGTGCTTGACTGTAAGAAGTATAGCTAACACTTTTTCAACACTTACAATATGACAAACACTTGACCTTCTCAATGTATCTAATGCACACGGAAACCCCAGAGATGGGCATTTTTGTTGTCTCTCTTTTGAAGATGATAAAACGAAGACACAGAAAGAGAATTAAGTAATTTGCCCAAAACCACTTAGCCAGTGAGTGGTGGACCTGAGATCTACTCCACATAAGTGGGTTCACCCTATGGCCTCCTTAGGCTTGTATGGTCCAGTGTAGCAACCACTGGCCACATGTGGCTACTGAGCCGTTGAAATGTGGCTGGTGCAACAGAGGAGCTACATTTTTTTATTTTAATTATTTTAAATATAAATTTAAAAACAAAGACAAGTCAGTTATTGGGAAACTTTCAAGAATGTTTGAAACAACCTGGGCTGTTGTGAATGTACTTTTTCTGCTGTCAATTTTATGAAATTTAAGTACAAATCAAGTAATTTCAATGAGAAGTTGGAGTCCAGATAGAGATTTGTTAAATGCATAAAATATACACCAGATTTCAAAGGCTTCATATAAAAAAGGAACGTAAAGTATTGCACATTATTATATTGACTACGTGTTGAAATGATAATATTTTGGATAGTGTGGGTTAAATAATATACATTATTAAAATTAGTTTTCCCCATTTCTTTAATTTTTTTTCAATGTGGCTGCTAGAAAAGTTAAAATTATGTCCATGACTTATGTTTCTATTGGACAGTGGTGCTCTCTATTATGAGATCCTGAAAAGCGAGAGATTGTCTTATAAGCCCAGATTGGTGGGCTGGGGCTGAGAAGGGGCTGCAGGAAGGCTCAGTGGGACTTCCTCCAAGCCCGGAAGTTGCAGGCCAGCTTCTGGCTCCCAGAACCCTCCAGCAACCTTAAATCTTCCCTGGAATAATGCAAGTCCAGAGCTTTGCCAGTCAGCAGCTCACTACCTGGAAGGCACTACTATTTATAGATGATGCCATCCATGGGACGTAATAGTCCCTTGGAATTCTCAGAAGAGTTTGCCTTTCGATTAGGGCCCAGACTAGTTAGGAAAGCAAAGACCAATTTGTGAGTATTTTTAGGCCATTCGATGTACAGTCGGAAATGCTGAAATTCGGATCTGTTTTCCCCTAGGAAGCTGAGCACAGCTGCAAAGTCAAAAGTGGGCTTTTGCACAAGGAAAAATAATTAGCTTCCCTGTTAACAGGCTCCATGGAGGAAGTTAGTGCACGAGTCTGTCTAAAGGAGGGAGGGCTGATGCGGGTGCTGGGGACGGATCTCTCAGAAGTTAATATAAGCAGCCTTTTCAAGGGAGCTCACTGGGAGCTGCTGGAGTGATGAGATTGGATTTCCAGCTCATTCTCTTATTCTCTTGCTGGTCATTTCCGAACATTGCTTAGTGCCAAGTGAGAAAAATTACAAAAATAAAAGCCACTGATAAAGTCCACCACCCCTCCCTGCTCC
Source organism: Homo sapiens (assembly GCF_000001405.40). Classification (NCBI taxonomy): domain Eukaryota; kingdom Metazoa; phylum Chordata; class Mammalia; order Primates; family Hominidae; genus Homo; species Homo sapiens. The sequence continues at coordinate 135,073,123 of NC_000008.11, read as the reverse complement.
TAAAAAACTCGAAATTCTCTTGGTTCAGAGGCATTAATTTGTAATACTGTGTCTCCATGCACAGAATCAGAGACAGGTGGCCTCTAGTATTTTCCTTATCATCAAAACTGTGTTCAGTATATTTCAGTGAAAGATGCAACTTGGAAGGAAGTGACTCATCTTCCACTGTGATCAGTGAAGGGCAGCACTTCCCCCTGTGATGGGACTCACTAAGAGCCACAGCCAACAGGAGAGCACCAACTCCCAGTCTGGAGACCCTGGTGCTGATTGGCTATTCTTGGGCACAAGGCCCTGGGTCACCACATCTGGAAAGTGCAACATCTTTTAGAACAGATGGAACCTCCTGGCATCTCTGAGACAACACCAGGTAGATGTTTCCCATTCTCATTTTGTCTTTTGGTCCTCATAACAGGCTCACAAGCAGGCATGGGAAACCAGCCCAGTTGTTCCCAGAACATTGGGACAGATGTTTACAATCTTTTTAAGTAAACATAGAAATTGACCCTCCTGCTCTTAAAGCTTGAAACTTCCATTTGTCTTATCTGAATTCCTTCCTCAGAAACCCAGCCCTCAGGACCCAGATAGTATCAAGGAACTAAAACTCACCAGGTCACCACATCCAGACAATGAGAAGTCAGACCCCTCATCCTTCATGATTTCCTTAGCCCCTCCTTCCTGTTTACCCACATGTAGTTGCATTTCTTCCCTGCTATATGAACCCCCAATTTTAATTGGTCAGGGAGATGGATTTGAGACTGATATGTCATCTCCTCAGCTGCAGCACCCAAATAAAACCCTGCTCCCCGGTGATAATAATTGTCTCAGTGATTGGCTATCTGTGCCCAAGCAACAAGACCTAGACTAAACCCTTGGCATTTTAGTAACACACGCACACCTACACATACCTTATAATATATAAAGTACTTTACAGTTTCTGGCCACTCTGGGTGCTGACACAGGAACAAGTTCTGTGCAGGACCTATGGCCAGACCAGGCATGTCACCTCAAGGGGAACGTGGTGGCACCCAGGTGAGGGTGCTTGAGATCGCAAAGCCCCAGAGGGGGTGTTACAGTGTTCCTTTAGTTCCACCATCTGCAAATGGTGGTGTGTTAGTAGCTCAGTTGGCCCCTTGCTTCATCACATGGGGCAGGTGTCCTCTGATGGTGAGGGAAAAGGGCCAGTGTGACAACCTTTCTGGGTATCCACACTCAGTGGGTCCTGAGCTCTTGTCCAGCATCCAAGAAGAATGAGGTTACATGGATGGTTGAGGGGTGGTGATGGCGGAGAATTTTATTGAGCAATGAAAACAGCTCTCAGCAGAGAGGAGCTGGAGAGGAGACAGGAAGGGCAGATCATCTTTCCCAAAGTCAGGTTGTCTCTTCCCCAAAGTCAGGCCATCTCCTCCTCTACCAACTGAGTCTGGGGTCTTTACAGGCACAGGATGGAAAGCGCATGCTGATTGGTTTGTGAGTATGCGCAAAAGGTTAAAAGTGAAGACATCACTCAAAGGTGGCCACAACAGTGTAGAAAACCAATTAGGAAAGGGTAGGTGTATGTAAACTAGATGAAGAGTGAGGACCAATCAGAGGAAAGCATGCCAAAAAGGAAGATGAGTTCTCAATCTTGTCCAAGGATTCATTAATAACTTGTAGTTTTGCTTTCAGGCTTGAAACTGTCTTCGGCTTGGAGATGGGGTTTCAATGGGTACCCACCCCTATCTGCCTAGGCATTTAGCTGCTTCCTGTCACTATCAATATGCATTTTTGCCATAGCATTGTTAGGTATCTGCCATGATTATCCCTATTCTCAGATGAAGAAATAGGATCAGAAAGGTTCCTTGCCTTCTATGAGTCACAGAACGAAAGTGAGTGGCAATCAGGACTAAATGCAGATTATCTATATCCAGGCTTGGGATTTCTTTCATGTATAAAGTTTTTCTTCAGCAGTCATTCAACCATCACCCATCAAGTGTCTAGAAGTATCAATAACTCTGTGCCTGCCATATGCTGTGTGTTTTCTAAATGTTAGCTCCCTGAATCCTCAAGCAACTCCATAAAATATGTAATCTCAGGGAAGTCAAGCAGCTTCCAGTTAACAACAGAAGATAGAAACAAGCCTTTATCTTCTCTCCATCCTAAAATTCCACTAAAATAATAATGGATGACATTTTTGAAAGGTGACTATGAGTCTACCTTTTGTGGAAGGGTGACTATGAGTCACCTTACCACATATCATATTTTAGTTTATTTACCTGCATTTCCTAATTTAATGCTCACAAAATCCTACAAGGAGAGTCTTATTATTATTCCCATTTTACAAATGAAAAAACTGAGGCAGAGAAATGCTAAATACCTTATCTAAAGATACACAGCTAAAACATAGTGGCATTTTCCAGTCATGTATCTTCAGACCTTATGCTCTTAGTCCTTACTGAAGCAGGATATTTCCCTGACCCCTTTACAGCATTTGCAACAGGGGTGCCTTGTGCACCCAGTCCACAGCTTTCAACTCCTCACAGGAGAGAGCATGTGAGCAAACAAGGCAGGAAATGGAGTGCATGAATGCTGGGACCAGCCAGCTGCTCTGGCACGAGCAGGAGTGAACTCCACTCACTTGGACCCCCTTCACTCTACCCCTCATGGGACTGAGTGTGCAGCTGAGTGGGTACAGGAGCTGGGGTGAATGCTTTTGGGCACCAGCAGGAAAACTTCACGCAGACCCCACAGCAGTGTCTGAAGGGGCACCCGCAACCCCTGAAGCTGCAGAGGGAGTATTACAGTGCTCTTTCAGCTCTTCCATCCATGGACAGCTTAAGTATTAACAGCTCAATGGGCCCTCTGCCTTTTTGCGTGAGGCAGTTGCCTTCTGCCAGTGAGGGCAAAGTGTCAGTGTGACAGTCTTTTGTATCTACACTTGTGTCTCCCAAGCTCTTGTCCAGCAACCAGGAAAAATGAGGTCACATGAATGAATTGAAGGATGGTAAATGTTATTGCCAATGAAAGTGGCTGTCAGTAGGAAGGGGAGCTGAAAAGGGGAAAAGGCAGGAAGGTAATCTTCCCCTAAGTCCAGGTGTCTCTGGCCAGATTCTTCTCCAAAGTTGTATCATGAAGCTGTCCCTCTGAAGTCAAGATGCTTCTCTCCAATGTCCAGCTGTAGTCTCTGACATCCAGCTGCTTCCCCTCTCTGCTAAGTCTGGGGTTTTTATAGGCACAGGGTAGGGGGCAGGGCAGGACCATGGGTGGTTTTGGAAAAGGCAATGTTTGAGCAGGAAAACAGGGATATAAGTTCTCACTTTGGGCCATAGTCTCAAGCTTTTCGGCTTGAGAGTGGGGCTTCTCCAGGGAACCACCCCTGTCTGCCTAGAATTTCTCTGCTGCCCCTTGTCCCTATCATTATGACTGTAAACAGGTAAAAAGTATTTAGACCCACAATGAAGATAGTACCTGTAGAAAATCCATTAGCAGTTGAGGGGTTTCATCAACATTCTGAAAAACATACAGAGAATGGCAATTGATGTTACAAAGCAGATAGAGCCACAGCTTTGTGTGTTAGCATAGTGAGGTGAACATGAAAAAGTCACATCTTGTAATAAAAAACTCTGGAAAAGTCCAGGACTTGGGAGTGCTCGGTGAGACCAAGAGAAACACGAATACAGGGGACGGGGACCAGGGGAATTTGCTGAAAAACTGGACCCAAATTAGCTTCTCTTCCTCCTTAGCTACATCTCTAGTTGGCCAAGTGTATAATCTGCCTTCTTAATGACACACCTCCACTGCAGGCAGAACATCCATCCAAGGTGTTCTTTTTAACTAAAGACATTATTTCCTGAAACACACACACACACACACACACACACACACACACACACACACACAAAGATTCCTAGTTGGGAATTTGGGATTCCCCGAACACAGTAGCTCAAAATATAAAGAACTAAAAAATATGAAAGAAAAGAGACATAGTGACATGGTCTAATAATTTACTAACATATTGTCACATTTGAAAATACCACTGTAAAGAAAAGTTCTTAAAAACTCAGAGAAGCATTTTCATTTTGAGATGCCAGAGTAAATACATTTCTGCTACTTTCCCCTTCCAAAAATAACAAGAAGAACTAGAAAAAAAGCTATGTATTTCTTAACACACTCTATAGAAAGATGGACAGCAGAAGGAGGAAAGCAAAGCACTTAGCAGAGAGAATGTTTCAATCCTAAGTCCCTATAAGGAGAGGAAGCCACCCAATTCACCCCTCCAGGAACACAGAACGTTTCTAACTGTCACTGGAAACTGAAAGTACCACGTACCACTGAAGGCAATAAGAGATGGGTGGAGTGAAATGCCGGACACAGAAGTGTGGTTGAAAAGTTTGAGTAACAATTTAGACACCCAGGTCTCCATCCTGACCCAAGGCATCATATTTTATTCTCCTGGAGTACTAAGTTGAGTATTGAGTCCGTAAACAGGTAAAAGTCTAGATATGCAAATAGGGGGAGGGAATCTTGATTTAAGTATCTTTCTAGAGAACAATAAGCCTGTACCAGGAAAAGACCTACAAATCCCTAATGAATTAGTGTCATCTGACTTCACACCGCTCTACAGTGGAGCCCACCAGTGCACTCACAGCTTGCTTCCAGTTTTTAGCATCTTACTCATTAGTATGAACAGACAATTGAGAAGTACTAAAAATTTGCAGAAATTATCCTACTTGAAGAAACCTGAACAAAGAACAAAGAATACAGAGGCAACAGAATTAATGCAGAAAGCACCAAAAAAAACTTCAAAGAAAATGTAATTAATATCCTCAGAGAAATAACGGGAGATGTTATAATCCATAAAACAAGAAAAATGCATTCATTAAAAAATACATTTAGATAACAAGTGAGAGTTCTTGGAAATTAAAAATATGATGACTCAATTTTAAAAAAAATTCAAAATAACTGCATAACAATAAAGTCAAGAAATTTTCCCTGAAAGGAGAATAAAAAGATAAGCAATAACAATAGAAGAGGAAAGATGAGAAAATTAGACGATCAATCCAGGAGGTTGAACATCTTACTAATAAAAATTTTCAAAGAGATCAGAGAAAATAAAGGGGAGGACATTTTTGCAGAAAAAAAATGCCAGAGTATTTCCTAGAATGGAGGTACACAAGTTTTCTCTGAGTAATAAGTAAAAAAAGAAATTTTAAAAGTTCAAAGCCCCAAAGCAAAGTACACATATCACTGTGAAATTCAGAACAAAAGAAAATCTGAAATGCTTCTGTAGAGGGAAAAAAAATATGTATATATTTCCATGTATATATATATGGAAATATGAATGGCATTTGGGCTTTTCAACAGGAACATAGGGAGCTATGAAAATGGTACAATTACTTCAAAATTCTAAGGGAAAATGACTGACACTTTAAACATCTATAGCCATCCAGATTGTAAATCAAGTGTGAGCATACAGCAAACATTTGTTTTAACATGCTAAGTTTCAAAAATACAATTTCGACTTACTTTACTTCTTCTCAGGAAGCTACTGGAGGAAGTATTTCAACAAAACTGAGGGGTAAACCAAGGAACAGAGAAACCACTGCAGGGGTGGGGTGAAGGGAACACCAAGGATCATGGCTCATGGATGTCTAGGACCACAGCTGAGGAGCATATTTAGAGAGCAATTAGTCCCATATAGCAACAGGAGGATGGAGGCACCAAGAATTTCTAGGAGAAAATTTAGAATGCATAAAGTATTTGACAGGTTTGACAATGTGAAAAGCTGATTCTATATGGTATAACAGAGTTGTTATAGGGTGTAAGAAAACAGCCCAATGATAAGAGCAAACACATAAATAATGCTTACTATTTTCTAGACCCTGGTTCTTATCAATTTGCATATGTAAAACTAAGTAAATAACAAAAACATAGGCAGTTGTTAACTCCAGGAAAAACTGAAAACTTAGAGAAAAAATTAAAATGTATTTATTGCATACTACTAGGCTCAGCAGTGAAAAACCTGTATATAATTATAATAATAAATTTGAGTTTAAAATGTGACATTACTCTATTGAGAGGATAAGGTAAATAAGTTGAGAAAAATCATAATTCCTCCCTTACCACGAGAGGAAATCAGTAGAAAGTGCCCAAAATTTTACCTAATAAATAAACATAAATGTAGAATTATGAAGTTACCTATTAGAAGTAATGACTAAAAGAGTTCAAAGGGATGGCCTGTGAAGCTGTGAATGGGTTTTGTCATAAGCTTTGTAGCCCTCTAGTAAATTCCACTGGTTCTTTGCCCAGGTCCCCTTTCCTCAGGGGATGTACCTAACCCCCAGTATTGTAACAGTGGCCACTAATGCTCACAATTGCACCCTTTTCCAGAAAATTTTACTCAACCAACAGGATCAGCATTATCTGGAAATGTCTAGGAATCTATGCCTTCCCTCTGAGAATAGCCACAAGGTAATGACAGCCTGATATGGAATTTTCAAAAGCCTATCATCACCCTTTCTTCAAGTTGGAAAAACTGTGGGGTGCCAGTTATGCTTCAGGGCTCCCCATGTGATAAGACTATGTTTAGATTTCAGCTGAAGCCACCTCTTTGCTTTGATTTCCCCCTTCCCTATCCTGCTTCCTTCACTTCCTAATGGAGTTCTCCTGAGTATGCTCCCTTGATGACTCACTTGCACACGAATCCCTGTCTTAGGCTTGGTTTCTAAGGAACCCATCCTCAAGCAATTGGTACTAGTGGTTCTATGAAGCTAAGGATGGAGGTAGACTACTTTCCAGCTGCTAGCAGTGTGAATCCAATCACTGGTAGTGTTTTGCTAGTAGACCCATTTTTGAATCTTGAACTATAAGATTTCCCTTAATCCATAGGGCCTGCAGAAGTAGCCTACCTTCCCTCCCTTTTTAGATAGTATTCCCACTTAATTGACCACTGTACTGAAGTCTCAGCCAAGACCTAGTCCTGCCTTTCTTCCTGGCCACCAGACAAACAACAGGGACCAAATCTCAGCTTGGCTTTAGTGGCTGTGTTCTGCCTGCTGAGCAAAGCTAGGTATTGTACACCAAAGAAGCTGCAGTACCTGTTCATTCACTTACATGGACAGAAAAGTAACCAGAGGAAGGATAGACATAAAGCAGGGCTAGATGGTTTGGCTGGTTTGTCAATGACCTAAAAGCAAAATTAGAAGACTGGGAACAAGGAGGTATAGGAATAAGGCACGTAGGTGGATCTAGGGGAGAGAATCTTTGCAGAGCATGTCACAAAGCCTGTCAGAGAACACCCCACAAAAGCAGCATTACACAACTGTGGGACGGGATGACTTAACCAGGACATGTCCCTGACCTCTGTCATTGGCTACCCTAGTTCTGTACAGCAAACATATGCATAAACAGAGCAGCCATGGTGTAAAGGAGGGGGAATGCATGGGCTTCCTCTCCGCAAGCATTATCCAGCTACTGACACACTGAAAGTCTGACTTCAAACAACATAGACTGATGCTGAGTCCCTGATATGGTACCAACAAGACTTTGGATGGTTGTTTACATCACAGTCCCCTCTAGTCTGGAACGGATAGCAATATACCCTGCTTGGGATGGACTCAGGTGTTGATTATGGGTCTGCTGTTCCCACCACAAGGCCTTAGTTAGTGCCACTATCTGAGGGCTCATGGGGTGTCTGATCTGCTGATCTGGGATTCCCTGCATAACATTGCCTCAGACCAAGGGACATACTGTGTAGCAGAGGAAGTATAGTGCTAACATGACATGGAAGCCACTGGACCTGTTATATACCATACGCCGTACCATCCAGAAGCTGCCAGCCTGAATGGCCAAAAGAATGGCCTCTTGAAGGAACAGCTAAGGCACCAGCTTGGAGATGATACCCTGTAGGGATGGGGTGATACCCTTAAACCATGGCCATTGCATGGGCATGTGCCCAAAAGTAGTTAAAATATATGGGTGTGGGAATCCATATATGCAACCAAGTGGAAGAAGTAGGAGTGGCCCATCCAGTATCGGTCTCAGTAACCCACTTGAGGAATTTGGATTTCTGATCCTTGCAACTTTGGACTCTATGAGATGAGAGATCTTGGCTCCCAAAATGGAGGAAGGAGAGGAGGCAATGCATCTAGCTGAAAACAGAGTAGGATACCCCTAAATTTAAAGCTATGGCTGTTGCCCAGTCAGCTTGAGCACCTTATAATAGTAGACCAGTAGACCACTATGGCCTTACCACACTAGTAGGGTCATTGGTCCTGACCATCGTGAGGAGGAGGTAGTCCTGCTCCCACAAGATGGTGCCAGAAGGAATACAGATGGCGCTCAGGTGATCTGCTTGGCAACTCTTGCCTTTCCCTTGTCCAGTTTTAACTGTAAATAAGCAATATAAAAACCATGGCCTGATAAGTTATGATGATGACCAGGGATTCAGCCCCCTCAGGGATGAAGATCTGGATCACCCCACCCAGGAAGCCACTTAGCCCAGCAGAAGTGCTATCTGAGTGAGACGGAATCTAGAATGAGGAGAGGAGGGAGGTGATGAGTAATAGATATGGATCCAATTGTAACAGGGGGGACTGTCATTCATCCCACCGACCCTCCTAATCTAAATTTCCCCAGAAATTATGACCCATCAGAATCCTGGAAAAGCTGTGTGTGGATGAAGTAAATTTTTTGTGAATTCCAATATACCAGGCAGAGGAAAAGGGGACTATAATAAAGGCTGGTGGTGCTCTGCCCAGATCCCTGTTACTGGTCAGCATACCTATTCCTTAATGGCTAATGGCTCACAGCTGCCTCTGTCTAGAGAGAATTGACTTCAGATGACAAGAATTGCTGCACCTGGAAATATCTGGGAGTTCATTCTCCCCACCCCCGCCCCAGCCACACACACATGGGCAGGTACCAGCCAAGGACTGGGATGCAGAGATACTTGCCTCCAGGAAGGACAGCTCTCTGGGCACTTCTGATCTCTCCATGGGATAAGGCTGAGGCTGTACTTCAGCTGAAATCACCTGCCTCTCTCCTTCCCTCACTTCCTGGAGGGTTTTTCTGGAGGTCACTTTTTCAGTAAATCACCCCCACAAGAATCCCTTTCTCAAGTTGTGCTTCTAGAGAGTTCTACAGAACTTAAACACTATTTGACTTTTGAAACTGCCTATAGCAATACTTCAACTGCAATAACACCTTTTTAAGATAATAAGAGCTTCCAGAAAACTGGGGCGGGGGTTGGTGAGGGGGAAGTTCCTGTATTCATTTAGTTGTCTAGGGCTGCCATACAAAGTACCCCAAACTGGGTGACTTAAAACAACAGAAATTTATTCTCTCACAGTTCTGGAAGCTGGAAGTCCAAGATCAAGGTGTGGGCAGAGCTCTGCTCCCTCCAAAGCCTCTCAGGAAAGACCCTTTTTTACCTCTTTCAGCTTCTTGGCTCCAGGCATTCCCTGGCTTGCAGCAGTACAACTCTAATCACAGCCTCCATCTTCACTGTGTCTACGTCCAGATTTCCCTCTTTTTGTAAGGACTCCAATTATATTGGATTAAAGTCTCACCCTATTTCACTATGACCTTATCTTAATTAATTACATCTACAATGCTTCCATTCCCAAATAAGGTCGCATTCTGAAGAACTAATGGTTGAGACTTCAACATATCTTTTTGGAGGCTGCAACTTAACCTATAATGGTCTTCTATGAGGAATGATAATCCAAATGGCGGTGGATGTCTTGCCATGCACACTCAATGCTAGACCAGGGAGCATATTTTAAATACTGAAGAAAAATCATTTCTAGCCTATACCTAGCTCAATTAGAAAATATCTTCATGTTCAGACATGCAAGGTTCTGAAAATTTGCCTACGTTTGCCTACCTTTTGCTTATTTGGCAGCAAAGAAGGATGTGCGCTCGCAAAATAGAGCAATAGCCCAAGAAAGAAGGGAGTAGAAGGCAGAAAACAGAGGTCCCACCTAGGTGCAGGTACAAGGGATTTCCAGGATGATGGCCATGCATCCCAGAATGGAAACTGGTTCAACCTGCAAAGGAACTTTAATAAAAAATGCTGAGCAGACTATCTGACTGGCTAGAGCTCTGCAGGGAAAATATGGAGGAAAATTCTAAAGAAGATATTGCAATAAGAAAAAAAGAATAATAATCAGAAATTTTAGAAAAAGTGAAACGGCACAAAAACTGCAGAAGGAAGGAAATAAAATCACAGCATACCACCTGGCTCTAGAGCAAAGTTTAAAATACTGAAAACCCTGATAAAAACAAAAGTTAAATAAACATCATGATGTAAATTTGTTGAGAGAATGTGGGGATGGTTAAAGGGATATTTATTAAAGGAGTTAAGTCCTAATACAGTATGGCAATATGTCAATAGATATTATCTAAATTTGTAAAGCAAAAAGAGCAATTTAAGCCCATTATTTAAAGAAATTGGAGATAACCACCAGAACAAATAGTTCAAAGAGTTAAAAGTGATTGCTCATAAGGAGCAGGACAGAGAAGGGGAGATCAGAAGAGGATGCCATTTTCATTATAAAAATGTTTTACTTAATTTTGGTAAAGCCATGTGACCTATTCAAGTTACTAGAAAAGACTTTAGTAACTCACACACAACTACACAATCAGTGTGTGTCAATACTGGGAATTGACCCCCCAAATCTCTTATTTTATGCTTACGCCTGTCCTGCATACTTTGTCCTGTTCTGTCCTGTATATTTTGTTGCCTACTAATTAATAGATGATGTGGCTTATCCTTATGATGTGGAGGTGAAAAATAAAAAAGAAACTGTTCTTGCCCTAAATAACTTTCCAACCCCCACGTATGTGGGAGCATGAAGATACACACACGTAGAATTAAAATATGTTGCAAGAAAGGCCAAAACAAACAAAAGATATGTATGAACGATTAGGATGTTAGAAATACTCTTGAATATAACTTTGGAGACTTTCATGGCTTTTCAGAAGAAAATATTGCTCAAATCATGTGGGCAGTTCTGCAGGATCAGGCAAATAAACTTCTGTCTACTAAAATTGTTTAGCCCCAAGGGGGCTCTTTGGACATAGGTTCAGGTAATTCTGCAGCCTTAGCCTCTCCATAAATGGAAAGACCACAGGTCCAGAGCCTGGAGCACAGTGGAATCTGAGGTGTAGGCTGTGGCCAAGGAAACTTCTCAGCAGTGTCCCAAGAGGAACTGTGTTGGGTGTTGCTAAAACACAGTGGTAATGTAATGTGTGCCATGAAACAAATGGAGGCAAGCTTTCTGCTTCCACCCTGGGCTCTGTTTCTTCAGAAGCAAGTTAAGAAGAAGGGGAGATGGAGCTGTCAACTCTCTGTACATAAATTCAGAAGGATGAGCAAAGGCTGGCAGGATGATGGATAATTCTCTACAATAGATGTACATATTCTTATCCAAGAAAGCAACCATTGCAGCAGAGTAAAATATGGAATATGGAACAGTGGAGAAGAATGTCAGCAAGTAGTACCAGCTCAGTGAAAGATTATAATCCAGCAGAATCAGCACTAGAGTGACAAATAGATTTTACCCTATCCCAAAGCTCACCATTTGGTCTTTTTTATCGGGAACAAAGCCTTGAGAAAGATTTTAAGGTACTCTGAGATTGTCAGGAAAGAGCTGCAATTAGCAATACCTGCTGCCGGCCACAAAAGGGGAAATGTTGGCTCATTTGCCTTATATTGTCAACCGTGGCTTCTAACATTCTCAGCAAATGAATTCACACCTCCCCAGGGATCAGCGTTTCTAAAGTGTTGAGAAGGGTGTACTTTATTAAGAAAATAAGCAACCCTATTCTATTTTTTTGTTCAAATTGCCAAAGTGCACACTTGTGTTACCTTTACAAAATGAATGAAACTTACTGAAGAGATTTTTTTTTCATTAGAGACAAAAAAAAAAAAAAAAAAACTCATTGACATTTGGGTCAATTTCCATCCAGCTTTATCTCTATGAATACATTCTCAAATATAGGATTATATCTAGGTTAGAAAACTGTGGAGCTCATAGTTTTCATTCCATGGTTTGGGTTTAATGAATCTCAATCCAGTTTAGCATTTTCTTTTATTTATAACATATTAAATTGTTAAAGATTTATTTAGGAGCTAAAGCTGAATGTTGAAAGGGTGTGTCTACTGGATGCCCATAGAAGGATGGGCAGTTGATAGGAGGACTGAACTATCCCTAATTCTAAACTTTCAACTAATTAAATATTTCTTGAAACTCTGCCCTGAGACAAAATGGAAACCAATCAACCAAGGTTCTCAAGGAACTAGCTATTGAACCAACCCCCTGCCCCCATGCCACAAACTGCCACAGACTGACGAATCACTAAAATCAGTGTTTCTTTGGTTACCCAGAAGATTTGATAATTTACAAAAATGGGCTTTTGGCAAACTGATCAATGTTCAAGCTGAGTTTCAGTGGATGGATTATCATCAAGTTGAATCAGGGCCCCCTTTAAACATTTTGGAGTTGGCAGAGCTCTGGAGGTCATTTTACAGAAAAAAAGCCAGGCTTTCTAAAGGGAAACACCCAAAAGTCCCATCCCATTTAGAAATGAAAAGTTAAAGAAACCTGTTGTGTTGACATGGGATAGGCCCAGACGGTGTCTCCTGACAGGTAAGGATACCAAGGACCCCAAAAAAGGCAGTTACTCCAAGGATGAGAGGAGAATGGACTAGGCTAGTGTCCTAGGCAAAGCACAGAGAGGGGTAAATGAGAGATGTTTGGGACCAGAGTTTAGCTAAACGTGGAAGCCACTCCAGATCCAGTCATCACTGCCAGGCTTGCAAACATTAGCCTCTGGTACACCCCAGTGACTCCCACAGAGATCTGTACCAGCCAGGCAGGCATAACAATAGATGGGCATTTCCATTGGCAGCACTCTCTGGCAGTGACAGAAACTGTTAGAGATTCATCTTCTCATCAGTCCAGCAAGCCCCACAACTAACTCCAGAGACCTCTAGAGAGAGCTATGTACTTTCTCAGAAGTTTGAGGAATCTCATAACAAATTTGTTTGCATAAATTAGGGTATGTATTTGCACCCCAGCTGGTGGCCTAAGCCAAACCCTTCCCACAAAGAATGGAGCCTGCACAAAGAATCAAAAGATTCAACATGTGTGATGTGCATGACACATGAATAAAGGGCAGATGCTCAATGGACATCTGTTGCGTTGCTTTGCTTTGGAAACAAGGGGAAGAAACGAGGGCCTACACTCTGTTTTTGGGGATTTGGTTTTGGTGGTTTGTTTGTTTGTTTTTGCTGTTGTCGTTGTTTTGAGGAGAGAAGATGAGATTGGTGAACCAAAGAATAAATAGTACAGTGAAATCTTTGGGCCTTGGAGGAAAAAAGACCCAGTGGCTTTTTCCCTGCTGATATTTCCAAATGATAATTTGGAAATATGATAATTTCCTGCTGATATTTACCAAACTTTAGTCCTTTGCAAACAACTGTCCCAATTTTTGTCATACCTATATACTACACCATTTATACTATGATTTACTTAATATATTTTTAATTGGCTTGCTTTCTATTTACATTTTTTAAAATAGACTTTGTTATTTAGAGAGGTTTTAGGTTCACAGTAAAATTGAGTAGAAGGTACAGAGATTTCCTATAGACTCCCTGCCCCAATACATGCATGGCCTCCTCTGTTATTTGTGTTTCCCACCAAAGTGGTACATTTGTTACAATTGATGAATCTTCATTGGCATAACATTATAACCTAGAATCCATAATTTACAGTACAGTTCACTCTTGGTAGTGGTGGGCATTCTATGGGCTGGAACAAATGCATAATGCCATGCATCCACTCTGCCATTACAGAAATCCACTGCCCTGAAAATCCCCTGTGCTCCACCCATTCATCCCCTCTTCCCCCTCAGCCCTGACAACCACTGATATTTTGCTGTCTCTGTAGTTTTACCTTTTCCAGAATGTATGTGGCTGGGATCATTTAGTAGGTAGCCGTTTCATATTGGCCTCTTTCACTCAATAATGTGTATCTAAGATTCCTCCACGTCTTCTCATGGCTTGGTAGCTCATTTCTTTTTAGCACTGAAAAATATTCAATTTTCTAGATGTGCCGTGATTTACCCATTTACCTACCAAAGGACATTTCAATTGCTTTCAAGTTTTGGCAATTATGAATAAAGCTGCTATAAACATCCATGTTCAGGTTTTGTGTGGACATGTTTTCAGCTCCTTTGGATAAATACCAAAGAGCACAATTGCTAAATCATATATATGGTAAGAGTATGTTTAGTTTTATAAGAAATCACCACTCTGTCTTCCAAAATGGTTATACCATTTTGCATTCCACCAGCAACAAATGAGAGATCCTGGTTGCTCCACATCCTCCCCATAACTTAGTGTTGTCAGTGTTCTGGATTTTTCCCAGTCTAATAGGTGTGTAGTGGGATCTCATTGTTGTTTTAATTTGCTTTTCCCTGATGACATATGGGCATCTTTTAACACGCTTATTTGAAAATAAAAAAATCTTTGGTGAGGTGTATGGACACCAAAGGTTTTGGCCCCTTTTTTCATTTGATTTTTTGTGTTCTTACGGTTCAATTTTTTTTGTAACGGAGTCTTGCTCTGTCGCCCAGGCTCACCTCCCGGGTTCACGCCATTCTCCTATCTCAGCCTCCCGAGTAGCTGGGACTACAGGCAGCCGCCACCACGCCCAGCTAATTTTTTTGTATTTTTAATAGAGACAGAGTTTCACCATGTTAACCAGGATGGTCTCGATCTCCTGATCTCGTGATCCACCTGCATCAGCCTCCCAAAGTGCTGGGATTACAGGTGTGAGCCACCGTGCTCAGCCCATATGGTTGAATTTTAAGAGTTCTTTGTATATTTTGGATAACAAATCTTTATCTGCTATTTGCTTTGCAGATGTTTTCTCATAGCCTGTGACTTATCTTTTTATTCTCTTGACAATGTATTTCACAGAGCAGACATTTTTAATTTTAATGAAGTCCATTTTATCAATTATTTTCACGGGTCATACTTTTGGTGTTGCGTCTAAAAAGTTATCACCAAACCCAAGGTCATCTAGATTTTCTCCAATGTTATCTTCCAGGAGTTTTATAGTTTTGCTTTTTACATTTAGATCTATTATGCATCTTGAGTTAATTTTTCTGAAGAATGTAAGGTCTATGCCCATAATCATGTTTTACATGTATAATAGACGTCCAGTGGCTCCAGCACTGTTTGTTGAAAAGACTATCTTTTCTCCATGGTATTGCCTTTGCTCCTTTGCCAAAGATCAGTGGACTTTATTTATGTGGATCTACTTCTGGGCTCTCTATTCTGTTCCACTGCTCTATTTGCCTACTTTCACCAACACCACATCAATTTTTTAATAAAAAGTGCTATATTATGGGTTTTATGTGACAGTTATCATTTTTCTAATTGTATTAGTCCATTCTTGCACTGCTATAAAGAAATACCTGAGACTAGGTAATTTATAAAGAAAAGAGGTTTCATTGACTCATGAAATGAAATGAGTCAATTCTGCAAGGCTGGGGAGGCCTCAGGAAACTTACAATCATGGTGGAAGGCAAAGCAAAAGCAAGCACCTCCTTCACAAGGTGGAAGGAGAGAGAGTGAGTGCCAGCAGGGGAAATGCCAGATACTTATAAAACCATCAGACCTCATGAGAACTTACTAATCATCACGAGAACAGCATGGGAGAAGCCGCCCCCATGATCCAATCACGTCCCACCACATCCTTCCCACGGTGCGTGAGGATTATGGAGATTACAATGCAAGAGGAGATTTGGGTGGGGACACAGCCGAATTATATCCCTAATATACATGAAATTGTAAATATCTATTAGTGTAGCACCTAAAATCATCATAAATACTGTCTTTGGCATGTGTCCCACACTGTGAAAAATACTAGTACGGCACAAAAAAAAAAAGGGCTGGGGAACTAGTTAGATAATGTGCTTACAGACAAGCTGTATGACATTATAAACTTGACCTGTCTGAAGCTTCATTTCCTCTCCATCATAGTGGGGTGTAATGGCCACCTATTGCCATTTCTCCCTGGCCCGTACTCTGTAAGCATTACTGTATGCCTCTCCCATCCTGCCACTCTCCCACTACAAGGGGTTTACAGCAGTCCTGGTTTTTGTTGCAATGCCTTTTCTCCCCAGCTGCAGATGATTAGACCCTTTCTGAATATTTGGAATTAGAACAAAGAGAAAGGCCATTTGAGTGTTTGAATTCATGACATGTAAACTCAGGACAGACATGATGCTACCATGTTTCTTTAGTGACGTTTGGGGCAAGCTTATCTGGACAGAGAGAGAGTGAGAGAGAAACAGAAAGAAAGCTCTTCAGAGGGGAGCAGAGATAGGGACAGCAGGGAGTAAGACCACCCAGCTTTGTAGGCTGTGGTTCAAGCACCTCCCTGAAGTGTGCTGATTCTTGCTGTTAGGTTGCATGAAACACTCTTTTATCTATTTTGTTTTTTTTTTTTTTTTTTTTATGAAACAGAGTCTCATTCTGTCTCCCAGGCTAGAGACCAGTGGCACAATCTCAGCTCACTCCGCATCCTGGATTCAAGCAATTCTCCTGCATCAGCCTCCTGAGTAGCTGGGACCACAGGCACACACTACCACGCCCCACTAATTTTTGCATTTTTAGTAGAGACGAAGTTTCACCATGTTGGCCAGGCTGGTCTCGAACTCCTGACTTCAGGTGATCCACCCACCTCGGCCTCCCGAAGTGCTGGGATTACTGGCATGAGCCACCACCACGCCCAGCCGAGACACTCTTTTATCTTAATAACAACTCCCACACACATTGTCTAGGGTTTAAATTAGGCTGGCCTTATTTCTACTACTTGCAGGCACAGGAGATAAAACTAATGCATGGGATTCATGACTTCCTGAACAGACACTTTGAGGATTCTATGAGAAGAAACACTTGAAAAGGCTCAGAGTGGGCTCTCAGGAAGGGACCGTTATTATTACCTCTGTGGCATTCCATTACACGTCTTCATCCCCTGCGACCCCTTTCTGACTCCCGAGGATCACAGAGGAAATAGCTCTCTGAGGTGAGAGAAGATAGTAACAGGAGAACAGACTGTGGGTGAGAAAACTGGGACCCTTGTGAAGAGACAGAGAGGAAGTGTGACAAAGCCGGTGATGGAGAAGCTGTTAATGAACCTCACAGTATTATCAGCCAGGAGGTGCCAAACCTTCGTAACTGCATTTGTCCCCATTTCACTTTCTAGAGGAAGCACAAGGGAAAGTGAGAACATAGCCTTTACAGTCACGTGGAACCTAAGATGAATTTTGGTTCCAATGCCTATCAGCTTTGCCACGCCTACCACCTTGGTTTAGTTTGCTCTTTTAACGAACTGTCAAATTCCTACCCAGGTCCAAAGTCCTGGTGAATATATATTGAAGAAAAAAATGTATCTCTAAGCAGCAGACACAAAGTAAGCGTCCAGCAAAGGTTAATTTCCTTCCTTCCTTCCTTTCTCCCTTCCTCCCTTCCTTCCTTCCTTCCTTCATTCCTTCCTGTTGTGTGTTGCAGAAAACGTCTGGGGCTTGGGGTGATCACTTACAGGAGAGAGAGGTAACTTGCGGGCTCCCTCTGCCTTCTTGGCTTCACTGAGCAGCTTTCAGAATAGGGTGAAAAAGGTGGCCATGTTCTCGCCTCTCCACGGGGCCATCTGGCTTGCTCCTTCTGCTCTGACACTCTGCCCCTAGCTTCTGCATGGATAGCTCTTCTTATCTTTCATGCTGTAGCTCAAACTTAATTTCCTCTGTGACACTCCCCATTCTTGTTCATAGACTCTCTCATGATTTGTAATTACAGATTGATTTGTCTGCTTACTTGTTTAATTTGTGCTTCTTCTGCCTCCTGCACATCTGTGTGGACATTTCTCTGATTCCTTTCCCCTTCCAGCCCTCAGTGAAGCATTTTCCGCCCTGCTTCCTCATTCGCCCTGTTGGCCCCAATGACTGGCTTGCTTCCTCCCACATCCTAACTGGGGCTGGGCCAAGGTCCCAGCATGCCTTGCAGCTGCATCTGTCCACTATAACAAAGGTAGAAGAAGCACAGCGGTGGGGCTGGGGGGAAGCTGGATTTCTCCCCAGACTCTGACCACCTTCACTCTGGCATTCACCCTCTGGAGTCTCTTCTCAGCACACATTGTCCCATGGCTGTGCCAAGATCCTAGTCACTGCAATGGGTTGCCCCAGAGTAGCCATCTGAGAGCAGAAGGACGTGTCTTAGCCTACCAAAGGGTCACGGGACCCTTCTCCTCTATTGCTCAGAACTCGCCAATCATAGGTCAGCCCTTTGGAGGAGAGTGCCTCATGTGAATACTGTGGTCCAAAGAGGCTACCCAGGAAACCCATGACATCCCAGTCAGATGGGAATGAGGCACGGAGGCACAGTCCCTGACCCGGCTCGCTTCCCCTCTGTGGTCTTTCTTCTGTGCCATGTTGCCTGTCACTCAAGTTAGGCCTTGAAACAAAATGAAGACACCACGGGTGTGGGGCACCATACTGGCCAGCATTAGCAACAGCCTAGGCAGTGAGATTTTAAGGACCCTTCATTTGGACTTTCCCAGAGGTAGGCCCTGAAAAAAGGATCTGAGGGCAACTAGTTTCTTTGGAAAGTGCAGGAAAAATGCACTGGTGTAAGGAAGTGATTTGGGAGGAAGACAAGGCAGCCAATACATGGTGCATTATTAACAAAGTAAGTGACTCTAGTAGCTCTTGGGACGGGCATGGGATAGGGCCTTTATCCTTCCAGGAAATTCAGGGAAATTGTATGAATTACATGCTCGGAAGAATCCCACCTGAGGGGCAAGGGAGCTGGGGTATTTACAGGCAAGATTGATGCTGTTCCTCGGGAGCACTGATGCCCTGGCATTTTTGGCCTTTTAGGCAGAGGAGCTTTTTATGGTTCCTGAAACAAATATCTCTCAGGCATGAAGATGAGGTCCTGGTGCTGGACGGTGGCAGGAGTGCATGGCTTAAGGGATATGATGAGGCACTGACAGGATCATCTACACTGGTCACCTCAAAATTAGAGGTGCTGCCCCTCAAAATATACATTGCCTGTTGCTGATGCCTGGTATTCCCCCACTAGAACTCAAACCCTTTGGCATCCAAACGATGGTAGTTGGTATTAGTGCAGTATCAGTTTACTGCTCATAAATCTCTCCCATGGGGCACTGCCGCCTGGGTTACTTGCAACAAACAAAAACCTGAGAGATATCACAATACCAGTGCATTGGTTTTCTATGCTGCTGTGACAAATTACCAAAAACTTGGTGACTTGAAATAAAACACATTATTATTCTTCAGTTCTGGAAGTCAAAAGTTCAGAATGTGTCTCAGTAGGCTAAAATCAAAATGTCAGCAGGGCTGTGTTCCTTCTGGAGGCTCCAAGGGAGAATGTGCTCCTGCTTTTTCCAGCTCCTAGAAGCTGCCTTCATTCCTTGGCTGAAGACCTCTTCCTCCTTCTCCAAGGCCAGCAGTGTAGCATCTTCAGATCTCTCTCCCTCTCTCTCTCTTTCTCTCTCTGATCTTTGTCTCTGTGATTACATCTCCTTCTCTAACCCTGACTTTCCTGCCTCCTTATGAAGACCCTATGATTAGTTATTCCTTGAGATCCATGGGGATTGGTCTTAGGACCCCCTCAGATACTAAGATCCACAGATGCTCATGTCCCTTAAATCAAATGGTGGAGCATTTGCATATAATCTATACATGTCCTCCCATGTACTTTAAATTATCTCTACGTTCTTTACAATACCTAACACAATTAAACATTATGTAAATTGTTGTTACGCTGTATTATTTTTATTTGTATTATTTTTTATTGTTGTATTTTTCCCCAGATATTTTCATCTGTGCTTGGTTGAATATGCAGGTGCAGAATCTGCAGATACAGAGGGCCAATGGTACATTGAGCTCACTCCAATCACCTGAGATAATCCTCCCATCTCAAGATCCTTAACTTTATCACATCTGCAAAGAGTCCCTTTTGCCATGTAAGATCATATATTCACAGGTTCTGGCAATTATGATATGGACAACTTTGGGGGACCATTCTACTGCCTACCACACCCAATTTATAGGTAAGAAAAGAGAGACTGGTCGTAACCTCACAACTCATGTCTAGGCAGGTCTAGAACCCAAGTGTTTCCATTCTGCATCTACACTCTTGTTACTGAGCGGCCGCTTCCTAGAGTTCACAGAACATATTTCTTACTGTAACCCTACAAACCATTGTAGGAGGAACAAACATGAGCCACATCCAGTCATTTATTCATACTGCAGTGGGAAATGGCTTTGAATCCATCTTACAGCATACTTTTCCTTTAGGCTCCTGTTGAGGGAAAATGGGCTGAAGGGAGCATGAAATAACTTTGTAAAGGAATACAAGGAAGTGCTATTGAACTGGGAACCTCTGAAGCCAGCTGAGGTTGGGGCACTTACCCACCTTTATCCATTTTTATCTGATTTTCTAAGAAGCATTTATTGAGCACTTAAAACACTGCAATCCCTGCATGGTGAGCCAGCCCCCATGCCAGGGGATATGAGAAAAATTCAAGTTCAGAACATCTCAAGCTCAGACAGGAACTCAATAAAGGTCTGTGTAATGAATTAATGAATTTACCAATTTTCTACTATAGTCTAAGAACTTTCTATACCAAGGCCCCAGTTTCCTAAGACTGAATGGCCACACACTCATTTCCAGAGAGCCTCTCCAGTTTCCCACAAGCAACTGAGTATGCACATTGCATAGCTCTGACTAGAAGCTAAAAGAATTTTTTATGTTTTTTTTTTTTAACAGATCATTTTCTGCTGATGCACAGATGTCTTTAGAAAGGAAAACTCAGGAAGATATTCTTAACTCGTAGACAAAAGTGACTGGTCCCCTCCCCCCTCCTCAATCATTTCCCCACTTACCCTTTCACTTGCTTTACTTCACCTGCAATTGGAGAAAAAAAAACTCTTCCTTGAAAACCATCCTGCCTCTAAAAATGTCAACCCCTCCTTTCCTTTTTCTCCCAGCTAGCTCCTTTTAGTCCAGCACCTGGGTATCGGGAGAAAGGAAATCTTCTGGATGATTTTAGGGAAACCCTGAGATGGGGGTAGACGAAGATAAACAGTGCCGCACCGGAAGCTGCATGTCCATGAACACATAATCTCTGAGGTCTGAGGCAAAGCGGGGGAATTCAAAAGGTGTAGGAAGCAGTAAAGTTCAGACACTGACTGATTAAAAGTTTGTCATAACACTCAGCCAAATGTTAGCCCCAGGAGTAACTAGTAATAGGATCGCTGTTGTTGCTGTTGTTACCATTTTATTATTATTTTCCAGGCGCGTATGGATTCCAAAATGTTTTCACCAAATATGTGCATTTTATCCATCATAACTACCTTATGGGGTTGGCTGTGGCCACGTGGCTATTCCTATTTGTACTTACAAAGGGCCAGAAGCCCAGAGGGCTGAGAAACTTTTCGACCTCTCATGGACAGTGAGTGACCAGAGGGAACCTCTAGGCTCGAGGGTCTCCAGACTCCTTAACTGGGACTCTTGCCACCATCCCACACCACACCTCTTTTTGTACAGAGCTCCCAGGAGAGGACACTGTGGAAGCTGGGATTCCTGATGAGTGATTCTTCACCAAGCCTTTCAACGGCTATGAGTGATCAATTAATTCCAGGTCTGTGCCAAGCCAGCTACCAACTCTCCTCTGGAATCGTGAGTTCTCAAGCATGCTGCACAAGTGACCACTTACAAGAGGCAAGGACCTTGCAGGCAGAGTAGCATCCAGTCCAATGCCCTCAAGGGAGGAACCATATGTGTTTCCCGGCAAAGCACAACAACAGTGTAAAATTGACAATATTCAACTCTATTGTTTAGGCTTGCAAAAGGAAGATTGTCATACTGTTTCTCCTCCTTTCTCTTTCTGTGTGTGTTTGTGTTCTTATGTCTATCTCTCTCTTTTCTCTGACACACACACACATACACACATAAGAGAGAGAGAATCATTGAGCAATTTCTTTCAGATACTACTCACCTTTTAAAGTAGAGGTAGATGCCCACAGTCAACTGAGAGGACTAAGAAATGCAAGAAATGACATAATATTTTCCAGCATCCAATTACCAAAATTACCACTTGGACGGAGAGGGCTGAAGGGGGCAAGCCTCAGTCATGAGTAGGCAGGGAATCAATCAACTATTGTTGGCCGAATGCCTTCTGCATTCCAGGGCTTTTGTTACCACTTTCTCATTTATCCACAGAGCAGTCATAGAAGATAGACATCACCAGCCCCATTTTACAGCTAAGGAAACTGAGGCTCAAATAAGCTGAATTAATTCAAGGCTACATAGCTTTTAAGGCAGAGTAGCATTCAAAGTCATGCTGGTCTGATTCCCAGGTCTATGGTCTCCCCACTACAATCCTCATCAGATGTGGAAGAGGTAAGATAAACATTCACCCACCAACCTTCCCAAGGCCCAAAAAAAGAACTTAAGCCATCTTCTTCATTCCACAAATAAGTATGGAGCATTCCTTCTGTGCTCAGGCCACAAAGGTAAGAAGGATATGTTCTTTAAGATCAAATTAGTGGAGGAAAAAACAGGTCTGTAAAGAGATCTAGCAAGTAATGCTGGCTGCCCAAAGGGCGAGGTTGGAAGGGGTCTGTTGGGCACAGAGGAGAGGCTCATCACAGGAGGGTTGATACATTGTATCTTAAAGGACGGACAGAAATGTGTCCAATGGTCAACGAGAGATATTGCATATTGGAGGGGACACAACTTGAGTAAAGTCAGGGTGGCAGAGGAATATGGCAAGTTCTGGAAGCTGCATGTGGATTGGTATTGAGGGAGAGTGATGTGTGATAAAGATAATTGAATTCATCATTGTAGCTAATCTCAGCAAACCTTTCATCCCAGGAGGTCAATCCAAACAGGTTCTCAAATTAGCATCATAATCTCCACTTAATAGCCATGCAGATTTGGGAGGGAGGCCACACCCAGACATTTTGATTCCACAGTTCTTGGCTGGAGTCTGAGAATCTGAATTTCTGATCAGCTCCCAGGTGATGATGACATTGCTGTTCCACTGACTGACCTTCCGGAACTGGCCCCAGCCTCCCTGCTCATCCTGACCCTTGCCAATAATAGGTCCAGGGATAAGCATATGACCTAATTCTGACCACTGAGAAATGAGGGGGCCTGTTGGGAGGGTATCTGGGAGAATTTTCTTCCTTCATAGGGAAGAGCCACAAGGAATGACATTTTTTTCTTCCTCTAAATAATCTGTTGTTGGGATATGACACGTGAAACTTCTGCAAGCCACCATACTCCTAATGTGAACATGATGCCAGCAACCTGGAACAGCAGGCACAGAGATGGTGAATACCTGGGTCTTTGAAGGAATCTCTGACATGATTTGAATGTTTTCTTCAAATCTTATGTTGAATGTTGACCTCCAATGTTGGAGGTGAGTCTAGTGGGAGGTGTTTGGGTCATGGGGGTGGTTCCTCATGAATGCTTGGTACTGCCCTCACTGTAACCTATGAGTTCACGTGCAATCCGGTTGTTTAAAAGAGACTGGCACCTCCCTCTCTGCTTCTGCCTCTCTCACCATGTGACATGCCTGTTCATCCTTCACCTTCTGCCACGATTGTAAGCTTCCTGAGGCCCTCACCAGTAGATGTTGGCACCTCACTTCCTGTACAAGCTGCAGAACCATGAGCCCAAAGAAACCTCTTTTATTTATAAATTAGGCAGTTTCAGGTACTCCTTTATAGCAGCGCAGATGGACTAATACAGTCATCAAATCACTAAATCGTCCGAAAGAGCCCACCTTAATGGGAGAGGATTCTTTCTGACTAGTCAGGAAGGAGAGAGCATAGCATTTCAACCATGAATGGAGACACAGAGTTAGTCTGGTGGGTCCCTGGGAGAGAGAAGAGGCAGGCTTGCTTTCCTGGAGCAGAAAAGTGGGAAAAACAAGGTGACTAGCAAGGAAGCTGGCTGATCACAGAGCTCCCTCATAGCCTTCTTGAGAAGAAGGTTCTGACAAGCAAAGAAGTAGATGCCATCCAAGGTTCTGGATTGGGCAAAGGGCATGGCAAAATGACTGTCAAGGATGGTTACTTGCCAGAATTGTTGTCTCCTGTGGGGGAAAGGTAGAGAAAGAACGGATATAATAATGATTATTGTAATATTTGCAAGCCTCTTTGGGTGTCAGGCAATATGCTGCAAGTTCCAACTTAGTATCACCCACCTGGTGATGGGCAGTGTGCCCCAGGGGAGATAGGAAAGATAATCTGTGCCATGAAGGGTGGCTGAGCTGTGTCAGAAGAAGAAGGAGGCACAGAAGGCATATCATGACAGGCCATGACCCCATGAGGGGTCAGTTCCACTGTGGTGGGAGGAAGCATGAGAAAAGGAAAAGGGTAGCCACTTGAGTAGCTGGGATTAGTAGAATCAGTAGGTAAGTAGAAAAGGGTAACTTGCCCTGAGTCTTGAAAGATAGGTAGGGGTTAGTCTGGCAAAACAGAGTAAGAAATTGAGAGGCCACTCCTGGCAGAGGGCACTGCCTAAGAAAAGGCTTGGAGGTAGGAATAACTTGATGTCTTGAACCACCAGAAGCTCGAGATGGGGTGAGGGTGGGAGTAGGAGACAGAGAGGGAGGCCAGGTGAGCCCTGCCATCAAGTATGTGCTTTCTCCCCTGGACTGGGAGAGCCACCAGATGGCATTAAGGTTAGATGTGAAAGGACTCCATGTATGTCTTAGAAAGATTGTGCAGGCAGAGCATGGAGGGCAGAATGAGGGTGTGGAAGTGGAGTGTGAGGAAGGCATTTGAAATCACGAAAACTTCAGAAAAGAAATTGGCACTGCGTGGCCTCCAGGCTTCATGTCATCTGGTTGCTTCTCTATAGATGTTCCTGGGTGGATTATAAATGCTTGAGGAGCAGGAAGTGGGCCTGCTTATTCATGGTTATATGCCTAACACTTATTAAGTGCTCCATAAATATTTTGTGTATTAATGAAGAGACAACCATCCCAGAAGATGTCTCATTCACTCATCAAACTTTTATTGAGTTCCTACTGCATGTTAGTCCCTATGCCTGGTGCCAGAGCACAGAGTTGGCCCTGAGCAAAGATTCTTAATCTTTTTGTTCCATCAACCTCTTTGGCAATCTATGGAATTCTACAGACCCTTTCTCAGAACAATATTTTTAAAAAATAAATTTAAGATTATAAAGGAAATCAATTACGTTAAAATGTAGCTATCAAAATATTAAAAATGGAAGTGGTAGTATAGTAATATATGTGCATCTTTATTTAACTCATTAAATAATAAATTGAGCAAGCTGTCTCATAACAACTATAATTTCAACATAATGAATGTAAATGATATTTTGAGCTATCTGTAACAACTATAATGTGATAAGAAAATATATACAATTTCTGCCCAGATGTAGTGGCTCATGCCTATAATCCCAGCACTTTGAAAGGCCCAGGTGAGCCAATCACTTGAGGCCAGGAGTTCGAGACCAGCCTGGGCAACATGGCGAAACCCTGTCTCTACTAAAAATAT
This sequence comes from Homo sapiens, assembly GCF_000001405.40. Taxonomy (NCBI): domain Eukaryota; kingdom Metazoa; phylum Chordata; class Mammalia; order Primates; family Hominidae; genus Homo; species Homo sapiens. The sequence goes on along the minus strand of NC_000008.11, from coordinate 135,047,506 downwards.
AAAAATTAACCAGGTGTGGTGGCATGCACCTGTAATCCCAGCTACTCAAGTGGCTGAGGCACAAGAATGGCTTGAACCAGGGAAGCAGAGGTTGCAACGTGCCAAGATCATGCCACTGCACTCCAGCCTGGGAGACAGAGCAAGACCCTGTCTCAAAAAAAAGAAAAGAAAAGAAAAGAAAATATATACAATTTTTGGTTGTGGTAAAGCCACAGGTACTACTAATAATATTGCAGTGTGGGCTGGGCACGGTGGCTCATGCCTGTAATCCCAACGCTTTGGGAGGCCGAGGGAGGTGGATCATTTGAGGTCAGGAGTTCAAGACCAGCCTGGCTGATGTGGCAAAACCCCATCACTACTAGAAATACAAAAATTAGCCAGGTGGTAGTGGCATGTGCCTGTAATCCCAGCAACTCGGGAGGCTGAGGCAGGAGAGTCCCTTGAGCCTGGGAAGTGGAGGTTGCAGTGAGCCGAGATTGTGCCACTGCACTCCAGCCTGGGCAACAGAGTGAGACGCTGTCTCAAAAAAAAGGAAAATATTGCAGTGTATTGATCCATTTATAATAGTAGTGTATAAAATTTGGGGCAGAGTCCTCAGACTGTGATCCCAACATCAGTATCATCTAGAAACCATTCCAAATCCATGTTCTCGAACCCCACCTCAGACTGAATCAGAGACTCTGGGATTAGAAGTAGGGTGACAAACTCATCCTGATTAGCCTGGGATGCTCCAAATTTTAGCACTGAAAATCCCACATCCTAGGAACACCTTAGACCCAGGCAAACCAGGATGGTTATTCACCCCAGTGGAGACCCACCAGTGTGTGTTTGAGGAAGCCTTTGACGTAATTCTGAGCATTTGAGAACCACTGACAGAGAAGTGGTTATGAAAATAAAGATGTAAGTTTCCCATCCAAGTTAATAAAAGCCCTGAATTCAAAAGATCCAGGATAAGAACCCCAATTTAGACAATATCTCCAGTCCTCAAGGAGCACACTTTTCAAAAGAGGAGGAAACAACTAGGCAGACAGCTGAAATTCAGTGTGAAAAGAGCCTAGAAACATTAAGCCCAGGGAGTCCTGGGAGCTTGGAATAAGTGTACCTTTCCAATAAGATGCCTCTGTCTAGGGAGTAGAGAGGTATGGGATAGGATGATGAAATGATGATGATCAGAAAGAGGAAGAGAGGGAGGAGGATGAGGAGGAGAAGAAAATAAGCTAATATATATTCTGTGTTTAACCCTATTCCAGGTTCTATTCTTAGTGCTTTATGCCTTTAATTAATTCTCACAACTCTAGAAGTCAAGAACTATATTATCCCCATTTAACAGATAACCAAACTGAGGCACAGAGCAGTTAAGAAACTTGCCCAAGGTCACACAGCTATTGAGAGGAGTAACAAGCATTTGAAGGCAGGAACGCTGACTCTAGATTTCATACTTTTAACTGTCATGTGATTGCAATGGTTATTTAAGTATTTGATCATTATAAGGTTATGAAATCCTTTTCCTCCTCTTCTCTGAAAATAAGCTTTAACTTGGTTGAGATTCAAAGGATGCAGCTGATTCGAAGGATGCAGAGGTCAAGAAGTCATTGCATAATTTCAGTTTGGGCATCTAGGGCCACTTGGGATCCATGGATGCAGCTGCAGTGCCAGCTTCCCAGGGCTGCTTTGTGTCTTTGTTTGCTGCTTGGGGTCAAGGTTGAGAAAAAGCAAGACAGGAAAGGAAACCTAAAAATGAGCACAGGGGTCTGATTGGTTGATTTAGAGACAGAATCTTGCTGTGTCACCCAGGCTGGAGTGCAGTGACATGATCTCAGCTCACTGCAATTTCTGCCTCCTGGGTTCAAGCAATTCTTGTGCCTCAGCCTCCCAAGTAGCTGGGATTGCAGGTGTGTGCCACCATGCCCAGCTAATTTTTATATTTTTAGTAGAGATGATGTTTCACCATGTTGGCCAGGCTGGTCTCGAAATCCTGGTCTTAAGTGATCCACCCGCCTGAGCCTCCCAAAGTGCTAGGATTACAGGCGTGAGCCACCGTGCCTGGCCCTGATTTATTTTTAAGACAGGATAGAAAAATGTCAAGTCTTGACTTAATTTGACCCTTCCAGAGAAGGGAGGAAGGTATATTGAGAAGGGGATTATCAGACCAGCTTGAACACAAATCTTGTCTTGGCAACTGGAAAATCACCAGATTTTCCAAAATCTGGTGAAAATCTAGTGATTTTCCAGTTTGTCTTTGGCCACTTTATTCAACATTTCACTTTGGCCCTCAATGTTCTTATCTGTTCAATGGGACTAACAATATTCACATCATCATTATTCTCATAGTAACAAAAGACCTTGGCCATGGTAGGTCATCAATAAATACATGCACCCCTTCCCTTTCCGGCCAGTTAATTGTAAATGACATCCCCACTCCAAGGCAGACACTGAGCCAGGATTACGGACCCAAAGGTGGCTCAAGGCAGGGTTCTTCAACTTTGTTTTTTCATTAGCCTCTTGGCAGTTTAGGGAAGCCAGTGGATCTCTTCTCAGTGCTATTATTCTTCCTGGCTCCAGCCTCAGAAGCGCATCACACATGTTAAGAAAGAAACTCCCCCTGGGAATTTTCTCATATGCCCAGGGCCTCACTCAAATATCCACACCCAAACATTGTTAGGACCCATCATGGCTGCTTGACAAAAGTTGTCCTATTATCCCCATAAAATGTCATCCACCTGTCGGGAGACAGACCTTCCTTTCCTCCACCAATCCCTACCTGCCTTTGAAGGAGCCAGGGACCAGCTGGCAGAATCTACAGACTCTCTCTTTGGGTGAGATGATTTTTTTGTGTGTGTGTACTAAGAACTTAGAAGCAGTTGGATATTCCCACAGAGCAGAAAAATTAGATTGAGAGTGAAGGCAAAATTGTAGGGGAGGATAAGGGACTATAGGCAAAGGGAACAGGGGAAAGGACCTCAAGGTGAATGAATGATAAATAAATTTTACATTATTAAGGCAATGTCTGTGCAGGCCCTGTGTTAGTCACCTAAAATTCACATATCTTTAACAGAGCTGGAATTCATAGTAATAACCCCTTCAGTAGTGTCCTATGGTGTTCAGGATGCAGTGGCCCAAAAAAAGCCATGTGTGAGAGCAACTGCCAGCCTCTACAGCAGTGTCCCCAAGCAGATCCACTTGTATCCTCTCACTGTAGAGTCCAAGCTCATGTAACTCTTTGCAAGTCCCCGTCAGTGCCACCCTGTCTCTTGGCTTCCCTGGAGTACCCTCTGCCCTCTGTCTGGATAGCCTTTATTCCTTCCACCCTTTGCTATCACCTTATACCTACACACATGCTCTTCACTTGGCCAGAATCTTCCCAATTTCCAGGTCTCAACTTAAACACCACTTCCTCCAGGAAGTCTTCCATAACACCCCAAGATAGGTCCAGGCACCTCTCCTTTACTTGCCCAAAGTCCTTTTTGCTTTGCCCATCACTGGCTGTGTATCACTGTGTTGGATTTACCACTACACTCATCTGACCCCACCACCATGCCATGAGCTCCTCAAAGGGCAATGTCTGGGTGTTGCCTGGGGCCATCTTAACATGGCTGAGACAAAAAGAGTCTAAGGCAAAGACACAAATGCAGGTAGTTTGCTTAGGAGGTGATTCTGGAAAGGAGGAGTGTGGGATCAGCTACAAATGAAAAGCCAACATCAGGATGCATTTCAAGGCTGTGGTTGTGGCAAACAGGAGCTCAGTTCGATGTGTCAGATGCTTTCCAGAGCTGTCCTCTGTAGGAGAGGGGTGGGGTGGGAGTTTTAACCCACCAGTATTTTTTGTACCTTGGTGGCAGAACCCTCACCCCTGGGGTGTTAATGTCCTGCACTTGCAGGCTGTCAAAACAAGGTAAGTCTGAAAGCCCAGAACTGTCCACCACCACTGAAGCTAAAGCAAGAGGTAGACAAGGAGCTGTGTGCAGGACACCCAGTTTGTCTGGATAGGACGGCAGCCCAAGCTCCCAGCACAGGGCCATGCAGTCAGCATTGAATCCGGCCCTCACAGCCACTCTGCAGAGTGGGGGTTATTAGCAACCCCACTGCAGAAAAGAAAAAACTGAAGGTTAAAGAAGTCAAGGGACTGACCAAAGTTATATAGTAAGTGAAAGGGCTGTAGCTCAGCCCAGATCTGGTAAACTCGCTGCTCATGTTTATTTCTCTATGTCCCAGCTATTCCATGACCAACTCACTTGTGCCAGAATGAAAATCTTTCCAAAGGGAAAAGGTTTAATAAACAGGGGCTGCCCAGGAGTGGTGCTCATGAAGGACCTGACCAGACAGCCCTCAGGAAGGTTCCCAAATATAAAAGTCACTGAAGCCTCTGCACAAGAAACTAGAGTTTTTTCATCTATTAAATGAGCTCAACGGCTTCCCTGCTGCCCTGGAGGTCCTCAGAGTACAGTGGATGACACCCTCTGGAAGACAGGGCCTGGAAAAAGAAAAGCTGCCTGACTTCTTCATGGATGCTCACAAAAGAAGCTCCCACTTGCTTGGAGTCAGAGGAAGTCATCTTTTTAGCATGTTTGGGTCCAGAGCCAAGTGAGTTGGGTGACTCTAGCCACAGGCTCAGATGCCTGCAGAGGATCAGATCCCTGGTTGGCAAGTACCCTTGAAAAGGGGAAAGTTTGGGGTATTGAAAAACATTTTTTCCACTTACCTTTTATCACTTCAGTTCTATCTCTATCTGCCCATAGCCACATCTATCTATTCATGCATCTCAATAACGGTTTCTCAAGAAACGGGGTTTGTGATGTAGGCTACATAACAGGAATCATCACTTGAGACAGGAGACAGAAGAAGCAGGATTAGGCAGAAGGAGGAGCCAAGCTGCGATGCCAGCTGGTCAAAGTCTTGCCAATCATGGGGGCAGTTCTAGAGTATGGCTCACCAGAAACACCCTGCATCTAGCCAAACTGGCCAGACCATTATATCCCTGCCTCACGCAGCCACAGATGCGGGCTCCCAAGGAAGGGCAAGACCTTGGGTGAGGCAGCTCTCTGCAGTTGAGACAGATCCTGGAGGGACTGATGGCTGGAGGCTGCCTGCTGGCCTCACTGCCCCAGCTGGGCATCGAATCCTCTCTTGAAGGAGTATCTGGGGTCATCTCCATGTCTGCCCCAGGCCCCTCCTTGCACCTCTCAGGTCCACTTCTCCATGTGGAGCATTCTTCTCAGGCACTACAGCCACTTTATTCATATCCCCATCCTCCCAGGCTGGGGTGACAATGACAGATACAGGCCACTGTCAAATGGGGGGATCATTGCGTCTCCTTGTTGTTTGATGATGTGTGCTCTCTGATGGGCATTAGACTGTAAGACAAAGATCTTCAACGATTGAGCCCACTCCCTCTACCCACCCGCCTGCCTGCCTCCCCCTGAGACTCTGTTGCTCTGGTTTTCTAATTGCTCTCCTTCCAGACCACCACCCAGGCCATTTGCCATTGCCCATAAATCTCTATACATCTAATCTGATATGGTTTGGCTCTGTCCCCACCCAAATCTTATCTGGAATTGTAGCTCCAGTAATTCCCATGTGTTGTGGGAGGGACCAGGTGGGAGATAATTGAATCATGGGGGCAGATGCCCCCATACTGTTCTCATGGTAGTGAATAAGTCTCATGAGATCTGACGGTTTTATAAGGGGTTTCCCCTTTTGCTTGGCTCTCATTCTTGTCTGCCACCGTGTAAGATGTGACTTTCACCTTCCGCCATGATTGTGAGGCCTCCCTAGCCATGTGGAACTGTGAGTTCATTAAACCTCTTTTTATAAATCACCAGTCCTGGGTATATTTTTATCAGCAGCATGAAAACGGACTAATACATAGCCTCAGGCCTCTTCTCCTCCCATGCAATGTAGATGACCAGAGGCTGTACCTGAACTTCAGCCCTTTGGGATAATTTTCTCTCACCACTGTCTTTCAAGGCCACCCCTGAGTGAGGCTATCAATTCCAGTTTGCAGTCACATCTAAGGAGGTGATCTAAGGAGTCACAACTGATACCAAAACCAATCTCAGGCTTTTTCCTCTTCCTTCAACTGGTTATAGGGCACTGTCCCAAACAGCCAGAGACATGGGCTGAGTGGGGGGTGCTGATGGCACAATGACAGGGCTGTGGGTTTCTGCATGACCCACTCATGTTCCTTACCTGTCCTTCTGCCTCTACTCAGGCTCGGTCCCAGATGGACCAATTCTAACTCACTGCAGAGTAAAACTGGGTGTGCCCAATGCTATAACTCAGTGAGTCGCCTAGGACCTGGCTCGTGATACCCAGTTCTGGTTATTTGGCAGCTTGATGTCTCATGGGGAGATGATTTATCTCTCACAGGGCCCAGAAGCATGACAGGCATTGTTTTCATAAAGTGAAGCATTCCCTGCTGGGGATGGCCTGGCCTTTCTCCCCATTTCCAGGCTGTGCTGATTCTCCCTTTGGAGCTTGCCATAAATGCTACATGGTGTCTCTGTTCCCATCACTGATACCCCCACCATCTGTAATTAAGGTTAGGACCTTGAGATGCAAAGACCGTCCTGGGTTATCCCAGTAACCAATTGAATCACATGAGTCCTTACATGTGGAAAAGGAAGGCAAGAGAGTCAGAGGCATGCAGAGGTGAAAGAAGAGGCTGGAGAGATTTTCTTGTGTGAGAAGGACTCCAACTGCTGCTGCTGGCTTTGAAGATGGGAGAAGAGGGTTACGGGCAAAATAAAAATTTGGGGGCTTCTATAAGCCAAGAACAGCCCTCAGTTTACAACCTATAGGAAAAGGGGAACCTTTGTCCGACAACTGCAAGGAACCGAATTTTGCCAACAACCTGTATGGAAAGGAAACAGATTCTCCCTAAAATCTCTAGAAAGGAAGGTAACCTGCTGATGCCTTGGTTTAGCCCAAGGTCCAGAGACCCACACTGCACTTCTGACCTACAGAAACAGTGAGATAGCAAGGCTGTGTTGTTTCAAGCTGCAGTTTGTGACAACAGTGATGGGAAGTGGATATACTGTCTGCGCTCTGCCACTGCCAGCAATGGGGTTGACACGGTCAGCTGGGAAGTGAATGACCCAGCTCCAAAACCCCATCTTAGCTTCTGTCACAGATTCAGTATTGCAGAAGCAAATGCTGAGATAGAGATTGGGGTGTGAGATATTTAGTGGGAATGTGCACTGTGAAAGGAAAGGGAGGAAGCAAGACTAGGCAAAAGGAGAAGGTGAACTGCAAGACAAGCTTGACAAAGCCTCAGCCAAGCCAGCACGGAACTCTGGAACAAGCTGCCCATTAGAGTTGTCCAGTGTCAGGCCCAAGTGACCAGGACTTAATATCATGCCTCAATTACTCACAAGATGTGGCTGCCCCTGCTGGAGGATGTGACTTAGAATGAAGCTGATCCTGAACGAGCTGACAGCTGGAGGCTGTCTTCTTACTGTAATCTGGCCAACTTCTGATCACGCTCCGGTCCTGAGCAGCTAGTCTTGCCTTGAAGGAGGATCTGCATGGCACGCCTCCATGTCTCTCATAGTCCCTTCATGCTAGAGGTCATAAAGATGAATCTGAGAGATTAAACTATTTGCTCAGTGTCACACAGAAAATGATGGGCAGAGTTGGGACTACAGCCCAAGTTTCCTGAAGCTTTTCCTAATATCACAGTTTTGACTAATAACACAGTTCTGCCTTTGGAGAACATTATGGGGCTTCTAGATAATGTGCCAGAAGCGAACATAATCAGTGAACTCCAATCAAGAGGGACTTTAAGGGGCCTTCAGTATAACCCCTGGCCTAAGACAGAGGTACCCTGTAAAGCATCCCTCATGCTGCCGGCCTGGGTCCCAAACTTGCCTACCTTCCATTGAAAAATGTTCTGATCCTTTCTGACTATAATTCCTGGTAACTTACTAATCAGTAAGGCCATATATGTGAAACACATTGAAATTTGCAAAGCATAGTACCTCAGTCTCTAGAGTGTTCAGTGCCATTCCTATTTAGGACAATGCCTCTATCTGCATCTGGGCAAGACTGGGCTTTGATTTTCATTTCAGGCCTGTGGCTCTGTACCACCCATTCCTTTACTGTTCGCCTAGTTCTTTCCTCCTCTCACTTTTGGTGGCACCGCCTGGGCCTCTTGTTCATCCTGCTCATTTCCTCCAGCATGTCTGCATTTCTCAGCAGCACCACACTGCTAGAAGTGGGACATGAATGTACATAATGGAATATAATTTCTGGGCGTATTGTTTTCATAACAAGAGGGGTAATGCCACACAGATGAGGTCACATCTGGATATTAGGTCCAGAAAGGTGTGAAGATGTAGGATCATATGACCAGAGGGTGCTCTGATATGATACTGATAAAATACATGAATACTATATGCAATGATATGATACTAATAAAATACATGATAAAATACTATATTCCATGCCATGAGAAACTATAACATGTGCATAGACCAACATAATTTACCAAATACTTATATAACAATCTCCTCACTTGGTTCTTCCTATAACCCTGTGGGATGTAAGAGACCTATTTTATTCTCCTGGAACTTCCATTTCCTCACCCAGAGCTCCAAGCTACCTTTGTGATAAGAAATGACTGAAGGGAACAAAGAAGCTAAGCGTGGATGGAACTATGTTTCCACATTTAAAGACCTATTGTCTGGAAGATATATTAGAACTCGGAGGACACTGAATCTTCGGCCCTAGTTTTCACCATCAGCATGACACACACAGCCTCATCTTGCATGGCCTCATTGTGGCAAAACTGTACTCCCCGCCTCTTGACTTTGGGCTTCACCATATAACTTGATTTGGTCAGTTGCAAACGTGACAAAACCACAGTCTTGAGCCTAAGCCCTAAGAGGCCTCACATGTTGCTGCTTGCCTTCTTGTAGTTTTACCATTTGCCATGAGAGGGGCATGCACCAGCTAGCCTGCTGGTCCTGGGGCAAGATGGGAGACCCATGAGGCAGAGCTTTCCGGCCACCGCAGGCTGAAGCAGAGCTGCCCTATGCAACATGGAGAGCTTCTGCTGTTCATAGTACCATGGATGCAAAGAGAAATTGTCTTAACCCTTGCGGGAGCTGAGTCCAGTAGAGAGGTATAGCATCATCAGCCACTGAGTTCACAAAGCTTGTGGTCCATATAGAGTCTTCCCTGTCTCTCCTGCACCTCCTAGTAGATTGTTTCTTTGTTCCAAATATTTGCTGCACCTCTCTGAGATAAAATTACACTTCCTGTCACATTAATGCCAGGCTTGGCCGTGTGACTTTTTTTTGGCCAATGGTGTATGAGTGGAGGTGACATGTGCCACTTCTAAACAGAAGCCATTCAAGGGCCATTACATAATACTATTATTTCTCTCTGCCACAAGCCTAAGACAGGGCTTCACCTTCAGCTCCAGTGACAGAAGGAAGACCACGTGGATCAGAGATGCAGTTGATGCATACAAGCAGCCAAAAAGCATATGGAAAACATGCTCATTACCACTGATCATTAGAGAAATGCAAATCAAAACCACAATGAGATACTATCTCATACCAGTCAGACTGGCTATTATTAAAGTCAAAAAGCAGCATGTTGGCAGGGCTGTGAAGAAAAGAGAACACTTATTACACTATTGATGGGAATGAAAATTAGTTCAGCCACTGTGGAGAGCAGTTTGGGGATTTCTTAAAGAACTAAGAATGGAATTACCATTTGACCCAGTAATTTCATTACTAGGTATCTACCAAAAGGAAAATAAATCATTCTTCCAAAAACACACATACACTCATATGTTCATCACAGCACTATTCACGATAGCAAAGACATGGAACAAACCTAGGTGCCCATCAACAGTGGATTGTATAAAGAAAATGTGGTACATATACACTGTGGAGTAGTATGCAACCATAAAAAGAATGAAATCACGTTCTTTGCAGCAACATGGATGCAGCTGGAGGCCATTATCCTAAGGAAACTAATGTAGAAAAAGAAAACCAAAATACCCCATATTTTAAGTGGGAACTTAACAATAAGTACATATGGGCATAAAGGTGGGAACTACAGACAATGCAGACTCCAAAAGCAGAAAGGGAGAGAAAGGGCAAGGGCTGAAAATCTACCTATTGAGTACTATGCTCACTTTCTGGATGACAGGTTCAACTGCACCCCAAACTTCAGCATCACACAATATACCCATGCAACAAACCTGCATATGTACCTCCGAATCCATAATAGAAGTTGAAAAAAATTATCACAAGCCTAATGATGTCATCCCTAGCTTAAAATGCAAGGCTGGGCACGGTGGCTTATGCCTGTAATCCTAGCACTTTGGGAGGCCGAGCGGACAGATCACTTGAGCCTGAGAATTCAAGGCCAGCCTGGGCAACATAGTGAAACCCTGTCTCTAAAAAAAAAAATTTTTTTTTAAATTTTAAAAATGGCCATGAGGGTATGTGCCTGTAGTCCCAGCTACTGAGGAGGCTAAGGTGGGAGGATGGCTTAAATCTGAGAGGTGTAGGTTGCAGTGAGCCAAGATGGTGCCACTGCACTCCAGCCTGGGCAACAGAGCAAGACTCCATCTCAAAAATGAAAAATAAAATGCATCTGAAACTCATAACTTTCAGAAAGCCTTCAACTCTGGCTGAACACAGAAGGCTGTTCCTGATGCAGTCTCCAGCCCCCACTTACCCCTTCCTCTGACCACGCCTCACGCCAGAGTCTGCCCTTGGTCACTCAGAGCTGCTGGCCTTTCCTCTGGCAGGTCCTGCACTCCTCTGACCCTTCCTCCAAGAAAGCCCTTCACATAGATAGCCTCATCTTCCTCCTCCTCTCTGCCAAAGACCAGCCAAAGCTCTGCCTTTTGTAAGAATCATTCCCACATCCCTCAGCCCAATATTGTCCTCTCAATCTTTGCTGCAAAAGAAAATCTTGTGGGGAGCTTAAAAAAAAAAAAAGCACTGACACTCAGGTCCCACCACCAGAGATACTGAATTAATTGTCTGGGACGGGACCTGGACAACAGTATCTTTTTAAATCTCCCCGGGTGATTTTAATATGCAGCCCGGGCTGAGGACTATTTGCATTCTTCTATTTTAATTGCACTTCCCCTGAGCACCCGCACTCCCTGTGTTCCCCTACTTATTACTCTGTATTGTAATGTTCTGTTCATTTTTCTGACTCCCTAACTCATCTAAGGGCTCTTCAAGGGCTACGCTCGCATCCTTTCCATCTCCTATCCTCCAGGGCTTAGCTCACAACACATGTGCGTTGACAGCTGCAGTTCCCCAAGTCAGGTAACTTCTCCCTGCACCCCACCCTGCCTGTGCCCCCTGAAGCCTCACTTTCCAGCCACCTCAAACTGCAGTGCTTGACTCAGTGGCTCTGAAATGACTGAATTGCTCAGCTGCATCTTTCTCCAGCAGTTTTTCTTCTGTCTCTGCTCTCTCGGGCTTTGACACTTGGGTTCTCCAATGCTTACAGTATCAGTGTGAACAGCTGCTGCTTTGCCTAAAAGCACTTCAGTGAAGTGCTAGAAAATCCCTGGAAATTGCTCTCCCCCATCCCCTGCCAAGCCAAGCTCACTGCGTTGAAGAGAAAAGGACTCCAGGGGAGGAGGTGCTGCTGTCTCTCCTCTGAGCAGAGACCCTGCAGACCTCAAGGCCAAGGGCCCCCACCCTCCTTCCAAACACATCCAAATCTCTGCATCCATCTCACTCCACCATTCTAAGGCATAGCTCACTTCTGCTTCCACATTTGATTTAATCTTAAGGGAGAGGGGGTTATCATTCTCACTTTACTGGTGAATAAAAGTCAGTCAGAGACCCTCCCATTGCAGCTTGGCCTCTTCATTGCCCTGTGACCTTAGGTTACTTAACCTCCCAGGTTAGAAGACAAAAGGAGGAGGGCAGAGCTCCCAGGAGTCAGGCTGGTCTACGGGGCCTGCCCATCTCTCTCCCATCTTCTGAGTCACTATTTTGCTGAAGCAACCCTGCTGTTAAAGTCACTGATAGTGGGGCAGTTTGAGCTAGCCACAAGGCCCTCTTTCCTCCCCCTGAATGGTGGGGCACCAGCTTTGGAGCCAGACAGACCAGAGTTCAAATCTGGGCTGTGTTTCTCAATACCTGTGTCACCTTGGGTGTGCTTTCCATCCTTCCTAAGGTCCCCTTTTCTCTTCTACCAAAATGGAATGGTACAATTTGACCTCCCAGAGGAATGGTAAATAAACAGGGAGCTGGACCTATGTGAGGGCCCCTCAAACCTCAAATGCTGGCTCCTCCCCCGTCCCAGCCCTGGAGATGGAAAAAGTCTCCAAGGCAATTGCTGCAGGATGGACCCTGCCCCCACCCACTGAGTTCTCCCCTGACAATTCTGTATTTGCTTCCCTGTGGCTTCTTTTCTCCATTTGCTCCAAGAGTTTAGGGACTAGTCTCTGGCTCAACACTTTGGAATCATTTTTTGTTCTGATGTCCTGTGTCAAAACTAAGTTATCTTTTGAGCCTGGGGGAAGGGGTGGCTTTTCCCTGGGTGCTCACTGCTCCTCTGCCTCCTCACTGTGTGTACAACAGAGCATGGGAGTCATTCCTGTCTTCAAGACTCAGCTTTACCACTTCCTTGCTGTGTCTCTTTGGGAAAGTTACTTAACCTTTCTGGGCTTTTGTCCTCCTCCATTATGTGAAGATTTGGATTGTTAGACTGTTCTTGCAAGGTTGTGTGAAGATCAAGTGAACTGCTGCAGATGAATGTCCAGCCCGGCGGGTGGCATCAGAGGTGCCCGCTAAGAGGGTGTAACTGTGGCCAAGAGAGCCAGCCGCAGCAGGGCACATGTAGAAGGCAGCTTTGTTCTTCCCACCTCTGCCTTTCGTCCCTGTGGGGTTGACTCACTCCTTGGTTTTGGGGGAGGAAAGGACTCTGACTCTCAGACAGTCCTTAGGTACTAACAAATCATTTCATGTTGTAGCTTTTAAAATGTCCAGTCCAGTCCAACATCAAAACCTGAAAGCCTCATCCTATTTAAAACATCTCTTCCCAAATATCCACCTGTCCTCGGCTGAGACACCAGTTCTGCAGAAAGAGCAGTGCCAGCTCTGTCACTATCTCTCCTCTCTTCCTCCTCTACCCTGGAGGCTGCTGGATCCTCCAGACCTGGATGGGAAGATGGAGGGAGACTACTGGGAGGAGAGATAAGGGGCGTAAAATGTCCTCTTTGACTCTAGTTGCCATCCAGCATGGACGTGCTATGGGTGGGACAGGTGTCTAAATGCTCACCCCTTCCCAAATGGAGCTCTTTTGTGAGCTGCCTGGAGATGTATACACTGGGGACCCATGACTGCAGTCCCATAGCTTGGGTGATGCTACTTCTCACTCATGGTTTCTGATGTCCTCATCCCCTGGCTTCCAGGGGACCATCCCAGGACATGCCTGGGCCCATAGCTGGCTCCCTGGCCCTGCATCCTCCACATGTCCCTTATTCTATTCCCAGGCACCACGCCTACCTCCAAGTACCAGAGGCAGGGCTCTCCACAGGGTGCTCAGGGAGCCCTTCCTCCCTTACCAGGCATAACGTGGGGGAAAGCCTGCGTGCCTGCCCCATGAGGAGGACACAGGAATTCCCAGCATGTGACATTCTCCCTAAAGAGAGCCCTCACCTTCCTACCGATCAACTTCCCAGTGACTCTGTCCTACCCTTCAGGGAAGTGACGAGTTAGGGTTTTTGAACTGATTTGGGGGCCACACCTTAGTAAGTTCATAAATTATCCATCATCATTTTTTAGGATCTGCAACCACTTAATACCACTTGTTCTCAACCCTGGAGGTTTGGCCAAATTTAGGTAACAAAAAGCCACCATTTACCTTATCATTAGGTTAGTTGTAACTGTCATTATTCCCAAGCAGAATGAGTCCCCGGCTCGAGCTCCCAGGGCCCTCACCATCCTGTCCCTTCCATGACCCCATCCCAGTGCATCCTATTTTGTGCTTCATGTTTATCTTCCCACCAGACTATGAGCTGCTGGAGGGCAAGCCTGTGCCTCCTTCCCCTCTGGGTCCTCAGAACCCAGGATATCACAGTCATCAACCAGTGCACTTTTCTTCTATTAATGGATGAGCATCTTAAATGACACTGGTATCATTTAACAGCCAGATACCAGGTCTCGCTTACATGGAAGGAGCAGCCTACGGGTGCTGCGAAGTGTAACAATAAATGGATGTGACGCTAATCAGAAAGCTCCATAGCAACAGCAGGAATAATTACTCCAGTAACTAATGCTTGCTGAGTCAGATGAGCTGCTACAGCTGGCACACCTATAGTCTGTCCTCACAGGTGGCAAGGGCATTATTAGTTTCCCATCTTACAGATGAGGAAACTAAGGTATGTAGGGCTTAAGTATGAGCTAAGAATTCTAGGATTATAAAGCCAAAAGCTGAGCGGATTTCAGAGAAGAGTTCAGAGCTGTGAGGGATCTCCCCTCTTGAAAATGTTCAGAAAAGTCTTCCTGGAGGAGAGGACAGTGTGGCAGTTCCTCCAAGAGCTAAAAACAGGACTACCATTCAATCTGGCAATCCCATTACTGGGTAAAAACCAAGAGGAATATAAATTCTATTATAAAGACACATGCACACATGTGTTCATGGCAGCACTATCCGCAATAGCAAAGACATGGAATCAACCTAAATGCCACTGGATAAAGGAAATGTGATACGTATACATCATGGAATACTATGCAGCCATAAAAAAGAATGAGATCATGTCTTCTGTGGGAACATGGATGGAGCTAGAGGCTATTACCCTTAGCAAACTGACACAGGAACAGAAAACCAAATACCACATGTTCTCACTCATAAATGGGAGCGAAATGATGAGAAGTAAGAACACATAGACACATAGAGGGGAACAACACATACGGGGGCCTATCAGAGGGTAGAGGGTGGGAAGGGGGAAGAGGATCAGGAAAAATAACTCATGGGTACGAGGCTTAATACCTGGGTGATAAAATAATCTGTACACCAAACCCCCATGACATGAGTTTACCTATATAATAATCCTGCTCATGTAGCCCTGAACCTAAAATTAAAGTTTAAAAAATGTGGGTCCGAGTTGCATGAGGGGACAGGGAAAGAAGCCTGCCAGGTGGATAAACTGTGGCCTGGAGAGGCAAAAGCTCATTGACCAACAAGAACCCATGGCATGGGGCATGCTCTGGGGCCAACCAAGAATTCCATGTTGTCCAGGATATGATGGATTTGAGATCCAAAGGGGTGCAGGAGTTTGTATTTTTTCACAGGCAATGGGAAACCACTGAGGATTTTGAGTGAATCAGAGCTCTTTTCTAGAAGATTAATCTGACAGCTCGTTTCCTGAAGTGAGAGACAGAGACAGACTGGAGAAGGCAACTAATTAGGAGATACTTTAATTATGCAGCAGACATTCACTGAATAGAAAGGGCCAGAAGAAAACTTAGAAATCATTGTTTGTAACTTTGCTTTGCACACTAGACTGAGTTCTCTCAGGGCAAATGAGTGTTATGTTCAACTACGTTTTTCAAAACTGAACACAATGCTCAGTAATAAGGCGGTAAGTATACTCATCCTGAATGAATGAAGGAATAGGTGAATGAACAAATGAATCAGTGGCACCTTCCTTGAGCGAGTCACACCTGAGGATCAGCACTGATTAAGGGGAGTGGGTGGGAGGAAGGGATGATTTGACAGAACTGAAGGGTGCTCAGTTGTATCCAGAAAGGAGAAGGAAGAAGGCACTCGACAGTGAGCTTTCGCCTCCCAGGGGCCTAGTTTCTCCACTTGTCCATCAATGAGTGGCAGAGAAGGGTGGGCAAGATGATACCCAAGTCCTCCTAGATCCTCTATTCTGGGATTTGATGAGAACCCAACCTCCTTGCTCTCCACCCCTGCTGCTTCCCTTCAATGCTAAAAAGACCCAGGAGGAATGGAGTCTCTGCTGGCAGAAAGAGCTGGGGGCACAGCCTTGCATGTCCAAAGCCGACTTCTTTACCTGCCTCCAAAGGCAGCTTTGCCTGGGTTATTCTGGGCCAGTGTCATGGCACCAAGCTCCCTTTCTTCTCTCCATACCAGGCTTTTATGAAAGTCCCTAACGAGCCTTGTACTATTATACATTTTAGAAATCTCATCTAATAGGGCTCATGAAGTATAAATTAACCCCAAGGAGCAGAACTGCATTAATCCCTGTGGTGATTATGCATTAGCCAAAGAATTTCTTTGCCTATTTTAAGCAGCTGAACCCAGACCGTCTGGGGTGCTTTTCTACTTTGTCTCTCTTGCCAGCCATTCATTTAGATCATCCCATGGTCCATATCCTCTCCACTCCCTCCCCCACCCATCCACGCATGCCAGCTGCAGAGGCTGTGTGATGCAATGGAAAGGGCACAGGCCTTGTGTCCAGCAGAACCTGGCTCTCAGGCCAGTCTCTCACTGTCCACATGATCTTAGTCAAGTCACCTAGCTGCCCTGAGTTCTGGCTACCCGATTTGAATCAGTGGTATTAAAAGCAACTTTCTGGGGTGTCTGAGAGTCTAAATAACATTAATAGAGCACCACATGCATAGTAGGCCCTCAACCCCAGCGAGTTCTTTTTCCTCCTATTGTCATTGCCTTACTGTGTTAATAGCACCCAAGCTGAGGATGGCTGATAAAAAAAAGTCGCTTGGGGTGGGAAACAGCCAGAAAAGTTTTAGCTTCAGGTTCATGCTCCACAGCTGAAAATAGAATTAATTAATATTCTGAATGCATTAATGATGTCTTCGAAATCAGGTAAAGAAAAAACTACTGTACATTCATCAAAGGTGTGTTGTACCTAGCTGAGGACTTTCTGGGAAAGAAACGAAGGTGTGCCAACCCACATCACCCGCCACTTTAAGCTTGCATTATTCTACTTTCTGAATCAAAAACTATAATTATAGACTTGTCTTGCAAGCAGCCAGAGATTTTCTCCTGAGAAGTTCGAAAACACTGCTATTCCAGGGACATCAGCTCATGAGGAACAGTATCACCCGGGTCCCCAGCCACTCAGTGAATGGACCCCCATCTACCATTGCAAACACAAAAAACAAGGCACAAAAGACACTGGGTGTGGCCTGACCCCCTCATCCAGCACCTGACATGAAGACAGCTTATTCCTCACCGTGCTTTACCCTACACAAAACCATCTTGTAGATTTTATCTCCTGTGAAAATCCCAGCAATTCTGAGGGCAAGGCTGAGGGAAGAAAGGAACATCATGCCCCCTTGACAATTAAGAAATCACAAAGCCAAAGACAGAACCAGAACCCAGTCCTGTGGTTTCTGCACCACCTTGGACAGCCGTGGGCAAATGTGGCCTTTTATCATCCTCAAATGTTGTCAGCTCTGAATAGTGAGTGCAGCTCCCTGATTAGCCTGGATGCTCCTTGAAGACCAGGATCTTCGGCTCCATGTTGAACAAAGAAGAGTCTTGAGTAGAGAACCCATGCTTAATCCTTGTTATTGCTAATTGCGTATCAATAAATAAGTTATTGTAAAATGATCTCATTCTGTACTTCCTCCTTGCAATGAACCTGTGAGGTAAGCACATTTTTATCCCCATTTTATAAAGGAGAAAACTGAGACTCAGAAGGGTAAGTGGCTTGAACCCAGGACTCGGGTATTAAGCAGCAAACCTGAGAGTCAATGCTAGGTGTGACTCCAGCTCTTTCAATTCAATGTGGTTTATTTATGCATTCGCTCTATAAACACTTGGGTGCCAAGCCCAAAGCACACCACAGTGTGTGGGTGCCACACCACAGTGGGCAGACATGCTGTTGTGGAACTGCTGTGCCCCATCTGGCCGTCACTCATCTAATCCAAACATCTTTGTGCAGATGCAGCCACATGAAACAAAACAAATGCATCTTACTAGTTGAGCAAGTACATTGATGCCCAAAAGGCCATATTGACTTGGTTTCGGTCTTTGTGAGTATTCCTTTTATTTGTCTTTGGTTCCTCTTTAGTGGAAAGGGTGTCCCAGCACCTTCCCAGGCAGCTTCTCTGGAGATCGGTCCCCACTCACTAAGGAGGATCCACATGGGACAAGGGGAAAAGCAGCAAGCTGGAATTCACGTAAGCAGGGTCCTGTTCTCATTATGGTCCCACCTAGCATGTATGTCCTTAGGCCAGTCATGTGGCTTCTTCATTTTTACACCCTAATTTTTAAAATGAAAAGTTGAATTAACAAGTCTATTTTATAAGACCAAATGCACAAATCCTTTTGAAAAAACAACTCAGTTTTTCAATTTAATTTTTATTGTAGTAATGTGTATATAACATAAATTTTAACTATTTTAACCATTTCTAAGTGTACAATTCGGTGGCATCAAGAACTTTTACAATGTTAAGCAACTATCATCACCACACATTTCCATAACAGTTTCATCTTCTCAAACTGAAGTTCTGTTCCCTTTAAGCACTCACTTCCCATTTTCCCTACCCCCAGCACCTGGTAACACAATTCTATTTTCTGTCGCTATGAATTTGACTATTGTATTCAGCTGTTCTTTCATTGCTATAAAGGAATACCTGAGACTCCGTAATTTATAAAGAAAAGAAGTTTCATTGGCTTACGGTTCTGCAGACTTTACAGGAAGCACGGTGCTGGCATTTGCTTGGCTTCTAGTGAAGCCTCAGGGAGATTTCAATCATGGCAAAAGGCAAAGGGGGAACAAGCATGTCATGTGGCAAAAGCAAGACCTAGAGAGGGTGGGGAGGGGGAGCTGCCAAACACTTTTAAATAATCAGATCTCGCAAGAACTCACTATCACAAAGACAGCACCGAGCCATGAGGGATCAGTCCCCATGGCCCAAACACCTCCCACCAGGCTCTACCTCCAGCATTAAAGATTACAATTCAACAGGAGATTTGGGTGGGAACAAATATCCAAACTAGATCAACTACTCTAGGAGCCTTATATAAGTGGAATCGTATGTATCCAATGTGTATTCTTTTACATCCTTTTTTTTTTTTTTTTTTTTTGAGACGGAGTATTGCTCTGTGGCCCAGGCTGGAGTGCAGTGGCATGATCTGGGCTCACTGTAACCTCTGCCTCTCGGGTTCAAACAATTCTCCTGCCTGAGCCTCTTGAGTAGCTGGGACTACATGTGTGTACCACCATGCCCGGCTAATTTGTGTATTTTT
The DNA here is from genome assembly GCF_000001405.40 of Homo sapiens. Taxonomy (NCBI): domain Eukaryota; kingdom Metazoa; phylum Chordata; class Mammalia; order Primates; family Hominidae; genus Homo; species Homo sapiens. The sequence continues at coordinate 135,028,321 of NC_000008.11, read as the reverse complement.
AGTAGAGACAGAGTTTCACCATGTTGGCCAGGCTGGTCTCGAACTCCTAGCCTCAAGTGATCTGCCTGCCTCAGCCTCCCAAAGTGCTGAGATTACAGGTGTGAGCCACTGTACCTGGCCTCAATGTGTATTCATTTATGTCTGGCTTATTTTACTCAGCATAACCAGGAATCACTATTGAATACGAAGATCAACCCATCATACCAACCCCACACCTGGGAATAGAGCTGTAGGGATTATAAGAGTTTCACATGCCTTATCTCCTGTATGCCTCACCACAACTTTGACATGATCTCCACTTAACCAATAAGGAAAATGACATGAAGTTCGAGTAATTTGGTCAAAGAGTGACAGACACAAATCTGTCCACAGATCTTCCAACCAAGTTCAGGGATCTTTCTAAATTTACTCCTGAGACTTCAAACAGTGAGAAAACCTGAGTGTGTTAAGCTGTTCTTGTGTTGCTATAAAGAAATACACGAGACTGGGTAATTTAGAAAGAAAAGAGGTTTAATTGGCTCAAGGTTCCACAGGCTGTACAAGAAGAATGAAGTGGGCATCAGCTCAGCTTCTGAGGAGGAGTCAGGAAATATACAATCATGGTGGAAGGTGAAGGGGGAGCTAGCACTTCACATGGCTGGAGCAGGAGGAAGAGAGAGAGAGGTGGGGAGACCTGCTACACATTTTTAAACAACCAGATCTCATGATAACTCACTCACTCACTATTACAAGAACAGCAGCAAGGAGACGGTGCTAAGTCTTTTTTGTAGGGGCAGTCCTGGGCATCCTAGGATGTTTACCAGCATCCCTGACCTCTACCCACTAGATGCCGGCGTCACCACCCAAGTTCTGGCACCAAAGATGTCTCCAGATACAGCTTAGTGTCTCCAGACACAGCTTAGTGTCTCCTGGGTGCACAATCGCCCCTAGTTGAAAACCACTGGTTTAACCCATGCCAGGTACTGGAAAACAGAGATGAATGGAACAAGGCTTTTCCTCTAGGAGATCCCAGTCTAGAGGCTCTGACATGAGGACCAGTACTTACCTTAGGCAAGCATGAGAGCAGGAAAACAGTTGGCATGTGGGAATCTGATGTTAGCGTGCTTTGACTGCAGTAAGATGTGTGGGCTGGAGGGGGCAGTGGGTGGGGAATGCAGTTAGGAGGCAACCATGATGAGGTGGAGAACAAACAGGAACAGGGGTGACAGGCTGGGGGGTCTGGACAGACCCAGGAGATTAGCCCAGTAGGATAGCAACACATGCATAGAGTGGAGGGTAAGGTTGTGGCTCTAATTAATGCAATGTGAATAGGTCTGAATAGGGCCAGATTTTCTCCTCTGTGAATCGGGGGCCATGTGATCTCCCAGGTCCCTTGCTGTTCTGACACTCTGCAACTTGAACATTCCAGAGACAGAAGCCCAGGGACTGACAGACAGCTCCTCTTCCTCCCACTCTCTCACTCCTTCCTCTCCCTTCCCTTGTTCCACACATCTCTACAAAGCAGAAAAGAGAAAGCCAATGTTCCTCCTGGATCCCAGGAGTCTTAGGCCTAGGGCTTTCCTGTTCCCAGTCCTCCCGCTGGGAAGGCTCACAGAGCCTCCTCCAGCTCCAGCGTGTGGGGGCCACTGAGCAGGACATGGGTGACTCACACTGAGCAGATAATGAGCTCTGGTGACAATGGACCCAGCATCAAAGGGAGAAATGGTACCTCTCCCAGGGCTAGGGCTTGGGCCCATGGGGCTCTGTGGGATGGAGGCTGAGTGAGTTTGACGGTTTCCCAAGCATCATCCTGTCCTTCCTCCCCCAGTCCTACCACCCCCACCAGGAACTGCCAGGAAGTCTTGCTCTTTTAAATGGTGCATTTTGCAGTTAAAACCGGAGGCCCCTTGAGGTTAGAAACCGGAGGCTCCATCCTTGACTTGAGCTGTCTAGCTTTTCCTTTCAGTACAAGCTTTAGCCCTGCCTCAATGCTTAAAATATCAAAATGTGTGTTTTCTATGCCCATCTGGTCACTGATCCTCTCAGCTCAGTCAACCCACTCATTCCACAGACCTTGGCTGACCATTAGAAGTCAGCCGTGAATAACTGCACATGTTCCAGCCATTATTGCAAGGTGACTAGCATATTCTCTACACGTGGTGGCCTTGTAGCTATGTCAAGTACCGTGTTGTTAAGACTGCAATGTTGTAGTCTACAGTGTTGTTAAGATCACAATGAAAGAATAATAGATTGATAAGAAAGCAAGACCCTGAGACAAAGAGAATGTAGGCAAAGGATGGCATATTTTTTAACCTGCCACAAAATAACCCTGACTATATCAGGAAGGCATCGGTCATGCCGAGAAACAATGGCACATGCACGCTGGATGTGTGACAGTGTGATCATGAAACTGTGTGTAGGAAGGAAACCAACAGGAAATAGTGCAGAAACCATGGGCTAGCAAAAGCAGGGAGCAGTTATCACCCCCACACCCAAAGAAGCAAAGGGGTGAAGGGAGAAGTTACCAGAATCCACAGATAGTAGCTGCATGGAGAATGCCTCCCAACAGGAGCTGGGGTCTTTGGTAAAGAAGTGCTGCTGACAGAGAGGGTGCCAGGAGAGAAAATTCCCTAACCCCGCTCCTGTCCTTCCCTTGTGTTTCCTCCCTGAACTCCCTACTGGTCAAAGGCAACTTTAAGTCAAAGCACAGATGAATCTGTTGATGCAGTTCCTACAGCCAGCATCCCCCAACTTCCCTTAAAGTTTATGGTCTGGGCCTCATTGGCAGTCCTTTACTTCAGACAGATGGGGAAGGAAAAAAAGGGATGGGCAATGGAGACAAAATGCAGTGAGTCCTCCCCTCCATACCCCAGCCAAGTACTTAGAGACGAGGAAATACTTTTAGTATCTTTAGTAGAGACTTCCTGTTGGTCTCTTCAGCATCTCTTCAGTAGTTTCCCCCTACTCTTTCATGACAGCTCCTATAAAGCTGACCCCAGCTCCAGGTATGGAAGACGCAGATTTCACTAAGCCAATCAGAACATTCCATTCCCCTGAATGATAAAATGAGCATTTGATATAATCCAGTCCAATTTGACTATACAACTTTTCCTTGGAATTCTGGAAAATGACAATCCAGGTTTTCTGCTGGATGTAAATAAGGAAGAATGGGAGAGCCCTAGGAGGTGGGGGCAGAGAGCTTGGGGCCATAAAAAAAAGTCAACATCAAGTTGAGGTAGAGACCATCAGAGGCAGAGTAGAGAGATAGATTGAGAGCAGGGACTTGGTGGCATCACTAGCTATTGAACAAGCCTCTCAGACAGAAGCCCTGCCTTCCTGCTTTTCAGCTAAATGTCAATAAATTCCCAGTGTGAGCTGGATCTTCTTGTACTTAAAAGCAAAAATGCTTCAGCTGAGACATCCTCCAAGAATTAAGAAAATAACCAAATACGTAATTGAAAGAGACAATGTATCTATCAGGCCCATGAGGAAACATGGATTGAAGGGAGTTTGGTCAGCAATGTTTAAGCATCTTACTTCCGCATGGAAAATGGGAAAGAAGGCTATCTTCAGCTGAGTATGACTAACACTGTCCAGACAGAGATACCATCTACAGGGGACAAGACCATTTTTGTCACCAGAGAGGCCTGAACTATATGAGCTTGGGCAAGTGAGCTTTAAAGCAATGGAATTCTAAGAATTAACAAGTACCAAGGACTCTTCATTCTCAGTTCCATTGCATCTGTGTACGGCTGATGGGGCCCATCTAGGGAAGAAACTGCAAGTGGTTTTAGATGATGAGAGCACTTCCCAGAATGTAAAAAGCCACAAGCTTATGGGACATTCATATTTCTCACTGAAAAGAAATGACCCTCTTTGTAAATGAGTGTTTGGGTATTTGGTTTGATATATAAAGTGGTGTGTGTGTGTGCATCTGTGTTTGGCTCATGTCAGTCCATCATTGCAAGTTTCTTATACTGTGCTCAGAAATTCCTGTTCAAGAACCTGTAGAAGCTCTTGGAGTCAAATCCATGACAGCAATGCCACTCATGAGGCTTTCTGACAAGTGACCACTCAGCCTCCTCCTGGCACTTTCACCCTACTGCCTTGCTGCCTTCTTCCCCCGGACTGAGCAACATGAGGAACCAACCTAACTAGGGGCAGGGGAATGGGTGAAAAGATACAGGCTTAGGTTTGAAAATCCATGATTATCAACCCATGTAGTCTGAAACTTTGAGAAGGGAGGCTCCATAAATCAACTGGGTGCCCCTGGCTTGATGTCATGGAGGTGTTACCTCCAGACATCAACACTTACTGTCCTTAGGGCAGGCTGCAACAGCTCAATGTCATGATAGCTAGTGGCTCTCTCAGCCCATCTCAGCACTTGAACTGCTGGGCCAGGCAGAAAGAAGTAAAATGGGATATCAGGGGGGCCTGAACCTTGGGCAGAAGCAGAAAGGACTATAAGGATTCTGAGCCTTTTCATTTATTTATTTAACAAACATTTATTTTTGTGCATCTTTTATATGCAAGAATTGTACCAGGTAAGGAATTAGTCATTGCTTCATTCAATAAACATTTATGGAGCATACACTTGCCAGGTACTATGTGAGATAAACATGAACGAGTCAGGATCTAGGCCATTCCATTGTGCCCATAGTAGAGTGTTCCTAATTCTGTGGGATTTGTCCTAACTGGACACAAGTGATTTCAGATTTTAAATGCTACATGAAGAATCTTTCTTTATGCACAGATAGGGCATTAAATATCTGAATTGCATAGTATGAAAGTCATTCATTTTTCCATGTTTTTCCAAACACTTTGATTACTTTGAGAATAAAGGCTCAGTCTCATGCCATGTAGCAGTACTCATCTTATTAAAACTTGCCAATTTTCCTTTCTGAGAGAGAGAGAGAGAGAAAATTTGTCTTAGGTACAGAGCTTTTAAAAACAAAATCCAAAAAAATGTATTTTTTTCCATACACACTTATGTTTTGTTAGAATTGGTTAGCTTTTACGTGACACTTGACTTTTTGTCATTTTTTTAATTGACATGAAATATTTGTTAGGTGAAATAAGCCAGGCACAGAAAGACAAATATCTCCTGTTCCCACTCATATGTGGAAGCTTAAAAAGTGGATTTCAGGGAGGTAGAGAGTAGAATGTTAGTTAACAGAGGCTGGGAAGGGCGTGAGGGTGATGGGGAGATGAAGACAGGTTGGCTAGTGGGCACAAAGGTAAAGTTAGGTAGAAGAAATCAGTTGTAATGTTCAATAGAGGAGTAGGGTGAGTATAGTTAAAGACAGTGTATTGTATATTTCAAAAGAGCCAAAAGAGAAGACTTGAAATGTTCCCAACAAATAGAAATAATAAATGCTCAGGGTGATGGGTACCCTAAACACCCTAACATGATCATTACACATTCTATGCATGTAACAAAATATCACATGTACTCCAGGGAGGATCTAATACTATTGTTTTGTTATTCCCAGTTTTAATTTTTATGGTGACTTCTTTAAGTAATAATACTTGTTTTTAAAGAAAAATTACAAATAATAAGTCAGCTGGCACATAAGTATGGTAAAAATTGTAAATGATTGAATTTTAGGAAAATAACAACATTGTATTGTGCTATTCTTTACCAAATTTTTAGTAAATTCTTCACACTATGGGAGAATTATACAGCTCTACCCTGATTAACTCAGGAGTGGTCTTGTGACTTATTGGCCAGCGAAATGTGGGTAGAAGTAGCATATGTCATTTTCAGGAAGAAACTTTAAGAGCCATTATGTAGTTTGCTGTGCCCCCTTTCTTTCTTCCATGAGACAAGCCATGTTATGAGAGAGCCTGCCCCATCAGTCTGGATGCTGCATTGAAGATGAAATTGAATGGAGACAATCAAGCCGTGATGAACATGAAGCATGAGTGTGAAATAAACTTGGTTGTTGTAAGCCACTGAGACTTAGTCCATCCTGACTGATACAAAGAGCCACAGCAAGATCTGATAAAAAGATGCAACAGCCCAGAACAGTCCAGCCCCACTCCTGGAAAAAAAACTTTAGTCACCTTTAGTTACCGGTTTCTAACTGTACTTCCCGCCAAACTACTCACCTGGTAACTCTGGCTTATACCCCTGCTCTCTTTAAAACAGTCAATCGGAATTAGCTTAGACTGTGTGGTCCAACCCTAGGCAATAGGGGAAAAACACAGCAATAGGGGCTACCTGCATCAGGAAAAAAACTCTTCCCCACCCTTGTTCAGGTGTGCTCTCACCATTACTCCATTCACGAGTCACACCCTTCTATAAAAGTAAAAATTGCCTTGCTGAGAAAATTAAATTTATGTTTGAGTGCTATTTCTTTGCGGCACCGAAAATTTATTTGTAACAGAAGCAAAGTGCCATGCACTTTGTACCTTTTCTCTCACTGGATCTTCTGAGGACTGATTTATCTCCCATTTTATAGATGAAAACACTAAGACTCATCCCACAAAGTCAGCCAGCCAGTAACTGATGAAGCCAGGACTCAAATCCAAAGCTCTTGAGCTAAATCTAGTAACTTCCTGTTGTGGTTTCTGTATAAGACACTGGAAACACAAGGCTGGAAAAATGCCACCAGCTACATGCATTTTCATCATACCTGCCTTGATATTTATTGGAAATGTGGAATATAAAGGCTTCAGCTAATGAAATTAGATTCACCCCCACATTCATCATCTTTTCTGCATTTGCAACATCCAAATTGAATCTGGGGTGGAGATGGAAGAATTCATCAGGACTGAGATAATTCAGTGAATGCTGCAGTGGGGTTTCTCAACAGCCCATGCAGGCTGAGTGTCACAGTGATTGGAGAATATACAATCATCTTTCTAAAGCCAGGGATTAGAATCTTTTTAACCATGACTAGATGGCCTAACACTTGGCTAAACCCAGTGACATAATACTCAAACAGTTGTTAATCATAAGCTATGATCCCAAAACCTCTCCTTCCTTTTCTTCTCTTTCTCCTTCCTTTCTTGCTTCCCTGTTTCACAGCCTCCATTCTTAACCTGGGAGTAAGTGTAGTAGTCAATCCATTCTCTGTTGAGTGGCTGAAATAAGCAAAGAGGAAGGATGAAGAAAAGATGGATGGAGAGGAAGAAATATGAAGAAAATGTGGAGAAGGAAATGGAGGTAAATTGACCACCTGCTATATGTTATGCACTCTTACAGACATGAGTTTATGTACATTCTGTGGTATCACTCTCAGGGCACTCTGGAGAGATGGCCCCAACACCATCACCAAATAGTGGTGCTTTTTCTGCAGCTGCTAGGGTAAGGAAGAGATAAAAGCACTTTAAGGGAGTTAACAGATTCAATCTCTTGGTCACATAGACAAAAATGGCCAAGAAAAAAAGTTGTGTTCGTGGCACAAACTGTCAAACAGAATATCTTTGAAGGCAAAGTAGGCTTTCCCAGTCCTACTCTGTAACCTTACTAACCACTGCACATGCTGTTTTAAAAGTGTAGTTCTCCTACCCATGCTTAAATGCCCTTAATATTCTTCAGGTTTAGTTGATTCATTTACTCAATATTATTTCAAGAAGTAGTTACTGAGTGCCTGCTATATGCCAGGCACTATTGCAGACGTTAGGAATACAGCAGTGTACAAAAAAAAAAAAAAAAAAAGACAAAAAAATCTTGTCCTGCTGGACCTAGCATTCTGGTAAATGGAGACAGACATTAAACAAAATATCAAGTAAAATATATAATATTTTAGAAAGTGTTAAGTGTATGGATAAAAGTTAAGTAATTCAGAGAAGTCAGGAGTGTTGGAGGGAAGTGGGATGTAATTTTAAATAGAACACTGAGGAAAGGACTCACTGGAAATACATTTGAACAATGACTTAAAGAAAGTGAAGCAGCCAGTTATGCAGATGCCTGAAGGTGCAGCACTTCAGGTAGAGGGAACAGGATGTGCAAAAGACCTGAGGCATGAGGATGTCAGTGTGTTCAAGAACAACATGGAGATTCAGTGGAACAAAGAGCAGTCAGCGGGAGAGGGGCAGCGATGGGAGATTGCATCAAAAGGAAAACAAGAGGATGCATCATGTTGGCCTCAAAGGACTCTCTCAGCTTCTACTCCAAAGACTGTCAGCAGTGGATGAGTTTTGTACACAAGAATGACATAATATGACTTGCATTTTAACCAAATATTTCTTACTGTTGTGTTAAAGATAAGACAGGTGGAAGCAAGGGCATAGGTCAGGGGCTATTCTATTAATCCAGGCAAGTTGCTCAAGAGATTAGGAAACTGGCTACGCTACTTCCACAAAGTTCCGGAAATTTGTTTCTTCTTTCTACTCTCCACTGTCTCCATCATAGTTCAAGTTCTTATTGGCACTAGTGTTTCTATTACATTGGCTTCTTAACTGGTCTCTCTGTCTCTAGTCTTGTCCCCTGAGATAGTCAGGATAGGAGAGGCTGTGTTGCAGCAACGGATAAATCCTGGAATCTCAGAGACTTGATACAAGAAAGGAGTATTCTTATTTATACCAGCATGTGATGTGAGTCAGGCTAGCTTCTTCCACCTTTTGTCTGTACGCTTTGAAGCATGTGGCCTCCAAGCTCTTCACAGAAGAAGAAGAAAGAAATGAAAGATCTTAGTAAGAAAGTCCTTAGAAATAGCTTACAATTCTCTGCCCACCCTCTGTTTGGCCAGAACTCCATAATATGGTTCCAACCTGCTTTCCTAGAAAGCTGGGAATGTAGAGTGGCTCCTAAATGTTGGATGTGCATTAGCATTCTCCACCACACATCCTTCCAGTCGTTGTGCTCTTTCTAAAGCAGAAATATCTCCATGTCCCTGTCATACTCCTAACTTGGTGATGTAGCTCTACCCCACCACAGTTTAACATATTATCAGTGGGTCTTTCCTTAGCTTTTCCTCCTCTTCCTGATGTCTTCCACTTTATAAATAGATACTCTTGCCTAACGCTTCCTGACTATCCTTTCTCCTGTTTTTAAGATGGAGTCTCACTCTGTCACCCAAGCTGGAGTACAGTGGCCCCAGGCTGGAGTACGGTGGCATGATCTCAGCTCACTGCAACCTCCGCTTCCCAGGTTCGAGTGATTCTCCTGCCTCAGCCTCCTGAGTAGCTGGGATTATAAGCACCCACCACCATGCCCAGCTAATTTTTGTATTTTTAGTAGACACAGGGTTTCACCATGTTGGCCAGGCTGGTCTCGAACTCCTGACCTCAGGTGATCCGCCTGACTCAGCCTCCCAAAGTGCTAGGATTACAGGCATGAGCCACCACACCCAGCCGTCTCCTTTAACTAATAAAACCATGACCACAACAAGATGTAGTTCTTAAGCTTCAATGTACTCTGAGGAACACTATTGTTTTTATAATTAGTTCTAGGATATTGCCCAGGAATCTGGATTTTTAAAACAAATAGGTAGTGGTTCATTGGCCACATGTTTAAAGAACTGATAAAAGACAACCAACAGTGCCTTCAGAGTCCAGAATGAAGGCTCAGAAAACTAAGATGGCAGGTGGGGACCAAAGTCAGGGTTCAAATTCAGACTTGTTCGTCTCAAAAACCAGTGCTTATTTAAATAAATTCAGGAATAATGTTATAACCCAGTACGAGAATGGGGATTTAAGAATAACAATGGTCTTTATGACTGCCTTCGAGTTCTTCCATTCTCCTTTTCATGGCTTTTCAGCCTGTGGAGGATTCTGTCAGGTTCAAAATCCCAGACCTCACTGATATCTCAGTGACAGAATGAGAGCAGCTACATATAGCAAAGAGTGAGGCTGAACAACTGTCCACTCACTTCTAGTTTCACTAAGAGAAAGAGTCTTACAAAGATTCAGGTGTAACACTTCTGTCAAGAGTCCCTTTTAATCATCCATTTATGCCTCTGTCTTCCCTGGTAGACACTCCTTTATGGCAAGAGTTAGGTCTTATGCATCTCTGCATTTATGGGATAACTGCATTTGGAATAAGCGTGCACCTGCCTTATAAAGGGCCTACAGCAGAAAGAATGGAAAGGAACTGCTGTTCCAAGGATTGCTAAGACTTGTCCAAGATTCTAACCCTGAGAGCTGGCCCTATAGCCTATGGCTTCATCCAACACTCTGAATGTCTACACTGTGCAAAGCACCATGCTAGGCTAGAAGATGTCATGAGAAATGAACTACTTTTCTTCTCTCAAAGGGCTCATGGTTGGGCCCAGCAGCGGTGTGAATGGTCAGTAGGATGCCAACAACTCCATATTCCTTCCCTCCATGCCTTCATACCCAGGGCTTTACATACATATCTGTATCACAAAGGCTATGTCCAAAGAAACTCGAATATAACCACTGTAAGTACTAGCCTTTGCAGGGAACCTAGGGTTCTCCACTCCAGTGTAACTTTCCACAGCCTACTGCTATAACTTTAGTTTCTCCATATGTTAAAAAATAGTGTTGGGCCAAAGAAAAATCTGAGGCTTCTTTGAGCTCCAAAATTCTATTCAGACCTCTAGAATTGGATGTCATGCAGAGGCCACCTTGTTAATTCAAACCTAGAGAAGAAATTCTCCTAAGTATAGAATCATTTACCACTTGCAGGAAGAACTGAACAGAACTCAAGCTGTTCAAGTTTCTTTCTCCTTGGCCAAGCACGATTTCATTGCAAAACTCTTTGGTGGGATTTTTTTAAGTTTCCAAAGAGGATCTAAAGACTTTTTGGACATTCATCTGTACTTGTATACCATATGGTTTGAATTTAGTAGGAAGAAGTCAAGAACAGACAGAACAAGCCTCTCGTGCCAAGCACCCAGTAATTTAGAAAGTTTCAAGAAAATGGATAGTTCAAAAATGTCATACAAAAAAAATTGGGGGCAGAATGGACATATACAATTAAACAGAGGAGAATGAATGTTCTGGAAGTCTGAGGTATCAGACTGTCTGCAAAATAAACGACCCCAAATCTTCATGGCTTAAGTCAACAACTACTTACTTAGCTGACTCTTCTGTAGGTCAGTGGTTTGGGTCGGGGACCTGGATAGTTTTTCTGGTCTTGGCTGGACCATCATGTCCAGGGGTTTGGCTGCAATAGCTCATCCTAGCTTCATGGGGCCTATTGTAAGCGCATGATTGTTCACATGTGTGTAGTAAGAGTGCTAAGAGAGTAGATGTTTCTCAAGTCTCAGGGTTGCTGCTGTCCCATTGGCCAAACAAATCCCACGGCTGCTCCAGATTCTAAGGGTAAAGAAAATTCCCAGTTCTTAAGGGGAAGAGCTTAAAAAGTTATGTAAATTTGAAGATACAGAGAGTGGAAGAGTTTGTGCTCAGTTTTACAATCTACCACACTTAGACACATGGGAATTGGATTAAATTTGCTGAGATTTTACCTTGAAAAGTGAAGACTCAAGGTGAGGGGATGTTGGAAGAAATAGGTTAGCAAAATGTAAGCATTATTTTCAAATTTCTAAAGAGATATCATGGGTAAGAAGAATGGCATATGTTCTGAAGACAGAAGTATTATAGTTTAATGGGTGCAAGCCACATGAGGCAAAAGGGAGAGCGCTTGAATCATCAGAGCTGCCCATAATACATAAGGAGAAGGGTGCAGACATTTATTGAGCACCTACCATGAATCAGATAATATGACATTTTCTCATTTAATGCACTCAATAATACATTATCTCCCATATTTTAGAGATGAGTCTCAAAGGGGTGAAGTGACTTTGATCAAGCTCACAGAACTAAGAAGTGACAGCTCTGGGATTTGAACCCAAATCTCTTCAATACCAAAATCCATGCTCTTTTGACCATATCATGCTGCTTTAGACCTCCTGAAAGGAAAAGAGGCACCCAGGTTCAATGTGGAAATAGATGTTTGTAGTGAGGGTATATGGGGCAGTGCAGCCGTGTGGGGAAATGTCTCAGCAGCTCCTCACATCCCTGTACCCATCTCCTGCCTCTATTTCCAGCCCCCTGTCTGGCTCCCTTTGCCCTTCCACCCCCAGAAATCAGAGACATCAATCTCCACTAAGAGATACTGCTTTACAGCTTGTAAATTGCATTCAAGTTCAGCTACAAGGCTGGGCCTTTCTCTGAATGGTTTGTAATTTAAAGAATCCACATTATGAATTTCCAAGATGTCATAATGAGCGCTACCATTTTCTTAGCACTTTGTATACCATCCCTTATCCTCACCAAAATCCACTAGGTCACTATAATTATCATTTTACAGACTTTTTTTTTTTTTTTTTTGCGACAGAGTCTCACTCTGTAACCTGGGTTGGAGCACAATAGCACGATCTTGGCTCACTGCAACATCCACCTTCCCAGTTCAGGCAATTCTCTTGCCTCAGCCTCCCAAGTAGCTGGGATTACAGGCACCCACAACCATGCCTGGCTAATTTATTTTTTGAATTTTTAGTAAAGACAGGATTTTGCCATGTTGGCCAGGCTGGTCTCAAACTCCTGACCTCAGGTGATCCGCCCGCCTCAGCCTCCCAAAGTGCTGGGATTACAGGCATAAGCCACCACACCTGGCCCATTTTACAGATTTTAAAAATTAAAAACAAAACAAAACAAAAAAACAACAAAAGAAACTAAAGCTCAGGATTCAAGTTTATCTAAAAATAAGAAATAAAAAAAAGAAAAATCAATACTTTTCCGACCATACTATACCCCTTCTTGAAAGACTACATGTTGGGAGCCTCCCAGGCTATATGAAAGTGGATGGTAGAGATAGTTTTTTATTGAGTAGATGTTCCTTGAATTATACCACATACTACCATAGCTGATGCATCAGAAATTCTGGTGCATAAATGAATTACATCCGATCATTCTTGTCATTAACTTTAAAAGGTTTTAGCAGATTCTTAAAACTTTCTTTATTATAGAAAATTTCAAACACATATAAAAGTAAAGAAAATAGCATGATTAACCCCCTTGTACCCATCACCTGGCTTCAGTCATGTTTAACATATGGTCAATTTAATTTTTTGGCAGATTTTTAAGAGATAATTCCCAAACCTATGATTGATAATGTGCTGCTTCTGCTTCTCCAAATTAATAGTCAAGGAGTGTTGGAGCAGGAAGGCCCTTCCCAGCATCATCTTGGATGAACTTTTCCTTTTCAAAGAAGAAGGCTGGGGCCCAGAGACAGAACTGGCTTTCCACATGAAGGTAGTGGAAAAGGAAGGCTTAGCACCAGGGCTTCTGGCTCCCTGGACCAGCCACCTCTGAGGAATCAGGGTGCCTGCTCGGTACCCACACCCTAAGCAACCACAGCCACCTCCAGAGGAGAAACCGGAGGTCAGAGTGGATTGGAATTGGCCTCCATCCAGCAGGCTCAATGGACTTTGTCAGCCAGGCCATCCTCTGACCTCCCTACTGTTTCAAGGGTAATTAACCAGACAAATGGGTTCCCTCTGCTGAGACTCAGTGCCCAAATAATTACACACCCCCCCAACTACTGGTGACCAGATCACCTCTGAGAGGTCCCACTCGGCCCTCCAATGTCACATTCTTCATTAACTCAGCTTTCCTGATTTGAAAATGTGATGCTTCTCAAAACTGGCAGCTCCTGAAAAGACTTTGCCAGTTGGTGCTGGTGGCATATTACCAGGTACAAAATGATCTTCTCCCCTGGGTGAATGGGAGACAATAACTCAGGGTTTAGATAGTGCTGAGACATGGCATGCAATGGTCCTTCTCAAATTGGAAACCTAAAGAGATACCTGGTCTTGCAGGGGGATCCTGGAAGCCATGAGATACACATCTTCTGGACAAGAAATCTATGTAAAGAATTACCTGCATTGATTTGTTTAATCTTAACAATAACCCAATGAGGTAGGTACTATGGTTATCCCCATGGTAAGGAAACTGAGGCACAGAGAGATTAAGTAACTTCTTGAAAGCCACAGAGCTGCTAAGTACAGGTAGTATTAATTAGAATAATAGGGCTTAAAATGCTACATACATTTTAGGAGAGAGTTATCACATGTGCAAGGTTATTATTAAAGCCAAAACTATGAAAGTTAAACAAAGATGGGTATGAGCCAGTGTGTATTTGAGTCCTTGACTCTGTGATCCAGATGTGTATTAGTCTGTTTTCACACTGCTGATAAAGACATACCCGAGACTGGGAAGAAAAAGAGGTTTAATGGACTTACAGTTCCACGTGGCTGGGGAGGCCTCACAGTCATGGCAGAAGGCAAGGAGGAGCATGTCACATCTTACATGGATGGCAGCAGGCAAAGAGAGCTTGTCCAGGGGAACTCCTCTTTATAAAAACATCAGATCTCATGAGACTTATTCACTATCATGAGAACAGCATGGAAAAGACCCGTCCTCATAATTCAATTACCTCCCACCAGGTTCCTCCCACGACATATGGGAATTGCTGGAGTTACCATTTAAGATGAGATTTGGGTGGGGACACAGCCAAACCATATCATTCTGCCCCTGGTCCCTCCCAAATCTCATGTCTTCAAATTTCAAAACCAATCATGCCTTCCCAACAGTCCCCAAAAGTCTTAACTCATTTCAGCATTAACTCAAAAGTCCACAGTACAAAGTCTCATCTAAGACAAGGCAAGTCCCTTCCACCTACGAGCCTGTAAAATCAAAAGCATGTTAGTTACTTTTTAGATACAGTGGGGGTACAGGTATTGAGTAAATACAGCCTTTCCAAATGGGAGAAATTGACTAAAGCAAAGGGCCTAGAGGGCCCATTCAAGTCTGAAATCTAGCCAGGCAGTCAAATCTTAAAGCTCCAAAATGAACTCCTTTGACTCCATGTCTCATTTCCAGGTCACACTGATGCAAGAGGTGGGTTCCCATGGTCTTGGGCAGTTCTGGCCCTGTGGCTTTGCAGGGTACAGCCTCCCTCCTGGCTGCTTTCACAGGATGGCATTGTGTGTCTATGGCTTTTCCAGGCACACAGTGCAAGCTGCTGGTGGATCTACTATTTGGGGGTTTGGAATATGGTGGCCCTCTTCTCATAGCTTCACTAGGCAGTGTCCCAGTAGGAATTATGTGCTGGGGCTCTGACCCCACATTTCCCTTGTGCACTGCCCTAGCAGAGGTTCTCCATGAGGGCCTCACCCTTACAACAAACTTCTGCCTGGTCATCCAGACGTTTCCATACATCCTCTGAAATCTAGGCAGAGGTTTCCAAACCTCAACTCTTGACTTCGTGGGCTCGCAGGCTTAACACCATATGGAAGCTGCCAGGGCTTGGGGCTTGCACCCTTTGAAGCCACAGCTTGAGCTCTACATTGGCCCTTTTCAGCCATGGCTGGAGTGGCTGGGACACAGGACGCCAAATCCCTTGACTGGACATAGCAGAGGGACCCTGGACCTGGCCCACAAGACCATTTTTTCCTCCTAAGCCTCCAGACCTCTGATGGAAGGGGTTGCAACAAAGGTCTCTGACATGCCTTAGAGACATTTTCCCTATTTTCTTGGTGATTAACAGTCAGCTCCTCCTCACTTATGCAAATTTCTGCAGCTGGCTTGAATTTCTTCTCAGAAAATGGGGTTTTCTTTTCTATTGCATTGGCAGGCTGCACATTTTCTGAACTTGTATGCTCCGTTTCCCTTATAAAACTGAATGCCTTTAACAGCACCCAAGTCACCTCTTGAATGCTTTGCTGCTTAGAAATTCCTTCCATCAGATAGCCTAAATCATCTCTCTCAAGTTCAAAGTTCCACAAATTGCTAGGGCAGGGGCAAAATGTTACCAGTCTCTTTGCTAAAACATAACAGGAGTCACCTTTGCTCCAATTCCCAACAAGTTTCTCATCTGCATCTGAGACTACCTCAGCCTGGATTTCATTGTCCATATCATTATCAGCATTTTGGTCAAAGCCATTCAACAAGTGTCTAGAAAGTTCCAAACTTTCCCACATTTCCCTGTCTTCTTCTGAGCCCTCCAAACTGTTCCAACCTCTGCCTGTTACCCACTTCCTAAGTAGCTTCCACATTTTTGTGTATCTTTCCATTAGCACCCCACTCCTGGTACCAATTTACTATATTAGTCCATTTTCACACTACTGATAAAGAAATACTCGAGACTGGGAAGAAAAAGAGGTTTGACGGAATTACAGTTCCACATGGCTGGGGAGGCCTCACAATCATGACAGAAGGCAAGAAGGAGCAAGTCACATCTTACATGGATGGTGACAGGCAAAGAGAGCTTGTGCAGGGGAACTCCTCTTTATAAAACCATCAGATCTCATGAGACTTATTCACTAGCATGAGAATAGCATGAGAAAGACCTGCCCCTATGATTTAATTACCTCCTATTGGGTCCTTCCCGTGGCATGTGGGAATTGTGAGAGTTATAATTCAAGACGAAACTTGGGTAGGGACATGGCCAACCATATCATTATGGAAAATGCCAAAGGAATTTAGAAAAGTAAAAAGAGCAATAAAACTTGTGGAAGAGGACTTCAGGATGGGACACAATATTTGGAGAGAAACTACATTTATGCAATCTTTTCTCAGCTCCTGTCACTTAATCTTGAGAATATATTTTGATGTGGGGATAAATATATATACCATTTTATAGATAAAGAAAGCAAGACTCACTGGTGATAAGTGACTTGCCAAGTACCTAAGTAGGCATTAGGTCTGACTCCATATCCAGAGTACTTTCCAACCCATCCCAGCAGAGCTGATTTTAAATCTGAGGTATGCCCTTGTTTCTCAAGAGGGTATCACAGTTATAGCCCCAGGGAAGCCCACAGTGAATAGGGTGATCCTAATTCCTGCCTTGTCCAGGACAGTCCTAGTTTATGCTTGTTGTCCTAACATAATTGGTATCAATACTCTTTTTCACTTTTAAAGGTATTCCTGTTTGAAGGAAAGATTATAAAGCCACCTGAAGCCTGAGCACTGCTTTCTCAGATACAGATTTTTGCAGTTACAGATAACTGCAAAGTGGAACAATGAGTCCCTGCAACCTTCTTCCCTCTCAGGAACATTGTTGGAGAGCCATTAATGAGGAATAAGAGCTACAGATGAGACTAAATTTAGAACAACATGTGTAGAGAAACTTTCTAGTTTATTCCACCCACTCTCACCTCCAGCCCCAACTAACTGTGGTAGAAGTGATTGTTTTCTGGTGGAAGGTTCAGGAAGAAGCAATCTAAGAAACAAGGGTAAGAGAGAAACAGAACTGGCTGTTTGCCCTTCCCTGGCTAGATAGTTGAATTCATTAAACATTTGAGAATTACAAGAACTTTGCAGCAAATCACCTAGCCCCTTCTCTATTACTAAGGTGACCCAGATTCCTTCAACTGTTAGATCATTTTACAAGTCATTGCCAACATCATTCTGCAAACCAATAGCAACTTTTCTGAAATGCCTTTCCCACCACCCATACACTTCTCAGGAAGACAGTGTTATGAAAGCAAACCAAGATAACTTTGATGCCCCAGGGCAGCCATTTCTCAGGGTGCAAGCTAACAAAAGTCCAGTGCAATAGAGTTAGAAGACCAAAGGCTTAGAGCCAGGCAGACCTAGGGGTAAATCCCAGCTCTGTGCCAAGCCAGCTGTGGGCTCCAATATTATTTTTTCTGACAAAGGGAAGAAAACCAAATTGCCCCCGATGAGATTGGAAACTGTGGCTCTAAGAAGTCTCACGTTGGAGTCTAGCATTTTATCTTATCAGAAGCTCAGATGGTCACTTAGTTCACCTTATTACTTCATTAAGAATGAGCAGTGATTAATAAAATAACATCTTCCTATACACTACTTGTAGAAATGTTAATTTCTACAAGTGTTAATTATTAATCTGTAGAAAGCATTACAGATTCAAAGTTCTCAGGTCCTATGAACAGAATTCAGATAACTGCTCCTTACCTGTTTATAGGAGAGAGACAGGAATATGTACTTTTCTCCCTTCTTTCTTTGAGATACACTGGGTGAGGCCCAAAGCCCAGCCAAGCTATGTTTAGAGAGGCATAACGATGCAAAACTTTGGAACAAGGCCAATTAATGTTCCAGCAGGTGGCTGTGGACCTTCAGCTAATTATTTTAAGCTCTCTTTGCCTCAGTATCCTTAGCTATAAAATGGAAACAATGCCATTATATACCTGCATTGTAAAACTTAGGTAATATGATTGTAACATGACTTAGGCAATAAAAGATGTGGGGAGAGCACACACAGGTGCCACCCATCAAAATGCTTCTCAGTCATCCATTCTTTGTCCCCTGCCATCTTCTTCCCTGAGTTCTCAGGGCAACATTGAAATCCTCCAGCTTCAGCTTCTGACTATCTACATGCTGTAGGGAGTTCTACCAATCAAATGTCACGTGAGAAAAACATAAGTGTTCACTGTGTTAAACCACTGAGATTTGGAAGTTTATTCATGATAGTATATATCAGTTAGCTATTTCTATGAAACAAACAACTTCTAGACTTAGTGGCCTCTACAAACTTCATACAAATTTATGTCCCTCCCTTCAATTTATATGTTAAAACCCTAATCCCCAACATGGTGCTATTTGGAAGTGAGGCCTTTGGGAGATAATTAGGTTATTAGAGTAGAGTCCTCATTATGAGATTAATGCCCTTATAGGAAGGGACACCAGAGAGTTTGCTCTCTGTTTCTGCTCTCCACCACCTGAGGATACAGCAAGAAGGAAGCAAACCAGGAAGAGAGCTGTCACCAGAACCTAACCCTGCTGACATCCTGATCTTGGACTTCTAAAACTTCTAGTTTCTGAAACTATAAGAAAATAATAATAATCCCTATTGTTTAAGCCACCCAGTCTATAGTTTCATGTTAAAGAAGCCTGGAATGACTAGGACAGTGGCTTAAAACCACCACCATTAATTATAGCTCACAAATCAATGGGTCATGAGGGCAGTTTTGCTTGTCTTGGCTTGGCATTATTTGACCTCAGCTGGGCTCAGTCATTCATCTGAAGTCAATTGCCAGGTTGACAGTGGGATAGCTGGTCTAGAATGGCTTGGCTGAGGGTTATTTCACTTCACTCCATGTGGTCTCTCATACTCCAGCAGGTTAACCCAGGTTGGTTCTCATGGCAGTGGCAAGAGCACACATGGCCTCTTGATGGCTAGGCTTGGAATTCACCAGTGTCACTCCTGCCACATTTTATTCACCAGACCAAGTCACAAGGCCAACCGAATTCATGGAGTGAGGAAATAGTAGTCCATTCTCTTCACTGGAGAAGCAGCCAGGTCACATTGAGAGAGGCTGGGAATTGGAATCATCTTTGCAATCAACCTGCGACATAGCAGCTAGTGTCACCTTAACTACTATTGTCACACACAGCTGGTGATGACAGAGACAGGATTCAGTTCCAGGCCTGACTCATGTCGAAATTGGAGCCCTTTTTTGGATTACTATTTTAGTACCTCAAGGAAAACAAAACAGATTTGATAAAATCAATAAAAACATTTTTATGCAAATGTCCTGAAGCTGCACATGGATGGAAAATTTTCCCTCTCTCCTCTCATTCTCCAGGGTATCTTCAAGGCTGCTGAAGAGGTGGAAGCAGCTTTATTTTGCTACTTTCCAGGTTTAGTTCTTCAAACATGCAGTCACCTCCCTAACTAGTTTTAATTAGATGCATGGTTCATATTAGGTCACAACAAACACAAAAGTTGAGTAATTTTAATAGGATCCACGAGTCACTTCCAATAAAGCTGGCTTTGTGGTTACCTGGGTGATGGCTGTTCCATCTCTACCTGAGTTGTCAGGTAGCTGACTGAATTCCAAATGTGGGATGATCTGAACAGAAAGGTAGAAAATCTCCTGCATTCTGTGGACCTTAGGCCTCTTCGTGGCAGGGGTTATAACTTCCTCCACTTTCTGGGAATAGGTGGCCCAGGTTGGCTTTAAAAGAACCAAGTTTTTCCACTTCTCTAACCAGAAAAGCCTTTTCTGAAGCTTCAGGCATCCCTTGGAGCTCCCAGCTTTGCCTATCTCAAAGATCCACCATCAGAGAACAGCTAACTTAGAAGCACCTGATAAATCATTGTCAAGTTCCACTATTTCATAGAAGGGATGATTGAAGTCCCAAGAAGAAAGGCTACTTACCCAACTCCAGCAGTGCTCAGACCAGTCTGGATGAAGGTACCATGGTATAACAGAGAAGGCATGGTCCTTAGATTCAGCCGGATCTATAAATTCCAGCCAAAGCTCTCCCAGTCACCACTGTGTGACCTGAGGCAAGTACCCAACCTCTCTGTGCCTTAGTTTGCCCTTTAAAAAGGCCAAGAAGGTTTACCTTTCTTGCAGGATCATTGTGGTATTTTAAGCGAGATAGTATGTAGAAAGTCCCTACTAGATTTCCTGAGACACAGTAGGTGATCAACAGGAGATAATTAATATTATTCCCACAGCCAGAGTGGGAATGGAGGTTGTGGTGCAAAGAAAACAAGAGCTATGGATATTTCCTAAGTAGCAATGGACAAGAATGTCTTTTCCTGAAATCCATAAGTGCCTTCAATATAATCCAGGTTTCTTAAAGAGCAGGAATTTGGTCTGTTTTATTTGTTGCTATATTCTCAGAAGCTGAATAAATAGGACAATAACCATCTGTAGTATGAACAGAGAGATTACTCTTAGGTCACTGGTAAAATGTATTATGCACAAGTGGTTCTTTTCTCTCTAGAGGGTAGGTTAGAAACTCAAAAGAGATGCTATCCATAAAACTCACTTTCCCACCTTCATCAAATTAACACATAAAGGAGGCAGACAGTGCAGCTGAAATGCTAAGTATAAGGTCCACAGACCAGAGAATCCTGGACGAGAAGTCCAACTCAGTGAAACCTTAATGTGTTATTTAAGCTCTTTGAGCCTCCATTTTCTACTTACATAATGAGAGTGATAAAATTGTCTCTTTCAAAGGGTTGGTGTAAGAAAGGTGAGCAAGGATGCTTGTTCAGCTTAGTGCCTGACACAGAGTGAGGGCTCTGTCAATGGGAACTGCAACATGTAAAAACAAATACAGCCCCACATCCTAATCTTCCTCTTTGTGGGAGGTGAGGCCAGCTTCTCTGTTGGGCATCCTCGTTGGCTCAGCTAAGAAAAGAGGCCAAAAACAGACCACGGGGACCCTCCCAAGGCCCCCTGCCTCATTGTGTGTCCTCTCTAGCTGTAAGCCACAAAAACCTAGTCTATTACAAATGAGCCAGTGGTCACAAGATATTTATCCGCCAGGTAGGGGAAAGGGAATAAAACGTATCAGCGGACACCAGTTCTGTACAGGGACCTTCTTGTGTGTTATGTGCCCCTCAGAATTAAGGATGAAAGGACCCAAGTCATGGATGATGCTTCCTCATTCACACTGAAAAACAGGCAGAGAACAACCCATGTCATGACCCAAATCTCACGACTCTTTGGAATCCCTAGGCTTGCGTGTTTATATCGTTTTTTCATTCAACCTTATCTCTCTACTTTATGTTTTCTCTGTTTTATTATATAAATTTTAATAGAATACCTCAAATACTTGGTGAAGATAAATATTAATCAATCAATAATCCCACTTATCCTTTCAACAACCCTAGGAAAAAGGCATCATTATCTCCTTTTTATATGTGTAGGAAATAGTCCCACGGAGGTGAAGTGACCTGCCCACTATCTCACAGTTATCATCAAGGGCAGAGTGAAAGTCAAAACCATGTCAGTCCGGCCCCTGGGCCCATTTTGTTTCTGCTGCACCAGGACCCTCTCACCCAGATCGCTGGGCCCTCTGCACTCCTCGACGCTGTGGGCCTCCTCCTCCTCTCTCTGCAGGAAACCACTTCTGTACTTAGAATTAGCTCTTTGGGGTGAATTATCAGAAAAAGAATTCTGGAGTCGAAGGCTATGAACATATTTATAGCTCTTGCCCAAATGCTGTATGAAGGTAGGGCTTCATGTTCCTGAGGCCCAAGGAAGGAACATGATTGCAAGACCACAGAGCCCATTAGAGCTGGAACCAGCTCTAACATTAGAGCAACCAGCTCCCCACACTCAGAACCTCTCACTTTTTCTAAAACCTAGTGCCGCCTCCCACACGTGGAATGTTTGAAGGACACTGCAGTAGCTCCCCACCCTTTCCCAAAAGTCTCCCTGCTATATTAGAGCATTCAAAACCCTCACAGCTGACCTGCAGAGTCCCAGCACGAGGTTTCCCAGGAAAGACAAGGAATGATCACCAGCACATCAGTGGGGGAAGGCTGATCATTTAATGTCTGTACCACTGACAGGTCAGGGATGTAGCACTCTATGAAACTGAGATCCAGGATGGGGTGAGGAGGCAGAACCACCATTTCTCTTCCAGGGATTCTGCTTAAGCATAATAGTCCCCTCTAATAAGGCAAGGTATGCAGACAACGTGCACTAGATGTTTGCACAGAAAACCATCTGTCTCAAACCGTGCTGTTCTCCCCTTTGTTCCACTTTAGCTTGGCTTGGCCCCAGTTTCTGTATCTGCCGAATTTAATAAAGTATGGACTCAGGGCTGTTGCAAAGATGAAATAACACAAGTAAAGTGCTGTCACCATGCCAAACAAATAACCAATTTTAATCAATGGGAATTTGCATGTGTTAACTCAATCTGTAGTGTTTTACAGTTTACGATGATCTTCACATTTATGTCAGTTACAATGGTTTCAGTAAGAGACAGGTCTTAAATGCCTGGCACTAATCCCAGATGGGGTATAAGAAGGAGGAATAAGATCACAAAGACTGACTCCAGCTTTTACTTGACTCCCTCTACCTAGGTTCTAGGGTGACCAGATGTCCCTGTTTGCCAGGGGCAGTTCTGGTTTACTCCTGTTACACTGGGGTAATAATAGCTTCCCCCTTTATTCCCAAGAGTGTACTGGTTTGGATGACAAGCTCTGTGATCACCCTACTGATCATCCTATGATCAGCAGTTCTATATTTAGAGTGTTGGTGATGAGAAAACGGTTAGAAGCTTGGATTCTGTATCCTGAGTTCTTCACTTTGTTGCTGGGTGAACCTGGGCACATTGTTTAACCTCTATGAATCTCAGGCTCCTCATCTATACAGTGAGGAGAAATCAGGGCCCACTTTTGTAGAGTTGTTGTGAAGGTGAAAGGAGAGATGCACATCAAAATGTGTGCCCGACACAGAGTGAATACAGAATAGTTATTAATCAATGATATTAGCTCTTCTGGAAAAAATAATTACTTGCTCAAAATGCTTCTGGAGTCATGTTTTGGCAGGTTTGACCCATCAGAAAGTTAAAAAGGTAAAGGACCCAGTAGTCTCATAAATAATAGTCTCATTCAAACATACAGTCAGCAGGGCTCCAGGCATTTCTGAGTCATTAAAGATGCTGGCTGAGAATGTTGACACCAGTGAAATTTTGCCCTCAGCTTTCTTCACAGAGTCACTGCTGATGATTGCTGGTGATTGGCAGCTGTTTCTTCCACCGCAGGATGTGTTAAATAGTTGCAGTTGGTCAGCGTTGTATGGAAGTCTTGGATGGCTATATTTAACTTGGACTGTAACAATGCTGGAAGGAGTGAAGTTGTCCATGACCTTGGCTATTCATTACCCTCTGTGACTCCCTCCTAGTGAGCCTGCCTCTCCTTTGGCCTGCTTTAATCCCTGTACATGCAGAACAAGGGACACAGGCAGGGGCTAAGGAAGGATGACTTTTCATCTGCATAAAGCCCTAGGGCTCCAGCACAGAAGAGCTGCAAAGGGCTCTGCCTGGACACAACTCTCATTTCACACATGGGAAATTGGGGCACAGAGAAGTTCAGAAATGTGCACAAGGTTACAAAGCAAGTTAATAGAAGAGTAGGACCCAGGATTTCTAGCTTGCAGCCATTCCTCCTGCTACACCAAGCTTTACTTTCTGTTCAAAGGAGTCCTTAAAGGCTTACCAGATCCTCTTCATGCCCCTTCCCCAATTGGCTCAGCCATGCTTTGCCTCGAGGAAGATCACCTGCCACCAGTCATATTCTTGGAGATCAAAAGAGAAGATTTCCATAGAGAGAGGCTGTGTGCTCCTTACTAGCCTTACAGAAGCAATCCTGTTGTCAACCCCTCCCCTGGCTTAACCAGCCAGACCTTCTGCCACCATGGCCCCCCATGTCATGTGGCTTGACCCAGTAGTGCCCTGCCTCATGCCTCGTACCACCAGCCTCTTGCCTCATATGCAGAGCTTTGTCAACACTAAGGTGCAAAACATTTGACAGCCCCTTTCATACTCTCCAGCTCACCCAGCTATGTCCATTAGGCTGCAGGCTGGCTGGGAATGTTTGGCTCACACCCAATCACCATTACCACTGCTATGGTGGGCCTTGCTTTCCAGAGAATCGGTTAACGAAACTCAGCAGTGCTGGAGAATTAACTCCTACTGGGTGACCTGTGACCATTTAGAGATGGGAGACAGGAAAAAGCAAGAATTTTATCCCCTTTCTTCTCTGAATGGACTCTTTCAAGATGCAATGTTTCTGTGTGGCCCTCTCAAAGATGTCCTACATGACCCAGCAAATGGCTGGATTTCTTGTGAAGCTGTGGGCAGCTCAGTGCCTCACCTTATATGTGTTTTCCCTCTATCCCTGCCTCAGTTTCCCTTTTACCTCCAGTCTTTCTTCTCTGAGATCTTATTCGCCAATAAAGCCTTAGCATATGTGTTTTGCCTCAGGCTCTGTTTTCTAAGAAACCCATATTAAGACAAAGGTAAATTCTGGTGAAAGTCACATTGAGAACTGAGGTCACAGCAGGACTGGGAAAGCCCAAATAATGATAGTGTGAGCACATAAGGCCAGGGGTGGCTGTCTACTTCATTCTCAGATGTACTCCAAGCTTCTAGGACAGTGCCTGGAGACAGCAGCACTCAGTAAATATTTGTAGAATGGACAATTAATACTGTGAATTTTTATAGGGCTTTCTAGTTAAAAAGTGCTTTCACATACATAATTATCACATGATTCCCAGGACACTCCTATGAGGGATTGATAAGAAGCTTGGACCCATTTCTGCATATGAGGAAACTGAGCCTTGGAGAGCTAGTCCAAGCTTCCACAACTGGCTAGTTGGAACTTGGAAACTTGAACAAAACTCTCTGGGCTGCCCTTTTGGAAGTGTTTTCATTCTACTAAGGAAATCAGTCCAACAAGGCAAATATTAAGGGTTGAGAAACTACTAGAGTCTGTGGTTGGCAGAAGGTCTGAAATTTCATTAGATGGAGAAGTTGAATCCAAGCATCAGAGGGAATAAGTGATGACGTCATTCTGCTTCTGTGGCCAGGTCTCCCTCTGTCTCCAGCATTAAGGAAGGAGGGGCTGATTCCACTGATGTAAGGAGGGGTCTTTGAGAGTGAGGCAAGACAGACAGTGAGGTTTACAAAGTTTACCAAGCGCTCGCACACATTATCTCACTTAATGCACACAATCATCTGAAGTGAGTGAATGTATTCGTTTGTTTTTGCTGCATAACAAACCATTCCAAAGCTTAATGGCTTAAAACCCTGATTTATTTAGCTCATGGTTCTGCAGGTTAGCAGTTTAGACTGGACTTAGCTGAGAGGCTTTCTGTTCTTATTGGATTCACTCATTAATATGTGGTCTGCAAAGTCAGCTGGGGGCTAGCTGGCCAAAGGCAGCTCCACTGGGGATAACTCGCCTCTGCTCCATGTGGGCTCTCATTCTCCAGCATGGAGGCATGGGCTTAATCTCATGCAGGAAGCAAGGGTCCAAGATGGCTAGAAGAAGCATGCAAGGCTTCTTGAGTTTCAGACTCCAAACTGGCACACTGTCATTTCCACTGCATTCCACTAACAAAAGCAAGTCAAAAAGCCTGATCCAACTATAGCGGTAGGGACACACACACCAACATTGAAGGAAAAAATTGCAAAGTCACATTTCAAAGAATACAAATGTAGAGAAGTAAGAAAAATAGTAACTACTTTTCATTTTACTACAGTGATGTTATCCTAGTTTTACAGCTGAGGAAATAAGAGTTCCCAGAGGTGAGTGATTTGCCCACAGCCACACAGCTCAAATGCGGAAGGGTTGGAACAGAAACCCAGGACTCTTCCTTCTAAACCCAGAGTAGGTAATAGGGCAGAACATCCTGTTCAGCCCCGAGGAGGATCCCCAAGACCAGCAAGGTGGGTCCCTACCTCAAGACACTTAAGGATGAGTAGAGGAGAAAAGTCAGGCAGAAAACTAAGGTCCAATGTGCTAAAGGCCAGGAGAGAGATGCCAAAACTCACTGGCGGATGCAAAGATGAAAGATTTTCTGCAATAAAACAAAGATTGATAACAGACAATGGAGTATTACTCACTTAAAAAAATCACATTCTCACAGAAGGCGGCTCTGTGCTTGGGTGTGGAAGTCTGAATTGAAGGACAGACTGTAAGTAGGAGGGAAGGAATTGTGGGAGAAGGAAGTCCCATCCCTAAAGCCATGTGTGTGTCCATCCAAAGGTGCCCGTGGGAACTGGACTGGAATTGCTGTCCAGTCATTATTGCAGTTATGTCTGTTGCTGCTTGGTTAGGTTTGGTTTTTCTTCTGGATTTTGTTTTGAAGCTATCAAAATGGCCACTTAAAATTTTTGAAGAGATTTCTGCCTTCTAGGTTGGGGAGCTGTCTATAGGACAAACTGCTCCCCTTGTTCTGAAAGGATCGTCATAGATTTGCAAGTTTAGGTAGGTGCCCACCCATTGTTCTTTTGAAAACAACCTTCAGGCCTCTCAGAGGCCCAGGAGTCACTGGGCTGGCCCAGAGACTCAGAGATCCCTGGAGGTCCTGAGAAGGGGTTGGTTGGAGGATTAGGGGATGCTTTCCGCCATCTTACAGGGCAAGCCAGAGCCAAGTGGGGACACAGCAACTGCATAAGAGACCATGAGATGGGGTTTAGGCCCCTAGACTCCAAGGACAGTTGCCTGCAACTGCAATGGAAATGTGTGTGCCACATTTGGAGGAGGTATACGAGGGAATAGAGATGTGGCCTCCTTTATCAAGGCCAAGATGGGACTCGGTACTGATTAGCTTCAGAGGAGCACTGTGCCCCAAAAACAGGCAATGTCCTGTGGATACTTGGCTTAGACATCAGCCAGATGAGGAAGGATGAGCTCATGCAGTAATTTGGTTATAAACAGAAAGTACTGTAATATTTTGTAGTCAGAGATTAGTGAGACCTGCAGCAGATTAGATATACATGGCTCTTACAGGGCACTCAAAATATAATTGGTGCTCCAGAGAAGATTATTTAATTAATTAATTAGGTGAAAGTAATACCTAAAAAAAATTAAAAAAAACAGGTCTTAAAGAGCAGAGGAGAGGAATTCCTTTACTTAAAGGGAGATGATGATCTCAGTGATTCAACCAGACTAGCTATCATCTCTTTCTTCCAGCTCCTACCAGCCTCCTCCTCAGCAGACCCTCCCTGGTGGTAAGATGAGCAAGAGCAGCCTCAATGCCCTCTTCCAACCTCCCAGCAACATCTCATGCACCTCTTGGCTCTAATGCATTCACATGTTTGTCCCTGAACCATTCACTGTGGCCACTGTTCTAGGTCATAGGATCTAGAACACACAAAAGCAGTACTGGCATTTCGTTCCACAAACAACAGCAAAGAGGGAAAGGAGACTGGATCTCCAAGCAAAAATCAGAGGTTCTTGCAAGAAGAAGAGTATATGAATGCTGGGCCGAGCATCCACGTCCATCATCCAAAACACACGACGCTGTGTTGCTTTATAACCCCATCTAAACTCGGTTTGCTTATGGACAGAAAGATGATGATAAATGAAACCTTGCAGAGTTTTTTGTGCAATTTAAAATAAATAATATAAAAGCCAAGAACAGTTTCCAGCAGAAAGCAGGAATCAAGAGCGTCACATGAAATATAATTTTCTTCAGTTTCATCAGACTTAGTTTTATTATTATTATACAGATATTTATTCCCCTTTCTTTAAATAAACTTGTCAGTAATCTCTTTATTAGGACACAAATGTGATTTCTTCTGAATAAAACAAATGTATTATCCCCTGTCAAGTTCAGAGACATCCAAGGTTAGCAACATTCTTTAGCATGAACCATGAAGGAGGGCCAACAGTAGAGGCTCAGGGAATTTTCCACAGGCCTTGAAGAGCAGTCCAAGTTATAAAAAGAATGTTCATGTTTAAAAATTAAATGTTTGGTTTAAATATTTAAATGTTCCATTTATCCCCCTGCCTGGTTGTTAATTCAGTATTAAAACAGAAGAGGAGTTGATTTACAACCCCTGACATTGGCCTCCAGGGCTTTCTGAGAAGGAGCTCTGAATTCTTTCTTCAGAGTAATAATCAGTTTCCTAGTTCACCACTTCCTGGGCATCGCCTCTATTCCAGCCATCAGAATAGATGCTTTGCATCTGTCAATTCATTTCCTCTT
The DNA here is from genome assembly GCF_000001405.40 of Homo sapiens. Classification (NCBI taxonomy): domain Eukaryota; kingdom Metazoa; phylum Chordata; class Mammalia; order Primates; family Hominidae; genus Homo; species Homo sapiens. Next base: position 134,999,966 of record NC_000008.11, on the reverse strand, counting down.
TACCTTAGATCTGCAAAGAAACCATCATCCCCATTGCACAGGTGAGGGGACTAAGGCTCAGAGAGGTTAAGTTAGTTTGTCTAAGATGACCCAGCTAGCCCCTGACAGAGACGGGATATGGAACACTGATCCAGGCCTGCCTGATATTAAAGTTGATATATTAAAGTCGAAATCACAGGTCAGAAAATCAGATGTCAAACCTGTCTGGATGTAAGGTGGCACCATCCCTGGGATACCTCTTTGGCCTCATTGCCAGTTGCTCTAGGGAATGTATAGAAATCTGATTAGGGTCCAAGAAAGTGCTTACAAAAAATGAAAGATTGCAAGATTAAAATGAGTCTGTGTTATAAATCAAGCACAGCAAAGACGGGCATTTTGAAGTAGCACTTAAAGACACATCATCAGCAAAGTAATGAGATATTTATTGTCTTCAAGATTTACCGGCATTCTAATAAATGCCAGAATTGACATCCATCGGCGTGGGCATACGATTCTGCCAGAATGAGAAGCTTGAGCATTCCTCTTAATACTTAGGAGGAAAACACTAGTGCAGGCTGTGGCTCACAGGATGTGTCCTTTCTGGTCATTCTGTGGGTCTTTGTAGGAGAGAAACTTGTGCCAACTTCAGAGTTTTCAATATCAGAACAGGAAGGGACCTGAGAACTCTTCTCAGCCATCCAGGGTAAAGTTAGGACCAGAGAGGGGAAGTAAGTTGCCCGAGGCCACTCAGCAAATTGATGGTGAACAGTGAGCTCTAACCCAAGATGCCTGACTCCTATGCAGGCCTCCGCCATCAGCTTCTGCAATGTGCACTTATAGGTGCCTATGCCTTCAACATCTCCTATGTTTGGTTGAAATTTTCCAATTTGTGGCTTTTTTCCTAAGCCTTTCAAAAACAGAAGAAAGTATTTTCTAGTAACCCCTGATTGACAAGAGACTGCAAGCTGGTGCTATGACACAGGCCAGAGGAGGTAAGAGTGAGGTCTCTTAACCAAGTAAGAAAGAAGAGTGGTAGACAGAGCTAGTCATTCGCCTTGGGAAAGAGCAGTCCACAGGCCACACCTGTATAATTATAGCAGTCACAGGGGGTGTCGACAGCTCTAGGAACTCAGAAAAGAGACAGATGACTATATACCTAGTGCTTCTAATGGCCACATAGGAATGAAAGAGAAGTAGAGACCAAAAGTCTTTCCAGACAGGGCCTAAAGAGAGCAGAAGGTTTCACAGTGACATAAATTCCCCCAAGACTGTCCTAGAGTCATAGATGGCATGACCAGCATCACACACACACACACACACACACACACACACACACACACACACTCATATGCCAAACTTAAAGGATGTCCTGTGCATTGTAGGATATGTAGTAGCATCCCTGATCTCTACCCTGCAGATACTTGTACCCCACCATGCCTGCCTAATTATAAATAACCAAAAAATATCTCAGGCACTGTCCAATACCACTTTACCTCATGTATCAATGACCTAAGATGATCATTGATAATATTTCATGAGTTCAGCTTAGCATTTATTTAAAAGTTGTTTTGATAGCATTCTCGATTTGAATGGAATAATGATACTCAAAGTACCTTAGTTCTCTTAATGAGGAACTCTATCTATGTTTTCAATTACATACATTTAAGGCAAAAGCAAACCACCTCCATGGTTAACAATGCTTCTGAGAAGTTCAGAAGTTTGAACCATCTGGTCATCACTGTATCACATCCTTCCACCTGGTACTAACGCACATTTTGTTTGAGAGCAAAGCAAATAAACAACAATTCAAAGGTGTTCAAGGGCTGCTTTGAGAAATTGCATTCTGTCTACACAGTGATTGAAATATTAGGCTGATTTTCAGAATCTCCAATAAAAACTCTGTAAAGGTACAATTTTGTAGGCCCTTTCTGGGCTTTCCAAGGGGTGCGGCCCTGTAATCTGTATTTAACAAAAGAAATCTCCCCAGGAGCCTGGGCACAGTGGCTCACACCTGTAATCCTAGCACTTTGGGAGGCCGAGGCAGGCGAATCATGAGGTCAGGAGATCGAGACCATCCTGGCTAACATGGTGAAACCCCATCTCTACTAAAAAAAATACAAAAAATTAGCTGGGTGTGGTGGTGGGCACCTGTAGTCCCAGCTACTCGGGAGGCTGAGGCAGGAGAATGGCATGAACCTGGGAGGCGGGGGTTGCAGTGAAAAAAAAAAAAAGGAAGAAATCTCCTCAGGAGAGACATGTCTAGATGGGTGAAGGAAATATTGCTACAGGATTGACATTCTTTGTTGTTACTAAAGATCAAAAGGACCCCGTTCCTACCATTGCATCATTGCAGCAGTGGGTGATTTGGTGATACATAAACACAGCATTTTGCAATAATTAATAGTATCCAGATCTATTCACCAAAGAGCCACTTTATAAACACAAGTTGAGAGCCAAGTTTTGTAAGTCCCTTTTTAAACAAATGAAACTGATCAATAACTCCTCCTAACACAGTGAATTAAGTCCTAAACAGTGGGGAGGGTGTCCAGCCCTGACCCCTTACTCAGGGAGTACTTGAGGCTCTCCCAGACACATCTATCGAGGGCAGGACCAAACAGGAAGTCAGGAGGTCTGCGTTCAAGACTTTGCCCCACCACTCACTAGCCATGTGACCCTGGGATGTTATTTTACCTCTCCAGCTCTCAATTTCCCTATCTGTAAAATCAAACTAAATAATATGGCCAATGAAACAAATTCAAGCCTAAAGTGCATTACATAATTGCCCAACAAGGCACAGCTAGATAGAAGCAGAAGTGGGACCGGAACTCCGACTACCTACCTTGTGCTCTTCTCCCCACATGGCCTGCAGGATGAGACTCTCTGCTTGTACTGAGCAACTTGACAGGATCATGAGCCTCTTTCGATTATTTCTTTAAAAGAATGAAGAGATCTTGAGGACTGATAGCCTAACTTCTATCTGCCCCTCAATCAAGATGAGCCCTTGAAAATTTCCTCATCCTTGGGCATTGCTCTCCTTCCCTAGTAACTGAGTGGGTTTGACTAAATGAATGAGGAAGACATAACGAGGCCTCATTCCCGCAGCAGGTGCTGCAGATGCTATTCATTGCCACCCAGAAACCGCTCTCCTGACTTTGTTCCTTGCCCATGGGCCTGCCCTTTGTCCCGGATGCCATATGTCAGGCCCAGGGGATGGCTCAGGAGGATTCCCAGGCCCTTTTCCAGCCACTTCCCGAGAATCCCTTGCAGCTAGGGGTGACCCCGGAATCCAGCTTTGCCTAAAGAAACCTACAGCAAAGTCTGAGGAGGAGTTTCTGGGAAAGCTTTTGATTTCCTGGTGAAAGCAACAGACAGAAGACGAGAGATTCCTGGCTCTGCTCCTTCACCCTGACAACGCACTCAGTCTTCCTGGAGCAGCTGCAGACATCATGGAAATACCAGGAGGCAACAGGCATGAGAGAAAGTGAAGATGGCAGCAGGGAAAGATAGAAGCTGCCAAAATCCTCAAAGATGTGGTGGAGCTTCCTAACCAACCCCGAAAATGCCTCCCTGGGGACCTCTAGTTACATAAACATTAAATGTCCTTTTGGTTGAAGCAACTGTTAGCTAAAGGCCCTGTAAAGCTGTACAAATGCAAACATCTGTTTGCTTTGCTTGGGGCTGGAATTATATTCATTGATGTGGCCATGGTGATTATCTCCTGCTGATCAGAAGCTCTTATCAGCAGCTACATGTGTCTTTGAGTAATAACGAACGGGTCAAATGTACTGCTTTATAATAAATGCAGTTTGTTTGGTAGACAGAAATATTTTCAAATATGGAGCCCCTGAGGGGAGAAGAGAAATATAAACAAAGCTGTGGTGGTGACAAGAGAAAAAGAAGGCTGCTGTCCCCATGCCAGCCACTCCATTTCTTGGTCATGAACCTTAATCTTTGAGCACTTACTTTGTGCCAGGTTGTGTACAAGGTTATGGGGGCCAATATGAACAAGACAGGCAAGGGCTCACCTTCTTACAGGTCAAAGAAGAGTGTTGTCACAGATTATACAAGAAGGGGTTATAGGTGAGATGAAGATTACAAAGGAGGCTTTAACAGCAGAGGGAACTAACTCACTGAAGGCCAGAAAGATGTTTCTCAGGAAGGGACTTTTTGTCTGATACCTAAAAAGTGAAGAAGAGCCTAGAGTGGTGAAGGAAATTGTTCCAGAACAAGGGAATAATTATTCAATTCTCAGAACAATCCTACGCTATATATATGATGAGATTATCATTTCCACTTGTATCAGTCAGGATAGGTTAGGTTATGCTGTGGTAACAAACAACCTAGAAATCTTTAAAGGTTTAAAGCGAAATAGTTTATTTCTCACTCATACTTACATGACCACCACAGGTCAGCAGGGAGTTCTGCACATCATAATTCCTCAGGGACCCAGGCTGATGGAGACTCTGCCTAGATCCATTCTTCCACAGTCACAGAGACTAGGAAAGAGAAACATGGCAAGCCGTGCACTGACTCTTTAAAGCTTTCCCCCAGAAGTATCACATGTCACTTTTGGACACGTTTCATTGGTCAAAGCAAATCATGGGTTCACAAGGGTAATCCCCCAGCAGAAATGGGGCATACAATATAGGTGATCAGCGATATATTCTACTACCCCATTGTAGAGATTAAAAAGCAGAGGTGTGCATGGAATACTATGCAAACATGAAAAAGGATGTCCTTTGCAGGGACATGGATGAAGCTGGAAACCATCATTCTCAGCAAACTAACACAAGAACAGAAAACAAAACACCACATGTTCTCATTCATAAGTGGGAGCTGAACAATGAGAACACATGGACACAAGGAGGGGAACATCACATACCAGGGCCTGTTGGGGCATGGGGGTCCAGGGGAGGGATAGCATAAGGAGAAATTTCTAATGTAGATGGTGGGTTGATAGATGCAGCAAACCACCATGGCACGTGTATACCTATGCAACAAAACTGCATGCTCTGCACATGTACCCCAGAACTTAAAGTATAATTTTTTAAAAAGCAGAGGTGTGAAGAGGTTATGTGATTTATCCGAGGTCACTCAGCTAGAAGGTGGCAGAACAGAAGTTCAAAATCAGGATTTTGAACTCTTAAGTCTAGAGCACATTCCCCAAATGACCCCAAATGAATCTAAGTGATTGTCCATCTCGGAAATGCTATTGCAGACGCTCAAGAAGAACCACACTTCCTGTGGATACTAATCTCTGTGTGCTGGCCAGACTAAGCAAATTACTGACCATAATACCCATTCAGAGAAGTTTCCTTCTCACCAGCTTGGTTACCAGAACAGACAGTCTGGGTTCCCCAGTCCTGCCCTTATGGTTCTGAGCCATACTCCCCTTCTTAAATCTGCTGCTGTGAAAATTAAAGACATCTGTGGGTCTGTGCTGCCAAGACCGCACCCCCGCCCCTTCCACAGGCATCTTCTCCTTGGAACAATGGGTTCCTGGTTTACCCAGCGCAGAAAGCTGCTGTCACCACCATGGCTTGTTCCCAATTGGTTTCTGGCTCCTCACCTCCTCCGAGATGAGCTGCTGCTTCCGATTCATAGATCCCCGGCAGAATTTTCTTGGTCTCTGTCCCTGACCCAAGCCCAGAATCAGGTAATAGTCACATACACTGTAGACATCTGTGAGGACTGCAAGCCAAGACCTTAGCTAGTCCCCACATTTGTGGTGGCAAATTGTTTCTCCAAATGCAGTAACATATCATCAAAATATTTAAGAGACCCGGTTAGACCTCCAGTGACCCTTTTGGGAAACCATGCAGGACATTTTAAAATCTATTTAAATAAATTCTGTCACTGAAATAAATTCAACATTGCACTCCACATCCAATCAGACAGGGAATTCTGCTGGCTTTGCCTTCAAAGTACATCCACTTGCCCAGGCCACCGTCAGCTCTCGCATGGATGCCTGCAAGAGCCTCCAACTTGGACTCCTCATTTCTTCCTGTCTTTCTCCCGCTTTCATCAATTTTCCACATGCCACAGTAATTATTTCCAAACACAGGTCACAGCAAGGCATTGTCTGCTGCAAACTTTCCAGTGACCTCCCACACCCTCCAAGTGGAGGCTGAGGTGAGTAGAATTAATTGGCCTACTGGCGCTCACGTGCTCTCCTTGTGGCCCTCTGAGTCTTTGCATATGTGTCACCCTCTCTATGGGGATCCCTGCATGTCCCCCTTATTTAAAACTGAGCCACCAACCCCAACCACCCCTGCCCTCCACTGTACCCCTTCCGTGCTATATTTTCCTCCCTAGCACCAGTCACCATCCAACACAGAATATGTCTATTGTTTACGTAGCTTATTGCCCACTCCACCCACTTGAATGAAAGCTCTGTGAGAATAGAGTTGTTTGTCCTTTTTTGTTCAGTGCTATAATAATACTGTCCATAGAACAGTGCCTGGCACGTGGTAGGTGCCCACTCAATATTGATTCAATATAGGAATTCTGACATCCTAATGGCAGTCACCTCAACCATGAACCTTCCTAAGCCTGAAAAGAAACAATGGTGAAGGCTCTGCCACTTAATGGCTGTGACACTATGGGAAAATTACCTAGCTCCTGCGAGCTTCCGTTTCTCTGCAAAAATGAGACACTTACCATTCTGCCAGGTGTTTGTGAGGAGTAAGTGAGACAATGCATGTGGAGCATAACACCGTGTCTGGCCCAGAATTCATGCTTGAGAATGGTAGCAGCTCTTCTTAATTATTACATGATAGCACATAGATGCCACACGGCTGCGGCGAGTGGCAATAGGGCCACTTGAGGCTCACTCACCAGCTGGGTGCTTGCTTTTAGTTGATCTTACAGCCCTTGAAATTCAAACTTACCCTCAATAAAGTTACAAATTATCATATCACATGAATGCTCAGGGACTCTGCCAAATAGTCGAAATTACAAGGTTAAGCTTCAAAAACCAAGGTTTCCTGAAATATTAGTTAACATTGGAAAAAGAAGCAACACCAAGGGAAATGAGAAAAACTTGGAGATAATTTGTAGAATTGTAGAATTGCAGAATTTCAAGTAGCAGAAACCTTACAGAATGCCCATTCTTAACCCTGCTGTACAGATGACTCTTATGGTTCTTTCCCAGATCATAGGGGACATCTGAATTTGCAGCAGCTGCTTTATTTCCAATTGGCTACATTTGCAAAACCTATCCTGGACAAGGGCAGATGGGGAGCAGAAATCCTCAGCCCGAACTGCAGTCCCATGCAGAAGCCAACACCACAGGCCTTGTCTCTTTCTCTCATCCCCTTGAGCAGCAGCCACACATTTAAATTGCAACATCCCTCTTGTCCTTCCAGGTGGCTCAGCACTGGTACGGCAAAGCTGTGTCTCTTCTGTCACTGCCACATTGAAAGGAGGGCAGTCTTCAGAGGCCATCAGATCAGCATTGGGTTCAGGTATGAGATCCACACGAAGGTGCATGGGCTTTGGGGCCAGATGTCTCTGAATTAATCACTGGCTCTACCTTCATTAGCTGTGTTTTTAGACAAATCTACCAGCCTTTCCCTCCTCAGAAAGAAACGGGGGTGTCAAACACAATGTTCAGGGCTACTATGAAGAACAAAAACAGCATATGCAACAGTCTGGCTCAGAGTAGGCCACTGATAAGTTGTAGCATTTTTATTAGATTATAAATTATCTCTTGCTTCTATCCACCCTTCTGCATCTCATGCCTGGACCACTGCAGAATCACCTGCCAAGTCTACCTGCCCATAGTCTTGGCCTTCCCATTCATCCTGCAATGCAGCCAAAGAAATGTTGTCCAAAGCCCAGACACAGTCATGCCACTTTTTTGCTTAAATCCCCATAATAGTTCCAAAGGGCCATAGGATTCACTGTGCAAGAGAATATGAAGAGATGGGCACCACCAGAGCTGAGAAAACCTAGTCTTTTAAATACTTTGCAAGGACATGCCCTATGGGCTACGCCAAACTTGCCACAATCATATCTTCTTACATAGATTCTTTGATTCAACAAACATCCATTGAGCACTTATTCCAGGGACATACTGCATTGAGTGCTGAGCATGCCGACATAGAAAAGGTAAATTCTTGCCCTCAAAGGTGGCAGTCTACTCAGAGAGGCCCAAGGGCTTTTGGGTGTTACATCTGCACGGTGCAGAATAGGACCTCAGAGAAGGTGTTTATCACCAGGAAGCAGTCAGGAAAGATTCTTAGAACAGGTTATATTTGTGATTATAGGATAAGATAAGTCCCTTCCTTGAGAGAACACAAGATTCATCAGAAATGTGAGTCTTCCTCTAAGAAGAGAATCAGCTTTCAATTAATGGGAATCTATGAGGCAAATCACCTGGATTAAAAGTGCTCTGTTATTCAGATGTGCTATAAAATATTTTAGGTTATGCTGATAAGAAAACAACCAAAGTTTCTGCTCTAAACACTGATTAATTGAGCTGAAATGAAGGTCTCAAGCAGGATTTAACCATGTTCTGATGTTGATCCTAAGCAGAAAATGTCCTCTATGGTTTTCCCTTTTTTTGTATTATAAAGAGATATCACTGTCAGAGCTCTTAGTTGCAAGCAACAGAAGCCAACTCTGACTGATAAAGCAGTAAATAAGTTGCTGAAAGAAGTTTGGATGCATAATAATTACAAAAGGAGAAATGGTAACTTTACAGTAGAGAAAGAGACCTGGCTGACACCACCTTAATCAAGTGATCAAAGAAACACCAGGAGTAATGAGGCTGATCAACATTGTGTGCCTCCCAATATGATACACTAAGAAGAAGATATCACTTCTGTGGTACTCTTGACAAAAATGTATGATATGACTTAAATCATGAGGAAATAACAGACAAACCCAAACTGAGGAAACTTTACAAAATAAAATGCCTGTTTGCACTCTGAACCAGTGTAAATATCGTTATAGAAAAATAAATACTGAGGAACTATTTGGATTGAAGGAGACTAAAGATTTATGACAATAGCCAGGCGCGGTGGCTCACGCTTGTAATCCCAGCACTCTGGGAGGCCGAGGCGGGCGGATCACAAGGTCAGGAGATCGAGACCACGGTGAAACCCCGTCTCTACTAAAAATACAAAAAATTAGCCGGGCGTGGTGGTGGGCGCCTGTAGTTCCAGCTGCTCGGGAGGCTGAGGCAGGAGAATGGCGTGAACCCGGAAGGCGGAGCTTGCAGTGAGCCGAGATCACGCCATTGCACTCCAGCCTGGGGGACAGAGCGAGACTCTGTCTCAAAAAAAAAAAAAAAGATTTATGACAATAAAATATCATATGTAATCCTAGATTGGATCCTGAAACAGAAAATAATGGTTGTTTGTTTTTTGGTTTTTATTTTTGTCTTTTGGGTTTTGGTTTTTTGTTTGTTTGGTTGTTTTTTTTTTTTTTTGTTTTGTTTTTTGTTTTTTTTTTGCTTTATAGGACAATTTTGATATTAATCAGAATTTGATAAATGTCTACAGATTTGGGTGATAGAATTATATCCATATGAATTTCCTGATTTTGATCATTGTACTAAAGGTGATACTAGAGAAAGTGGGGTGGAAGGAGGGGTAACTCAGAGACTTGCAAGGGGAGCTGGTGAGTCAACTTTGAGCTTAAGCTTTCAGGAACATCCTGAATGGCTGCTAGGGAAACCATGGTTCCAGCTCTCACTGCCTTTTAGCTGTAGCTCAGCTTCAACACTAGGAACCAAAGGCCCTCAGCAAAAGGAACTTCTGAACCAGGAACCTGATGGGCACCCAGGACCCTCCCAAAGCTGGTGCTTCTGCCATGACCTTTTGCAGCAAAATGGGCCAGTAGAGAGTCAGATTTTTATTTCTCACTTTCAAATCCCATCTTGTGCAGGGGCTAACGATCAGTGGAACTCGTTAAACGTGTAAATGGTCTGGGTTTGAGCTGCAAGGGAGGCTGCAAAATCAAATTTGCTCATTCTGTGTTGATGATGTGAAACTCATAAAACAATAATTTCCCCCCAAACATCGAGAGGTTGCCAATCAGACAACATGACTAATGTCCACTAAAAGGCAAGCATTCTTTTACAGTCAAATTATTTTATTACAGAGTCAGCCTTTACTCACCTAAGTTGTAAATCTTTATGTTTGTGTGGTTGTCAAAGTTTGTAAGATATGCTTTAGCTTACTTTGGAAAGTCATAAAATATGGCTAAGGAAAGATATAATGATAGCTCATAAATTCTACTTACTATTATTCATTTCAGGCACAACTGAAGTCAAAATTGCCCAGTTTAAAATAAACTTTTTTTTCTTTTCTCTCTAGATATTTGTTCTCCAACCATTATAAAATCTGTTCGTTTTCGAGGTGGACATTACAATTCATTGTCTTCTTTCTGCAGAAGTTTACAACAAGCTTGAATCAAATAAAAATGCTTTTGACCATTTCTAAGCCTAAAGCAACAGGGAGCCCTGTTTATTTCTACACGCTGAAGGAGTAAAGAGAAAGATGAATAGGTGTTCCCACACAGAAAGAACAGGGCAGCCAGCAGTTCTCACACCCTGGTATTACTACTAAGAATCACCCATCATATTTGCCAAGATCCAGATCCTTGAGATCCAGCCTCCAGAAAGTGATTCACCAGGAATGTGCTAAGGTCTGGGTTCTGCACTTTCAGCAAAATTCCTAAGTTTTTCTAAGGTAAATGGTACACAGTTGACACTTTGAGACACTCCAGAGGAAGGGGTAGGGAAGAGCCTCCCAGGCAGGTAGTGTAGCATGAATAAAATCAAGCAGGTATGGATCTCTCTGGCACCTTCAAAGGATTGCGAGCAGTTCAGAATGGGGTGGCCAGGGAGATGAATCAGGAGACCACAGCTGGGAGGAACTGGGCAAGTCCACGTGACTGACAAAAACGATCTTCCACAGAAAAACAACAGAAAAGACATTTCTAAACTCAACCTGACCAGTGCTGCTTAGTCAGCCCATGAAAATCACACCTGCTGGCTTCCTACAGGTCTCTTTTTAAAAATTTATGTATTTATCCATGTATTTTTGCCACCTTTGGTGCTGATTAGCCACCCCCCAATGTTCATCCCCCAGCAACAAAGACTAAGATTCTCGCTTCGACAGCCTCTCCTCTCATGGTGTGCCTTTTGTCCTGAGAAGAAAACAATGTGCTTTTATCTGGTGCTCCACCTCTGCGCCCGGTAGAGTAGGGTTGCCTTCCACCCCAGGCATGCTGAGCCTCTCCTCCCACAGAGTTCAGATCCCAGGTCCAGAGCTGTTTCTTTCTCAGTCCTCAACACCCACATTGTGACAGAAATGAATTTGCCTTATTCTGAATCAAAAGCCTCTTTCTCCACCCTCCACAACTCTCTTTCCCTAGATCGATGGGATTAGAAATGGCTGATTTAATTAGTCCAGTCGCAGCCTTGCTTTATTACTTTCTCATTTACAATGAAATAATGGGGAGCAAATGAAAGGGATTTGTCATTATCTAAGGACCCAATGAGGCTGGGGAGGATGCCAGTCTTTGGAATCAGCTGCAGTCCTTCCTGGAGGCAGACAAGGGAAATCGCTGCCTTTCGAAGAAAATCAGGATTTGTGACACTTTGTGGAGTCCAGCAGGCAGCTTCACTGCCCACAAAGGCAGCTGAGGCCAATAGCCCCTGGACCTCAGGATTCCTAATAATCACCCCCAGGGACCTGAGTGGGACATTCATTCCTGCCACTTTCTCTATGACCACGGACAGTGCGCTGAACTTTGCTAACCTTCAGGCTTGAGTCTGCATTAGAATCACCTCTGGAGAATTTCTACATAGTGATACTCAGTTGCCACCCCAGTGATTGTGAGTCCTCAGGCCCAAGTGGATCCAGAAGTCCTCTATTTTAGATGATGTCCAGATGATTCTGATGCATGCTGACCATGAGAACCCCTGAACTGGACATACACAGCCCTTGGTCCTCGTGGACCACACTGGCCTCATTCCTGATGCACACACTTGTATATGTCATGAGAGAACATTTCCCAGCTCCGTATTATACATGTGCTGTTTTCTCTGCCTAGGACTTCCTTTTTCTCCTTCACCCTCACTTTGTCTTCAACTAGCAAACTCTTCCACATTATAAAAGGTTCCAAACAAATATTACCACCTCTGTACTGTTTGCCCTGATTCTCACAGGCAGAAGTTGTCACTCTCTCTTCTTTGTGCACAGAGCACTTCCTACAACCCTTCCTCAGAGTGCACATTTCATTATGTTTCACATATCTTCCCCTCCACTAGATAATGAGATCCATGGACTCGTATTCCACTCATCTCCATATCCTCAGAACCCAAAAAAGCATCTGGCACATGAGCGGATGTATTAGTCCATTCTCACACTCCTATAAAGATCTACTCAAGACTGCATAATTTATAAAGAAAAGACGTTTAATTGACTCACAATTCCATATAGCTGGGGAGCCCTCAAGGAACTTACAATCCTGGCCGAAAGGGAAGCAGGCACATCTTCACAAGACAACAGGAAAGAGTGTGAGCGTGCAGGAAAAAATTACCATTTATAAAACAGATCTCATGAGAATTCACTCACTATCACAAGAACTGCATGGGGGGGAACGAACCACATAATCCAATCGCTTCCCTCCTTCGACACACGGGGATTACTATTTGAGATGAGATTTGGATAGGGATACAGAGCCAAACCATATAAGTGGGTATTCAAAATGTGCATGTTGGGTAAAATAATGAATAAAAAATAAATTTTCAGCCAATTCTATTGTCTATTAAGCCCCAGCTTAATATAGTACAAGATAAAATGTACTATTGTTTGAGTGATGTGATTTCAGAGAGATCAATAACTCTCTCTACACCCCAAAATAGCTTCCCTCAAATCCCATTATGGTGCATGAAATTCTCACCATTAGTTTATTCATTTAATTAAAAAATATTGATTGTGACAAGAACTCTATAAGATAAGCTTGAAATTGTGGTTGGATCCAGTCTAGCATTCCCATCTGAGCACAGCAGTGGGAGGAGCTCCTTTTAATATGGAAGGAAACACTATACCATGGAAGGTTTTAAGGAAGAGTTTCTGGCACTTGGAGAATTGGTGGCCTCATTCTCTGAGAAAAGGAAGAAACCCAGGAGGAGGAGCAGATGGAGTGGATGGAAAGAGATAATGAGTTCATTTGGGGGCATAATGAGTGTGCCTCAAGGGAGGTGGCCAGTAAGTGATGGATACAAGGATCTGGGGCTCAGAGGAGAAGTGCCCTGGGAGATTATAATTAGGAAGTTACCCAAGTGTGAGCAGATCCAGACCATGCAGTGGAGTAGATGACATCACACGTGGAAAGTTTGCAGCATAAGCCAAAGATAAATATAGGAGAAATCTTTTAGTAAAGAGAAGTTAAGGCACCTGACATTTAGCTAAGCACTTCAATGTAATCCTCCCCATATGCCTACCACTGTGCCTGTCATATCATCTTGCTCAAGTAACATTGTTGAATGACTGAATAAATGGACTTTGGGTTGTAAGTACTATTACTATGTTCATTTTCTTGGTAAGGCAACTACAGCACAGAAAGCAAAATGACTTAACCAGGATTATAATTAGTAAGAGGTAGAGCTGTACTTCAAACTTAATTTTGTCTGATTTAGGGGTCAAACTTTGCTATCCTTCTTATGACATCATTTGAGGTGACAGCTGCTGGCAGCCATGCTAGTTCCTGACAACTACATAAAGAGGCTGACAGTGACATGCTGGAGCTGGCTCAGACCAGCTCATGAAAGCTGATTGTGCACACCTCATCCCAATGCTGTAGTCAAGTGACTTCATGTTGGTAGCTTAAAATTGGCTACCATTGTTGGAAGTATTTACACCATGGAAATTTGCAAATGCTACAAATCAGGGGTTTTTGTTGTTGTTGTTTTGTTCTTGCTGTTGTAACTTATTTGTTTGCTTTTAGAAAGACAGTTTTTAAATCTTTGCCTGGACACCACTGAAGGGAAGCCAGAGCCTATTATTCCCATTTTGCAGAGGAAAGAGACCCAGATGTTTAAACTGTTGAAATCCTCAGGTGGTTACAATTCTCTTTTGTATTGCACGTGATAAAACTGAAGCCTCTAAAATTAAATGAGTCAGATGAAGTAACATAGCTAGTGAGTGCATATTGTTGTATACAGCTGGTATTCATTTATTTTGTTTGCTGTAAAGTGTTAAGGTGGGAGGTGGAGAGGAGGTAAGATCAGTCCTCCCCAGTTGCAGGGAATAAGGGGTGTATTACCTGTAGAGAATTTAAAATCTTCAGTAAAGTTGACAAAATGTGTGTCTGCTCTTTATTAACACCATATTCTAGCAATTCTAAACAATGTCAGTAAGAAAGTCTCCTCCCCCTGGGAGGAGACTTGCTCTCATCCTCCTTTTAGTACACCACCAGCTGATTTTTTTAAATACATGTATCTGTTTCATATAGGTTTTCACATACATTGGCATAAGTTGTTCATAATGTCCTTTTTATCTTTTTAATGTAAGCTACAAATTTTATCACTGAATATATTTTTAATATGTATTTTAAATGTTTTTTACTATCTCGATCACCCATTCCGCAGGTTTGTCCATTTTGTTAATATTTTCAAAGAACCAGCTTTTGGATTTGTTGATGTTTGCTATTTTTTATTTTCAATGTCATTAATTTCTGTTTATATCATTATTATTTTGCGCTTTTCCTTCTCCAGTTTACCCTGTTGTTCTTTTTCTAACTTCTTAAGTTGGAATCTTAGCTAATTGTTTAGCCCTTTACTCTTGTTCTTTTTCTAACTTCTTCAGTTGGAGTCTTAGCTAATGGTTTGGCCTTTATCTTTTCCTAATACAAACATTTCAGTCTATAGTTCACTTCCAAGTAACCATTTTGATGCATACCATGTTTTCAAAATGAATATTTTTATATCATTTTCTCCTAAATATTTCTTCTTGGACGCATGAGTTGCACAGAATCAAAGATTTGTTTTCCAAACATATGAGGGTTTTAGTTATATTTTTGTTAACAATTTCTTGGCTATTCTCATTGAAGTCAGAAAACATAGTTTTTATGATACCAAATATCTGAATGTTTTGCTTGGTTTTGTGGCCTAATGTATGTTAGTTTTCATATGCTCCTTGAACGAGTGAAAAACAGCTGTTTTCTGCAATTGTTGGGTAAAACACCCTAGATGTATCTTTTAGCTCAAGCTTCATAATTGTATTGTCCGAATCTTACTTATCCTTACTGATGATTTGGGTATTTACACTATCAATTATTGAGAGTAAAGTGTTAAAAATCTCCTGTGGTGCGGGAATTATCTATTTATTTTTCTAGTTCTGTCAATCTTTGCCTCATATAGATTGTGGCTATGTAATTTGATAGATACAAGCGTAATTAGTTATATCTTCCTAGGAATGGAAATTTATTTCATTATATAGTGAATCTCTTTATCTCTAGCAAAAGTATTTTCTTAAACTAATTTTTACCTAATATTGCAACAGTTTTGCCAAATTCTTCTGTGTAGTATTTGCCAAGAATATAATTATGGGCATTTTTGTCTTTTTCATGTCCTATGTTTGAGGTCATTATGAATATCACATTGATAGATTTTCATAAACAAGTATGATAATATTTGTCTTCACAGAACTTGTGGATATACTTGGGTTTATCTCTATCATTAAGTTCTGTGCTATGTGTATCTTACATGTTTCCTTTGCTCCTTTTCCTTATATTATTTTACTTTTTAATTGATATTTTTCTCATTCCATGTATTTCTATCTACTGGATGAGAAGTTATGGCCTATATTTCTAGCTTATCCTAGAAATTCTAAAATGTTTATTTAGCACACTTAGCATTTCAGAATCTAAGATCTTGGAACATTTTTATTCCCTTCACTCCCTTCTGATCTTATGTTCTATTATGCTTGTGTATTTTACTTATATTCTTTAAAACTCCACAACATATCATTTTTACTGTTCTATATTATTAAAGTTTGTTTTGATTTACCCATATATTTACTGCTTTCCTTACCATCATTTCTTCTTGCATCTCAAACCTTCCATCTGGAATTATTTTTGTTCTGCCTAAAATACAGTCTTCATGATTACTTCACTGAGTGTTAGTTGGTGGTCAATTTTCTCAGTTTTTGCCTATCTAAAAAAGTCCTTTCTTTTCTCCTCATTCTTGAGAGACATTTAAATTATCAGTTATTTTTTCATAGCACTTTGAATATATTATTCTACTGTTTTCTATGTTCCATTGTAGCTATTAAGAAATCAGCTGTTGGTGTATTTGCTGTTTCTTTGTAAATTACCTGTATGTTTTTTCTCTGTGCTCTTACGATCTTCTCTCTTTGGCATTCTGCAATTCTATCAGGCTGTGCCTAGGTGTGTTTTTTATTTTATTTTATCCTGCCTGAGATTCACCAGAACTTCCACATTTGCAGATGTGTGTCTTTCATCAACGTAGGTTAATTCACAACCATTATTTTTTCAAATATTACCTCTACCCTGTTCTCTCCCCTCTCCATCTGAAATTGTAAACTGATGTTCACAGCTTCTCATTTAAATCCCACACAAGTTAATCTTGCTTCCTTTTTTTTTTGCATCTCTTTATCTCTAATTGGTACACCCTGAGTAATTTCTGTAAGTCTATCTTCTAGTAAATTCTTTCTTCAGTTGTGTATAATATGCTGTTAAATTCTATCTATTGAGTTTTTAATTTCAATTATTTTTCATTCATAGAAATTGTTTTGGTTTTTTATTCAAATCTAATTATTTACATTTGTTGTTCTTATGCTTTCCTCATTTTCAATTTATTTATTTATTTCAATATAGAAACATCTTAACTGGGTAACCTGGCCCAGATAACTTCAATATCTGATCTCACAGTCTGTTATTTATTCTTACTGGTTCTCACTCAAGATGCCTTGTTGTGTGTGTGTGTGTGTGTGTTGGGGGATGACTTTGTGACTGTTAACATCAGCTCATATTTCTTGGAACTTTATCAGTGGGAATTCTTTGAGGCCGGAGTTAAAGGTGAGTTCTTTCAGAAATAATTTGTATTTCCCTATAATAGTCTTCTGAAAGTTCTATCAACTTAGAGCCATTTAAAATTAATTTATTGGCTTAAAATTTTGTTGAACGACCCAGAGAGGGTGAATTTGGGCTGCAAACCCCAGTGAGGACTGGTTTCTCAAATTTTCCTCTGTTGTTGATTTCTAATGTAATTCGTCTATGGTCAGAAAACATACTTTGTATTATTTCAATTTATTTAAATTTACTGAGACTTGTTTTATGGCCTAGCACATAAAGAATATTTAATATATACTTGAATGTGTATTTTGGGGCTGGGCAGACTGGCTTATGCCTATAATCCCAGCCCTTTGGGAGGCCTAGGCAGGAGGATCTTTTGAAAGTGAGGAGTCCAAGACCAGCAACACAACACAGCAAGACCATACTCCACAAAAAAAAAAAAAAAAAAATTAAAAATTAGCCAGGCATCATGACATATAGCTGTAGTCCTAGCTACTCAGGGAGACTGAAGCTGGAGGATCACTTGAGCCCAGGCATTCAAGGTTACAGTGATTTATCATTATGCCATTGCACTCTAACCTGGGTGACAGAGCAAAACCCTGTCTCTTAAAAAAACAAAAAAAGTGTACATTCTACTATTGTTGAGTGGAGTGTTCTACAGAAGTCATTTAAGTCATGTTAGTTGAGTTAGTTGGTAGTGTCATTTTAATTCTTCCATGTCCTTCCTGATTTTTTGCTTATTATATTTTCTATTAATTATTGCGAGTAAGTAGTGAAATCTTCAATTATTATTGTCAAATTTTCTATTGCACCTTTTAATCCTTTTGGTTTTAGAGCTCTGTTGTTAGTTGCATATATGTTTATCATTTTTATAGCTTCCTGATAAATTGAACCTTTATCTCTATTAAATATCTTTGTCTCTAGTAACATCCATTTTATTTTAAAGTCTATTTTGTCTAATGCTACTATAGCCACTCCAGCTTGTTAGTAGAGACACTCCAGCTTGGATACTGTTTGATAATATATCTTTTTACTTTTTTTTACTTTCAACCTACTTGTGTTTTGAGTCTAAAGTGGTTCTTTTGTAGACACCATATGGTCAGATCCTGGGATGTTTTCATCTAGTCTTACAATCTCTGCCTTCTAACTGGAGTATTTAATATAACAATCGATGTGATTGGATTTATGTTTGCCCTGTTGTTGTTTATTTTCTATATGTTTCTGTCATGTTTGTTGCTCTGCTTCTCCTTTACTGCCTTCTTTTGTGTTAAATAGATGTATACTAACCTATTATTCTCTATAACTCAGCTCAGAGTTACCTCTACCTGGAATCCTTTCCTGACACAGTCCCCAATCTAGCCCATGTCCTGGACTAGATTGGAAGTTTTTCTCTGGGTTCCCATTGCCAAAGCAGAAGCAACACTAGTCTCTAAGCTTCTCAAAGGAAAAAAAAATTATTTTTCCATCACTACATTCTCACATAGAGGCTGGCACATATAGGAGTTCAATAAATGCTTGTTTAGGGATAAAGAAAATAAATAAACAATTGCAATTTTTTGTGCTGAGATGAAAAAAAGCACAAAATGCTCAAAGACCCCAAGGAAGGAAGGATCTAACTTAAACTTAAGGTCAGGGCATCTTTCCTAGGACCCATGAGATGAATAGCAGTTAGTCTATCAGGAGAGAATGATATACCAGGAAGACAGAACTAATGTAGTGTTCTGCAATATAGAGATTGTGTGCCATCATGGAAGATAATTTTAGGTGGTATACAGAAACCTTTATATATATATATATAAGATAATATATTATACATATATAATATATATAAATAATATATTATATATATATAATATATATATATATTTTTTAAGATGGAGTCTCCCTCTGTCACCCAGCCTGGAGTGCAGTGACACAATCTCGGCTCACTACAACCTCTGCCTCCTGGGTTCAAGTGATTCTCCTGCTTCAGTCTCTTGAGTAGCTGGGACTACAGGGGCACACTACCATGCCTGGCTAATTTTTTGTATTTTAGTAGAGACGGGGTTTCACCTTGTTGCCCAGGCTGGTCTTGAACTCCTGAGCTCAGGCAATCTGCCTGCCTCAGCCTCCCAAAGTGCTGGGATTACAGGTGTGAGCCACCATGCCCAGCCAAAACCTTTATACTTTTATTTCTTTGGTTATACATTTATTTTCATATGAATTAGGAAAAAACTATGCACACAGCATATGCTCACATACACACATCTACTACGTCAAACCCATGCTCTCACACCTATTGTTGCTCAAAGTCTACTTTGTAAGTAACAATTAATCTTAAAATAAATATTAACTGAATAGTGGTTCCATTGGTATACGAAAGTGGCAGCATTGTGAAAGTGATATTTAAATGCCTGGAGTTTGGGAAGCACTGAGCTAAAACACAGAGATGTGAACAAGCATGGTGAGGTAGATGCTGCAGACAGTTAAAACCGGCAGAACTATCAATTATATGTGGGGACAGTGTGAGGAAGAGGCTGAGTGGCTGGAAAGGAGCCATATCATACCCTGCTTTAAACAGTTGCCAAATAATTTGGGGTTTCCTCCAAGGGCAGTGCGTGGGGGAGAGGACAGAATCAGCAAGATCATTAGGATTTGGGTTGAGCAAATGAAACATTCAGTCCAATACTTTAAAAGTCTTGAGCTAGAAGAGAATAATTTGAATGTCCTTACCCTAAAGATAAATATTTAAGGTGATGGATATCCCAGTTACCCTGATTTAATGTTTACACATTACACCAGTGTGTCAAATTATCACACATAACCCCAAAGTATGTATATCTATTACATATCAATAACAAATAAAAAGATTTAAAACAATAAAAGCCTTGAGAAATACTTACCAGCTGAAATAATCAGACATGTAAATCAAGATAAATGTAGAGCATATTCATGGTAACATCATCTATGTTGGTGAAAAACTATAAACTAAATAGGGAACAAAAGATCGAAGCCAGGCACAGTGGCTCACACCTGTAATCCCAGCACTTTGGGAGGCCAAGGCGGGCATATCACTTGAGGCCAAGAGTTCAAGATCAGCCTGGCTAACATAGTGAAAGTCTGTCTCTACTAAAAATACAAAAAATTAGCTGGGTGTGGCAGCACATGCCTTTGATCCCAGCTACTCAGGATGCTGAGGCACAAGAATCGCTTGAACCCAGGAAGCAGAGGTTGCAGTGAGCTGAGATCACTCCAATGCACTCCAGCCTGAGTGATAGAGAAGACCCTGTCTCAAAGAAAAAAATAAAAAGGAGTACACCGCAGTAGATCCATGCCTGAAGGATACAGTCATCAAAGTCATTTTTTAAAAATATGCTGACATGGGAGAAATGTTCACAACTAAAGTTAAGTTTAATACCTGAATATAAATCTGTATATTCAGCAAGGCATATGTTCATTACAGGAAAAATAAATGGTAGGAAAAAGTATCTATAAGTATATTTATATCATGGTTCTATCTGGGAATATGCTCACCATTTAAAAAAAAAAACTTTTTTAAAGTTTACTATTTTCTACAATTTCTACCACAAATAATACTATTTTTTTATTTACTTTTATAGATGGAGAAAAGTTATTTTAAAAAAGAAAAGGATATTTTCACAAAGATAGAACCAAACACAAAGAAGGAAGCTTTGACCTCTCCTAAAACCAAAGCCAAACAGAGGCTTTAAAGGCCAAGAAGGCAGTGCTAAAAAACATTCATGCCAAAAAACAAATGAAAATTGCATATCATCCACATTTCAGTGGAATAAGATACTGTGGCTCTCAAGGCAGCCCAAATTCTCTAAGAGCACCACCAGGGGAAACAAGCCTGACCACTACTCCATCATCAAATTTCCCCTGACAATGGAGTTGGCCATGGAGAAGATCAAAGGCAACAGCACACTTATGTTCACTGTAGACATCAAGGCCAATAAGCACCAGATCAAACAAGCTGTGATGAAGCTCTATGACCTTGACTGGCCAAGGTCGACACCCTGATCTGGTCTGATTGAGTGAAGAGGAGTGCATTTGATCTGCCCTAAGATGCTTTGGATATTACCAGCAAAATTGCGATCATGTAACAGAGTCCAGCTGACTAATCCTAAATATAACAATTTTTTTCGCCACCAAAATAAAGGAGAAAAAAAAAAAAAAGGAAAAGGAAATCACTGAGGACTATTCATTGCTACGCCTGTAATAATCTCCCCCGAAAAAAAGAAAAGGAACAGATCTTGAGACTAATTTTAAAAATCAGAGGGTGTGTTCAAATTTCCTTTTGTAGTCACTGCCCTTTTGTCCCCTGCTGTGGGAGTGCTAATACAAGGATCTGGGCTTTTGTTCCTGGAACCCTGGGCTAATCTTTGTCAATAATGGCTTCTTGGAACTATTTTCTGAACCAAAATGGAGGGCATGGAACAGAAGGAGAGATTTCTGACCAGTCCCCAATGTCTGTCCTGTACAAACGAACTTTTAAAGGGAGACGGAAAAGAGAAAATGAAAATTAAATGTAAGAAAAAAAATAACTCTTTCTTATATTCATGCTAATTATTTTAATTATCTGATCCTTTTTTAAGGAATGGAGTAAAATACAATTTAGATTGCCGGACGCGGTGGCTCATGCCTGTAATCCCAGCATTTTGGGAGGCCGAGATGGGCCGACCATGAGGTCAGGAGGTTGAGACCATACAGGCTAACACGGTGAAACCCCATCTCTACTGAAAATACAAAAAAAATTAGCGGGGCGTGGTAGCAGGCAACTGTAGTCCCAGCTACTCGGGAGGCTGAGGCTGGAGAATGGCGTGAACCCTGGAGGCAGAGCTTGCAGTGAGCCAAGATTGCGCCACTGCACTCCAGCCTGGCGACAGAGCGAGACTCTGTCTCACAAAATAAATAAATAAAATAAAATAAAATAAAATTTAGATTTATATTTTTTATAATTTAAGGATAAGCATTCTTTAATGTATCCTTTTCCTCTTTATTCATTAGTGAAATCACAGACTCTCAGGCTTGGGAAGGGCCTTCAAGTTCATCTGGTGCAATCCTTTCCTTTTGCAGAAGGAAAACTGAAACTCAATTCCGAGTTGATTCAGAATTTCATAAAGGAAACAACATAAGGATGAGAATGAGGAGGAACAACTGGGGTGTTATAAAAAATTACATGATTTGAAATTATGCAGAATGTTAATATTTCTTAGCCACATAACCTTAAATAAAATGTCTTATTGGCACTGAGACTCAACTCTATAATTGTAAATTGGGATAATATTAATCACTGAGTGAATGTCTGGAAAACAGTAAGCAAGTCCTGTGTATACAGTTAGGTCTTGAAATCAGCCAGATACTGTGCTATGCAGGTGACACAAGCTTCATACAACACTGCACATTGAGCGTTCATACCAACCACATAAGGTCAGGAGTTCATACTGCCATCCCTGTGTTACAAACCAAGAATCCAAGTTACAGAGCTAGAAAGCAGCAGAGTCAAAATTTACACACAATTCACCAATTCAAGAATCGGAGCTATTAAATGTCAAAAGTACTATAAAAATTGCTAAGTGCTCAACATGTAAAGATTTGGTATTTTTCTAACTATCCAAAGTGATTGGGGTTTTTCTCAGGTTCAAACTCGATCTGAACTGGCAGCTTTGCCTCCAGAATGCTTTGCTAAGTGATAACTCAGGCTCATTCCAAGTGGTCTGTAAAGATCATTTCATCTTAGATGTGCACATCTTGATCTTCTCTTGGTGTAGACAGACACAGGACCAAGGCAGTCCCAGGAAGGAAACTGAAGTACAACTCTTAGAGATGACCACTGACTGGGAGCCAAGAGTCCACAGTCCTATTACTGGCTCCACCACTGATAACCCTCATGACCGTGGATGTGGTCATTGTCCTTGCCAAACCTCAATTTCTGCATCCAAAAATGGGAACTGAGATAGCAGAGTTGTGCAGCGGAAGCATGCTGGGCCCATAAAATGGGAACTGATGTCAAATAAGGACCCATGTGTCTTAGCCAGATATTGACAAGTTTAGAAGGGAACTTCAAGATCCCTAAGCTCCAGGGGTCATAAACTGAATGCCTCTAGGGGCTAGGCAGGCCACATAAATGAGGGAAACAACTTCAGTGTAGTACAGTAGGGAGCAGTGGGGATTGTGGTAAACCAAGGAGATTCATGAAAAGAACTGTCAAGTTCCAGCTCTGTTGCAGAAATGTGGACCTACGACTTCTAGATCTCTCCGTTACCAAAAGAAGGCAGCAATTTGGTGTTTTATGAAACCTATTCTAAATTTTTAGTGTTGACAAGTAACTCAGTTTTTTTTGTGTGCGTACTCTCTACGCTAAACACACAAGTCTGAGGGTAGTTAAGGCCCTTAGGCCGATGGTTTGCACCCTCTGACTCAAACCCACATCCTCCTCATCCCAGGCTAAGACACTGAGGTTCAGTGTGGTGAATAGAGTGGCCTCTCATGTCCAGTGCTGTAACCCAAACGTCCTATCACCCAGTTCTAGCTTTTTTCATAGCACCTTGCCACTTCTCCTTTGAGTCCTTGGAGAAGACTAGAAAATGGAAGATTATAAATTAACCTAGCGAGCAGCAAACTTCAGCCTCCCCTCTCAGCCTGCCAGTGTCATGTGGCTAGAGTGCAAGGCACAAAAGAGATGATTCAATATCTCATTTTCTGACATGCCAGGAGTAACTGGTGGGAGGAAAGAGATGCTGGGCTCACGTCACAGTTGCAGGGAAATTTATTTCTGTTTCAGACATTGATGTAACTGCATATTCATAAAAGTCTCAATTATTAATCCAGCAATACCCACAATTTACTGTCTATTTTCTCAGGTGTTACCTCTTTCTTATCTGCTGAGTAAAGAATACCCCCAAATGGCTGTGTTCCTTTCTCCCACAGAAAGATACGCTGTTGCCAAGAGAACCAGATTCAGAAGTCAGAACCATGGAGAATAAAAGGCATCAGGTTATGCAGGAACAATTATGCCCAAGACCCTAATTGTATTATCAGCAGCCCAAAATTCAGCTTTAAGCAATTATCTATTCCATGCCCACTGGAAAAAAAAATGCACAAGTACAAGTCATTTCTTAGCTGTCCTTCCTGGCAAGGGGGAGAAAAAGGTTCTTCTTGCAATGTGTGGGAGATTTCTATTAATGAGGCAGAAAACAAATTCTTGGAGGAAAAAAAAAATTACATACATCCACACAACGTGTTACTGCATTTTCTTCCATTATAAAAAGATTTTTTAAAAGTCTAAGAAAGCGAATAATTTAAATCTCTATTCATAGCCCAGTACTGTACTGAGGCCTGCAAAAGATCAGATAATTCTTTTCAAATTTCATAAATTATTTCTGCGAATCATCAGACTTCAATTAAAGACAGCATGAATTACAGGCCTTCCATGTGCCAGCCCCTATGCTGGGTACAGAGCTGAGTGGGATTAATTGGTGAGCCCTCCCAAGAGCTTGGAGTCTCTGAGCTCAGAGCCTTGGGGTTAGAGAAACCAGCACTACCCAGACCATTATAGAACCACGAAACTTGTGTGAGTCTGGACATGTATATCAAGGGCTTTGTAAACAGCAGACAGAACAAGGAACAATGCCTGGGAAAGTCAAGGAAGGCCGCCTGGAGGAGATGACACAAATATTGAAGGATGAGTAAGAGTTTGCAGGACTGGCAAGGTAGTGGATTGTCATTATGATCAGAGAAGACAAGTAATACATGGTCACAAGGTTGAAAATTCTTGTTGGTTCAGGGGCCCCTGGGTAACTGACAACAGGGTCCCATGGTGCACAGGATGTCATGCAGCTCCTGTAATTTTGTGCAAAGTGTTTTTGTCATCATTATCTCATTTAACCTGGAATAGTCCAAAGCCCATGAGGCCAGTACTTGAACTGAGAACTTCCCATATGCCAGCCACATGGGTAAGTGTTTTTATATATAAAATTTCACTTCCTTTTCTGATCAGGCCTTTGCAGGAGATTTCCTTCCTAACCCTGTCTTGCAGACTGGGGAAGGCAGTGGGCCATTGGTAACCTTCCCCAGGTCATGAAGCAGTAGAGGGGGAGAGCTGGGATTCATACCTGGGCAGCTGGCTCCAAGACCACTCTCTGTCCCATGCATGTGCCACCATGTGACACCAAGCAAAGCCCATTAGTGAGTTGTTGCTAGGATGAGGACTGAAGCCCCAGGAGGTCAATGGAGAACACGAGGCCCACATTATAAGACAAACTGCCTCAATTGTTCACTCTCATGATGGCTTGTTAATGCATCCTCTGTGCCATCCTGGGAATGGTGGGGCAGATGGAAGCCAGGGTTACTTGAGGCTGGAGTTATTGAAATTGGCTCAAAGAATTAATGACTAGCTACAAAAAGGCACAGAGGATACAGGCAGGGTCTGAATTTGGGGCTCTATCCACATCTCCAATGCTCTGGCTCTTTCTACTTGACTGTGTGGTCCAAAGTGAGCAGCTTCCAAAATGCCCCATGCAGCCTAAAGTCTCTAGGGATAGCAGGAGCTTAGGAAAATAGGGATCAGATAGCACCAGCCCCTGTGACATTTCTAATCAGTGGCTGCCCTCCTCCTGGCACACAGGCCTTGGGATTGCCTCTTCCTCAACGCAGTAGCTCTACTGCTACAAGGAATTCTCCTTGTTGGCTTATCAGAGTGACCCTCAGAAGAGGGGCTGACACAAAAGTCTCCCCAGGACATTTCTGTTTAATTATGTATTCCTAACTTTGGCCTCTTCCTCCCTCTTCACAAACACCAACAACACCTCATCCCAAAACCTTTTAAAGAGTAGGAAGTAGGCCAACTCTGAGGCAGGGAGTAAATTTGAGTCTTGACTCCACATTTTATTAACTTCTTGGGAATGGAGGCCCCTCAGCTATAAAATGGGATTTATTCATTCAACACATATTTCTTGAGCACCTACAATGTACCAGAGACATAGAATTCATAGTTAGCAAAACAAACTGAGTCCCTGCCTCATAAAACCTACAGTCTAGCAGGAAAGAAAAGCAATGAAATCAGCCACTACAATCAATTTGATAAGTGTTTGGGCAGAGGAAGCCTAAGTCTTAAGCTAGGAGGGTGATATTTCCAACCTTTATCCATGCAGTTTGAAAGCAGATCTTCCACATCCAATGCCTGGAAGCATTTTGAAAGAAATGTGGTTAGGACCAAGAGGCTGTGGGACAAGGATAAACTTTAGATTCAGACAAGACCAGGTACCACCATTTACTAGACATGCTATTCCCTATCTGCAAAATGGGTATACTAGCAAGACCTACTTTCCAGGTTTATTTATTTATTTATTTATTTATTTTTTTGAGAGTGAAATGAGATCATGTCTGTTATTCTTTTCTTTTTTATTTTGTTTAAGACAGTGTCTCACACTCTGTCACCTAGGCTGTTTAGTGCAGTGCCACAGTCACATCTCACTGCAGCTTCAAATTCCTACAATTCTCCCACCTCAGCTTCCCAAGTAGCTGGGAAGACAGGCACATGCCACCATGCCAGGCTAATATTTTTATGTTTATTTTTATTTTGTAGATATGAAATCTTGCTTTGTTGCCCAGGCTGGTCTTGAACTCCTGGCCTTGAGCAATCCTCCTGCCTTGGCCTCCCAAAGTGTTGGGATTAGAGGCATGAGCCACTGCACCTGGCCCATGTCAGTTCTGAATCTGGCACATTGCAGGCATTCTGTCCACACTCATCCCTGTCCTCCGTGTCCATCAGTGCAGGTTGCAGCACATGGCAAGGCCTGAGCTTGGAGTAGTAACAGGAGACACACAGTCACTGAGACAAATCCTCTTCTTTTAATCAGTCCCTTGTAAATATAGTAAATCCTATAATGTGCAGGAAGCAGAATAAGCCCCCAAAAAAGCATATATTGAAATATAAAAAAAAAAATCTAGTTTTAATCACAACTGGGGGACCAATTTCCTGTGTTAATTAATCTTGTGAAGATCAGAATTTGATGAAATAAGTAAATTACAAGCGATGGAAAAACACTGAAGTGGAAGTGGTTCATGCTCTTATAAATGACGTTACTGTAATCCCGCCCTTATCCTCAGGGGATACGTAACAAGACAACCAGCAGACGCCTGCAACTGAGTATTGAACTGAACCCTTATATGTACTGGGTTTTTTTTCCTATGCATGTGTATCTATGATAAAGTTTAATTTGAAAATTAAGCACCATAAGAGATGAACAATAATAACTAATAATAAAATAGAACAATGATAACAATATGCCAACGTCACTACTCTTGCTCTTTGAGGTCATTATCAAGTAAAAGAAGGATTACTTGAACACAGGCACTGTGATACCATGACGGTCGATTTAATAACTGAGATGGCTGCTAGATGACTAATGGGCAGCTAGCGCGTACAGCATAGAAACACTGGACAAGGGGATGATTCATGTCGTGGGCCGGATGGAGCAAGATAGTGTGAGACTTCACCATGCTACTTAGAATAGCATGCAATTCAAAACTTATGAATTGCTTATTCCTGGAATTTTCCATTTAATATTTTTGGGCCATGATAACTGAAACCACAGAAAGCAAAACTGTAGATAAAGGGTAACTGCTGTATATTTGTTGTAGTTTCAAAGCTGGGCCATGTTGGGTTTTTTGTATTTTTTATCAATATATCATAGTTATGTATATTTTAGGGGGTACATGTGATATTTTGATACCTATGTATAATATATAATGATCAAATCAGGGTAATTGTAATGTCCATCACCTCAAACATTTTTTTTCTTATTTGGGAACATTACAATTCTTTTCTTCTAGCTTGGGTCATGTCGTTATTGGAGTTTATGATAAATTATGGTGATGATGTGCTGATGAAAAAAGTCACTCTTAGTTCCATTTATGTGGGCATCGTAGAAAGACAAGGACTGTTGCAGACAGAAAGATTAAGATAAAAATCTCATCTCAGGGGCCATGCGTGGTGGTTCACACCTGTAATCCCAGCACTGGGAGGCCGAGGCAGGTGGATCATGAGGTCAGGAGATAGAGACCATCCTGGCCAACATGGTGAAACCCTGTCTCTACCACAAATACAAAAAGTATCTGGGTGTGGTGGCACATGCCTGTAATCCCAGCTACTCAGGAGGATGAGGCAGGAGAATCGCTTGAACAGGGGAGGCGGAGATTGCAGTGAGCCAACATCACGCCACTGCACTCCAGCCTGGTGACAGAGTGAGACTCCATCTCAAAAAAAAAAAATCTCTTCTCAGTCACTTTCAGCCGTGTGATCTTGGTGAAGTTAATTTACGTCTCTAAGTTGCCATGTTCTCATCTGCAAAACAATACATTTTCTGTAGTATGGTGTTCTAAGGATTGAAAATGACAGCCCATGTCAAGTTCCTGAAATATCACAGGAGCTCAAAAATATGTGAATCCTGGTTAGTGACATTAGCTTCCCTGCCACACATCTGGATGCCTGAGTCCCAGCCTCTTAGCCATTTCACATGGCCAAGCATTTTCTGACCCAGGAATCATGCTCATCTCTGCAGAACTTGCTGTATTAGGCTGTTCTTGCATTGCTGTAAAGCAAAACTTGAGGCTTGGCAATTTACAAAGAGAAGAGATTCAATTGGCTCACAATTCTGCAGGCTATACAAGAAGCATGGTGCTTACATCTGCTTCTGGTGAGGCCTCAGGGAGCTTTTACTCATGGCGGAAGGCAAGGAGGGAGCAGATGTGCCAATTGACGAGAGCCAGAGCAAGGGTGGTGGGAGGTGTCACATACTTTTAAACAACCAGATCCCACAGAACTCACTCACTATCGCAACAACAGCACCAATCCATGAGGAATCCCACCACCATGACCCAAACACCTCCCACCAGGCCCCACCTCTAGCATTGGGGATTACATTTCAACACAAGATTTGGGCAGGACAGATATCCAGCACCCCTAAAACTGCCCTTCTACCCATGAACAGCAGCACCCTCAGCTCCTTCCTCTTCCCCTCAACATTCTCCTGTGTCTTCAGTCTTCCTTTCAGGTAAGGGTATCTCTTCTCCTATCTAAGACCAGCCCCTCAAGACTATACTTTCAGGGAACATTTCTATGGTTCATTACTAAGACAAGTCCCTCAACCCATGCCCGCAGGCCTGACCAGTCTAAATCCACCCTATGTTCACCCTCCTCACGTTCTAACAGGGCAGCAGGCACCCTCTACAGACCTCCCCCCACTGCTTAACATGCTTCTGTCAGGCCTCTGAGCCCAAGCCTGCACGAATACATCCAGATGGCCTGAAGCAAGTGAAGAATCTCAAAAGAAGTGAAAATGGCCGGTTCCTGCCTTAACTGATGACATTACCTTGTGAAATTCCTTCTCCTGGCTCATCCTGGCTCAAAAGCTCCCCCACTGAGCACCTTGTGACCCCCACCCCTGCCAGCCAGAGAACAACCCCCTTTGACTGTAATTTTCCACTACCTACCCAAATCCTATAAAATGGCCCCACCCCTATTTCCCTTCACTGACTCTGTTTTCGGACTCAGCCCACTGGCACCCAGGTGATTAAAAAGCTTTATTGCTCACACAAAGCCTGTTTGGTGGTCTCTTCACACTAACCAATGCACATGAAAGCCTCAGAGGGCCTCTCCTACTCCCCCCTCCTTTCCATGCTCCTCTATCACTCCTCACGAAAAACAGAACCCATTTCTTGCCTCTCAGCCTAAGTCCATTGAGCTTGCACCTCCAGGCTGTCCCTTAATGTCTCAATCCTTCATCCAGGCCATAATGCCCAAGTTCCTTTGGCTCTGAGAAGCAACAGGCCTGCCCTGGCCACTGCCCAGCACACTCATCCAATAGAGCCATGTCCCCAGCCCTTGGCAGGAAGGACCTGACAGAGCACCCACGCTTTATCTGCGACTATACTCCATCACCAGCTTTCTGTCACTTGCAACATGAGAGTGCTGATTATTGTACTCATAATTTTTTAACATCTAGCAGGTCAGGCTGGTCACAGTAGCTCATGCCTGTAATCCCAGAGCTTTTGGAGGCAAAGGCGGGAGGATCACTTAAGCCCAGGAGTTCAAGACCAGCCTAGGCAACATAGGGATACCTTGTCTCTATTAAAAATTTAAAAAATTAGCCCAGCATGGTAGCACACACCTATAATCCCAGCTGCTATGGAGGCTGAGGCAGGAGGATCACTTGAGTCTGTAAAGTTGGGGCTGCAGTGAGCTGTGTTCGCACCACAGAACTCCAGCCTGGGCAAGATCTTGTCTCATAAATAAATAATAAAATAAAATCTAGCAGGTGAACTAATAAGTCCCCTAAGCCTCCCTTTTGGAGGTGATCAGTGATGTCCATCTGAAACCTGAAACTAGGAGTCCTCCTGGCCTTGGAAGATTCCGAGGCAGGAGGATAGGGCCCGGAGGCAGGGAACATAATGCCGATCCACGCTGACTTCCTGGAACTAAATCAAATGACAGCACTTCAGCAATGACAGGAATGTGAATGGCTTTGTAACTTCATCCTCTCCATTCACGCCATTTACACTTTGTAACTTCACACTCATCCTCTCCATTTACATAGACCACGCGCACTAAGTAACATCCTCTCCATTTACAATAGGGCACATTCTGAGTAAATGACTCTGTTACTTCACTTCATCCTCTTCATTTGCACAGAAATACACCAAGTAACCAATGGGAAACATCTAGAGAATTGAAACCCAAAAAAATTCTGTAACTGAGGCTCTTGAGCCCCTATGTTCAGGCTACTCCTACACTGCGGAATGTACCTTCATTCTCAATAAATCTCTGCTTTTGCTTTCCTTGCTTTCTGTGTTTTGTCCAATTCTTTGTTTGAGATGCCAAGGACCTGGACACCTTCTGCCAATAACAATTCCATGGGGCTGGGAGACAAGCAGAGGAGCAGGGCCTCTTGTCCACAGCTGCAGGTTGCACTGAATCAAGAGTAAATTTAGAGTCAAGAAGGAGTGAGGTCCGGAGGTCTGTAAGCCCAAGAAAGGTTTGGACAGCTTGCCAAGCTGAGAGGAAGGCCTGGGAAAGGATTCAGAGCCAGCATGTGAGGCCAGGGAGTCCTGGAGCCCAGGAGCCAATTGCAGAAAGTGAGAAGCCAGGAAGCCAAGTATCAGGTGGACCTCAAATGGGCTGATGCTCATGGGCCTGCGGAGAAAGAAGGCTTTACTTAAGAAGCCAGAGATAAGCATGGACCACCTCCTCACTGCCAAACTCAGTGATTGCTTCCCTGAACTCTTCCTCCACAAATGCCTACTGTTTGATCTTCTTCACCACACTTCCTGCCTGAAACTCCCCTCTTTGGCATCCTCCTCACTCTTGGCTTCTTCTCTGGACCCAATTTTCCCTTGATTCTTTGCTCTTCATCCTCTCAGATTTTCCATGGCCAATACAGTCACCAGACTAGTAGGTGAAAGAATAGGACCTGGGTCTTCTGACTCCTGATGACTCTGCTAATGCCATTGCTATTGGACAGCAAGCAGCTAATAAAACAAAGACCATTCCATCAAAAATATTCATCAAACACCTTGTATGGGACTGGACTACACCAGGTGTGATAGAGAATTCCTATGAGTGGCCTCCAAGGAGCATTAGATTAGAAGGTGGCTGGAGGGTGGATATTTTCATACACAGAGACAAAGCTCCCCATCCCACAACAGATCCAGAGTCTGTTTTGGACCACAGGGAAGGAAGGCCCTTCTCCAGGATTCTGATGAGCATTTGGTACCCAACAATTGTTCCCACGTGCACTTGGATTGGAATTGGCTTTTCTGTGGCTGCTGCATGCTGTATCTGCAAAACTATCAGCTTCACCTCAATCCCCAAGCTTGTATGGTCTCTGAATTATTTAATGCCACATTCCAAGAGGCTGTGAATAATGGAATGGTGTGTAAATAATCTTATCTCTGTCTCTACATGCAGAGATTGTGAAAGGGGCATCTAGAGAGGCTCTATGCTGCCAGAATCTTACAACACCTGTGCATGATTAAAAACCAAGCCAAATGCCCCCTAGATAACTGCTGTTCCCCAGTGGGTGAAAGAATCAAGCAAGCGTCTCATCATATTTCTCATGTGGAGAGAAGCAATTATATATCAGGTTTCAGGTTCAAATGCCTCTAGGATAATTATAGCACTACTTTAGAGCTGTATAGAGCCTGACAGATTTACCCAGTTCTTTCCCCTGCCTGTGAGAGGGGCAGGCTGGTTTTCCTAATTGACAAACAAGGACTGAACCCCAGAGAGATTACCTGGCTTACGGAATGGGCAGACAACAAACCTGGGGCTCAGGCCTCCTGACAACTCCTCCAGCATGCTTTCTTCCCGTGACATGGCTATCTGGGCATCGTGCAATTGTGCATTTGCCTTCCAGTCATTGTGCAGTAGCACTGTGACCCGCCCACATATCAGGTGCCTCTTAGTTTTGGCCAGATTTTTGTGTGGGCATGGGAAAGGGAATTCTGTTTTCTTGAAGTCCCATACCACGTATCAGACACTTGACCTACTTAGGTAAAGCGAGCCATTGAGGTAAATGAAAGAGAATGAGAATACACAGGGAATATAGTGCTTTTTCAATGCACTATAGTGTGGCGGAAACAACCTTTGGCCCAAAAATCAAGAATTATAAGAAAAAGTTCTGATTCTGCCATTACCAGCTGTATCCTCTTAGAGAAGTCTCTTATCATTCTGAGCATCCATTTTTTATTCAATAAAATAGGATAAATAATAATTTACCCACAGTGTTGCCATGCAGCTAAAATGGGAACCATGTACATCAGTGGAAGTGTTATCTCCAATTATTAACTCATGTCTTCAGGATTGCCAGGGTGATGCAAAGATTACTCAACAGGCTGTAGTAATTGGGGAGAATTTTCAATCCTTTTAGAGGCAAGGGGCCCCAAAGAGGCAGAAACAGTGCCTCAACTATGAGGCACTGAAACAGTCCAGGTTAATCAAAAATCTCCCATTTTAACCCTTCCAAGTCCTCTCCCAATTTCAAAATCTCCCATCATAAAAACCCACTTCCCTTGGTGAGGATGAAGGAAAATATGGTCAGAAATGATGGAAGGAATAAAGTTCCCCCACTGTGATCTTCACCTTCATTTCTGAAGTATTTATCCTCAAAGGTCTTCCTTCTTTTCTTGGAGCTCTGGATCTCTTGTGATAACTCATCTACCTAAGACCTTAAAGGAGTCCAGTTGGAACTGTGTCTCAGTAGACATCATGGGTTCTCTCTCATGCCCACCTCCACAGGACATCTGATTACCAAAATCACTTAGATATCAACTAGGTGGTGGGTGAACAGCATTTTAAGTTAATTAAGGAAAGTGGGTTATTGTAGGGAGGCTCTATTCAAAAAAGAAGGAAATCCGGTATGACAGAGAGATGAAACATTGCCTAATTGGGAGAACAATTGGGAAGAACTATTAACCAGAATAGACTCAATTCCAGACACCCCACCGCTTAAGTGTCAAGACCAGAATAGCTCCTCAGGTCTGATCAATGATTCCACTTCCTCCTCAACACCTAAGGAGTTTTAAGGTACGATAATAAAGAATTATACAAAATGGGAGGCTCACTCCACCTGTTCTCACACTTTCTCCCCCTCTTCTCTACCCAGTTTTATTGCAGCATTGAATTGTGATTATATCTGATAGTTCTGTGAGCATTCCAAAGGGAGAAATTGTATTTCTTTTTCTTTTATTTACAAAAATGTGCTGAACATCTCCACATCACACAATTGGTCCACAGATAACTTTAAAACAGCATATAAAAATAAGTTTCTTACCTACCGCTTAGACTTGTTCTTCCTCCTAATACCCTATCTCAACTGGTGACACCACAGGCACCGTAATCACCAGGCAAGAAGGTGAGGAGTGACCCATGACCCATCTCACCCCTTCATGTCCTACATCTATCAACCCTAAATCTTAGTTTTCTCTTAGTCTTCACTTAACTCCTTGATATGTGTTGAGTTTCTTGTATGTGCCTGCCATGCATTCTGCAAGCTCTAGGAAAATCATGGTGGCCAAAATGGACATAATGCCCTCCCTCATGGTTCAAATTCAGCTCCACCCCTTACTAGCTTGGGCAGATTATGTATTATCTGTGCAACTCAGGGTTCTCATCTGAAAAATGGAGATAAAAATAGCACCTACCTCAGAGGATTGCTATGAAGATTCAATAGATGGTGTATCAGTCTGTTCTCATGCTGCTATAAAGATCTATCTGAGACTGAGTAATTTATAAATGAAAGAGGTTTAATTGACTCACAGTTCAGCATGGCTGGGGAGGCCTCAGGAAACTTACAATCATGGTGGAAGGGGAAGCAAACATGTCCTTCCTCACATGGCAGCAGCAAGGAGAAGTGCTGAGCAAAAGGGGCAAAAGCCCCATATAAAACCATCAGTTCTCATGAGAACTCACTCACTATCACGAGAACAGCATGAGGGTGACTGCCCCCATGATTCAATTACCTCCCACCAGGTCCCTCCCATGACAGATGGGGATTATGGGAACTACAATTCAAGATGAGATTTGGGTGGGAACACAGCCAAACCATATTAAATGGGTTAGTATGTGTAAAGCACATGGAACATAGTTAAGTGCTGTGTGTTTCCTATCATATTAATTCCAATTGCAGTAAGTGATACTAAAGAATTTAGGTTCCTCCAGGGTGTCCTGTTGACCTCACATGTATCTACTTAAAGCAGGTAGACAAAGCCCCAACTTAGTCTGAGTCTTGGCGGAACATTTATGGATCCTTCCAGAACAGGGGAGGATGGATAGCTTATAAGGGGCTACTCAAGTTCCTGTGACTCACCTCCCCATCTGCCCGAGAGGCTGTCTGGAGGCACTTTCTCATGACCTCTCGAGTTCTGATGAGTTATAAGGCCTCTTACCCCACCCCTCTAGGGTATGGCTGAGAATAGATAGAACCACGTTGCTGCACTCAGCCATGGGTATCCCACCACTTGTGTTGCATTGTCCTCTGGCCCCTATGGCTTAGGACTTCTTGGTATGTGGAACAAAGACCACAGGGAGAGGCATCTTTGGCTGCTTTTCCTTTCACTATATAAGTAATTAACTGCTCAAACCTAAGCATGGCCTGTTTTTCCTTTACTGGACAAATCCATCGGGACTTTGGCCTCATATTGGCCTTGTCCTTAAAAAAGAGAAGGAAATTGTTTTGTGCTATTAGAAGAACAACAGAGAAACCAGGGCGGCTCTTCACTGACCGGCCCCCACCTTTAGCCCATCAGTGAACACTGTCATTTCTGTATTTAATGTACCTCATCTGATCTCTCTGCCTCCACTCTTGCTCCTTCCTGCCAAGTTTCCTCAGAGGAATCAGAGCAACACAGAGAATAATATTTGTCCCCTGCTTCTTCAAGTATCTTTAAAGACTTCTGATTTTATCAAATAAATGCAATTTTTAATCAATGGCCTACAAGAGCCAACATGACCTCGTTCTGCCAATGTCTCCAGCATCAGCTGAGACTCAACTCACCCTGTCACCAACTGAGCTCTCGTCATGCAGGCCTTCTCCTGCCCGGTCATCAAACATGAGGAGATCTGCACCTCAGAGCCTCTGCATAGGCTGCCCTTCCCTACTTCTGAGATAAGGGGAAGAGAAGATGGCAGAGGACTGCAAAGAGTAGGGGAGGAAACACAACAAAAGAGCAATGACAGACAGTGAGCAACTGGAAATGTTGAACAGTAACCCAGAGAGAGTGGTACCAGGAACTCGGTGAGGGGAATGTGCTGGAAGGAAAGATTGCTGTACTCAACAGCACGAGAGCTCCTGTAAGGAGAGGGCTCCCAAGTATTCAACAATTCAGCACCATGTCTGGTCATGGGTGGGCTGATGAAGACCAGTCCTGGCACATTGCAGAGGGTGGGGTATGTGGGCAGTCAAAGCCAGCCCAGAGTGGGTTGAAAGGAATCAATGAAAACTGAGAGGGAGAGGTAGGCTGCAGATGCAGGAGAAAAAGGGAAAACCACCAGAGTGAAACTATGAGAAGGCGGGAGAGGATAGATTTCAGAGGACAAGTGGAGGGGGTGGCCTTGATGAGAGGAAGAGGCTCTAGAAACAAGAGGGAGAAAGAGAAAAGAGGGTGTCTTAGATGCTTTATCTGCCATTTGTCTCCAGTTTGACTCCAGACTTCTCAAAATTCACCAAATACATCATATTAGTATTCCTTTCTGCAGGCTTTTGCTCTGGCTCTTCTCTTCCGTGAATGTCCTTTGTTTTTGTTTTTGTTTTTTTCTTTTTATTTTTTTTAAGATAGGGTCTCACTCTATTGCCCAGGCTGAGTGCAGTGGCAGGATCATGACTCACTGCAGCCTCAACCTCCCAGGTTCAAGCAGTCCTCCCACCTTAGCCTCTCAAGGAGCTGTGACTACAGGAGTGCACCACCATGTCTGGCTAATTGTTTACTTTTTGTAGAGACAGGGTCTTGCTATGTTGCCTCGGCTGGTCTCGAACTCCTGGACTCAAGCAGTCTTCCTGCCTCAGCCTCCCAAACTGCTGGGAATACAGGAGGGAGCCACCACACCCAGCCTATGAATGCCCTTTCTGCTCTCCTTTGCCTACTAACTCTCAGTGACTTTATGTGCATACTTTAAGGACACCCCTTCCCCTCCTAGGTGCTATATTTCTCATCTTACTTCTCAAAACCTATTGTGCCTCACTCCATCACTACACTTGCCAATTTGTCTTATATTTACAATCTTAGCTATTTATTTTCATCTTGAGGGGGCATTAACTGTATGTGGGTAAGACAGTAATCCTATTTATATCTGCATCCCCAGTGATGCCTAACACAGAACTGGCACACTGTAAGCATTTGATGAATGACTGGAGTCAGAAGCCCTGGATTGAGTCACAGCTTTGTGTTTCTTTTCTCTGTGTACATTTAAGCAAATCATTTCATCTGTCTGTGCTTCTGTTACTTAAACTACAGATGAGGGGCTAAACCCAGTTGGACACTGAAGGAAATCTGTGGGATATTGAATATCACAGTGCTTTGAAAAATAACACAATTTAAATGTTATATATTATCACCCATTGCCATCATGTCTTATGGGGAGCTGGCCCTTTCAACCTAATTAGCTCCAACAGGGGTATCTATGATACTATACTTTGATTTGGATTTTTGAGAAATTGAAGAGGTGAAGGTGTAGTAAAGTAAGACCTGGAATTGAGACCAAGTCCCTAAATAGACTTGGGACTTGAAGCAAATCACTTAGTTGGTCAATTTCATCAATCACAAATACTTACTGAACAGTGACCATCATCAGCCACTGGAGATGCCAAAGTGAAAAGAAGGCTCAGTCCCCACCTAGAGGGTGAGAGACTTGCAAATCAACAGTAAGAGCTCAGTATCTCCTGGTAACTGCCACAGTGGGAATGGGACAGGGAAGGGCACCAGCACCACAAACGTAGCAAGAGGCATTTGGGAGGCTTCTAAAGCTGAAGCTGCAATTTGGAGAATGGGTGGGGCTGGCCACAGAGAGCCCAGGTGTATTAGTCAGTGTTCTCTAAAGGGACAGAACTAATAGGATATATGTATATAGGAAGGGGAGTTTATTAGGAGAATTGTCTCACACCATCGCAAGGTGAAGTCCCACAATAGGCTGTCTGCAAGCTGAGGAGCAAGGAAACCAGTTCAAGTCCCAAAACCTCAAATGTAGGGAAGCTGACAGTACAGCCTTCAGTCTGTGGCCAAAGGCCCAAGAGCCCCTGGCAAATCACTGGTATAAGTCCAAGAGTCCAAAAGTTGATGAACTTGGAGTCTGATGTTCGAGGGCAGGAAGCATCCAACACAGGAGAAAGATGAAGGCCAGAAGACTCAACAAGTCTCTCATTCCACTTTCTTCTGCCTGCTTTATTCTAGCCATGCTGACAGCTGATTAGATGGTGCCAATCCAGATAGAGGGTGGGTCTGCCTCTCCCAGTCCACCAACTCAAATGTTAATATCCTTTGGCAACACCCTCACAGATGCACCCAGGAACAATAATTTGCATCCTTCAATCCAATCAACTTGACACTCAATGTTAACCATCACACCTGGGAAGGTTCTTTTTTATTTTTTATTTTTATTTTTTTTTTATGAGATAGGGTCTCACTCTGTTGCCCAGGCTGCAGGCTGCAGTGGTGCAATCACAGCTCACAGCAGCCTCCACCTCCCCCACTTAAGTGATCTTCCCACTTTACCCTCCCAAGTAGCTTGGACTACAGATGCACACCACTGGCTAATTTTTTACTTTTAATAGAGATGGGGTCTCACTATGTTGCCCTGGCTGGTCCTGAATTCCTGCATAGAAAAAGGGGTAGAAGTGTGAGACAGGCAGACATTAAGGGGTCCCCTTAACTGCAGCCTGGTGAAATTCTGAAGCAGAGAAGCCAGCTAAGGTATGCTCAGACTCCGGTCTTGCAGAAACTGAGATAATAAATATGTGTAATTTAAACCTACTAAGTTTGTGTCAATTTGCTACACAGCAAAAGAAACCTATATAAAGTGTGGGGAAACAATGGAACATTGTTAATCTCAGAAGGGACATGACCATTTCCTAAACTTTGGTTTTCCCAGGTGTAAAGTTGGAACTGTAACAACATCAGACAGCCCTACTTCACAGAACCATTGCAAGCCCCACTGAGATGTTAGCCTCAGAAGGGTTTGTAAATTGCCACACACCATAAGGTTGCTGGTCGGTAGCATTCCATTTCCTTACACACACTTAACCACAAAGTTCCCAGAGTGGACCTCATACCTACTTAGAAAGAGTAACACATTGAGAACTAGCCAAGATCTTTTCATACTCCCAAAGCAATGCTCTTTCTTGCCTCTGAGCCTTTGGCTGGGCTGTTTCTTCTGCTGGAGCACTCTTTCCTCCCCACCTCCTATTCACCACTCCTGCACCGGGCTAGCTCCTACTTCCTATACACTTTTCAGTTTCTAGCTCTCCCAGCCTCCCTTCCAAGGCAAGGTGACCATCCACCATCTCACCCTCCCTCCATGCCCCCCGGCACCCTCCACAAACTTGTGTCATCCTTGACTACAGTCTCCTATTTGCCTGTTTGTCTCCCATCCCACATCCTTATGAGCCGTGACCTTCTTAAAATCAAGAATTATATCTGAAGTCACCTTCATGCCTTTAATATCTGGCACAATGCCCAGTGTGCAGTAGGTGGGATTATACTAGCATATACAATATTTTATTAATATATATATATATCAATATACATAGTGTGGGCCGGCTTCCTGGTCTAGCAGCACTGATATGCGCAGGGGAGCAAACTCCACCAACAGTCTTCCCCCAGGGAAAAAGATACATTTATAATGTATTCCCTGTAAGAAGAGGGTGTGTGGGGGCTTGTTTAAACTTTTTTCTTAAAAACAAAAACAACTGGAGAGTATTTGGCTTTCTTACAGGTACAGGCAGCCCTCCTGCTCTGGGCTCCCTCAGGCAGCTGCCAGAGAAAGTTTGCGGCTGCCTGAGTCGCTTTCTCTTCTGAGTTGTCAACAGCTTTGGAGCAGCCTTCCTGAGAGGTGGGAGAAAGGGGAGGTGGCTTTGCTAATATTTAGATTGAGAAAAGGAAGCCTTCATTACACAGAGACTGGGACCGTTCCCACTATCTCGAGAAGATATAAGAGAGATCCAGGTAGAGGGGTGAGGAAGGAGGGTGCGTGCCAACCCCACAGCAGAGGCACCAGCACTGCAGGCCCAAGGGTCCTGGTGGAGCTGAAGACAGGGAGGCAGTGTGATCCCACTTCTGCTTTATGCCTCCCCTGGGAGCCCTGGGACTCTTCTTGGATGAAGCCACAAAACAGAGCCAACACCATTCCCCTCTCACTCCCACTTGTAGGTGGGACTTTGCTGCCATTCCAGCCTGGATTTGAATCCAGACCCCACTATTGCCAGCTGCATGACCCAAAGCCAGTCAACCAATCCTGCAGAAACCCTGTTTCCCATCTAAGAATGGAAGTGGTAATCCCAGCCTCACAGTGTTGTTGAGACAATTCAAAGAGGTTAAATATGCATGAAGCCCAGAACATGAGATGATTTCTAAATGTCAGTTCCTGATCTCCCAGCTACTTCCCCCTGGCATGGCAGCCACCTGAGCCCAAAGGAAAATGTATTCTTGAAAGAAAACGAGATGCTACATGGGATGGTCCTCTGAGATGAGTAAAACTCCAGTGTGCAAAGTGTAGTCACCATGATTACTATTGAAGAAAACAAAATGAAAAACAAGTATCGTACAAAGGAAAAGTGCAGTGCCCGCAGAGCCTGCTGTGTTCGCTGCTTGCATGTGTATATAGCACTGCAGAGCACCCAAGCTGCTACACACATTTTGTTTCACCTGACCCTTGGACAATATCCATATTTCAATATTTTCTGCATCTTACAATAGTGAAACTGAGGCTCCACTATTGTAGGACTCAGGGGGACTGGAAATCAACTTCACGTTCCTAGAATTATATGTATTTCTTCCCCACCCACACTCTATCCATGAACACTTCTGATCGTCTCAGACAGGGAGGAATCCACCAGAGACTGTCGGATCCCTTGCCCTGTGTGTCTCCCACCGTGGAGCCAATACACACATTCCCCTGGTCTCTCCAGTCATCGCTAAATTAGAGCAATTTCAGTTGCACATGAAACAAACCCAACTCAAACAAGTTGAACACAAAGAATTGATTGACTCCCATGCCTGAGATATGCAGGGGTAGTCAGGCTTAAGTCACAACTGGGTTCAGGTGACCCATGGATAACGACAGTCGGGTTGAAAACACAAGGTGTCACAGACATCTGCTGTCACACTCCTTCTTTCCCAGTCTCAAGCCTTCTGCAGCAAAGCCAGCACCTTCCCATATCCTCCACTCCAAACAAAACAGTCTACACAGCACCCCCCAAACACACACGGAGCATTCACACTTCTGAGAATCACCTTAAAGAGGTTGTGCCTCTGAAAATCTCTGTCTCACCTCGTTTTCTTTCTTTCTAAAGTCTTTCTGTTACTGAAGACACATAGTGATTATCCCTCCTCTGTGAGGCCTTCTCTGATCTCTCTTTGCTGTGAGCTACAGTTTTCTAAGGTCTTAGAGGATTGATGTTGCATGGGGTCTGATGGGGCAGAGTTAGAGTCCTGGGGTCTGTTTTTAAGTGAGAGAAGCTGTTACTATTCGCAAGTTGCCTACTACTTTTTTCTATATTTATAAAGAACACAACAAAACTTTAGATAAACCACTTTTAGTGGCCCTTTTAATTATTTACTTGTAAAGCTAGTAGGAAGAGTGCAGTGTGGGAGGGGTACACTGGAGCTTTTTTTTGAGATGGAGTCTTGCTCTGTCGCCCAGGCTGGAGTGCAGTGGCGCAATCTTGGCTCACTGCAGCCTCTGCCTCCCGGGTTCCAGTGATTCTCCTGCCTCAGTCTCCTGGGTAGCTGGGATTACAGGCACATGCCACCACACCCAGCTAATTTTTGTATTTTTCGTAGAGACAGGGTTTCACCATGTTGGCCAGGCTTCTCGAACTCCTGACCTCGGGTGATCCGCCCGCCTCAGCCTCCTAAAGTGCTGGGATTACAGGCTTGAGCCACCACACCTGGCCCACTGGGGCTTTTTTAACTTGACTAAAGTGGTCTTTCTCCTCTAAGAAGGACACAGGAATATTGGCCTAAGGACCCAAGAGCCTCTTGAGAATAAAATTATTTAGACCCAAATCCTGAATCTTTTGATGTTCAATGTTGATGGAACTTGTCTGGATACCTAGGGGGCTGCAATGGGGGTAGCCAGCAAACGGAGCTGATGAATCTGGTCCACAGGCCAGACCGCCTCTTCTGCCACCTGGGCCCAGAGTGGGCTGGCCCTCTTGAGCTCTCTCCTATAGCCCTTGAGTGGGTGGGTAAGTCAGAGTGCACCGGCTCTGCAGGCCTGCTGTTCTTCATTTCTGGGAGGAGGGGAAGAAAGATCCATTTTCGTCTCAATTAGAAGCCATAGTCTCCAACTCAGTTTTACAGAGGCCCCATATTTTAGAAATCCTAATGTATTTGCCCAAAGTCATAAAGGTGTACTTTCTCATTTCACCTCTGTTTTTTGCATATATGCTTCCTCAGTTTGAACCCTAAACATGAGAGGACTGAAGATGTATGTTTTATGGTGCCTTTAGAACTTATCCCAGGTCTCTGTTTTGCTTTGTTTCTTTTTTCCTACTGGGTTGGGGGCAGCAAGGACAAAACCCAGAACTTCCCCAGGAGCCTCCCTGGCCTGTGGCTAGGAGAGGATCCCAGCACTGAGGACTCTGTAGCGTTGTGGGTCTGTGTCCTCCCTAAGCCTAATACACCTCCCACTTGGAGGTGCACACTCCCATTCATTCCTCAGCAACACTTTATTTATGGTGCCCAATGTCTGGGATAAAGAAAGTGGATTGAGAGGGACTAAGCAACCAGCCTGAGGCTGCACCCTATGTGAGTGGCAGCCCCAAGCTTCTGGCCAGATCTCCATGTCTAGGTCTAGTGCCCAGGGTGGCTTTTTATTCAGGAGATTAAGGTGACATGTGACACCTGCTTCTAACTTGTCAAGCATTGGTTCCATGTGCTTTATACAATAAAAGAACAAGATATATCTTTAAAAAATAATTGGCATACAACATTCAAGAAATTAAATAGACAAATCAACTTTTGTTTTGTTAGGAAGCTGATCTTGTCAATATTCTCCTTGGGTCTTCTAGACCCCTCTCTCCAAAATCAACTGAAAGGGGTTCTGAGGAGCAGTGAGTTGGCCCTGGGCTGAGCTTGCCTTCCTGAGGACACTCCTCCTTGCAGGATCTTCCCAACTCACCCCTGATGCCTGCTCGCCCTCACCCCACTGCCCCACACCCTCAGCTTTGCTGTCACTCTGTGTTCATTTCTTCCCTCTTTCTCTGTCTCAATGTCCCCACCTCCCTTCTGTTTGCCCTGTCTCTCTGCATCTCTTTCACAGCCATACACATAAATTCACTTTATGTTTTATGCATTGAAGCTAGTTGCCTTCAATGGGGTGGAGGGACAGCTGTCCTGAAAAAATAAAATTTGGCCAATATCATCAGGTGGTGGTAGTTTTCCTTAAGCCCTTAAATTCCCTTTTCTCTCTCTGTGTCAAGACAATCTTCTCTGAAGAACAAAAGCATATGGATCTTAATAACTGGGGAGGTTGCTGCACTGAGGCCCTGATTCTTCCTCCTGCGTCTTTACTAATCTGCCTCCACAGTGCCTCAGGCCAGTGCCCTGAGTGTCCTTGCTAGATATTAGCACAGCCTCTCCCAGTCCTTCCCTGGACTTCAAAACCACTCAGGCTCAGCTCCTTGGCCCAGGGCAGCAAAGGCTCTCCCTGTTGGACAGCCTCAGCTGCATCTGCCTATGGAAGAGCCTCCGTTGGGGAATGCTCACCTGGGGTAGAGATGGGGAGGCCAGGTGAGGGAGAGAGACTGTCCTGCACTGATTGAAGGGCTGTTGCTGCAAAGGTCAGCTCAGCTGTGCAGGGCTCTCCATCTGTTACAGCTGATGATGCCACAGCTGGCCAACAATGGCATGACCCTCCAGGGAATTCCTGTCTCAGCATCCATCAGACTTCTAAGGAAAGCTGCACTTACAGACGTGTCATATGCAGGTCTTGAGTGACAGGCCACCTGTCACACTCACTGCCTCCCATCGAGGTCTTCTCTGTCTTCCTCAGCATGGTGATTTTTTTTTTCCTTGCTTTGATTGGACCCATGGATGTGTTGACTGTAGCAGAAATGGGAACCGCAGCTAATCAGCCCACTGATGGCCATCCAGGCGCCGCC
Source organism: Homo sapiens (assembly GCF_000001405.40). Lineage (NCBI taxonomy): Eukaryota > Metazoa > Chordata > Mammalia > Primates > Hominidae > Homo > Homo sapiens. The sequence goes on along the minus strand of NC_000008.11, from coordinate 134,956,056 downwards.
CCCACACCAGTTCCATGATGCCGCATGGAAAAGGCACAGGCCTAAAGTGAGACCTGGGCTCCAATCCCAGCTCCACTGCTCCAGCCATCTGACCGGGTCAATCACTTGGTTTCTGTTTCCTAGCAGGAAATAGGTGTCTCACTCAAGCTGAGTATGGTGAGGAGAGTTTAACCAAGGACTATTTACAAGGAAGAGCCGGACTTGAGGAAAGCTAAAGGATGAATGACAGGCAGGGATGCTTATCGACTCAAGGCTACAAGGGCCGAGAGGAGGGGCTACTGTTTGGGGACAGCTGGCTGACAAGAGCTGTGGCCTTCAGTAGAGGGACACAGCCAACCCACAGCATAAATCCATGGCATACTGTCCTCCCACTGACAAACCCGGCCAGAAGCCAGAGGACCAGGGGGCCCATGGAAGCAGTCCATAGGGGTCAGCTCTGCGAGCACATGGCTAAGGATTTGGAGAAAGGACAGGAGATATCCAGCTTACTCTATCTAAGCTGCAGTTTCCCCACCTGTAAAACAGAAAAATAACTATAGGATTATCAGACAAGTCAACAAAATAACACAAGCAAATGTCTTATTGTGGCATCCGGAACACAGGAGCTGGACAATACTTTCTTTCACCATGACCCAGAACCCTGCGCCTGTCTGGTTCTGCCTTAACCCAAATCAGGATACATCCCTTCACCCAGAATCTCCCCTGGGAATGGCCTGGTTTGCAGCAAAAGTCAATTCTCACTAGCCATTCAGGATGTAGCTTTGTTTAGAAAACACTGACAACTTTTTATTTTATTTTTTTGGGATGGAGTTTTGCTCTTGTTGCCCAGGCTGGAGTGCAATGGCACCATCTGATCTCAGCTCACTGCAACCTCCACCTCCCAGGTTCAAGCAATTCTCCTGCCTCAGCCTCCCAAGTATCTGGGATTACAGGCATGTGCCACCCTGCCCATGTTAGTAGAGACAGGGTTTCACCATATTGGTCAGGCTGGTCTCGAACTCCTGATCTCAGGTGATCCACCCACCTAGGCACCCCAAAATGCTGGGATTACAGGTGTGGGCCACCACGCCCAGCCGATAATTTATTGTATATTTCAAAATAGCTAGAAGAGAATTGTAATGCTCCCAATACAAAGAAAAGATAAATGTTTAAGGTGATAGATATCCCAGTTTCCCTCATTTGACCATTATACATTGTATACAGTTATCAAAATATCAGATGCACCTCCAAAATATATGCAACTATTATATATCAATAAAAAACAAAACATTGATACCTAATGTTTAAACAATGGGTTACACAGCACTTAGTCTGATTTAACACTCACAGCCACCCTGGGAAGTAAATGTGTGATCGACTCCATTTTACAGATGAGGAACTGAGGCTCAGATTAATTGCTTTGCCCAAGATATTTGCATCATGAATAAGAGAGCCAAGAATCAAACACTAATCTTCACCTTCCAGGTCTGTGTCTCTTTGCATTTATTCTACATTTCTCACCTATAAGGGGAGTGTGGTATATTCCCTTCTTAGTTTTCTGACCCACCTGAAGGAGATGGGCCCCCTCCTCTGTGGCAGACACTGGCGTATTCCACCCAAATCCCCTCGGAACTCTTTCCTGAGCATCCTTCCCCAGGCTTCAGTGTGCTTTGTGTTTGCAACCCTTAACCTGAAACTTTTCAAGAGAGGAGTCTCCTCAAGGTACTGGCACCACTTTGTCCTGTGCTCAAGGAAAGTGGGATGCGCCTGAGAGTTTGTATCTCCCTCATGGCAACCCTTAGCTGTTGACTGTGACCACAGCCATGAGTGCTGGAGACTGATCACCCTCTTCCCTTGCCTCAAGGCATGGCCACTTTGAGGCTGAGGGTATCCATAGCTTCTTTATGGGATCAGGCTGAAGGTGCCTATCTCAGGACTTTGCTGAAATCACACCCTTGCTTGGCCTCTTCCCTCCCTGACTCCTTCATTAGCTTCTCCTGAGAGCACTTTCTTAAGAAATCACCTGCATGCAAGTTCTCATATCGAGATCTGCAACTGCGGACCCCAACCCAAGACATCCCTTATTCTAAAGCCTCTTCATTGGAACTAGAAATATCCTCATAACAGAGTGATAGTCGAATGGGACCACCTCTCCCCAAGTCAGAGGCAGCTTCTTTTCTGCTCTAGATCTTCAGGCTTTCTGTGAAATCACACACTATTCTAAAATTGCAAAAGTCATTCTCCAGCAGAGCCCACAAGAATCCAGGAGAATCTCCATGATTCCTGGCCACAGGTTCACCCAGATAAGCATAGCACACAATTTCTTACATGACTTTTCTCAAGGACACACAAATAGTCCTAATTCCCCTCAAATTCTATCTCTCCTTTGCAGGCTCAGGCCTGAAATTTCACTATCAGGGTTTTGATTGCTGCTCCAACAAAACATCCTCACTGGAGTCACACTTGAAGCTGTTATCTCAAAGCTGTTACACTTTAATTTGAATGAAATATCAGTTTCTTCGTCTACAAAACAAAGATAACACGACAATCTTGGGAGCTTGGAGCAAAGATATAAGGGCTATGGAAAACTATCAAAATTTAAGTAAGTGTCCTTATCCCCATGACCATTTCACCAGGGGCCTTTTTAGGCTGAAAGGCATTGTTGCTTTCACCCCTTCCAGCCTGTGGAGATTGAGGCTGGGTAAACCAAGCAAATCAATGACAATGCTTTCTACTGTGAGGAGCAGAGTACCTGACTCAGAATGCTTAGGCAATAAGGAAGTTCACATAACCCAAATCTCAACAGGTTTTCTAGCACAGGTTAAGTCACAGCTCAATGACCTTAACAAGGACCCATGGTCTCCATGTTGTATTTTCAGCATACCATTGTCAGTCAGATGGCTTGTTCCTCAGGCTAGACACTCTCATGGTCAAAAGAAGGCTCAACATCAATTTCCAATTTGCATTAGCAACTTTTCAACTAGTATTAGAAAAATGCAAATTGACACCACAAGGAGATACTCTAACACACCTATTCAAATAGAGAAGATTTAAAAATTTGACCTTACCCAGAGTTGGTGAGGATGTGAAGGAACTGGAATCGGAAGGAAGGAATTGGAAATTTTACACATGCTGATGAGAATGTAAAATAGTACAACCACCTTGTAAAAGAGTTGGCAATGTCTCTAAAACTTAAATACAGGCTGGGTGCGGCAGCTCACGCCTGTAATCCCAGCACTTTGGGAGGCCGAGGCAGGCTGATCACTTGAGGCCAGGAATTTGAGACAAGGCTGGCCAACAAGGCAAAACCCTATCTCTACTAAAAATACAAAAAAAAAAAAGAAGTCACACGTGGTAGCACATGCCTGTAATCCCAACTATTAGGGAGACTGAATGAGGCACAATTGTTTGAACCCAGTGAGTGGAGGTTGCAGTGAGCCAAGATCACGCCACAGCACTCCAGCATGGGGGACAGAGCGAGACTCCATCTCAAAAAAAAAAGTTAAATACATACTCACTATATGATCCAATCATTCCACTACCCAAGAGAAATGAAAGCATGTGTTCATACAAAGGCCTGTATATGAATTTTCATAGCAGCGTCACCTGTAATAGCCAAAAACTGGAAACAGCCCAAAGTTCATGAAGTGAATAAACAAATTGTGGTACATCCTCACAATTGAATACCACTCAGCAATGAACAGGAATGATACACTTGCCAACACAGATGAATCTCAAAGGAATTACACTGTGTGAAAAGAGCCAGACAAGAAAGAGAACATATCACACATTTGTATAAAAATCTAGGAAGTGCACACTAACGTACAGTGACAGAGAGCAAGTCAGTGGTTGCCAGGGGACAGGATGGCAGAAGGAACAGGAGAGAAAAATCAAAGGGGCCTGGAGAAACACTTTTGGGGCCGATTCATGTGTTTGCTATCTTGATTGTGATGACAGTTTCACAGTATACATATCTCTTAGTTTGTGCTGCTATAACAACATACCTGAGACTAAGTACTTTACAAAGAACAGAAATGGATTTCTCACTGATCTAGAGGCTGGAAGTCCAAGATCAAGGCACCTGGAGGTTCTGCTGTCTGGTGTGGGCTGTTCTCTGTTTCCAAGATGGTACCCTGATGCTGCGCCTTCCAGAGGGAAGAAACACTGGGTCCTCACATCACAGAAAAGACAGAAGAGGAAAAGGGACCAAACTCCCTCAGTCAGCCCGTTTTACACTGGCATTAACTTATGATGAAGGTGGACCTCTTGTGACCTAAACACTTCCCAAAAGCCCCACCTCTCAACACTTGCATTGGGGATTAAGTTTCCACCACATGAATTTGGGGGGACACATTCAGACCATGTCACTACATATGCTAAAATGTGTTAAATTGTATGCTTTAAATATATGCAGTTTACTGTGTATCAATTATGCCTCACTAATGATCTTTTTTTTTAAAAAGTACTTCAGCAGCATGGAGCATGGAAAATAGCAACAACATAGAATGGTTTGGCAGAGGTCAAAAATAGTTCCCCTCCCCTTGGGAAAACCCAATGAAATATTTAGTCACAGACCAGAAAACATCCTTTAGCGAACAGAAGGATTGTGTTCATTTGTGCCCACCGATATATTTCTTTTTTTTTTTTTTTTTTTTTTTTTTGAGATGGAGTCTTGCTCTCTCTAGCCCAGGCTGGAGTGCAGTGGCGCAATCTCAGCTCACTGCAACTTCCGCCTCCCGGGTTCAAGCACCTCTTCCTTGGCCTCCCGAGTAGCTGGGATTACAGGTACCCGCCGCCACGCCCGGCTAATTTTTGTATTTTTAGTAGAGATGGGTTTCACCATCTTGGCCAGGCTGGTCTTGAACTCCTGACCTCGTGATCCACCTGCCTTGGACTCCCAAAGTGCTGGGATTACAGGCATGAGTCACCACGCCCAGCCTGTTCACAGACATATTTCTTGAATGTCTATTATGTGCCATTCACGTGCTAGATGTTGGGGACTCAACAATGAAGACCTCCCTCTCAATAGTCCAAACTCCAGCAGAGAAGGCTGGCAAAGAGCAGCAACAACAAAGCAGCATCTGCACTCATGCCCCAAAGCATCGCATCTCCTGGCCCTACACACTGATCAATTTTGCTGGACCGCACTCTTTCTTGTGCTGACCACCCAACCCCTTTGGGGAACACATCCTTTGTTTTAATTATCTTCTATCATTGGTTAAGCTACCATTGGTTAAGCTATAATCAAGTGACTGTCAGTGAAGATTATACAATTCTCTGTCTGTTCATGTCATACACTGACTTTGAAGACACTCAACCATCATACCCTGAACTCATCAACCACATCTACTATTCCCTCTTTGAATCCACCTTCCCTCCCATTAATAGAATGGGAACAAGCATGTTACAGCAATAGGAGCATAAATAGGTTATCAGACATAGCCAGATCCTAACCCATCTCACCACTACATTATCTATATAATTTTGGGAAGGTAATAAACCTCACTGGGCCTTCATTTTTCTATATATGCAATGGGGATAATATATAATTTCCAGGGTTAGTGGGAAGACAAAAGATAATGCATGTGAGAACCAAGCACAAGGCCTAGCACATAGTAGGTGCTCAGCAAACTGAAACTATCACCATGATCATAATGATTCCCATTCAATCTCCATGATTTATTAGCATCGTGTCCTTGGGTGATTATGTTACTGCTGTCATGCCATTTCTTCATTTGAAATGTGAAGGTTACGATGCTTATTTCACAGGCTGTATGTCAGGTTCATTATGAAAGTAGCATTAGAAAGTTACTATATTAGCATCGACTGAGTACTTGCTAATTGCCAAGCAATGTGCTTTGTGTTGATGCAAAAGAGATGAAAAAAGGCATAGTCCCTGGCCTCTAGGAGCTCAGAAAGTGTAGGCAGCAAGTTAAGCTATAGTGAGAGAGAAGGAAGTTCTTGGAGGATATGGAACATAGAGAGGTACTTCTCCCAGACTAGAATAGAAGAGAGATCAGAAAGGGCTTCCTGGAGGGTGTACTATCTGTAGAGTTTCTCCAAGGAGTAGGGGAGATGAAATGTCTTCCAAACAGATGGTCAATAAGAGCCGGTCATATCAGAGAACTGCACATGGTTTGGCCCAGCTGATGCTGAGAGGTGAAGTGCTGCACCCACCATCCTGACCACAGAAGGCACCCAGAAAAGGCTGGTCTCCCCTTACCTTCTCTTCCCCAGGCATTGCCTGCCCTGTCAGCAGCTGGCACGGAGGTGCACTTGCAGCAGAAGCCCGCCTGTCACTATTGCAGGATTGACCCGTGGGCAGGTGTCCCCCGCAGATATGACATCCCTCCTCCTGGCAGGCCCTCTGAAGTGACTCCCTGCCGTGGGCACTGACACAGCCTGGTGACAATTACAGAGTGAGAGAGACTCCTCGCCATGGGGCTTTCAGATCGGTGCCATTATCCTCATGTAACATTTATATTCCCCTTTGTTCTCCGTGGCCCTTATGAATTCTGCTCATGATTACTCACAGAGCATTATTTCTGCGGAAGAATTCAGGAAAGAAAAAAGTTCTAGATGCCTTTAATCTGCTCCCTCTTCAGGCCCCTTTATTAAGCTGTCCTCTGTTTCCCACCCCACACCCCTGGGATGGCTGATTACCCGTGACAGATTGGGAACCGGGGAGAGAAGCAGCCAGCATCATGGAACGCATGCTGGGCACCATATGACACCTCACACGTACCCATGGTCATATGGTGAAATAGATATCATTATCTGCATTTCCACTTTACAGATGGGGCCTTAGAGGGAGAAGCGATTTATCCAAATCACAGAGATCACGGATAACATAGCTAGGATTTTAACCTGAGTGTGTTTGGCTCCAAAGTGTTTGCTCTTTCTCCATACCAAAATAGCTTCTGAACCCCAAACATGAGGTAGAGATGGAAGGAATGTGCTTAGCTCTTGTGGAAGTTCTTCTAAAACCATTCAGTGGCTTGTGTGCCGCTCCTTCCAGGACTGACAAAGTGAGTGGTGGTGATGCTGTAAAGAGCAGCAAAGCAGGAGTCTTAAGAAGTTCTAAAGTAGGTGAGTGATGCTCAGATTTACATTTTTAAAAGAGCATTCAATCTTCTGCGTAGAGGACAGATTATAGAAAGCAACACAGGCAGCACAGAGACCAATTAGGAGGCTGCTGTCAAAGTCAGAGGGAGCACTGGCGGAGCTTGGCGCACTTGGAGCAGCAGGGAAGATGAAGAGAAGGAGGTAGATTCCGAATCTCTCTGAAGGATAGCACCCACAGGTCTCACTCACTTGTGGGCTGAATGTGGGGGTGAAGTGGTGACATGAATTACAAAGGATTCCTGGGACTTGGGCTTGAGTGATTTGGGGGATGGTGATGACATTTCAAGATGGTAAACACGAAGGGTAGAACATCCGTGGAGGTAAGGTGGGAAAATTAAGACTTTTTGATATATTAAGTTGAGGTGCCCATTAGTCATCTAAGTGGAGACGTCAAGTAGCAGGAGATGTGAGTCTGCAGCAGGGGTGTCAGTGCTGAAGAGAAATTTGGAAGTTATTATCATGAAGATGGTATTTAAAGCCGTGGAAATGGATGGAGTCACCTAAGGAGAGCGTGTATAGGTAAAGAAGAAAAAAGGACCCAGAAGTGAGCCCTGGCATGGTCGTCAGACTGGGGCTCAGACCCAGAGCAGAGGAGGGAGACCCAGCAAAGACAACAAGGGAACACAACCAGGGAGGGCAGAGCAGGGCCTGGACAGGGCTGTGAGTGAAGCCAACCTCATTATCCACGTGGAATATTGCAGGGAAATAAGGGAGATGACTGACAAGACCCTTAGAGTTGCTGGTCTAGAGGCTGACCATGACCCGACAAAGCACAAATGGAGGGTCCCATTCAGCCCAACTGGAGGAGGTGGAAGAGGAAATGAGAGATTGGAAGTAAAAATGCATGAAAGAAGTGATTCTCTGATGGAGAGAAAAGTAACAGAAGCAAGTGGGGAATATGAAAAGGCAGGAGATATTAGCACATGGTATTATTCTGAAAGAATAATTCTAAATAGAGGAGTAAAGTCCTATAATCCAGTCCACAGTGAAAGTTTGCCCTTTGATAGAAGCTGGGGCCATTCATCTGCTGAAAAGGGAGGAAAGGAAGGTGGGCCTGGTGGTGGGAAGAGGATTCCCAATGGGACTGCTTCTCGTGAATTACGTAAGCAATTCAACCAGCTGAGAATGAAGATGGGGAAAACCTAGTGGGGTATTGAGGAGAAAGTCCTTTTCTGAGCATGAGAAATAATATCTAAGTGTAGCAGGGTTGTCAACCACACTTGAGTGTCCATCTGCAGTTACACGCCATACTCTTCCTGCAGGACCAGTCTCAGTGCTGTCTCCATTCATTCGGCTGCATAGGAACAGATAGGAGGGACAATGCACATCTGAGCTTAATCAGGGCTGAGCTTTGGCTGGGTCAGTTAAGCAGAGGAGAGATGCATGGACATTAGAAGTATTTGCAAAGAGTGATTTTAATGATGGTCCTTAGAAGATAAAGTGTGCCTGAGAGGAAAAGAGGTCATGAGGGGGTGACTGATCATGAAAATAGGGTAGATGGATGAATGGCAATGAAATGGAGCCATTGGGAGCTGGGGCACTGAGTCTGTCACCTTCAGGGGTCAGGGGTGTGCCCAGAAAGCACTGTATTCTAAAGGGAGGTTTCAAAGATGCTGCAAACACCAAGGTGTAGCACTGGAGTGAGTGGCTGGGGGAAGAGGTGGAGGAACACAGAGGCCAGTGAGTTCCAGGGCACTGTTCTGTTCCAGGTGCTAGACTCTGCCTGGAGGCCTCTGCCCAGAATCCTCATCACCAGCTTTGAATTGCCTGCTTCTTACCCTCAGGTCTCAACCCAAGTGCCTCCTTCTCAGAGGAACCCCCTCCGCTACCACACCATGACCATCCTTTGATGCATCAGCCCCCTCCAGCCCTCCATTATTTTCCATCACAATGCACAGTTTCCTTCTTCCATTGCACCAGACGGCACTTGCAATTATTTTGTGTATGTGTTTACTCATCTATTTGTTTCCTTACCCTTCCCTCCCACAGACACACAAATGCTCTAACATCAGGACCTGCATCTTGTTTTGCCCTGAACCCCCAACACATTATATGCATCAGTAAACCTTTGTTAAATAAATGAGAGTAAGTCTGAAGTTCCTAACCTGTGCCTGGCACAAAAGAGATGCCCTCCCCTGCAGAGGATCAATCCCCCTCATTCTTCCTCACTTGTAATCTCTGAGGTCGACAGGGCAGGTGGGTGCTTGAGCATTAATCAAAGTATGAAACAGGCAGATGTGGGATGTGGAAAGTGAAAAACACAAAGGCAGAAACGTGCCTGTGCAATCGGGAGGTCTGTGCGCATGGCCCAGGTCTGAACTGGATTCTCTATGTGACCTTGTAGTACCTCCCCTCTCTCTACCTCCCACTCCCCAGGCTGTGTCTACTCACCTGTCAAAGGTGAGGACTGGACTAAATCTGCAGTTTTCAAATCTTTCTTTTTGAATTAGCAGAACTTCTTGGATAAACCCTTTAGCGCTGATTTAGATATAAAATAGATCAATGGGGCTAGTAATATTAAGAGGTCGGTAGAATCCAGCACCCCACAGATCAACCCCCCTACCCAGGGACCTCCACACCAGTTTCTCAGGCCTCTCCCAGGGCCCTGTGGCTCCATGGGACACAGTTTGGAAGCTGCTGGTCTAGACTCCTTGGATCTCCATGGTGGGCATGCCCTGCATGTGCAGCCCTTTATGGGTCCCTCATCCTCCTAAAGAGACCGTCTCCTGGTGACAGAGCTCAGCCCTAAGGCCCCTCTGGCTGGGACACTGCTTTCTCCGTGATCCTGATGGGTGCTAACAGCAATTAGCAGGGAGAGAAATTTCCCTGTAGAAAGATGGGAACATTTATCAGGCACTTCACGCCAGGAGCCAGAACACGGCACAGAATTCATTAGTGTTTAGGGCAAGTAAGCTGTCCCATTCTCACCCAAGTGTTAAAGGGAAATCCAAACTCTATAAATAAGGGCTATTAGGGCGTTTTAAATCTTGGTTTGCACCAAAGTGGAGTTTCTATCTCTTTAATTTGCCATCCTATTCCCTGGGCATATCAGGGCTGATGTGAGTTTAGGGTTTTTTATTAAATCAAGCACCTGTCAGGTGGAAGTTTGTTTCACTGGCAATGTGTGGCCAAACCAGACACCAGTGGATGTCCAGCAGGTCCCTCAGCTGCAGAGCTTCTGAACAGCCTGCCTCTGCTAGTATCCTAACGGCTCGACTGTAACAAATCACGTTAAGGGTTCTTAGCATATCCAAATACTGGCACCTTGCATCTGTCTTTCGTCGCTCCTTTCCCACTCACAGGGGTGGTTGTGAGTCATTTCATGAATGTGTGTTGAGCACCTTCTATGTAGCAGACACTGTGCCATACCCTGGAGATGCAGAGCTATTTTATTCATATCTAAAGTCTCTGCTTTCAAGGAAATCTGAGTATTGGAGGTGAGTCAAGAAGGAAACTGGCCCCTGCAGGAGAGTGTGATGGTTGGGGATGTGTCTGTTATGCAGAGTCAGAGGAGTGACACCCAATCCAGGCTCAGGATGTTCAAGAGAGCTTCTCAAAGCAAGAATACCCAAGGAAGAAGCAACCCACGGGGAAAAGCATTCCCAGGAGCAGGAACTGCATGTGCAAAGTCACAGAGGAGGATAGAGCAGGTTGGACTTGGGGTGCTGAAAGTGTGGAGAGGCTGGAGATTTGCAGACAAGTTGGTGCAGAGAAACGAGGCCAAAGAATGAGGCAGGGCAGGGCCTTGAAGGCTTGGAGGCTTCATGAAGGAATCTGAACTTTAGCCTGAAGAAACAAGGGATCAAAAGAAGTTCTAATGCTGTAATAGCAAGCAGCCTTATGTGGAAATATTCACTGCAATAGTTAATGCTCTAGGCCGGGCTCAGTGGCTCACGCCTGTAATCCCAGCACTTTGGGAGGCTGAGGAGAGCAGATCACGAGGTCAGGAGATCGAGAATACGGTGAAACCCCGTCTCTACTAAAAATACAAAAAAAAAAAATTAGCCGGGCATGGTGGCGGGCGCCTGTAGTCCCAGCTACTCGGGAGGCTGAGGCAGGAGAATGGCGTGAACCCGGGAGGCGGAGCTTGCAGTGAGCCTAGATTGTGCCACTGTACTCCAGCCTGGGTGACAGAGTGAGACTCCGTCTCAAAAAAACAAAAAACAAAAAAAAAGCAAAAAAAAAAAAAACAAAACAAAAAAAAAAAAGTTAATGCTCTTCTAGTCGCAAGTTACAAAAATTCAACTCTAACTGGCCTAAACAGGAAACTCTAGAGATTCAGTTGCATTCAAGCATAAATGGATCCAGGTGCTCCAGTGATACCACCAGGACCAGTCTTGCCGTGGCTGGGATCTGTGCTAGCTTCAATGCCAGAAAGACCCTTTTCCTTGTACCTGCAGGTGGTTCCAGGCCAACCTAACAGCTGGTATTAGCTAACATGCATGATTGCCTACCCCATCCTGACAATATTCTAAATATTTTCTAAACATTCAGTCATTTAGAACTCAGAATAACTCTGTAAGGTGGGTGCTTTTTAAATGCTTTTTCATAGATGACAAATTGAGGCATTGAGAGGTTAAGTAACTTACCCAAAATCATGCAGTTAATGCTGCAGTATAAATGTGTCCCCCAAAAAATCATGTATTGAAACATAATTATTGATGTGATTAAGAGATGGGGTGTTTAGGAGGTGATTAAGTCATAAAGGTGGAGCCCTCAGGAATGAGATTAATGACTTTATAAAAGAAATTTGAGAAAGCTGCTGTCCCCTTTTGCCCTTCCATCTCTTCTGCAACGAGGACACAGAGTTCCCGAAGAGGAATGGGCCTTTACTGGATGCCAAACCTGCCAGCACCTTGATCTTAGACTTCTCAACTTCCAGAACTGTGAAAAATTAATTTTTATTGTTTATATATTACCCAAACTAAGGTATCTTGTTCTGGCAGCAGGAATGAACAAAGGGCTAGTAAATGGCAGAGCTGAAATAAGAACCCGAGTTTGATTCTAGAGCCCATACAACTTACAGGCACCTTTAACCACCACTGTGGGATATTTCCAGCTTGTAATTGCAGCAGAAAGACTCTCTTCCTGATTGTTCCGGCATAGACTCAGTCGTCAGACTGATTTGGGATTCACGCCCATCCCCCTAAACCAATCACTAAATCCAGAGAAATCGAATTTGACAAATGGCCGGGCCTGGGTGCCTCCTGAATCCAGGAGAGTAGGGTAGCCTAACCCAAATCTCATGAATTCAGAAACCAGAGGAGGGGTCCCCCCAAAGAAAAATCAATGTGGTGTTACTGGAAAGAAAAGGGATAGCCAGAGAGAAGAAAACAAAAAATCAACAGCAACAACAATAACAATAATAATAACAATAACCTGATATGTGCACCTCTCATTCCATTTTACAAAGCCCTTTCTCATTCATTAGGCACTTTGATCTCCAGTACAACTCTTTAAGAAAATAACAAAGGATTATTAGATCCACCTTTCAAATAAGGAACCACATTTGGAGCAGTAAAACAAGTCTCCCAAGATCACAGTGAGGAATTGAGGGCCAGAACTTTCTCAGATGCCATTAGTCATGCATTCTCAGCCTTCCATGGCTCACTGTCACCTCCCCTTCCATCCTTGCTGCACTTGGAGCAAATGGGGGTGTTAGTGACAAAAACTGGGCTTGAGCTCTGGCTTTGTCAGGTTCTCTGAATTCTCCCACCAACCCCAGGCAACAGGTGCAATTGATCCATCTTCAGATCTGAGGCTCAGAGGTGGGCAAGGGTGCAGGCCACACCATTGGTGGAGGTGAAGTATCTCCCCGCAACTCCCATCCAGACCATGCCTTATAAGCAGGAGACATCCTCCCCAACCAAACTCCCTTGTTGCTTTCCCCACACGTTTCCCTGGATCCTTGGGCCTGGCTCCCACTGCTCCACATGGCACTGTAGTATAGTGTGGAAAACAGGGTCTGGGCAGAGGACACCCCACACTGAGCAGCAGGGGAGCATCTGTGGACAAAAGGTGGTCAGAGGCTGAGTGAGGAGGAGGCTGAGTGACACCAAGGTCAGGTCTCAGATATCAGAAGCAGCATTTGTAAAGTAAAATAAAAACAAATGTCCTCTAAGTCTCTATCACATGCTGAGCCCTGTGCAAAGCACTTAAAGCCCCTTGTATGCCCCATACCATGTCATCTCCATCACCACTGCACAAGGGAGAAATCAGTGTCTCAACTCAGCTGAAGTTACAGCTAACCCCCTAGGCGGGCTCAGCGCTAAGCCCCTTACATGTGTCTGCTCATTTAATCCTAGTAGCAGCACAAGGAGGCCAGGGCTACCCTCATCCCCTTTTGCAGATGAGCCTTAGTGTTGTGAAGTCACTTCCCTAAGGTTGCTCAACAAGTAAATGCAGAGGCAGTCCTGGAGCCATATCTAGAGACCCCAGAACCCATGACCTGGCCCCACATCCAATCTGTCCCTGAGTCAGAAGGGCGAGGTGAAGCTAGAAAAGAGAGAGGGGCCCTCGCCAGAAGCCGGGAGAATCAAGGCAGGACAGAGGGTATTCAAGGGCAGTGCGGGCAAGTGGTGCTGAATCAAAGCCACAACCAGAGACAGGAGGCTGCAGGACTCTGAGGTGTGGGCTCAGGGCCAGCACAGGGCAGGGTGGTGGCTTAAAAGGTCTATCCTGGACACCATGCTCTTCTTGCCTCTCTGTGGACACCCAGGATGTCCCCCTGTCACCTCTGGAAACCATGTCCTTCACTGCCTGGCCCAGCCCTCACCTCCATGGAAGGCTTCTGGCTTCTCCAGCTGGTTCAGAGTCCCATAATTGTCCGAAGCCCTCTATCACCCTTGGTCTGCTCCATTACAGGGCAGCACTCCATTTACTCTGTTATTCAGTGGTCATTGTTTCAGACGCCACAGAACTGGGAAAGCAGGAGCTGGAGGGAGAGTTCACTCATTCATCCAATACAAATGCATGGCACCTCCTGCATGGTGACACAGAGGTGGATGAAACAAAAATGTTCCCTGTCACAGATGCAGATGCTGTTGTTTTCCTGCCATGACCCTCTCAGCCCACCTGGAGTGAGCTCCTGATGACGATTCCCATACATGCCAACAGCTCACTGCATCTCTCTATCTGAGAATGCTCTCATCTCAGAGCCTGAGGCAGGCTGGACATGCCAGGAATCAATGTTTCAGGAGCAGTCATAGACCAATGAGGTTGGAAGTTGGTGGATAAAGACCCCAGCATCGTCATCCTGAAGTGGAAAAGTTGTCAGATGTGTCTAAAACAGTCTCCCAGAGGTCCCCAGTGAGACAAAGTCCCAGTCACCTGCTGACAGCAGTGACCACTCATCAATAAGACTTTCCTCCCTTCCTCACATTCCTTCCCTCACTTATTCCAGGGCTTCCTAATAAACTAACTGCCCCCAATACTTATCTCAAGGTCTGCCTTGTAGGGGAACTCTACCCTTGTATAGTCCAGTAAGAAGACAACATCTAGAAAATCCTAACTCCTTATTTTACACTTGAAGGAGCTGAACCCCGAAGAGAATAAGCTTCCTTGGTATGTCCATTTTAACTCCATGTCTGTAGTAGGATCTTCTCCAAAGCTGAGACAACTCCTGTCGTATATTTCTTTGGTGTTACTCAGTGCTGGGAACATGGTTGGAGCCCTATAAATACACATTGAGTTGAATTGAATAGTAAATGCTATAGACTTCCCCCAGTCCTGAGGGGAACAAAAGGGCTGGTTTCCAGAGGGCTGCAAATTAGCTCCATCCAGGTGCATGCACCTGGGCTTAGCTGATTCTATCTTGAACACCCGGAAATGAATACATGCAGCTGATTCTTTTCAGTGCAATTGTACAGACCTGTGTTTACATTATGGTCCCCGGCACTGGGCAAATTACTTCATGCATTCATTCCACAAGTATTTTCTGAGCAACTGCAAGGTGCCAGGCACTGTGTGAGCCACTGGGGACATATATAAAGATCATTAAGGTCATCACTGCATGGAGCTTATACTCCAATGGGGGAGATAAAAACAAGCCAGTAAATAAAAACCGTCATTTCAGATTCCTCATCTGTAAAATGGGAAGAGGGGACGTTCCTCTTGGCACTCCAGAGAGGCGTGAATGAGCCGAGCCAGGAGAAGCACCTGCACAGGGTTTAGGGTGCGTAAATTTAGGTTCTTTTCTTCCCCCACCCCAGGTTTGAAGCCAAGGTTTTCTAAGGGAGGAGGCAGAGGCCGGAACAGGGACTAGAAATAGTAACTCAGAGCTATATTTCAGGCACCTCTTTGCTCCTACCTTTCTCCATCTCTCCAAGGAGGGAAAAAAGCCATTCTGGTTGACAGATTCCAGGACAACAAGCCAATGTTGCCAGTAATGAAGATTTCAGAGAGTAGAGTTAAAAGGTCAGTAAGTGAATTAGCTCTTGTTTCTCCTCCTTCTGCAAATCCAAAGTGCTAAGAGCTAGGGTAAGTGATAAGAGCTAGGGTTAGGCCAGCTGTCCTGAGCTCGGGTCTCATTATCTCTCCCTCCCTCCCTCCCAAGGTTTCCGCCTTCTCCTATAGGCAACCTAAGCCGGCTCAGGGTTAGATATGAAAGAGGACAGCCCTCTCTCCTCTCTCCTCTCTATCTCCCCACCACCTTCCCCCCACCTGCCCCCTGCCCTGTGTTCCTTTCCCACTAGGTATCAGAGCTGCTCTCTATTCATTCTAAGGTTTGCCCACTGAGATAATAAAGAGGTTAGGAGGACAAACTCCACAGACGAACT
Organism: Homo sapiens; assembly: GCF_000001405.40. Lineage (NCBI taxonomy): Eukaryota > Metazoa > Chordata > Mammalia > Primates > Hominidae > Homo > Homo sapiens. The sequence goes on along the minus strand of NC_000008.11, from coordinate 134,940,175 downwards.
GCCACCTTTAGTCACTTGTGACCTTAAGAAAATGACTTAGTCTCTTCACAGCCCAATTTTTTCATCTGTCAAATGGGTGCAATAGCAATGATTTTCATCTCAAAGGATAACGGAGAGGTAGCTCATGGATTGCTAGGTGTAACTCTAACTTCCAGCTGTTTTGAATAGAACAGGGGCAGGAAGCTTCTTAGGCTATTATCAAGCCAAAGCATCCCCTACAAATCGCTGGGCCCCGTAAGGCCCAGCTGGCAATCCTAGGCTGTTTGCCTTCCCGTTTCTATTAGTGCATATGTTCCTCCCTCCACTGCTGTTTACTTGGGCTCCATTTGGTTATTCATGGGATAATATCACCGAGAAACACCCCAGCCTCACCCCGATGTCTAACATAACCCCTTCCCTCTCTCTATGATCGCAAAGATTTGGTTGTGATTTTCCCTTCTGGTGGGAAGGCTCAATACATCAAGAAATGCCTCCCCTCTCCTACCTTTGCTCTGACAAGCATCAAGACAGAAAAATAACCACTTACCCTTTCCAGACAAGGCCCCCAAATCTGCTAGGAATTGCCTACCCCTCCGACTCCCCTGCTCCCACTCACACACGCTTTTCCCCAGTCTCAGGGGCCAGGCAGAGGTGGGGCTGGGGAACTCCAACTCCTAACCACCCCTGAGCTGTGGCACTGACTGAATTAATTCAAGAGGTGGATGGCAGCCATTCAGCCTGAAGGCCACCTGTGCTCCAAATTTGAAAATCCATTCACTGGGGAAAAGCTGAGAGTCCCAAAGAGAGTCAATGGATTTTCGTTCACCGAACATTGCTTTGGGCAAATAAGCAATTTTATTTCCCCTTCCCCACCTCCTTGAAAACATCAATGAAGTGTTTTGTGGTGTTGCTGACAGCACATGTCACTTCGGAACTGAAAATAAAATCTTCTTTGAGCTATTTATAACTGACTGGCAAATAGAAGATAGTGGGATGGGAGCTAAGAAGAAATCCGAGATTAGTGGAGTGAGCTGAGAGCCAGCCCCTTCAGCTCCCAGCTGTGCAGCTCTGCAGGAGCCACTTAGAGTCTCTGGCCCCAGGTCCTGATCTATAAAGGAGGACAGATGACCCCCGCCCACCTCCCTAAAGAGGGAGCAAGGATGGGGCATGGAGAGGATGAGGGAGGGAAATAAGAGAGAGACATGTACATGCTTTGCAAGGAAAGGTGGGGGGGTCTTTTATGAGCTGTTAAGTGCCCATGCAAGTGACATTTCAGAGACCTTGAGGGATCCTTCTTAAAGCAGGGGTTTTTAACTTGAGGTTGAAGATCTAAACAGCTTTAAGGGGCCCGGGAACCACCTGTAATTATATGCATTGTTTGTAGTGCAGGGTGCATCTCTCAAAAGAGAAGGTCTTTAAATTACATCAAAGTCTCAAAAGAAATGGGGACATGTTGTTCAAAGGGTACAAACTTTCAGTTATCAGGTGAATAAGTTCAGGGGAATCTAATGTATAGCATGGGTTATATATGTATATAATGTATAGCACGGACTACAGTTAATAATACCTTATTGTTTACTTGAACTTTGCTAAGGGAGCAGATCTTAAGTGTCCTTTCCACACACATAGACACAATGGTAACTAAGTGTAGTGAAGGGTGTGTCAATTAATTTGCTTGTGGTAACCATTACCCAATGTATACGTATATAAAATCAACATGTGTATATCTTGAATATATACCATTTTGATATTTCAATTATACCTAAATAAAGCTGGGGGAAAAAAATTATCAAAAAGCATTCAGAGGCTGGGCGCAATGGCTCACACCTGCAATCCCAGCACTTTGGGAGGCTGAGGCGGGCAGATCACAAGGTCAGGAGATCAAGACCATCCTGGCTAACATGGTGAAACCCCGTCTCTACTGAAAAATACAAAAAATTAGCCAGGCATGGTGGTAGGCGCCTGTAGTCCCAGCTACTCGGGAGGCTGAGGCAGGAGAATGGCATGAACCCGGGGGGTGGAGCTTGTAGTGAGCTGAGATTACGCAGCTGCACTCCAGCCTGGGTGACACAGCGAGACTCCGTCTCAAAAAAAAAAAGAATTCAGAGAGTTTAAATCCAACATCCTAGATGGGGAAGAAGGCTGCAAACTCAGATGCCCACCGAATCCAGGTAGGTGGTCTTGGGTGGAAGCTGGGCAAGGAACCAAACGAATGGACCCGTGTGGACAGCGGCAACCTGGCAGCTCCAGCCCCAACAAAGGCAGTAACCACTACTCAGAGATTATTGTCAATCAGGAATGTGGGCCCAAGGGCTCCTGATTCTTTATTTGTTTTTTCGGTTGTTTCTTTGTTTTTGAGGCAGGGTCTCATTCCATTGTCCAGGCTGGAGTGCAGTGGCACAATCGTAGCTCACCACAGCCTTAACCTCCTGGACTTAAGCGATCCTCCCACCTCAGCCTCCAAATCAGCCAGGACCACAGATGTGTGCCACCATGCCCAGCTAATTTTTGTATTTTTTGTATAGACGGGGTTTTGCCATTCTGCCCAGTCTGTCTTTATTTGATTTTAAGACAAAAATAGAAAATCCAGATTTTTATTTATAATCATCTACCTATTTTCTTTCCTTTAGCTAATTCACAGCTTTAAAATTGTTTGGGTTTGGCCAGGCGTGGTGGCTCATACCTGTAATCCTAGCACTTTGGGAGGTCAAGGCAGGTGGATCACCTGAGGTCAGGAGTTCAAGACTAGCCTGGCCAACATGGTGGAACCCCATCTCTACTCAAAATACAAAAAAAAAAAAAAAAAATTTAGCTCAGTGTGATGGCACACTCCTGTAATCCCAGCTACTTGGGAGGCTGAGGCAGGAGAATCACTTGAAACCGGGAGGTGGAGGTTGCAGTGAGCCAAGATCGCACCACTGCACTCCAGCCTGGGTGACACAGTGAGACTCCATCTCAAAAAAAAAAAAAAAAATTGTTGGGTTCAATACAACACATCAGCAGGCTGCATTCACCCTGAACACCCCACTGTGTAAATTCTATTCTAGAGTCACTTGGGGAGACGTCTCATAGCTGCTCAAGAGGAACCCAAGACCAGCATCGTGATTCCAAAATGATGCCATCATAAGCTCTCTTGAGGCCCCTGATGTCACCATCTTTCCACATGTTCACCTCTTCTGGGAACTGTACTCTCCATCAGCTCCTCCCTCTGACTCCCATTGGATCCATTTCCAAATACCTATCCACTGACCCTCAGAGCCTCCTCTGATTCAAGCTTCTGCTCATCTCCTGGACCTGCCTGGTGTGTACCTACCTATCACTCCATCATCAGCATGGCAGCCAGCTGGTTCCCGGCCACAAGCCTTTCCCTTCTTTGTGCATACAGGCAATCATGAGATGTGGCTGTCCGGCCTCTGCTACACACAACAATAAAGAAGTTACTTCACCTCCTTGAACCTCAGTTCCCAAACAGGTTCCAATTCATGTTGATGGTCCTATCACTCACCAGGAACTCAAGGCCCCACTCCATTCTTTCCCTTGAATTCATTAATTGGATCCCAATTGTTTTTTTATCTCTGGGGAGGAATCAGTGGGTTGTAGGTATGGAGAAAGATGCCAGAAGTGCTCCTCCAAAACCTTTCCCTCTTGAGAAGTAGGATTTCCATTCTCCCTGCAGAAACACTAAGAGTTGGAGATAAGAGTTCCCTAGCAATGCAGCCATTCACTATTTGCAACAAGACTGAAAACGAATTGCTTATCCTTTGGAGACAAGGTCCAAAATCTGTTTAAACAACACCCTTGCTGTTGTCTGCATGGTTTTGGCCAGGCATAAAGAAGGGAATGTAGTTGTTTGTTTAATGCCCTCATCTTCCTTGCTGGATCCTAAGTTTCACAAGGGCAGGGTCTGTATTTGTCCTGTGCACTTCTGAGACCTCAGTTCCTGGCAGAGGTCCTGGCATGTGGCTAGAGCTCAAGAGATGGTTGTTGAAATGAATTAAATCTGCTGACAGCGACACCTGGCAAGCTACCACTCCCGAGTTTTCTCATCCCCAGGCTAAATGTGCCTCAGAGTCTTGAGCCTCTCCTGACCCCACAATCACCCCAAGGAACGACTCCCCACTTTATAGTGACCCCACCCAAACATAATACTCCACAAAAGGTTGAGCGGCCCAAGGCCCTCAGCGCAAGACTTTCCTCTCCTCTGCAGACCACCTTCGTCTCTGCACGTGCCTGGGACAAGACTTATATTTCTGACAGCACCATCACTTCACTGCCTGTGGTCCAGGATAGAGCTGCAAGGAAGAGGCTCCGGAGCAGCCTGCTAAAGCTAACAAAATGGTTCCTGTGTATGGAGGAAGCTGCTGCCCCACAGACATGTGACAGAAAAATTAATCTTTTTACAGATGAGTAGACAAAGGCCTGCAGAGAGATGTGTCATCTCAAGAATGGGGTGTGGAATTGATTGTAGAGAGAAGGGGTCCCCCAGAGGGATAAATAGTGAGCTGTCGTTGTTCATGCTCTGTAGTTTGAAAACAGCTAAACCTCCAGAAACAGAAAGACAAGATTAGAGAAAAATGTGTCACTGGAGGTTTTCTTTTTTTCTTCTATTTTAGACAACTTTATTGGGGTATGATTGACATACAAAAGCTGTACATAATTAATGTATACAACCTGATAAGTTGTATTTTTGTTTTGTTTTTTTGAGACAGGGCCTTGCTATGTTGCCTAGGCTGGTCTTGAACTCCTGGATTCAAGCAATCCTCTTGCCCTGGCCTCCCAAAGTGCTGGGATTACAGTTGTGAGCCACCCTGATGACTTTAGATTAAGTATACACTCGCGAAATCATCACCACAGTCAATTCCATAAACATACGCATCATCTCCAAGAGTGTCCTCCTGCTCCCTTTATTTTTTTTACTTGTGTCTTTCTTTTGTAGTAACTGGTAATCCCATTTCTAGATCTATATACCCAGCAATTGAAATAAGGGTCTCAAAGAACTATCAGCACTCTCATGTTTATTGCAGCGTTATTCTCAATAGCCAATACATAGAAATAACCAAAGTGTCCACAGGAAGACGAATGAATAAAGAAAATGTGCTATATACATTCAGTGGAATGTTATTCAGTCATTAAAAATAAGAAAATCTTGCCAGTGGTGAGAACAGGGATGGAGCTGGAGGACATTATGCTAAGTGAAATAAGCCAGACATAGAAGGATAAATACTACTGGAGGTTTTCATGAGATCTGGTTTGGTGACAGGGCAGGGTAATGAATGGAGAAGTAGTTTTGACTCAAAAGACTTACCTTTAGGTCCTATAAAATCCACGGAAATAACCTTAATTTCTTCAAGCTGAAATTTCTTTCTCCATAGTGGCAGACTGAATTGGATCCAGTTCTTCAGACCCCAGTACAAGTACTCTGCATTCACCCTCCCTAGCCATGCCTTTGCTTTGACTCGGCCATGTGCCCTGCCTTAGGGAACGGAATGTTAGCTGTCATGACAGGAGGGGAGAATTGAGATGAGATTGGGCTGCCATTGAGCCTACTTCTGTGCTCTGGTGATCTGCCTTGACCTGAGCTTCCCTGAGGTGCAGTATCTATTCCTTCAGCCCAGGACCCAGAACTGAGTTCAACCTGCAGGCTGGAGCAAGGCTCAGCCAGTCCCACAGAGCCACCCTACGGAGCCTAGCCAAGATCAGCCTATCCACAGTCAATCAGAAAACCCATGAACAAAGGGAATAAATACTCATTGTTTTATACTAGTGGGAGTCTATGGCTGATTTCTACACAGCGAAAAAGACTGAATACTGGTGAAATGAGGGCAGCATCAATTCTGATGAACTCTTTGCATCATGCTCTGAATCAGAAGTCATGGTAGTAGACAGAGTCTCTTGCACATTATAACACATGACAAATGTAAGGTGTTTATTTATTGTTATTGGGTAAATAAACCAAATGTGTCTCAAATGGAGTGAAAAGAAGAATGTGATTAAATGTAAACAAAAAAGTAAAGTATATTATTTAATTTGTCACTTCAGTCTTTTTACAAAGATCTGCTCATACCCCTTCTCTACTTAAAACTCTCTGTTACTTACAAGCTGTCATAGACACCTTGTCAGGCACTGGTGGCTTTTAATGTGGCTTCATCATGCCTCTCCCACCTTCTATTTGGCCTCTCACTCACCCCACATATGGCTCACTGTATATTCCGAGAGCCAAAATTGGACTAAAACATGACCCCCTAAATACCTCAAAACCTTTTACCCTCTGTGAGTTTGGACAAGGCATTGCTATTTCCCAAGTGCCGCCTCCTCTATGAAGCTGCTTCTGCCTTCCTTAGGCAGAGTCAGCCACTCTCTCCTCTAGCTCTCACAGTTCATAATCCTTTGAGCATGTATCCCGTGCTGTGGTAGGCTGCTGCCTAGTAACCCTTCAAGGAACTATTTCTTCCAGAATCCATGCCCTCATAGAGTCCCTTCCCACTAATAGATTATAACAAAATTGTCATTGTAACCTTTCTAGGGCTAGCCCGTAATTTAGCCTGGCAACTTCTGCTTCCTCCCTCTCAGAAGTTTCTTCTAGAAACCCAGCCACCATGTCATGAGGCAGCCCAAGCAGCCACGTCAAGAAGGCTACATGAATGAGAACTGTGGCCCCTGCCTGACAACTCCAGCTAGGCTCTGGTCAAGCCTCTCAACGATTCCAGCCTTCTAGACACCCCCAAAGTTCCAGCCCCAACTGAGCTCCCAGTTGAGTTTCCACATGAGGGAAGCCTTCTCAGCACCCCAGCAAGGCAACGTGAAGAAGAAAAGTTGCCCAATAAACCCAGAAAATCATGAATAGTAATATGCCACTAATTGTTTTAAGCCACTAAATGTGAGGGTGGTTTGTGATGCAACCAAAGATGACTGAAACACCTCTATCTGTCAGGGCTCTCAGTTGCGAACAACAGAATTGATTCAGTCTTTTATTAAAGGAAACTTAGACAATGAAAGAATTTCTGAGAGGGCCCTAAAATCATGCCTGAAGGCTATATATCCAGTAACAAAATCTTATTTACTGCACTGATGGCTCTGATGGAGTCCCAGTGTTGCTGGCCTAACATGGTCACCTTGACTAACACCATGTTTACTACAGTCAAGAGGTCCACCCCTTAACCTGAATGTCTCTTCATCATCATCACTAGAATGGATTTCAAGTTTTGTCTGCTTCTTTATGTCCCACTTTTAAATCCAAGTTTGATGTCATTCCTTCTGAGGAATAGAAACTGGGCCATGTACTATATCCTACCTTTAAAGGAACCATGAAAAGTGAGTATATTAGTTTGCTATTGCTACCCTAATAATACACTTGGTGGCTTACATGGCAAAAATCTATTTTCTTTCAGTCTCAACGTCAGAAGTGTCAATGGGCTAAAAATCAAGATATTGAGCAGTCTGTGTTCCTTCTGGAAGCCCTAAGGGAGAACCCATTACTTGCCTTTTCCAGCTTCTAGAGGCTGCCTGCATTCCTTGGCTCATGGTCCCCTTCACATCATTCTGACCTCTGCTTCCATCCTTATGTCGTCTCCTCTGAATATGCTTCTCTTGCTTCCCTCTGCTTATAAGGACCCTTGTGATTGCTTTGGGCCCTCCAAGATAATCCAAGATAATCCTCCATCTTGATATCACTAACTTAATCAAATCTTTAAAGTCTTCTCTGCCATGCAAGTTGACATTTGATAGGTTCTGGGGATTAGGACCTGCACATCTTTGGGTGGCCATTATTTTACCCAACATAGTGAGTTTCTGAATTTAATCTTAGAAAGATAGAATTCAAAAAGTAGAAAATTCTTCAAAAATGGAAAACAAAATCAGCGACTTTACTAGTGCTGCTTACACATATGTTATGTTTCTGTTTCTTTCTGGTTACATAGGATATTGCACATTCTTGTCCCTATTGAAAAGAGTCATGCCCATGCAACTTGCTTTGGCCATTGAAAAACAAGCAGAAATGGATGACAGTCTTACTTTTAGCAGTGCAAAGCTCATCATGCTCTTTGTCTTTCCTGTCATAGTCACTGGCGAACAGCAGCCTCTCTACCAACCTGAGTCCCAGAGTAAGGCAGAACCCCTAGATGACCTATGATGGACATGCAACATTGATGAGAAATAAATTTTGTTGTGTTAAGCTACTAAGATTTGGGGGCCTAAATTAGCTCATCCCAGTGTTCAAAATATTCAGGACAGCCTAAAGCAGGTTTACTACACACTATTTTGTAATTGTATGCTTCCAAGTATGTCTCTAAGAATGTTTATCCACTGGTCACAATGGAGCTATCTTGGTCAAGATCCAGCAACAATTAATGAATTCAAAGGTCAAACTAAAATCCTCTCAATGCAACTTGGTATATCCTCCCATAACTCCTGAATGCATTCATGCATGCCCACACATATATATACACACACACACAGAGAACAAGGCTATCTGTCATCACAGAGAAGCTGCTCCTTCATTGCCTTCTTCTAGGTTCCCAGCTGTTACACGACCCCAGGCCAGGAAAGCCAGTGGACTGCAGGAGAGAAATGACAACACTGATTCTAACTTGCAAGGTTGCTCGGAAGCCTAAATGGGGATGAAGAGCTAAGTCAACTGACAGGAAAGAGAGATGCCCAGCTGAATAAATAGACTTAACAAGTTGGTTATAACTGTGTCTGCCACAACTCCGCAGCTCCAGGAAATATAAGAACACAGAAATCCAGACAGCCTGAGTCCTGGTGAGGCAAGCTAGTTAAGGGGCCAGGAAAATCCTCCCCCACATATGTACTCACTAGAAAGGTCTTTACTGAGGATGGGTGTTTGCCAGAGAGCCAGGCCTGGAAGACAGCTTGAAGGAAAAAGGAGAAAACTGTTGTGTGCGGGGGTGTGATGTGGGGGCCTGTGTATGTCAGCATGGGGGTCAGGATGGGTAGGGAATATAGAACACAATTTGTCCTAGAAATCAGTCCAGAACCTTTCCCTCCAATGGGGAAGTTAGCACAGGGGCAATTCTCAGTGAGCGTGGTAGAGACGGGCTTCTGTAATTTGGGGGTAGCTCGGTGGTTAACACGATTTTACGATCACATAGCCAGGCTTAAATCCTAACCACTGAAAATGTTCAGGGAGCTAAAAAGACCAAATTTAAGCTTCATGTATGTCACATATCTTACTGATTTTTGTTTATCTTGCGTTTAGTACTGTGCTGAAACATAAATGCCATTCCTCTATTCAGTCATGCATTCATTCATTCATTCCTTTTTTCTTTCTTTTGAGAAACATGAATGGAGCAGCTACCCTGAAATCTTGGAAGAAATAAATAAGGCACAATATTTTCCCTTAAAGAACATGCAGATGATACAATAATATAAAAGTTAACCATAGAGCAAGGGTCTCCAAAGTGGAAGAAGGGGCACATTTACCAGGATACTATAATATAAAAAGTTAACCATAGAGCAGGGGTCTCCAAAGTGGAAGAAGGGGCACATTTACCAGGATACTATAATATAAAAAGTTAACCATAGAGCAGGGGTCTCCAAAGTGGAAGAAGGGGCACATTTACCAGGATACTATAATATAAAAAGTTAACCATAGAGCAGGGGTCTCCAAAGTGGAAGAAGGTGCACATTTACCAGGATACTATAATATAAAAAGTTAACCATAGAGCAGGGGTCTCCAAAGTGGAAGAAGGGGCACATTTACCAGGATACTATAATATAAAAAGTTAACCATAGAGCAGGGGTCTCCAAAGTGGAAGAAGGGGCACATTTACCAGGATACTATAATACATAAAGTTAACCATAGAGCAGGGGTCTACAAAGTGGAAGAAAGAGCACATTTACCAGCTGTACCCAAGACAACCACTTGGATAGAAAAAGAAAATATTCAAACTTCTATTTCTATTTATTGTTCTCTAATATTTTCTAAGTTTGTATTTTATGTATGCCTTATAATTTGTACAATAAAACAACACAGTGGCACTTGTAAATAATAAATAAATGAAGGAATATGCAAGAAAATATATTTTGAAGATGTGTGCTCAAAATTTGATAGAATGCACAATCAAAATCCTGGAGATTTTAGATTTCCTGGTTAAGAGGACAGCAAGATAAGAGCATCGGATTCATCCTCATCTACCTTCCAATTGAAATACTTATGAAAATAGACCCAAGAGAGCTAAAGGTACAATAACTGTGAAAGCCAGAAATAATGTTCAGTTATCTACCACAGCCCAAGAGAAATTTCTACTAAGTGAACAATGAGTGAGGCTATGAAGCAGAACAATAACACCAGCAAGAAGACAGATTCCCAAACATCTCCATGGCATCCACCTACCTCAGAAACCATAGCTTCTTTATCACAAGGAAGGACAGCCGGGGGGCTGTACTAACTATCCAATGCTGTGTCACAGATAATCTAACATTTAGTGGCTTTAAAAAACAATCAATTCTTACCTCTCTTAGTTCAGCACATCAGGAACATAGAAGCAGCTCAGTTGGGCACTTCTGGCTCATGGTCTCTCCGGTGACTGCTGTCAGATATCAGCTGGCATGCCAGTCATCTATAATGATGGACTGAGGCCAGAAGCCCCACATCCTTCCAAGGATGCTCACCCACGTGGCCAGCAAGTTGGAAATGGCCAGTTGGTTTCTTTTCAGGCAGGCTCTCCACAGAGCTTCTTGAGTGTCCTTTCAACATGGCAGCTGGCTTCTTTCAGAGAGAATGATCTAAGAGGCCATGCTGGAAGCTGCAATGCATTTTATGACCTAACCTTGGGAATCACACACTATTACCTCCACCATATTCTGTTGGTCACACAGGCCAGCCCTGTTTCCATGTGGAAAAGAACTACACAGGGCATAAATATTAGAAGTAGGGATCACCAAGGCCACAGTAAAGGCTGACAGTAAAGGCTGACTGCCACAGAAGCAAATTCACTGAAGGTAAGTTTTGATGGGGCCAGGGCCCTTTTTCTGTCTCTATCACTTTCTCTCTCTCTCTCTCTCTCTCTCTCTCTCTCTCTCTCTCTCTCTGTCACATGTATCTCCTCCATTAGTTTTTATCTGTCCACATTTTCCCAAGGATTACAACATCCATTTGTAAAAGAGGGAAAATTTTTATGGAGTTCCCAACTAGCACCAACGAAGGATTTATATGTAGAATATCTATAGACATATCCCTAATAGGTTACTTGGGAAAAAAGAAAAACCCCTGTGAGTATGAGTTCAGCGAGAACCAAGGCAACAAAGGAGATGCCCAGACCACTGCTCGAGACTAGGGAGATAACTTTATTTTTGAAAAGATTTCTCTTACATTTCCCTTAATTCTGCAGCCTCCACTGGCAGAGGTCAGTGTTCCAAGGACCAACAAAGGATTAACTTGCAGGGGACACTGGCATGGATTTGCCAACACAGAAGACAAGACTTCCTTTCCCAGCCAGCAGTGGGTGGGTTCTTGCCTCCTGATGCCCGACTACCTCAATGAAGCCATTTCCATATAGAGTATAAGGTTCTGTAACTTTCAGAACCCACTTCAAGTGAATTCCTACACCAGGGAGGTGTACTCCCCGTATCAGGGAGGGTTCTTAGATGCAAACAACATAATTCATTCTGCCTAATATAAGCATGAAACAAACGTATTAAAGGCCGGTGGATAGCATGAAACAAACATATTAAAGGCTGGCGGATAGCACAAAACATCTCTGAGAAGGGCAAAGAACTGACCCTGAAGCTACAAAGTCCAAACACACTTAAGAGGATTATCTAACCAAATCATCACCACCATTGCTACAGTGTAGCTAGATGATCAGGACTGAATGACAACAATCCTATCACTGCTGCCCCGGAAGAACCCAATAGCCCCCCACTTTCAGAACAAGAATCTTCCCTTTCCAGACTAAAGTTTCATATTGCTCATTTTGGATTCCACATCTCAACCAGGTTGATCTGACTATAAGGACTGAGGTCTCCTGCCTTTATGCAGCTGGAAGCAGGCCTCAGGATAAAATATTCTGGATTCTACTTTGAGAAAGCAGGAGAAATAATTAAGATATAGTGATGTTATTTAAAAGATACTGGGCAGCTACAAATGACATATGTCAATTGCAGAGACAAAATGAACATAATTAATATAAATTAGTGAGAAGGAAAAGGGAAGGTGTTTTTCCCCACCTACCCCATCCAGATCAGAAGTAGGTATTGCTAACATTGCTGTTTATTGGACCTCATGAAATCCCAGTGAAGTAAACTGCTCAGGATTATGAGGCTCAGGGAGAGATCAGAGTAGACAAGACAGCCATCACAGGAGACCCTGCTAAACATCTAGACATAAAGAAAAGATGTCTCCCTCGGCACTTGTATCTGCATCTCTACAGGGGATTCCACGGGCATTTATCTTGGACCCAGAGATAGAAAACCTGAGCCTTGTAGGCTAAAAATGTGCCCATCTTCATCCACAAGCATCCTGTTATAATTTCTTTCACGTAGACTGTAGGAACGCACATTTGTTTTATTTGTTTGGTTTTTTTTTTTTGTTTTGTTTGTTTTTTTTGTTTTGAGATGGAGTCTTGCTCTGTCACCCAGGCTGGAGTGCAGTGGCACCATCTCAGCTCACTGCAAGTTCCTCCTCCCAGGTTCACACCATTCTCCTGCCTCAGTCTCCGAGTAGCTGGGACTAGAGGTGCCCGCCACCACACCCGGTTAATTTTTTGTATTTTTAGTAGAGACGGGGTTTCACTCTGTTAGCTAGGATGGTATCGATCTCCTGACCTCGTGATCCACCGGCCTCGGCCTCCCAAAGTGCTGGGATTACAGGCATGAGCCACTGCGCCTGGCCAGGAATGCACATGTTTTATATATCAAAATGCATGTGTAAATTTATTTTCCCATTCCTTTTCACCAAAGCCACTCCCAAGCAGAGCTCCAGATAAGCAGAACAGAAACAGAGGTACTAGGTGCAGTGGTTCTTTGTCATGTTTTGGCTACCCAAAATGTAAATTTCCTTCCTCTTTGGCAGTAATCCCCAAACTGTATTACAGTCTTGGTGATAAGCACAGTGTATAGAAACCTCAGGAGCCCTAGTAACCCCTCTCCTCGCTACGCAGCAGCTGGGCAGCCACACAACCTAGGCTTATCCAACGGGATTCTCCTATCTTGAACGCTGAAGCTCCCGTGTTCTCAGCTACCTTCCCTCCCGTGGTGTCTGTCATTTTTGTGAGCCTGGTTTCCAGCCTTTTCATCACTCCTGTATCTCACCAGCACACTTCCCAAAGGTCATCTTCTTGCTTAAGTTATGCAGACTCAGTTATGCAGTCAAAAAACCCATGAGCAGTACAGCCTTAATGTAATTCTAATCATTAAAGAATTCAAAGTTTTGTTAGCCTACCCAGCTTCATCAGGGTCAACGAACAGGTTTTGTTAGACTTTCCGAAAGGCCTTCATGTTTCAACAAACGTCATTGTTTGCACCCTCTGAGCCAAGCACTGTCCTAGATAATGGAGACTCAAAGATGAATCGGCAGCCATTCTCTCTCTCCAGGAGTTTGCAGTTGGAAGGAGTTCAAAGCTGTTTTAATGCCCCCCATGATCATCACTATCTTTCAGACACCTAGGAATCAGGTTAGAAACCACTGATCTAATCAAATCTCATTTTATATAAGAAAAAACTAAGAACCAGAGAGGTAAAGAGATTTCTCCAAAGTTAGGACCGGAACTCAACTTCCAAAATCCTACGCCAAAGCTCTTTCCACTTCATCATCCCACCTGCATGAGATTGAAGCAGCAGACATCACCTGCCCATTTGCTGATTTTTGCCAACTGGCCGACACTGAGATGCTGGCAAGCAGACTTGTGAATGCCCAGTTAAGCCCAGCTGGGGTCATCTGCAAAATGGAACACTACCTGCGGAGGAAAACAGTCTCACGGAGGCCCTGCAGAGACGCTATGGAGGACAGGCTTAGAGCAAGCGAGTCCAAAAGAGGAACGGGAACGGAAGCAGACATGGAAGCTGATCTGCCTGCCTTCCCAGCACACACCCAGGAACATATGGCCTGTAATTAGCCACCCGGGAGATGGTTATGGAGCCACAAATGGAGAATTACGGCTTCAGGGGCTTCAGGTGAGAAACCTCGGCAGGAAGCCCAGCCTTCAGAAGACAGAAAAGCCTGTTTTCATGCAAATGCCTTCAGTAATCATAAACAAAGGGAGACAGGCAGGGGCTTAGGGATGACAGAGCACGAGGAGCTGTGGCTCTACCAGATGTGTAACTGGAAGGTCTTCGAGGCCCCGCAGCCCTTCTGGCGTTCCTCACGGGCCCTGGGCACCCCACCTGATTTATCACAGGACTGCAATCTGGCAACCCTCAGGGACATGACTGAGCCTGTGGTTCCAATGACCCTGATTTTCGTGGTTGGGAAGATCCACTTTACACATAAGAATTAGCCACCATTCCTCTGAACCGAGTTCATTTTGCCTCTTTGCCTCCAGCCCCTTCTACCCCATGCTAAGTGGAGGAGGAGCAGAAGTAGCAGACACTCCCCAGGCCTGAATCCTGTGACCACCACTTCCTGGCTAAAGGCCGTCACTTCACTTCTATTTTCTCGTTTCCTATCTGTAAAATGGGGACCATGTTGTACGGAAAACAGGAGCTACTACTTTGAAAGCTGTTAGGCATGTGTCTTGCTTATCATACAGACTCAATAAGGGTGAGAGGTCTCTGTCGATATCCCCACCTCACAGATGCCTTTAGCTCACTCGTATCCAATTCGGTTGCACTGTCTTACTGCTCTAGTCCTTCTCGGCTTTCCTCTCACCTCACATACCCTCCCACAATTCAAACTCCCCTCCACCTGTGTGCCTTTGATAATCACACTTGGAGTTCCTTTCCCCCTCATTTCTGCACCTCTATAACCTACCCCACCACCTAGACTCAGAACCAATGGTAGTTCTTCAGAAAGCATCCCGCATAGCAAAGACAGAAATAACCAATCCCTTCTCAGCTGTCGTGATGAATCAGCTCCCTTATGGCTCTGGGCACTCTCTTCCCTGTATTGGAATCATTTATGCCTGTTACCTCTCCCAATCCCCAACTACCTACTGCGTGGAGCAGCAGGGGCTTGGTAAATATTCATAGAATGGGTGTACAAAAGAAGAAAGGGATAATGTTTGCTCTGTGTAGCTTCCAGTTTCCTCTGACCTGTCCCCGTCATCCTCCACTCTGCTCAAATCTTCTTGCTCAGCCAAGAAGCACCATTCACTCACTCTCCTGAAAGCAGCTGCAGATGTACGCTTTCAAACCCACCATATGCCAAGTCCTGAAAGGAAAGTCAAAGCTCCAGCTGGCCTTGCCTGAATGAGAAAGAAGGAGTAGGGCAGAAGTGAAGGGTGCCAATATGTACACTGATGGGTCAGGGAGCTGTCGACACAGGCACAGACTGCAGAAGTTGGAGTAATGGAAAATAAGCCAGAATTGGCTGGCTGAGCCCGGCGCGGTGGCTCATGCCTGTAATCCCAGCACTTTGGGAGGCTGAGGCAGGTGGATCAGTTGAAGTCAGGAGTTAGAGACAAGCCTAGGTAACATGGTGTAACCCTGTCTCTACTGAAAATACAAAAAATTAGCCGGGCATGGTGGTGTGCACCTGTGGTCCCAGCTACTCCGGAGGCTGAGGCTGGAGAATCTCTTGAACCCAGGAGGCAGAGGTTGCAGTGAGCTGAGATGGCACCACTGCACTCCAGCCTGGGTGACAGAGCAAGACTCTGTCTCAACAAAAAAAAAAAAAAAAAGGAGAAGAAGAAGAATTGGCTGACTGAGGTCAGACCATGAAGCTCTTGCTAAAGAAATTAGGTTATGTTCTATAAACAGTGGGGAGTCCATGAGGATTCATTGGAGATGATTTCTAATAAAGTTCTGAGCATGATGACTGACACAGAGTGAGTGTTCAATAAATGTTAACTATTATCATCATTATTAATTTAATGGACATCTTAGGTCTAGGGAGGTAGCCATTGGATGCTTTGAAATGAAAATATCCAGGTAATTATACTCAAGTTCTACTTCTTCCCCCAACTCACTGTATGACCTCATGCAAGTCTCTCGACCTGTCTGAACCTCTCTGGGCTCCAGTTTCCTTATCCGTAAAATGAAGGGGCTGTACTTGGTCATCTCTGTCTTTGTGAACACCAAAAATCTGAGACAGGTCTCAGTCAATTTAGGAAGTTTATTTTGCCAAAGTTAAGGATGCGCACTCATGACAGCCTCAGGAGGTCCTGAGGATATGTGCCTAAGGTGGTCAGGGCACAGCTTGGTTTCATACATTTTAGGGAGACATGAGACATCAATCAACATACATAAGATGAACATTGATTTGGTCCAGAAAAGTAGGACAACTCAAAGCAAAGGCAAGGCAACTGGCAGGGAGGGGGCTCCCGGGTCATAGGTAGATAAGAGACAAATGTTTGCCTTCTTTTGAGTTTCTGATTACCCTCTACAAAGAAGGCAATAAGATATGCATTTATCTCAGTGAGGGGTGACTTTGAATAGAATAGGAGGCAGGTTTGCCCTAAGCAGTTCCCAGTTTGACTTTTCCCATTAGCTTAGTGATCTGGGGGCCCCAAGATTTATTTTCCTTTCACATCTTCCTCCTTTAACGATCCCTTATCCTGAGACTCAGCTTCTCCTGCAGATCTCGATGACCTGTCCTTTCTGTGAACACCCCTTCCTGGGCTGTGCCACACACATCTATGTTCTCTTGCATCATTCATCATTGTTCCAGTTTCCAGAGTTTCTGATCCACCCAGAAACCACATCTCTATTCAGATCTTCCCATCAAGACCTACAAAACAACTGAGCACCCAGAACATTCCCAATAGCTATTGATTTAGGACGAGTCACAACATTAGGAAAACGAGGAGTCAAAATTCAGCTTTGTCTTAGCAATAATAATGATAAAAAGGAGGGGGACCAGGAGGAGGAGCTAATACTGAGTGTCCAGCCTGGGCCTGGCTATTCAAAGCATTTCACACCTGTAGCAGACATGGCTGTCAGTCCAAAGAGTCAGATGTGTAAGGTCCTTGGAGCAGGCTGCGCTATGGTCAAGCCATTATAACCCCTGTGACACACACATACACATCCAGAAGGTCTCCTGGAGTCAGAAAGTCTGGGACAACGGGAAAACCACAAAAGAAGAAAAACAGCCAGTTCCTGTCTTAGCTGATTAGCCAACCTTGCCACATTCTACCATTGTAACATGCTCTACCCTAACTGATCAATCAACCTCGTGACACTGTGCTCTGTGACCCCTCCCACCTTGTGATAATGTACCTTGGGACATTCTTCCCCTGCCCACAATAAAGGGCCCCTAACTGTAACTTTCCACTGCTTACCCCTAACCTGTAAAACTAGCTCCAATCCCACCACCCTCCACTGACTCCCTTTTTGGACTCAGCCCACTCACACCCAAGTGAATAAACAGCCTTGTTGCTCACACTTAGCCTGTTCAGGTTGTCTCTTCAATTAGACGCACGCGTAACAAGATGGTTAAGAAATATGTATCTTCTTTAAACTCAACATAATTTCAGCGTTGTACCCCTATCCCATGTGGGCTGACAGAAAATCCCTTTTTGATCATTTTTTAGGCCCCTTCACTTTTTAAGGTGGACCCAGTCCCAGGAATCCCATGTGGTTCCCACAGGGCAGGGAGCAGCTTCTCCTCCACACTCATTCCTAGTTGCCAATGCCACTCTCATCCTCCAAACACACGGTGGCCCCTCAGAGTCAGGTGACTGCAGCTGCACAGCTTGGGCACGGGGAAACCTTTGATGACATCAGCACCCCAAGACCCAGGGCCCCGTTTTTCAACATCCTTTCTTGTCATTCTGCTCCTCCTCCTCTCCAGGCTCTACTTGCACTGTGAGCACCCTGGCTGTGGTCCTTCCTTCCTCTCTTTGATATGCTGGAGTCATGGGCCACACCTGTTTTCCCTCACCCTCTAGGAGCCTAGACCCTTAGCCCTCCTCCTACCCAACCCAACCCTGCTCAGGGAAATCTCTGAGTCTGGCAGGCAGAGTCCTCACCTCTTCCTGCTCCCAGAAGTTTCTCCTCCCTCAAGTCCTGGCCTCCTTCTTACTTTTGCATTTTGATTACTCACTACTCCTAGAGCCTAAACATTTTGCAAAAAAATAAAAATATATCTTTCCTAGAAGAAAGCCTTCTTCAGATTTCCTAGAGGGTGAGGGGAAAATGGGTGTGGTCCATCATTCCAGTACATCAAAGAGAGGAAGGAAGTGCCCCAGACAGGGTGCTCTTGAGGGCCGTCCGAGAGCAGAGCCTGAAGCACAGCATCATGGACGATAAAGAAACAAATAGACATGGGTGTGTGCCAATAAAACTTTTTTATGGACACTGAAATTTTTCACATGCCACAAAATATTATTCTTCTTTTGACTTTTTAAAAGCCATTTAAAATGTAAAAACAAATCTTAAAAATGTTATTAAAAACAAACAAAAAAAGTGCTCACAGGCCTTACAAGAAGAGGCAGCTCAACAGACTTGGCCCAGGAGCCATAGTTTGCCAATCCCTGGTGTGGAGGAACGAGCACTGGATATGGAATCCGGCAGCTGTGTTCCATTCCTGCCTCTACCTCATCCTGGCCCTTGAGCAAGTCATTTCAGGTTTCTCGGTTTCTTTTATCCTCAAAAGGCTTGGGATATAATAGCGTACTTGTCATAGGACTGTTGTGAGCTTTAACTGATATACAGTGGAAAGGGCTATTAGGCACAAATACCCCAAGATTATAAAGGCTAAGTTAGGGCAGCAGTGACCCTTTCTTATTATGGAAGAAAAACCTGGCATCTGGAAAGTATGAAATAGTAGGGGAGAAATAGGTTCTGGAATCAGAAAAGTCCCAGGTTCCAGCCCTGACCCAGCCACACGGAAACATATAACCTTGACAGAGTTACTCGGACTCTCTGAACTTCAGTTTCTTCATCTATAAAATATTGTTAATATGCCCACCTTACAAGCTTTTTGGAAGATTATTTCAATGGCATAAAAAGTACTTGTCATATAGAGACAGAAAAAAATGGCAGCTATTATTTATTCCAATGCTGTCTTGATCTTTTTTTAATTTCAAATTTCTGTTTTTCAGAGATGAAGCCAAAGTTCTTTATCAAAAGCATGCCTGCTTGCTGTCTCCAAAACATCTCTTTTAATGGTTCCCCTGGGCTTCAACACAACATGCCCCCTTCCTCCCCAAGGTAAACCTTGTTGCTGGAAAGTGGGGCAGCCCTTTGAACTGGCATTCTTTTTCCATGCTGAGAAATAACACTGGGCAGCATGCTGGGGGTTTTTTGTTTCCTATCTCTCCTCCCTAGAGTTGCCCTTTCTGGGTCTGAGGCTGACAAGGGACTGGCAGGGGGAGAGGCTGCCCACTGGCATGGCCTGGGGAGGGGGAATTATCTGCTCAGGCCTCATTGCAGCTGCAGGGGCCTCAGGGCCCTGCCGGCTTTGGGGTCAGGCTGATTATGTGTTCCAGCCAGCTGTGTCTTTGATCTGACACAAACAGGCCTGGGATGGACCAGGCTTCTCTTCTTGCTGAGAAAGTTTCTGGATGTGTCATTTTGGTGGAGGCCTGTTTGGGGCTAGAAGCTTGATGTGACTAAAGGATCCATGATGCTTTAGTAGAGGACAGGCTGATGGAAGAAACTCCTGGTTGTCTGATTGTCTTGGTCTTCACAGGGAGATGGATGGGCCCAGGGCTGGGGTTTGCAGCCAAGAAACTGGAGTCAGGATAGAGGCCAGGATCAAGAATAGCCAGAGTGACGTGAGCCCCAAGAAAGCTGTGGCCAGAGAAAAACAGAAAGCTGGGCTTAGGCACTGACTCCAATGAATGAGGATAGAGCCCAAGGTCAAGGCAAAGTCCAAGAGTTGGGTGCCTTCAGTCCATGTGGGTCAAGCACCTTCCCTTCCCTAGAGGCTGGGACAGGTCCTGGGACTGTGTGACAAATATGACTCCAGTCACCTGAAGAACTTGCTTTCCAGGCAAAGAGGTGTTCACATGTAGGCACCGAGATGTGTTCCCTAGCCCATCTCACTGTATTCATGGGCACACAGCTAATCCTTATTCCCTAGCTTATTTGCAATGTGAGCCATGTGACCAAGCTCCAGCCAGCGGATGTGGGTGATGGGGATGTGGTCAGGCCTGGCCCACAAAATGCTCCCACAGCCTCTTCCTCCTTTGGTGGCCAAATGCAGGGTCTAACAGAGGGCCCCCAGGCCCAGGACGAGAGCAGAGCCACAACATGGGAGGAACCTGGGTCACTGAATGACCCCATAGAAGACCACCTGTGGCTAGGAGCATCTGCAACAGACTTGGTGAGAATAAGAAATAAACCTTTAACAGGTAAATCACTGGGATTCAGGAGTTGGCTTGTTACAGCGGTTAACCTGTCCTGACTAATAATCATGTTCTAAAAATATATAATAAGAGCCATGGTCACGGTGCTATAGAACAAGATGACTGAAGAGAATAAAATCCAACCTCCTTCCAGCTGCAAAGTTTTAAGATTTCAGCATTCTCCAGGCCCTAATCTGGGATGTTCTTGGTCAAACCTGAGCTGCTGCTGGAATTAGTCTCTGGGTCCTCCACAGATTCAGCCTGCTGTCCACTCCTGATTCATTCAGCCCCCCGCAGGTGCTGGCTACTCCTACAGCTCCTAGAGGTCCTCAGCCTGTTTCTCCAGGGTCTCTGACAGCTGCCCATGATGATCTTCCCTAGGCAGAGTTGTGCCTTCCTCACCAGGCTGTGGTCTCCTTAAGGACAAGGACTGTCTGCTTCTCCAGTATCCAACTGAGAACAGAGAAGAAAGCAAGGCTTGTCTCTCTGCTTGATTAACAAACAGATGGCATGCTTCCGTGTCCTCCAGAGCTCACCAGGTGGATGACTATCGTCTTGCACTGTTCTCCACATCTTACTGCCTGCCCTGGCCTATCTATCTGTGCTGTGGTAGCTTGCAAGTGGCCATGCATTCCCTCCACTTGGGCACATGCTCCTTTGCGATGGGTCTCAGCCACTCTTTCTATCAAATAGTGGGATTTATTGCTCCCACCTTGAATCTAGGCATGGCCATGTGACTTGCCTTAGCCTAGAGGACAACAGCAAACATAATACGAGCTGACACTTGAAAAGCATATGTACATTGGGATCTGCTCTTCTTTGCTCCTCAGGAATCTTCTGCCATCATGTGAACAAGCTTGGGCTAGCCTCTTGGAGAATGAGGCACCAGGTGGAGAGTCCCAGCTGTTGCATTAGAGACCCTGATAAGAGAGCAAAGCCATTCTAGAGCACTCAAACATAGCCACACCAGCTCAGAATAGAAGACCACCCAGCCAATCCACAGAATGATAGAAAAAAAAAGAAGAAGAAATGCTTGCTATCTTCCCCGACTACATTTGGCATGGTTTGTTATGCAGCAAAAGTTAACTGACACATGTGTGCAGTCACCCATGACAGACCTTTCTGAGAATTAGGAAACCGAAGCTGTCATGGATGAACTCCAGCCAGCCATCCCCTAAAGCCCTTCCTTCCTGTGAGGCTGGGAAAATGGGAAAGTAGATCATTTCCTCTTTTTTTCTACCTGCATGGAGTGCTGTAGGTGAGAACTGCCTTGAGAACTACGTGCCAGTAACCCTCGCACGGTCAGCTCTCACCAAAACCTTGAGCACTGGAAAAGAAGAAAAGGTAGCCAGTGGGCTTCCATTTGCCCTGCACACACCCATGCACACAGATGCACATATACACATACGCACATGCCCGTGTTGCATGCACACACACAGACACATGCACACAGTTTTTGCATCACTGGCAGCAGAGCGGAACAACTCCAATTCATTCACGAGCTGGGAGAACCTAAGATGGGAATCAGAGGTGTCAAATAAAAGCAGAAACAGATGAGTTAGTATTCAAAATTCACTTTCTGAAATCCTAATGCACTGTTCAAACTGGAAAAGCAAACTTTGGAAATGAACACTTTCTCCAAGTTTGTCTTTCCTAGGCAAGAGTCTCTGTGCACCAGCAAATGCATGCCTGGCACTTACATTACATTATACTATATTATGTCATATTATACTATATACATTAACGAATTTAAGTATAAAATATATTTAGCCTAATTACTTCATGTTTCAGGGCTGTGCTGGGGCCTGTACATAAACAAATAAAATAGAAATAGTCCCTACCTAAAAGAGGTGATTATCTGGTGGTTCTGTAAAGTAGTTCTTCAATGTCCCATTATTCCTATATGTGACCATTATTTATTTAACATATATTATGTGCTACTCCTTGTGATACAGAGAGAATAAGACACAATGCCTGCTCTCATTAAGTTTATATCTGGTGAATATCCTCCGGACCCATATGCCAGTGAGGAAACCTGAGCTCAGAGAAGTGTGATAACTTGTTGTAGGTCACACAGAACAGCTGAAATTCAAGCCCATGTCTCCTGCTTCCATCTGGGAGTGATCATTCCACACATCTCACTGTAGTGAATCCAGAGGGAAGGAGGTCATCCCTGTCTTTACTTTGGAGCAGGTGGCAGAGCCTCTCGCTCTTTTGCTTTAGCTATTGGTTGGTGGAATACAGCACTAATGGCAGTTAATTGCATTATAAGAGTGACAGTGTATTAGCATTTTAAATAGCAATGGTGCCAGTTAGACTTTGTTGGTTGCAAGCAACAGAAAGTCCATCTGGCTAACTTTAGGGAAAAAAAATAAACTCAGGGAAGGATATGGAGTAGCTCTAAGCATCTGCAGCAAAGCGGAACAGCCTGCTTCAGAAAGGTCAGCAAGGAGAGCAGCTTCCAGGTCCTGGTCACCACCAGGAGAAATAGCTCTAGCCATTTATTGTTTCTCAGTTTCTGCTTCCTGTAACTCCACTCAAGACTCAGATTCCTGGAGGAGAGAACCTGACTGGCTAAGCTTGAGGTTCATGCCCACATTTGACAGTCCCACTGAAACTTCACATCCTGGGGGAGCAACTCCCAAATGGGAATCAGGGTGCAGCTGCCAGAAGGAAGTAGAATGGCTGGTGAGCAGGCAACTACAACCCTTGTCCAAGAAAATAATCACTAGAGACCTTGTGGGTACAGGAGCCAAGAGTCATGCAAATGGTAGGATGTAGATTGTGCTTTCCAAAGATGGTTGCACCAATATAAATATCATCACATATACTTTTCTTAGAGTGTGACACCCCTTCATCAAGGAGGATCTCTGTTGTCTTCCCTTGAACCCAGGCAAACTTTTGTAACTCCCTCAACCAATAAAATGTGGCAGAAGTGATGCTGCATGGTAGGCGTCCCCCTGGCTCACCCACTCTGTGTCAGCATGCAAGCCTTTGGGAGCTGTGAGCCACCATGTTGAATAGGACATTCAGAAGGGTTGAGATCCTAGCTATATGACAGGCACTATGATATATGTTCTCATTCTCAAGTTTTAATGCTCATAACAACACTGAAGATAGGTGGCATTATTCTCTCCCTGCAGGAAAAATAAAAATTAAATTAAAAACCATGAGACTCAGACAAGAAGAGATTTGCTAGGATTGATACCCAGGTCACTCCTGACTCCAGAGATCCTAAGTCTTTTTTTTTTTTTTTAACCAGTAACTCGACCTGATTCTCTGATGATGTTTCTGTTTTCTAAAAGCACCCCAGTTATGCTGCCTAGTGAAACCAGCTGGAGGTAAGCTTGGAAGGCCAGGGATCAGGACCCAGATCTGCCTTGAAATCACTGTGTGACCTTGACCCCACTCTGAGACCATTTAATCATAAAGAGGGACAGCAAGCCTGGCTCTGAGACCTTGCAGGGGTGGAGTGGGGATCAGATGTGTTTCCAGATATAAAAATGCTTTAAAGAGGAAAACGGCCCAACCAATATAATACAGTACTTCTCCTGCGTGCATCAGATCTTGCTGAGAGCAGAATTCTAAAACCGTCTGAACTCTCTAAGTATTCAGAACTTGTGGAGAGGAAGAACAAGGTGTATAATTTTTTGTTGTCATTGCTTTAGAAGCTCAAAGTAGGATTGGAAAATCGTGACTTCTAAGGCTCACAGCTTTGAGTTTCTGCGGACAGCTGGGCCTGGAGATGATGTCATCTGGCATGAGTGAGAAAGCCTCCCTTTAGCAAAAAGTGATTTGCAGGAAGGGAATTTCTGCACTCTGCGTGTGAGCAAGAGATGACCAAATGTTCCCTGACATTCGTGCTTGATTACCTGTAAAATGAGGCCCCATCCTTAACCGTCCATGGGGAGAACAGAATATCAAACCACAGGAGACCATGTCCACTCTAACCCCAAAACTGAGATCCTGCATGTGAACATACTTTGGAAACAGAATATCGAGAAAGAATTTGAAATATATATGAAGATTTACAGGCATGCTTATCAGGTCACTGTTTACAATATAAAAAGTAGACAGAGCCTGACACTTCACATGAGTGAATTGATCAAATCAATTTTATGATATATCCATGTATTAGAATATTGAGATGCTACTAAAAGGATGTTTGCAAAGACTTTTTAATGGGTTGAGGAAATGTTAATAATGTTGAAGGTAATGCCAGGGGACAAAGCAGCCTGAGCATAATGGCTGAGCTCCAGACGTACACGAGTAACTGATTGGGATGAGAAAGAACACAGCCAGCAGACAGGGTTAGGGAGGAAACTGACTTTTCATCATCCATCTTTTAGTAACTTTTGAATCTTCAGATGGAGAAGAGCCATCGATTCCTAGTGCAGTAAAGTAAATAAGACCCACACTAAGACAAAGTATTCTAAGATCCTGCGAACTTCCACATCAAGAAACAAAGTCATGTACAAAGAAACTGGAATCAGAATACCATCAGACTATTTTCAATGGAAGGATTAAAATAAAGACATTTGCAAATATTTGCAGTCAAGAAGTTATCTTTTCTCTTTGTTTGTTTTTAGGAGACAGGGTATTGCTTTGTTACCCAAGAGTGCAGTGGCAGGATCATAGCTCACTGCAGCCTCAAACTCCTGGGCTCAAGCAATCCTTCCACCTCAGCCTCCCTAGTAGCTAGGACTATAGGCGTGAACTACCACAGCCAGCTAATTTTTTTCATTTTTTTATTTTTGTAGAGACGGGGTCTCACCATGTTGCCCAAACTGGTCTCAAACTCCTGTTCCCAAGCAATCCTTCCACCTTAGCCTCCCAAAGTGCTGGGATTACAGGTGAGCCTCCACACCCAGCCTAAGAAGTTACCTTGTTATCCTGTATGCAACTTTTCTTGGAAAGCTACTGGAGGTTACACTGGAGCAATACAAGAAAGTAAGTCAAGAGGAATATAGGAAATGTAATGCAGGCAAAGGGAGGATCTAAACAGCACAATATCCAGGCCTGGAGGAGCCCCACTCTACACTGGGGAAGGGGCCAAAACATACCTGGAGGAAGGTCTTCAGGCAAATAAAATGGGTTGAGGGCATTTGTGACATTAGTTCATGTAAAAATGGTAAATAGTAGATCCTTAGAAAACTAAATGAAATACATGACACAATTTTTAACTACAGGAAAGTATAGTACACTCCTTAACTCAGAGTTGGAAAACATCTACAAAGTATCATGAAGCATGTGTTAGCTGCGGTTCTCTGAGAAGTGTACACTACAAGAGGTATAAGAGATGTGTTGGAGAAAACACCAGTAAAGGAGAAAGGGGAGGAAATGTTAAGACCTGGCAGTTCTGATATTTTGGAAAAAAAGAAAGTTAACAAGAACATTTTGGATAGGCCAATGCGGAGTCTTCCAGCCAAAGTTCCTCATTAAGAATCTCACACCTAGAAGAAAGGTGCCAGAATTACTACCCACGCATTGGGTACTACTTGACTGGGGACAGCTGAAGGAAGCCTGATGCGGGGCAGTTCCAATAGGACAGCAGCTTGGAACCACAGCAAGAGACTGGAGTGGTGAATCTTCAGGACCACTGTCATGTAAATACTGAGTATTGATACAAACAACTAACACTGAAGGAAAGGAGAGGGGAAATTGGAGGCGGTGTTGCAGAGAGAGGGAGCAATCACAAGACTCCTCCAGGTGACTCCCTACATTTCTCAGCTTCACGAGAAGTAAGGGTAAGGCCATTGACAGGACCACAGGCGATGAGCAGAAGTGGAATGTGTCCTTTCAAGTGAAGGAGATAAGAACCTGAGGGCTTCATCCATCATGCTTTTTCCCTGGGCAGTGAATTTTGCAGCCACATGTTGCGATGGTGATGGCACATGATGGAGTTAAGCTTAGGTCATTCAGTCACTAGAGGGAGGGCAGCACCCACACCCAGATGCACATTCATCCCACCTACCTGCCTCCCCAGGACACAACTTGGCCACTTAAAGAAGACCCTGGCACTGCCCTCCTTGCCTCATCTCCTAATACCAGCAACTGTTCTCAGCATCCCCCATGACACCCTCTGCAGTGGGAGCCAAAGCACCTCGGACGTTCAGATTCAACCAGAACAAGCCCAGGTCTGGCCCCCCAGCCACTTCAAGATGCAGGATGAAGGATTGTGCTCTGAGTCATGGAGTCTGGTTTCTCCATCAGCCCCCAGAGCACCTGCATATCACATCCGGAAAGTGCAGAAGAGTTAACCCTCCTGGAGCAAATTTTGACCAATGAGAGGCAGGAGATGAGAAAGAGCTGGCAGCTATATTCTGTCCCTTCTTCCCCGTGACGGATTGTTCTGAGTTGTGGTTCACTAAGGACACCCTACATGACCAAGTAACCAAATGTGTATTGCTTTTTTTTTTTTTTTTTTTTTTTCTGAGATGGCTTTTGCTTTTGTCACCCAGGCTGGAGTGCAATGGTATGATCTCGGCTCACTGCAACCTCCTCTTCTTGGGTTCAAGCAATTTTCCTGCCTCAGCCTCCTGAGTAGCTGGGATTACAGGTGCCCACCACCATGCCCAGCTAATTTTTGCATTTTTAGTAGAGACGGGGTTTCACCCTGTTGGACAGGCTGGTCTCAAACTCCCGACCTCAGGTGATCCACCCACCTTGGCCTCCCAAAGTGCTGGGATTACAGGTGTAAGCCACTACGTCCAGCCCCCAAACGTGTTTTCTTGTGGAGTTCCAGTAGCTCCACGATGCATCCTTGCCTTCATTTTCTCCCCGTCTACTTTTCTTCTGTTCACGCTCTCTTGCTGTCCTGGGCTTGCACCTCACAACAAAGCCCTGGCATGTAAGCTTTGCCTTGAGCTCTGTGTTCTGTGGCTAAGACGCCTTTGGAGGATACTTCTTGGGTCTTTGGGAAACAGGGAAGATCAAGGGGAAGAAGTGACTGAAGATAGGAAGAGGCCAAGCCCTGTGTGTAGGAGTCAGAAAGCAGAGCCTAGAATGGACAGCATTTCTGAATAGCTCAGAAAGGGAATAAAGAACCACAAACCAAGAAAACAGCTGAGATAACAGCTGGGATGGGAGAGTGATGGGAGAACACTGAGCTGTAGGACACCTCATGAAAGCGTCTGAAGCAGGACAGCAGCTGAGGCCCTGGGCCTGCAGAACACCACACACCCCAGTGATGATGACAAGAGCTGCAGTGTCTATGAAGGGCTTCATTAACACTCTGGTGCCAGAAATGGCATATTTTCATGTATTTTTAAATAAAAATAAATTTATGTCAGCCTCATCAGCCAAGATTGGCAATGAACCCATTCTCAGATAATGAGTGGAGGGATCTGGGAGACCTCCCACCTCCCTGGAGACTCTAAAATGATGCAAATAGTTAGCACATTATTGAGCGCTTACTGTATACCACCTGCTGTTCTGCCCACTTCATGTGTATTAACTCATTTAATCCCCATGACAACATTTTGGGTTAGGCACTATTAGCATTTCCATGCAATTGATAAGGAAACTGATTAACTTGCCCAAGGTCAAGGTACTGACAGAGAAAGATCTCATCTCAAGTACTGTGCCTCTAAATCTCATGTTATTAACGGACACACCATAACACATGTGATGTGAGGTTTTTACAGTCAAAAACATGAGGAAGAGCCTCTGGTCTATCAAGGCTGCCGTGGCAGCTCCCAGTTCTCCTTGTCAAGTACTTTAGGGTCCATTTGAAGGGAAAGGCTTCGTTGGGGACCACACTTCCCCTGAACCTGGAGATCTTTACCAGGAGAAGTCAACCAGAGCCCACACCACAGCACAAGTAGGCTCAGTCCACCCAGAACCTTCCCACTGTATCCCATCTCAAGGTCTTACTGCCTCGGCATCTCCCTCATCCCACCCTCCCATATTCATCGTTGTGGCTCAGGAAGTTCAACGCTCCTTTTCCAGTGTTGAGCCTGTGTCCTTCTCTCCTCTGGAAAATCAGCTTCCACTCCCACCCCAACCAGGAAAGAGCTGAGCCTCCACCCATGGGTCAGTTCCACCCTGGGAAAAGGGAGAGCAATCCCCCAAAGACATGAAGTCTTCCTCTTACTTTCAGGAAAAGGAAAATGGTGCTTTGTGATTCGGGGTGGTGGAGAACTATTGTAGAGGTTTCACCCTGTATAACCCTAGAAAATGCTGTTCATATTCACAGTCATCATAGATGTAACTATTAAGAGCATCTCCAGAAGACAAAAACAGAGTATCTTGAGGGAGGGAAGGACTTTGCAAATTCATAGCAAGGTATCTTTAGGGCTAGAGGTGGGGTTGGGAGGAGTCTATTACAAAGCAAAAGGGGGAAATTCACTACACCATTAATTTCTCAATAAGACATCCAGTTATTGAGTGAACATTTACTGGGCACCTCCTATATCCAGGTACATGTCTAAGGACTTTCTATTCAGTATGTCAATCTTCAAAACAATCCTGTGAAGCAGGCAACATCATCACCACCATTTTACTGATCAGAAAATCAAGAGAGTTATTTGTTCAAAGCTATACAGCTAATAAGCAGAGAAGCTGGGATTTGACCCCGTGTCTGCCCACTTTGCCAGCCCTCACTCTTCTGTGGATGACAAAGGTGCACCAGGACTCAGCCTTGTGCAAGAAGCAATCAAAGGAGGCCTGCAACAACAGAGACACATAATTTTTGCATGAAGCCACAGTCTTACCAATGGCCCTTTTCATGGGGTTTCTTGATGGTGGGATCATTCATGTGGAGGCTACATGCACAGAAACCTAATCAGAGACCAGTACTGCCAATGACATGCATGACTTTGGTCACACTGGTTAACATATCAGAGCCTCAAGTTTCCTTTCCTGCAAAACTGGGGCTGATGCTGGTTGTCTTGCAATATGAGGGGGATTAGAAAATGTATCCTATATAAAGTGCCTGAAACGTTAACAAATGTAACTTTCTTTACCATTACCAACTCTCCTCATTCTTAAATTCCCTATCATTGAGTCTCTAAGGAATCTGCCTTTTCAGTTAAATTCCTTGAGTGAGCTTTTTAAAGAGAGACTTGAGCTGGGTTTTATTATCCGATGCTGGTAACACTTTTGATGTGTATCAATCATTTTCATTTGTAAGGTGGGTGGATTTTATATATCCATATCTATCTGCTGGGAGAAAAATCTTTAAAGCTTCAAGATGGGATTTTAAAAACATCTTTATAAAAGAAAAAAAGCAAAAGTTTAACCTTCAAGGAAAATAAAAGAGAACATGAAGTCTATACTTGAACACACACAACATCCAAAAAAAAAAAAAAAAAAACCTGAGCCTGAGATTGCAAATGTACAACCTCGACACCAATTGTTTGGACAGTATAAAAAGGATGGTTTTCATCTGCATTGGTAAAGGAGGCAGCTTAACACATTGCATGAGGCCATAAAATCTGTCCCTATCAGCAGCACTGACGTGGGGCCGGAAACCCCGTTATTAGAGATGTTCCATTCATTCATTTATTCTTTCTGTCATCTATTCTCCTCACTCATTCTTTCATCTAAAAATCTCTTCTCAAGTGATTACCATGTGCCAGGCACTGTGTTAGCTGCTGAGAGTATGGAAATGACTGACAGTCCCATTACAGATATCCACTTTACAGATAGAGAAACAGGCATGTTCAGATAATGACAATATAAAGTAAGTTTTATCTATGACAGGCTAAAAGAGCAATAAAAACGGAAAAAATAAGACTCAATTCAAAGACAAACACATGACAAATATAATTTTTGTGTTGTGAGGTGTAATGAACAAGCACAGAATTAAGAAGACTTCACATTGGCTGAGGGTATTAGAAAAAGCTGGGCACTGGGGTCAGAGGGGGTGGGGTGGTCTCAGGGCTACAATAGTAACTCTCTAGCAGACCAGGAAAAGAAAGTGTCCTGGCATTTTTGTCCCCTGGTAAAAGATGAATTATGCTGCAGGAGTAATCCAGGTCATCCTGATTGCCCATTTGTGTACTTGCTTCTGTATTCTTTAGTCTACCTGATTATTTTCCAGGTTAAGGCTGTAAAGATGTAGAACACAGGACAGGTTGAAGTGTAGCATGGAAAAGACCTGAAGTGGTGCTATGGTCTGAATATTTGTGTCCCTCCAAATTTCATGTGTTAAAACTTAATCACTAATATGATATCATTAAGAGGTGTTGCTCACATAAACAGTTATGAATACATGATCATCTCAATATACACAGGGAAAGCATTTGATAATATTCAGCATCCCTAGGTTAAAACCCTCAACAAAATTGTCATAGAAGGGACATAAGTCAAAGTAATAAAAACCATCTATGACAAACCCACAGCCAACATCATAGTGAATGGGGAAAAATTGAAAGCATTCCCCCTAAGAATTGGAACAAGACAAGGATGCCCACTTTTACCACTTCTAGTCAACACAGTACTGGAAGCCCTAGCCAGAGCAATCAGACAAGAGAAAAAAAATTAAGGGAATCCAAATTGGAAAAGAGGAAGTCAAACTGTTACTGTTCACCAATGATATGATTGTATACCTAGAGAAACCTAAAGACTCACCCAGAAAGCTCCTGAATCTGATAAATAAATTCAGTAAAGTCTCAGGATACAAAATCAGTGTACAAAATCAGTATCACTGCTATACACTAATAGCAACCAAGCTGAGAACCAAATCAAGAACTCAATCTCTTTACAACCACTGCAAAAAATAAAACCAAAATACTTAGGAATATACCTAACCAAAGAAGTAAAAGATCTCTACAGGGAAAACCACCAAACACTGCTGAAAGTAATCATAGATGACACAAACAAATGGAAACCCATGCCATGTTCATAGATGGTTAGAATCAATATTGTGAAAATGAACATACCACCAAAAGCATCTACAGATTCAATGTAATTCTCATCAAAATACCATCATCATTCTACACAGAACTAGAAAAAACAATGCTAAAAGTTATATGGAACCGAAAAAAAGAGCCTGCCAGCCAAAGCAATACGAAGCAAAAAGAACAAATCTGGAGGCATCACATTACCAGACTTCAAATTATATTACAAGGCTATAGTCACCAAAACAGCATGGTACTGGTATAAAAATAGGCATGTAGGCCCACAGAACAGATTAGAGAACCCAGAATAAAGCCAAATACAGCCAACTGATCTTTGCCAAAGCATACCAAAACATAAAGTGGGACAGGACACCCTATTGAATAAATGGTGCTGGGATAACTAGCAAGCCACAGTAGAAGAATGAAACTGGATCCTCTTCTCTCACCTTATACAAAAATCAACTCAAGATGGATCAAAGACTTAAATCTAAGACCTGAAACCATAAATATTCTAGAAGATAACACCAGAAAAACTTCCAGACATTGGCTTAAGCAAAGAATTTGTGACTAAGAATCCAAAAGCAAATGTGACACAAATAAAAATACATTGGACCTAATTAGACTAAAAAGCTTCTGCACAGCAAAATAAATAATAAGCAGAGTAAACATACAACCCAGAGAGTGGGAGAAAATATTCTCAAACTATGCATCTGACAAAGAACTAATACCCAGAATCTACAAGGAACTCAAACAAATCAGAAAGAAAAAAGCAAATAATCCCGTCAAAAAGTGGGCAAAGGACATGAATAGACAATAAAAAAGAATACAACCAGCCAACAAACATGAAAAAATGCTCAACATTACTGATTATCAGGGAAATGCAAATTAAAACCACAATGAGATACCACCTTACTCCTGCAAGAATGACCATAATTTTAAAAATTAAAAATAATAGATGTTGGCATGGATGTGGTGAAAAGGGGACACTTTTACAGTGCTGGTGGGAAGTATGGAGATTCCTTAAAGAACTAAAAGCAAAACTACCATTCAGTCCAGCAATCCCAGTAATGGGTATCTACCCAAAGGAAAATAAGTCATTATATGAAAAAGACAAATGCACATGTGTGTTTATAGCAGCACAATTCACAATTGCAAAAATATGGAACCAACATAAGTATCCACCAACCAATGACTGGATAAAGAAAATGTGGTTTATATGCCCCATGGAATACTACTCAGCCATAAACCAAAATGAAATAATGGCTTTTGCAGCAACTTGGGCAGAGTTGGAGGTCATTATTCTAAGTGAAGTAACTCAGGAATGGAAAACCAAATACCGTATGTTCTAACTTATAAATGGGAGCCAAGCTATCAGGAGGCAAAGGCATAAGAATGATATAATGGACTTTG
The DNA here is from genome assembly GCF_000001405.40 of Homo sapiens. NCBI lineage: Eukaryota > Metazoa > Chordata > Mammalia > Primates > Hominidae > Homo > Homo sapiens. The sequence continues at coordinate 134,907,537 of NC_000008.11, read as the reverse complement.
TGGGCTCAAGAGGAAGGGTGGGAAGAGGGTGACAGGTAAAAGACTATACTTTGGGTACAGTGTGTACACTGCTTGGGTGACAAGTGCACCGAAATCTCAGAAATCATCACTAAATAATTTATTCATGTAACTGAAAGCCACCTATACAAAAACTATTGAAATATAAAAATAAAAATAAATTTAAAAATTTTTAAAAATGAGATGTTACCTTTAGGTGCTGATTAAGTCATGAGGGCAGAGTCCTCGTGAACAGGATTAGTGACCTTATAAAGAGGTGCAAGGCCATGGAATACTATGCAGCCATAAAAAGGAATGAGATCATGTCCTTTGCAGGGACATGGATGAAGCTGGAAGCCATTATCCTCAGCAAATTAACACAGGAACAGAAAACCAAACACCACATGTTCTCATTCATAAGTGGGAGCCGAACAATGAGAACACATGGACACAGGGAGGGGAACATCACACACCAAGGCCTGTTGCCGGGGGTCGGGGGTTGAATGGGGGGCGGTGGGAAGGGGAGGGAAAGCATCAGAACAAATAGCTAATGCATGTGTGCATGTGGAGCTTAATGCCTAGGTAACAGGTTAATAGGTGCAGCAAATCACCATAGCACACGTTTACCTTTGTAGCAAGCCGGCACATATCCCAGAACTTAAAGTAAAATAAAATTTAAAGAATAAAAATAAATAAATAAAAAATAAAGAAGTGAAAGGGAACTATTGGCCCCTGCCACCCTGAAAGGACTCAGCAAGAGGCCTCACCTGTAAAGTAGAAAAGAGCCCTCATTAGACACTAGATTTGCTGGTGCCTTAATCTTGGAGTTCCTCACTTCCAGAATTGTGAGAAAGAAGGTTCTATTATGTATAAATTACCCAGCCTAAGATATTTTGTTCTAGCAGCCCAATGGACTAAGATAAGCATCATCTGCTGTAACCTTGTCTTTTACAAATCAGTGATTTTAGGCCCAGAAAGGTTAAGAGATTTGCTGAACGCCACAAGGCAAATCAAGACCTAGAACATAGGTTTCCCAGTTCCTCGAAGGGCCTCCCACTTGAAAAGCATATCACAGTATAGGAAGAGCCTCACATACCCTGACAGAGTGGCTATTAGTGTCCCTATACTACAGGGGAGAATACAGAGGCCTGAGATGGGAAGTGAGTTGCCTAAAATCACACAGTGCAAGTTCCAGGCAGAACCAGCACTAGCTAGAACCGAAAGCTCCGGAGCGCTTTCCGTTATGTGACACTGCCGCCTAGGGGCAGTCTAGAGCAAGGGACCCAAGGAAGGCGGGCTTTGGGCAGGTGGCAGGGCCACAGTGGGGAAAGAGGGATGCTGGGAGCAGCCTCAGAGTCGACTTTCATCTACTTCCACCCTAGCCAGGGGTGGCCACAGTTCTGCCTCCCGCTGCTGCCCACAGACTTAAAACGTCCTGCACGCCCCTCCAGGGACACTCTTGTAAGTTATACACTCTAATGTTGCCAAACTAAAATTGAGACTGAAAGTAGGTGCAGCTTTCGCTAAAGGGATCATTTTTCATCCACCTAATGATGAAGCACATGGAGCGAGGAAGACATATTCCTTTGAAATAGTTGGCAGCAGCCTGTGGGTTTTCACAATGAATCTGTGACTCACGGCATAGGCAAGTGGTGGCGTTCAGTCCTGCAGGTACCATCACGCAAGAACAGGTACAAGGGAGGTGGAATGCAGCTAATCATCTGCCCTGTGCACAGATGCAAAATGCATTGATCATTTTTGTGTAACATTATACACAATAAATCTAACTGTTGGTAGCACCACCCTTTTGAATAATGGATCATCACAGAGCAGATAGAGGCAACAGAGGGACCCTACTGCAGATCAATAGCACAGCCTAGTGGCGATCTAAGAGATGGCAACTTCATCTCGCCATCATCACAGGCTCATAGGAAGCACAGGATATCCTCATTTTTGGTGGGATATCAAATTCTAAAAAAGGCTAAGCTACTCAAGCTTAACAGTTCTACCAACATTTTTGTCTTTTTAATTTTTTTATTTTTAATTACTGTGGTTACATAATAGTTGCACATATTTATGGGGTACATATATTTTGATACAAACATACAATGTGTAATGATCAAATCAGTGTAACTGGGGTATCCATCACACCAAGCATTTATCATTTCTTTGTATTAGGAACATTTGAATTCTACTCTTTTAGTTACTTTGAAATATACAATAGATTATGGTTAGCTACAGTCTCCCTATTGCACTACTGAAGCTAAATCTTATTTCTATTTAACTGTATTTGTATACCCATTAACCATCTCCTTTATATCCTCCACCTCTACTACCCTTCCCAGCCTCTGGTAATCATCATTCTACTCAATCTTCATGAGTTCCATTTTTTTTAGCTCCCGTAAATTGGTAAGAACATATGATATCTGTTTTTCCATGTCTGGCTTACTTCACTCAACATAATGTCCTCCAGTTCCATCTATGTTGTTGCAAATGACAGGATTTAATTTTGTATGGCTGAATAATATTCCATTGTGTATATATACCACATTTTCTTTATCCATTCATTCATTGATGGACACTTAGGTTGATTCTATGTCTTGGCTATTGTGAATAGTGCCACAATAAACATGGGAGTGCAGATATCTCTCCAGCATTTTAATTGTCCTGCTCTGTGCCAGACACTGACCCAGACTTCAGAGAATCAATAATGAACAGAACATAGTAAGAGATGAGACTCGAATTATTTGAGAAGGATCTGAGAGAAACTAGAAGAGCGAGGTCACAGCGCCTGACCCACTCAGCAGTTCATAATCAGGTCAACAAATCTTTAGCAATTCTGCCCTTTTTTTGGGGGGTCACACATGCAAAATTATTTCCTCTATGTAACAATTCTGAAGAGTAAATTATGTACGTAAGTGTAATCCTTGATGTAATTTTAATTACCTGAAGGAGTTGTCCTTAGCTCTTCTGAAGTCACATACCCACTGAAAGTCTGATGAAATCTATGGATTCAGTCCACCAGAAAATGCACCCACATAATATATAGAAAAATGCTGCATACAATTCAGAAGTTTTTCAGAAACTATGATGCTTCTCCAAGCACTCAAGTAACAGTTCCTATTTGAAAGGATTTTTCTGTCTTGATCACTTGGAAAGCTATGCTTTTTGCTTTTTTTTTTTTTTTTTTTTGAGGCAAGGTCTCACTCTGTTGCCCAAGCTGGAGTGCAGTGGTGCGACTGCGGTTCACTGCAGCCTCCACCTCCTGGGTTCAAGCAACTCTCCTGCTTCAGCCACCCAAGTAGCTGGGATTACAGGTGTGTGCCACCATGCCCGGCTAATTTTTGTATTTTTAGTGGAGACAAGGTTTTGCCATATTGCCCAGGCTGGTGTCATACTCCTGAGCTCAAGTGATCTGCCTACCTCTGCCTCCCAGAGTTCTGGGACTACAGGCATGAGCCACTGCACCTGGCCTGAAATCTATGCTTAGAGAAAAATGACAACATTTTCTACTTTAAAGCATTTTGACATTAACTTGAAGATAAGTGTAATTCATTAATTAAATAAGAGAAATTATCAAGCACCTGCAACATACTCAAAGCTACTTGTAGAGTTGGCAAGGGATGCAGAAGTACAACCTCTACGCCCTCCTATAGAGAGCCTGGATAAGACAGATGTTCAGGGCCCAGGCTGTGGGTTCACATTCTTGCTTCATCACCAGGACAACCACTCAACCTCTCTGAGCCTTGGTTTTCTCATCTGCCAATGAAAGTGATGATTACAAGTCCCTCACCAGGCTCTTGTGGGAATTGATGTAAATCACAGTGTCTGGAAGATATTAAAAGCTCAATGAATGGTTTTTTATTGTGAACATTACAATTAGGATGAATTAATGATTTAATCCACCCAATAACAATTTACCCATTGTCCACTGTTTACCAGGTGACTAATACTAAGTGTTGGGGATACAGATTTGGCCAGGTGTCTGATTGCGTAGCCAGACCCTAGTTTCTGAAGCTTAGTCCAAGGACAGGCACCAAGGTTGTCACCCAGAAGCTTGTTAAACATGTGGGATATCTCAGGCCCCTCCCCAGAACTACTGAATTTTAGCAAGATACCCAGGCAATTCATAAGTGCTTTAAACTTTGAGAAATCCTGCAGTAGATCTTGAAAAAAGAGACTCCCTCTGAAAAAGTGGCCTTGCTTCCTGGTCTAGATGGATTCAGAAAGAGCTTGAAGCTAATCCTCTTTGTTCTACAAATGGTGACTTTTGTGGCGCCTCTTTGTAATATACATGTGTCCCTGGAAGAAAAAATATAACAGGACTATTTGGTGACATCACAAAGGTTGTCTCTCCAAGTACCCCTCCTCTGTAGAGACAAGGCTTGGGAGAGATGCTCATTCGCCAAGAGACAAGGAGACCAGAAATTCCCACACATTCCTTTTGAAGAGTCAATGCTATTGGAACCTCTCTTGTAAACTAAGGTGGTCACAAAAGGTCCCCTGGCAGGAAAGAGAACCACAAGGGAGCCCAACACAAAGGAAGAACTGGGACAACCTGCTCAACTCCAAGGCCCAGGGGAGGTTCTGGATTGAAGAAGCAGGTGCTGGGATCATGTCTGAAGAGGCCAGAGGTCTACCCTCAGGCTAAGACAAGAACAATGAGAGAACATGCAAAGTCAGACGAAAGAGAGCATGGAACAGCATGCTTGGTGGAGCTGTAGCGGGTAGGTCATCTACCTTGTGACACCCTGTGCCCCCACAGAGACCTGGATTCACAAAGAGGTCATTGCAGAAGTGGGCAAGAATATGCCAGACTTGGGACCCACTGGCAGAGGTAGCAGGAGCAAGGTAGCCAAATGCCATGGCCCCGCCATAGGTTCATCAGTCTCCAGTTCCCTTTCTAGCTGGCATATGTGAGCAGGACAAGTTCTGTGGGAATAAATAAGCACCAGGAGTTTAATCAAATCCAGACTCTGCCTCAAGATCCCATGGTCTAGTGGTGCTGGGGGCATGTAAATACAAAAATGAATCCTTACAACAGGAGCCACTACCCCCATATCCCAACAAGGATTTGCAGCCTGGAAGAGGTTAAAGCCCTTGAAGAAGGCCACAGACAGTGTAGGTGGAAAAGCCAAGAGTGACATCCAAATCAATCCCAAACTCTGCTTTTTACAAACTATCCACCTGCTATACAGGGTCCCTCTGCTGAGGAGAAAGCCACAACATTTTTGTAAGCATAAATTCAGTAACCAACAAAAAGACCATCAACATTCTCCAGGAACACAAAAGAGGGACCAAGTTGGTGTTGGGACATCAGGAAAACAGCCCACTCTTTGCACCATGCCTTGAAGAATTGGGGCAGCCAGGGAAGGAACAGAGAACAGGACTTAGACCCGGGTTACATCGAGCTGAAGCTTGAGGATGAAGTGAGCATGAGGCTACAAAAGCAGGTGAAGGCCAGATCTCTGAGGAGCTGGAGGAGTGTCTTATGAACTTGAGCTTAGTTGGGCCACAGAAGGAAGCAACTGGGGCTTTGGGGAAGGAGCCCTACTTGGGCCTTTGTTTAAGAATGATCTCCCTGGGAGGCTGGGTGTTGTGGCTTACGCCTGTAATCCCAGCACTTTGGGAGGCCGAGGCAGGTGGATCACGAGGTCAGGAGATCAAGACCATCCTGGCTAACATGGTGAAAACCCATCTCTACTAAAAAAAAATACAAAAAATTAACCGGGCGTGGTGGTGGGCACCTGTAGTCCCAGCTACTCGGGAGGCTGAGGCAGGAGAATGGTGTGAACCCAGGAGGCGGAGCTTGCAGTGAGCCGAGATCACGCCACTGCACTCCAGCCTGGGCAACAAAGCGAGACTCCATCTCAAAAAAAAAAAAAAAAAAAAGAATGATCTCCCTGGGGACCACAGGAAAGATGGTTTGAGGTAAGAGATTGAAGGCAGGAGATTCCATGAGAAGATGTCCCCAGGACTGAACTAGACAGTTGAGAAGAGGAGAAACTCTTGGGAGGCATTTTAGAGGGAAAACAGATAAGTCTTAGTGACTCAGAGGAGAGGAAATGAGCAGGAGGGGAATGAATACGCCTCCAAGCTTCAAACCTCGTTAGGTTCGAAGCCAGTTGAAGAAGAGCAGCTGTTGGGAAAAAAGGGAAAAGTTCTGAGGGCTGGCCCCTGAAGCACTCTGCCTAGTGGCTTGTCACTTTCTTTCTTTTCTTATTTTGCATTCTCCTGGCAGTCCAGCAAGAAAATACCCTAAAACCTGAAGCACCCAGAAAGGTCAGAGAGAGCAGGCAGAGCCCCACGAGCAGGCATGTTCCATCAGCTTGAGACATGAGGTATCTTCTGCCAGGGTCCACAGGAGCAGAAGACCAGAGAGTAAATCCATCCTCTCTCTGATACCATCTTTATGTGGTTTCAGCACACCTCTGTTCGAAATCGAGTCAATTCAATTCAGCAAACATTTTGAGTACCAACTATATGCCCTGGCTAGGCACTGGCGGTATGCAGATGATAATAAAAAGCCCAGTACAGTAGAATGAACAATGTGTCCCCAAAATTCATGTCCACCTGGAATATCGGAATATGAGCTTATTTGGAAGTAGGGTCTTTGTAGATGTCATTAGTGAACCTAAGATAAAGTTTACTGTTGGATTAGAGTGGGACTGGTATTCCTTATAAGAGAAGAAGACACAGAGACTCACAGAGAAGAGACTATGTGAGGATGAAGGCAGAGACTGGAGTGATGCGTCTACAAGCCAAGGAATGCCAGGGATTGCTGGGAGTCACCAGAGCCAGGAAGAAGCAAAGAAGGATCCTCCCCTAGAGCCTTCCCAGGGAGTGTGGCTCTGTCCACACCTCGATTTAGGACTTCTAGCCTCCAGAACTGTGAGAGAAAGTCTCTGGTTTTAAGCCACCCCGTGTGTGATAATTTGTCTTGGCATCCCTAAGAAATTAATATACCCAGCATATGGAGAGAGGCCACCTGCAGAACAAAGCCAAGAAAAGACATGGAAAGAAAGAGAGCTCTGAGGGCTTCAACTGAACCCCTGGATCTAGCTGTGCCTGAAGCTAGACCGTCCTTGGACCTGGCAGCTACAGGAAATGCTCTGTTCCCTTCTACGTAGCTATTCTCACTTAGTTCTCCATCAGGGCAAGTCAAAGAGGCCTGATTATTCATTCTCTTGTTCCTACTACTAATGGTTCTGAGAAGCTGAGCTTACTACCAATTTGCCAAGAAAAGAGTCAGCTCACCAAGCACTGTGGCAAGCCACATAACATTCCCGCAGTGACAGCATTGAGGTCTTTTGAAAATGTTATGAGAGTCAATTTCTGCCATATACTTACTTCATGCAATTTATTAAACAAATTTTACCATCTCTGAAAAGGGTAGAAATGAATTTTCCTTAGCTCTTATGTTTAAAGTTTGATTAAAACTAAAGTTGTACAACCAGACACCACAAACGTTGTTCTTTATGAAGAATCTTAACGAGAAGCTGTTAACCCGAATCCTTTTGAAAACTTGAAGTGCTGGATTAACCTTTACCTTTTATTTGGGGAAAAAAAAAACAAAAGACAAAGACAAAGTTTGCAAATATTTATATAGCAATTATCAGAGTTAAGTTAAATTTACACTTTTTTGTACCTGAGTCATCAGGTTACATTTTTACCTATACCTATTTACCAAGGGATATTATTTCCAATAATATTAAAGATTCCAAGGGTCATCGACTTGTAACCTTGGGACTATAAATATCTGTTATATGAAGCTACATGTGCTAGAATGCTTAACTATAGAGAACCATGTTCATTCACTTAAAGCTGTCATCTGTGTTTGCCATAAGTAGGCAAGTCCTGTAAATTGCCATAAATAGGAAAGTCATCCTGACCAACTTTGTCATAGTTAACCCATTGCCTATGACCTCACTCTAGATTTTAATATCTCAGTAGTAGAAAGATGATGCAGATTTTATTAGAATTAGGAAAATATCTACAGGAGTTTCTTTTTCTAAAAGTTATCTGCAAGTAAAAAGTGTAATAAATGACCTAAAATATTAACATTCAAACAAGACAGAATCTATAGGCAAGACTCAATGAATGCTAAAACTAGTGGTAAAAGTTGAAGGTAACAAGATAATTACCTAAGTTTCTAATAATTTCCCCAGAATAGCAATTTTGGAGCAGACAAACTTGGCCGAAATTGCCTTAACCAAGTGATCAAAGTTAACATCCCCAATTATAGAAAAAAACATCATCATGTGCCTTCTGATATGAAGCACAGTGAAGAATAAAGCATCACTTCTGTGGTCTTTTTTGTCAAAAAGAAACCTTAATCTAATCACAAGGAAACATCAGACAAATTGAGGAAAAATCTACAAAATAATTGTCTTGCACTCTTCAAAAATGTCAGTGTCAGTCTGGTGCAGTGGCTCATGCCTGTAATCTCAACACTTTGGGAGGACAAGCGGGGAGGACAGCTTGAGGCGAGGAGTTCAAGACCCACCTGGGCAACATAGCAAGACCCCATCTCTACCAAAAAAATTAAAAATCAGCTGCCTGTGCGGGTACATGCCTGTAGTCTCAGCTACTCGGAAGACTGAGATGGGAAGATTGCTTGAACTTGGGCGTTCGAGACTGCAATGAGCTATGATCACACCACTGTACTCCTTCAGCCTGGGCAACAGAGAAACACCCTGTCTCAAAAAAATAATAATTTTATTAAAAAAGAAAAAAAAAGTCAGTGTCATAAAGACTTAGGAAGTGTCTCAGATTAAAGGAGGCTACAGCAATGTGACAACTGAATGCAATGAGAGATCTGGATTGTATTTTGCTACTAAGGGCATTATGGAGACAGTGGATAGAAGAGTACAATGATAGCATTGCATCAATGTTAGTCTTCTGATTTTAATGTTTACACTGTGGATTATGTAAAAGAATGCCCTGATTTCAGGAAATGCAAACTGACATATTCAGAGAGAGATAGGAATTGTATCTACAACTTACTCTCAAATGGGTCAGAGCAAAATATAATAGGAGAGAGGGAGAGAGCAAGAGAACTTCCTATATTCAAATTCTCCATCTCAAAGCTTGATTCCTAAATGACACACTCCTATTCATATAAGGGGTGATCTAAGAAAGGAGATTCTAAAAGGAAACTTTGAACTGTATCATCTGCTGGCCAAAAAAGAGGACCCATTGCTGGTAGCAAATGGAACACTCATGGTTTCCTGCAAAGTAGCCATGCAACTGTGAAAACATTCGCCAGGGGTGAAATGGGATTCTAGAGAGCTGCACCGTTCAATATGGCAGGCAGTAACCACATGCAGCTATTGAGTACTTGAAATGTGGAAGGTGGAAGGAGAAGAAATCAAAAGGCTCATAGAAATGGACACGCTAGAGTATATATATTATTTAAGACTAGAACCCCACCAGATGACTATGCATCGTGGGAGGGCCTGAAAGACTCTCCATTAGAGGAACAGCAGCATTATTACAAAGCTCAATGGTGGCTCTCCTCTGTAGTCCTGAAGGCATGGCAGAGGATAGGAAATGCTGTTATGTATCTGGGCTCCCTGGCAAAATGGAAACAATAGGATCTTGAAATAATAGGGGCTGGGTGGTGGTACTTTTCCACCAGAAGCAAGTTGAGTACAATTGTCATGATGAGTGGCAAAGTCAGATGACAGCCAAGGAGACAACAAAGAATATTCATTACAGAAGAAGCACTAAACAAGAAGACAGAATGACTCAGCCCATTGATGTCGTTCAGACTACATTACCAGCCATTCGTTAATGGAACAATGGATACCTAAGTGAAGCAGTCATGGTGGCAGGAATTATGGCCATGAATGGGCTCAATTGTATCTGATAGACTCACCAATCTGATAAAGACATGGACAACGGAGAACAACATGGAACCCCTGATACATCATCATTCCTCTAGGAAACCAACCAGCCTCTAAATGGCAAATTGACTATATTGGACCCCTTCCACTTGGAGGGAACACCAATTTATCTCTACTGGAATCAACACACATATTCCAAGTATGACTTTACCTGTCCTCGTAAGTCAATACCACTCAGCCAAAACCACTACATGAGGACTAACAAAGTATTTGATCTACTGGCATGTAGACCTGTATAACATCACCTTGGACCTAAACAGATACATTAGTAGGCACTAACCACAAGATGTGCCAGTCCTATTATATACCACATCACTTTGCAGCTGCTGGTCTGACTGAGCAGTGGAACAGCCCGTTTTAGATACCAACTTGGAAAGAATGTCCCGTTAGGACGAGGCACCATCTCCCAGAATGCAGCATGTACTCTAAATCAACAGTCTTATACAACTGGAGTCCCAAACCATAGGTCTGGAAACCAAGAGGTGGAAGAATGAGTGACCACACTTACCATCACTCTCAGTAACCTACTGGGGGATTATGCGCTTCCTGTTCCCACTGTTCTGGGGTCTGTGGATTGGAGGTCTTGGCTTTAGGAGAAAGTGCTCAGACTCACACTGGTGAGGGTCTGGGTCTTGTTACCAGGTAAGTCATTAGCATATAGACAGAGGGTGAATGATTCTGATTGTTGTGGTTTGGATTTGTGTCCTGCTCAAATCTCATGTCGAATTGTAATCCCCAATGTTGGAGGAGCGTGATTGGATCATGGGGACGGATTTCCCCCTTGCTGTTCTGGTGATAGTGAGTGAGTTCCCAAAGGATCTGGTTGTTTAAAAGTGGGTAGCACCTCCCCATTTGCTCTATTCCTCCTGCTCTGACCACATAAGACCTGCCTGCTTCCCCTTCTACCATGACTGAAAGTTTCCTGAGGCCTCCCCAGCCATGCTTCCTGTACAGCCTGTGGAAACATGAGCCAATTAAACCTCTTTTCTTTATAAATTACCCAGTCTCCAGGAGTTCTTTATAGGAGTACAAGAACAGACTAATACACTGATTGACATGAAGAAGTAGGTTTGTTCTACCATGGAGGCAGGAAGCTGTGCTTCAGGAATTCATTCGAAGAGGAGCAAGGCAGGTGGAACAATTGGAGGTCTTGGTGCCTCCAAGACCAAGAGTAGCTACAGAAATCCCACCAACCAAACCCTGATGAGGACAAAGCAACTGAGGACCTCAGTGCTATGGAGATGAAGGTCTGAATCGCCCCAGCAGGCTGACTCATATATGGTTTGCTTCACTAATCCTTGTGTATCTTTTTTAGACTTGTCTGGACACCAAGAGGAATGTGGGAGCCTTTGGAATGTTTCGAGCAGAGCAGTGACATGGCCTGACTTAAAATTTACAGGACATAGGTGCTAGTTTACAAATTCACAGAAACAGACTACGATGAAGAGAATAGACAAGGGAGGGCAAAGGCAGAGGCAAGAGTTGTCTGGGGGCTGTGGCAAGTATCTAACCAGAGACAGTGGCGGATAGGCAGGGAGCAGCAGCGGAAGCAGAGGCAGGAGACTTTCCTGTCTGATCAGGTGTGGAGCGTGAAGATAAAAGATACAGCAAGATGACCCCAATGTATGGAGCCTGAACAACCAGAAGGATGGTGGTGCTGGTAAGTAAAATGGAGGAACCTATGGGTGAGGTGAGGTGAGGAGGATCGGGAGTGCAGTGTTGGCCTTGTAAAGTCCATGTTACTGGCTCCTGGGGGGACTCCTCCTCTTTTCTGAGTGTTCCTGGTGGGCTCATCAGTCATGGTACGCAACAGCAAAGGCAAATGACTCAGTCTGACGAAGCCTCAGCTATTGGTTCAGAGATGGGTTGCAGCCCAAGTGGGGCCAGTTAGATTCCTCCATGGGATTGATATGCAGACAGAAAAGTTCTCTTCCTATGACGTGCCTAAGCTGAGAAGCCACGAGCCTAGAGCTGCCAAAAGCTGCCTAGCCCAACTCATGGGAAAGAACTTGCCTGTGAAATGAAATTCAGGAAAGACAAGTGGAACAAAGAGTTGAAAAGAAGTTTTATTTATTATGTCTTTAAACTACCCTGGATCCAGCCTTACCTGGAGGTCACAAATCCCCACTGATTACTGAGCCAATCATCTATCTATTGCCTTTCAGCATCAAATGTCTTCTCCATTACCTACTCTGCAAAGATAGACCTGGATCTTTTCAATACCCTTCTCTTTGCCAGTTGGTATAACATTAAGATTTATCAGTAGAGGGGGTTGGAGAGACACTACAGGAGAGAGTGAATTTTTTTTTTCCTCCTGGTCCCAGGATGCAAATTGGGCCAACTCCTAGGACACACACAGCTTCCCTCTGGGTCTAGCTCCGGCAGCACAGATGGCTCCCCGAGCGCCTGGCTCCTGCAGGGCGCAGCAGCATCCCTTGGCAGCCCTCAGGTGACTTTGCAGCACAGTGCCGCTGGTGAGACATCTCCCTGTGAGCACCTTTCCTTGAACCCCTGAGAGCAGAGATTTCTGGCAAGTTCTGGAGGGCTTGTTTCCAGTAACACTGGCATGGCAGCACAGCAACTTTCTGCTCTTCAGCAAGCTTCAGCCAAGCCACTTCCAACCCAGTTCTGATCTCAGCCTCAGGAGTGGTGGCTGCTCCTTATATCAGCTAGCGCTATATCCTTTCAGTTCTCTTGCTTTTTTCAAGCCAATGCCTCATTACTCTAATCCCTTGTTACAATCAACGCTTCTTTATATCAAACTGACCCTGTTCATGTGTATTTGTGGATTTCTGTCTCTTTATGGTAGCCTAATACAATACCATTTACATGATAAAGCCCCTCTTTGCTTAAGCTACTTTATTTCTATCCCTTGCAACTGACAGAGTCTGAAAACTGATGCACAAGTAGAGAAACAATTAAAATTACTTTAATATTGCCGAGGCCTGGCTGCCATGAGTAGTCAGGGAGGATTCTTAATTCATCTAGAGAAGATGATGCCTAAGCTGAATTTGAAGGCCACACCACCCACATTTATCCCCTTTCTACACCATAACGCCTGGGCCACTGAGGCCTAGCTGAGAGGATGGTTTGCTCCAGAAAATGTTCCCAGGGCTCTCAGTTAGAAGTTCCCCCTCCTCACTCAGAACCTCCCACCAACTTGCCCATGATCCGTCATAGGACACTTGGCCCCTCCAAGCTTGCATCACAGCCATGTACGTGCCTGACTTAGGTGGCAGAGACTGCTGGTATGCACCAGCATCCGTGCTCTCTTCTTCTCCCAGAGCACAAAAACTGCATTTCCAACCTCGCTTGCAATTCAGTGTGTTCACATGACTGAGTTCAGGCCATGGGAATATGAGCAAGTGAAGTACACATCTGAGTTGACCCACTGTGCCCTCCCATTCACAATTCTGACTTCCTTTCCCTCTCTATCAAACTGAATGCAGAGAATTCCAAGGACCCAGAGAAGAAGGGAGCCACAAGATTGGAGGAACCTGGGTCTCTGAATGTCTGTGAGGGACCCACCCTGACACACCCTGTATCTGAAAGTGATGTGTGTGAAAAATAAACATTTGTGGTGTTAAGTGACTGAATTTTCAGTGAGATTTCATCTGTCATAATCACATATCTTTATTTCTCCACTAAGCCAAGAGGTGTTCAAAAGAAAACCCTGTGTTGTACTCATCTCTGGACACCAAGTCCCTGGCTGCAGTGTGTACTCAGCAAATATTCTTTTGGTATATTCCAAGATATCTGCCTTATTCTCAGTCTTTTGAAATTTAAGTGAAATGTGTTTAAGCTTCACCTCCATTGCAATCTCTTTAGGGACTTAGGAGAAGAGTGAGGGAGAGAAGTAAAGAAGAGTTTTTGTTTTCCTTGTTGTCCCTGGCTCTAAGTTCTTACTTTCCTGCTTCTTGTCCCTGTTTTGTACCCTCTTGCCCTAGATGGGACTCTTGACTCTTCCTCTTGATTTGTACAAAGAAACTTACTTGTATGAGGTATGTGACTCTCTGGAGGAATTTACTGAATATTTGAGGAGAGAAGAAAGGGAGTATTGCACACAATGCAAATGCAAATAATGCAAGTTAATTGTTCCTAAAAATTATTTTGGAGGATGACATCAGTGGCAGTGGTGAGGTAAGGACGTCGAAAAATCCACTCTTCCATAAAAGCCACACGAACACTGGCAAGAATTGCCAAAATCTATTTTTTCAGGACTCTTAAACAAAGGCTTGTAGCAAGCTGGGAAGCATTTACTCAAGTAAAGCAGCTGAATCTTATTATTATTTTTTTTAACGCGAGCCATGTAGAATCTTAACCTGCCCTATTTCCATTCCCCCATTCCTCTGCTCCATACCACGCTTGAAAACCAACAGCACTAAATCACAGTGAAAAACAGCAGCCTGCAAGCCACTGGAAGGCAGTAGAATGGGACTGAAGCTCTTCCAAATGCTCATTTTGAAAAGACTGAGACTATTTGACCTCTCTGGTATTTCACTGGAAAACTTTATTTGCAGAACTTGTCTTTATTTGACTGACTCAGAGCTTTCCCAGTGGGCATTTGTGAAAAATATTTAGTAGCAATTGTTAGACATGGTAGCTGCCTGAGGCAGTAATCACAGTTGGGACAAACAATAGGCTGACCAACTTAAAAAAGGAAAATAGGGGAATGAGATGTCCAATGGGGGCTTTGCAAAGTTCCTGGGAATCTAGAAGGTCACATGCATGTGTGGGGCTGTACTCATGCCCAGGAAAGACCCAAGTGGGCCCTAAGCTCTCACTTCTGACTCACCTTGAGGTTTTATGCAAACAGGAAGTAAAGGCTAAGGCAGAATTGTAAGCTACTTAAACGAACATTGAATGCATGTCCCAAACACACAAAGAGCCCTTTGGTATAGTCTAGGAGACTCATTGGTCCCAGGCATTAAAGGAAATAACTCTCTGATTATTCACTGACCACTAAATTAATCAAGTGGAGATGGCAATGGCCCCAAACAATAAAGAATAGAGACTTTATATAATTAGTTTAGGGAAGTCACTCAGCAAACCAACAGCAACAACAATAACAATAAATAATAATGGCATGTACGGTGGCTCATGCCTGTATTCCCAGAACTTTGGGAGGCCAAGGTGGGCAGATCATGAAGTCAGGAGTTCAAGACATGCCTGGTTAACATAGTGAAACCCTGTCTGTACTAAAAATACAAAAAAAAAAAAAAATTAGCCGGGCATGGTGTTGGGTGCCTGTAATCCCAGCTACTTGAGAGGCTGAGGCAAGAGAATAGCTTGAACCCAGGAGGCAGAGGTTGCAGTGGGCGGAGATCATGCCACTGCACTCCAGCCTGGGTGACAGTGCAAGACTCCATCTCAAAATAATAATAATGATAATAATAACAACAACAAAAGTATTATTGTTTAGTGACTTTGTTTATTGTTGTTGTTATTATAAAAGTCTTTTAAATAATGATGGTGATGATGATGATGATGCCTGTGCTACTGTGCTATTCATGGAAATACCTTAGGTTTCACTTTTCACAGCTGTAGTTATCCAGGGTCAACTGTGGTCCAAAAATTTGTGAAAAATTCTAGGAATACACAATTTATAAGTTTTAAATTGTGCACCTTTCTGAGTAGCACAATAAAATCTCATGCCATCCCACTCCATCCCACGTGGGACATGAATCATCCCTTTGTCCAGGGTGTCCACACTGTATGGGCTACCTGCCCACTAGTCACTTAGGAACTGTCTCATATATCAAATCGATTCTGACAGCACCATCGTGCTTACGTTGAAGTAATCCTTATTTTACTTAATAGCAATTCATCTATGCTAAAGAGAAGGTGTAAACTGTTTTCCTTTAAGTAAAAAGGTGAAAGTTCTCTAATTAACAAGGAAAGGAAAAAGATGTATGCTTAGATTGGTAAGATCCACAATGCAAACAAATCTATCCAAGAAACTGTGGAGAAGGAGAAAGAAATTCATACTAGCTTTGCTGTCATACATCACACTGCAAAAGTTGCAGCTACAATGTGTGCTAAATGCTTAGTTGAGATGGAAAAAACATTAAATTTGTGAGTAGAAGACATGAACAGAAAATATGTTCCAACTGAAGACAATGTGTTCTTCCAGAAAGTATTGAGCCTTTACAAAGACTTCAGCAAGGAGGTCCCTGAAACAAGTGGCACCAAGACATTTACAGCAAGTAAGGGATGGCTACATAGATTAAGGAATATAGAAGGTCAATAGTAGGCTAATGTTACATCTCAATGCCTACATCATTCACTTCACTTTCTCTCATTACATAGGCATTGTATCATCTCATCACAAGAAGTGAGTGAGTACAGTACAATAAGATATTTTGAAAGAAAAAGAGAGAAACCACATTCACATAACTTTTGTTACAGTATATTGTTAGAAGTTTTCTATTTTATTGTTGTTGTTCATCTCTTACTGTGCCTAATTTATAAATTAAACATCACCATAGATATATATGTAGAGAAGAAACATAGTATATATAGTATTTGATGTTATGCACGTTTTTAGGCGTCCACTGTGGATCTTTAAATATATCCCCTGTGAACAAGGGGGGCGGGGATGTTATTCTGTCAGAAAAATGAGATACAAATTATTTTCTTAAAAGAACCAGATAGAAATTTTAGAGATGAAAATTATAATAACTGTCCCAAACTTAAGAGATGTAGTTTAAAAAAACAAAGCAAATGAAATGGGAAATTCACTAGAGGGATTCCACAGCAGATTTGAATAGCAGAAGAAAAAAATCAGCAAACTTGAGGATGGATCAGTTGAGATTATCCAGTCTGAGGAACAGAAAAAAAAAAAAAGGAATGGGCCGGGCGCCGTGGCTCACGCCTGTAATCCCAGCACTTTGGGAGGCCGAGACAGGTGGATCACTTGAGGTCAGGAGTTCTAGACCATCCTGGCTAACACGGTGAAACCCTGTCTCTCCTAAAAATACAAAAAATCAGCTGGGCGTGGTGGCAGGTGCCTGTAGTCCCAGCTACTTGGGAGGCTGAGGCAGGAGAATGGTGTGAACCCAGGAGGCGGAGCTTGCAGTGAGCCGAGATCGCGCCACTGCACTCCAGCCTGGGCGACAGAGCTAGACACCATCTCAAAAAAAAAAAGAAAAATGAACAGAGTCTCAGAGACCTGTGGGACACTATCAAGTGTATCAACATACACATAATAAGAATCCCAAAAGTTAAACAGATGAGTGCATAAAAATATTTGAAGAAATAATAACCAAAAGTTTCTCAAATTTGATTTAAATACATTAATCTGCACCTATAAGAAGCTCCACAAACTCCAAAGAGGATAAATTCAAAGATATCCACACTTACACACATCATAATCAAATTGTTCAAAGCCAAAGAGAAAATCTTAAAAGAAGTATAATTAATAATATAATAAATTAATTAATAATTTTACTTCTATTAAGATCTCTCACCAGAAACTATGAAGGCCCGAAGGAAGTAGGGTGACATATTCAATCTACTGAAAGAAAAAAACTCAAGAATTCTATCTCCAACAAAATCCTCTCATGATAAAAACAGTTAACTAGGCATAGAAGGGAACTTCTTCAACTTCTAAAGGCCATCTACAAAAAGCAACAGCTAACATCATACTTAATGATGAAAAAATGAAAGTTTTCCCTTTAAGATCTGGAATAAGAGAAGAATGTCCATTCTCCCCACTTATATGAGCATTGTACTGAGAATTCTAACCAGGACCACTATCAAGAAAAGGAAATAAAAGGCATCCAGATTGGACAGTAAGAAGTGAGTCTATCTTTATGCAGATGACATTGTCTTGTAAATAGAGCTAATAAATGAGTTCAGCAATGTTGTAGGATATAAGATCAATACAAAAATCAGTTGTATTTCTTTCTGTATGCTAACAATGAATTATCTGAAAATGAAACTAAGAAAACCAGTTCACTTAGGAGAGCATCAAAATAAATACTTACGAATAAATTTTTTAAAAGAAGTGCCAGATTTATAAACTTAAAAATGCAAAATATTGTTGAAAAGAATTAAAGACCTAAGTAAATGGACAGCAGTCCATGTTCTTAGATTGGAAGACTTAATATTGTGAGGATGGCCACACTCCCCAGTACGCGCATACTCTCCAGAGCCCCCTACAGATGGAATGCGGCCCAGTTAAATCCCAGCTACCTTTCATGTTGGCAGAAATTAACAAGCTGATCCTAAAATTCGTATTGAAATGCCCAGAACCCAGAGTTGCCAAAGCAATCTTGAAAAGGAAGAACAAACTTGGAGAACTCACACTTACCAATTTTAAATCATATTACAAAGCTATAGTAATTAAGAGAGTGTAGTATCGGCATATGGATAGACATGCAGAAGAATGGAACTCAGAGCCCAGAAACACACTCTTAAATTTATGATCAATTAATTTTCAGCATGTGCCATGATAATTCAATGGGGAAAATAAAAGCCTTTTCAACAAATGGTACTGGATATCCACATGCATGCAAAAGAATGAATGTGGACCTTCACCTTACACATATATAAAAACTAACTCAAAATAGATAAGAGACCAACACGTAAGAGCTAAAACTATAAAACACTTAGAAGAAAGAAAGAGACATACATCTTCTTTACCTTGGATTAGGCAATGACTTCTTAGATGTGATACCAAAATCACAAACAACACAAGTGTGAAAAAATTGGACTTCATCAAAACTAAAAACTTTTGTATTTCAAATGACACTATCAAGAAAGAAAAGCAACAACCCACAGAATGGAAGAATGTATTTGCAAATCATATATCTACTAAGGGACTTGTATCCAGAATATATTTTAAAAAAAACTCTTACAAGTCAACAATAGAAAGATAAATAATTCCATTATTAAAGGGTAAAAAATTTAAGTAGATATTTCCACAAAGAATATATGCAAATGGATAATATATACATGAAAAGATAATATTATTAGTTATTAGAGAAATGCAAATCAAAACCACAATGAGGTATTACTTCACACACACTAAGATGGCTATAATTTTTTAATTAAAAATAACAAGCATTGGCCAGGAGGTGGAGAAATTACAACCTTCATGCATAGCTAGTGATAATGTAAAATGGTGTGGCCACTTTAGAAAATGGTTTGCCACTTCCTCAAAAAATTAAACATAGAGTTGCCATATGACCCAGCAATTCCACTCCTAAGTATACACAAGAGAAGTGAAAACATATGTTCACACTAAACCTGGACAGGAATGTTCATAGTAGTGTTACTTGAATAGCAAAAAAGGAAGAAACAATCCAAATGCCCATCGACTGATGAGTGGGTAAACAAAATGTGGTCACTCCATGCAGGCAAATATTACTGAGCCATTAAAAAAATGAAGTACTGATCCATGCTACGACATGCATGAATTTTAGAAACATTATGCTGAGTGAAAAATGACAGACACAAAAGACCACATATTGGTGATTCCATTCATAATGTCTAGAATAGGCAAATGTGTAAAGACAGAGGGCAGATTCATGGTTGCCGGGGCCTGGAGGGCGAGGTGGGGGAATAGGGAGTATTGCTAATGGGTACAATGTTTCATTTTAGAGAGATAAAAATGTTCTGGAATTAGATAGAGCTGATAGTTGCACAACTTCGTGAATATACTAAAAACCATTTATTTGCACAATTCAAGAGGGTAAGTTTTTTGGTGTGTGAATTAGATCTTAATTTTTTAGAATGTAAGCATAAATTATTTAGTATTTATCTCCTCAAATACTAGCCTGTTGCTGCATTGCCTGCTTTCCCCCCTCTCTTCTTCTATCTCTCCTTTACCACCAGCAACAACATCAAATAACTCTTTTATTCATCTGAGTAATTCATCTCTCTCCAGCCCATACACCATGACTTAGCTCTGTCTGCATACTTGCACCTGAAGGGCTCACCAATATGTTTTAATATTATGACCCATGTTCTTCAGTCATATCAGCCAGAAAAGAGGGGTGCAGAGGGCAATTCTGTAATCAGGCTCTGTGTTCAAAGATTGGCTCATCCCTTGGGCAAGCTCTTGACCCCTCTGTGCTTGAGTTTCTTCATTACACGGTGGGCCTAATCACAGCAGTATTTCAGTGTTTTGTTGGGCAAAGTAAATGAGATGGTAAGATTAATATCTTACATTTACTTTTTCACGGCATGTACTGTTATAGTAATTTAATGCTTATTGGGCTATTCGTATGTGCCACGCATTATCATCATTACTCATCACAACAAGATAGGTATTTTTGTTATTAAAATCCCATAAGCCATAGTCACTTTCAAGGAAATGGCAGAGCAGGATTCAGACACAGGCCCCTCTTAACCACAAGACAGCATACTCAGCAACTCAGCTAACTCTTGCACCGTTCTCTGTGCACTAAGAACTGTTATCTCCATTTTACAGATGAATAAGTTGAGGCAGAGAAAGACTCAGCCCTCAGGCCTGTAAGCACTCAATAAATGTTAGCTAGCAGCAGGATCAACTCATAATGATTTCTTATTCCAATTCTGTGTGAATTATTCCACACACACACACACACACACACACACACATACATCCCTTTTGAAGGCACTAGTGGCCAGCCACCTTTGCTTTGGTTCTAATTAATGTTATTCCTCCTCTATTAAACACAGAGGGTAATATATCAGACTCGGTGCCTTCCAGAAGCTCATAGTGTACCCAGGGAAGACAGATGTGTCCTCCCAGATCGCGCTAATGTAAGGCAGGGGCTGAAACATAACTTCTGCAGGTCCTGCACATAACAGTTCTCAGTAGACAAGTGAAAGTTGGGTGGATGACCACTGATAACTGAGAAGGCAGAAGTTATTTCTAGATGGAGATACAGGAGAATATCATGGAAGATATGGTGTTTGCCAAGTGTGTGAATGGAAGGTACATGGAGTGAAGCACAGTAAATATGCTGATTGCTAAGTAAACAGTGTAGAGAACAACACAACATTCTGTTTGGGAACTATAGGCTTGTCATTTTGCATGTAACCACTAGAGGGAAGTCCAATACACGTTGGCATTTAGAAGAAAGTTGGTTTTGGTTTTAATCTTGTTTCTTTCTTTACCAGGCCAGATCTTCAACAAGGTCTTCTAAGTTTGTAGCATCCAGGGATTTGATTCATTCTGAGCATTCCTAATATCCCTGCACATTAAAGGGTCCTGGCTAAAATGTTCATTTGTGACATTCGTATGAAAGAACGACAAAGATTTTTTTTTTCTAAGCATGACCGGCTCCCTCTCCTCCCGACTCCAGTGCTCCAGTAAGAGGATCCTGAGCACCTTCTCTTCTTCCCCGAAGCTTTCCTCACCCTAAACAGCTTCTACTCATTTCACTTCCCTGTGAGTCTCCCCAAGCAGAGCAGACAAACTTAATTGTTCCATTAATATTTATTACATTGCATTGTAATTGTTTGTATTGTCTTCAGATTTCTTCATAGTTAGAAGATTGCTCTTATTTTTTAATGTATCTCATATGCATTTCACGAAAGGCTGGAGGGCTTGATCTGCCTGTGTCTTTTAGCCGTCGGGGAAACCAACTGTCACACCCCTGCTGGCCTGTGCTGGACCAGTCATTTCCCTGTCTCACCCACAGAAGGGGCACTCCTGGAGGCTGGGGGTGTACTATCCCAGACTGCTTGGTATCCTCAGTGCTAGCTAGCAAAGTACCTCAGTGCTAGCTAGCAAAATAAAGAACAAGAGAATGAATGGAATAGCCATTCTGATCCCTGACCAGGGCTCTGACTGTCAGGACTCACTATCTTGCCACAAGGTTTTTACCTGCTGGAATGCCTAGAACCAAGGTCAAGGGACTAGTGTCCATGGAATGGCAGCATCTCAGCATATCATGTCCCTACTCCATCTTCCAGCCTTCATGGCTTCCTAATACACCTGGAATAAAACTCTGACTCCTCCTCATGATCTACAGGGCCCTACATGATTATTCAGCCTCCTCTTTTATTTCGTTTCCTACTGCCCTCCCCATCCCCATGCTCCCAACTGCACAGCCTCTGTCTTCACACACACCCTGCCCGTCCTGCTCCTACCTGGGCCTCGGCACACACAGGTTCCTCTCCCTGGAACACCCTTCCTTCCTATGATCCCTGGGCTGGCTCTGTTTTATTATCCAGATCTCATTTTCAGTGTCACTTCTTTGTGAGGCCTCACCTGGTCATCCAACCCAAAATAGGCACTCATCATCCCTGCTCACAGCATCCAGTGTTAATGCTCTGCATAGCATCCACCTGGGTTTCCCTGTGTTGGTTTGCTTATTGTCTGGTGCCCCAGCAAGACAATAAGATCCAAGAGAGCAGGGATCCAGGAGAACAGGGACCCTTCACCAGCACATCCCTAGTGCCCAATACAGAGCTTGGTCCAGAGCGGACCCAGATTTCTCGAACAAATGCTCCCAGGATGAAACCTGCAGCTTCCTCTGGATCGATGTGTCTGCCCTCCTACCCCACACCCTGCTGCCTCCAGACCTTGCCCTTCGACCACAACAAGACAAGACACACAGAAGGAGGCAAAGTTTCCAAGAAGAAGTGAGGTTGGGGGAAAGGGTGCTGGGCTGATGGAACAGGGATCTGGGATTTAAGAGCCAGCAAATGCACCTCTGGAAGCTTTCAGATGGCTCTGCATTTTCAGAGGTCAGCAAGAGAGCGACACAGCAGCACAGAGCAGGGGCGAGGCAACTAGAGGGCCTGGATTTGAACCCCAGCTCCTCTACTTACTAGGGATGACCTGAGACAAATTATTTCACTTCCCCATGCCTCAGTTTCCTTGCCTTTAAAATGGAGATGATAATTATAATACTTACCTTGAAAAGTTTTGGTGGATGTCATTTACTTAATGCTTTTACAGATTATGAACAAATTTTAGCCGTTATTATTAGTACTTGCCCTATTATATCAAGAGGGTTATTTGTGCATGTGTGTGTCCCTAGAGGAACTGTCAACTCTAGTAGGAAAAGGAGGGTGACTGTGCCCTGTTCTTCCCGAGTGCCCAGAACCTTCCACCATGTGTGACACATCCTTTGATCAACTGGTTTCTTATCTCAGTTGAAAACCAAGAGTTCCGGGATACAGGGGCCTTTGAGTCCTCTTGCACCTGGCAGGAGCTCTGTTCTACTTGGACGTGTTTCTGTTTCCTCACCTTTTAATTTATCTACCTTTAACAAGCCATGGACAAGTTCCCTCATTTTCTAAAAGGAGCCACTTTGCAAGAGTGGGCTGGACCCATACGCCAGGAGATGCAGCTATGTCAAACATTGAAATAGAGGCCTTTCCTTTCAGGTGATTTCAACTTCCCCCAACCCCTCTTGAACAGCATTGCTCCATCTCAAGACCTCACAGAAAATCTCTCTCTGAGAGGAATGTAATGTATGTCCCATGGAATTGCCAATATTGCAGCCAATTTCCAAGGAAAATTGCCTCTATCCATCAAAGCAGCCCTGAGCCAATGTGCATTAGTGAGGAAGACCCAGGCCAGACTCTCCGGAGGGTTGTCTCAAAGGCAGTGGGAAGAAAGCCCATCGCTTGAATGAAATAAAATAAGACAAGAAAGGAAGGAAAAGAAGAACCATCCCAAATCAATAAAAGTCTCCCCAGGTAGTCCCTTCGCCACCCAGGACAAAACCAGGGCCAGACACTATCCTACAGTCCAGGCAAGTGGGTTTTTCAGCCACCTTCTCCCAGGTGGGAAACAGGAGTAGTAAGACAGGTCAGGAGTTTAGGAGGCTGCAGGACCATCACTGCATGGGTGGCTACCCCTAAGCAAGTAGACTCTGGGCCAGGCTCCTGCAGGGAGACCAACCAGGCTGCTCTTCCCTCCCCTCTCATCCATCAATTCCAAGCCTGCCCGAGAGGGGTGATGCAGACATCCCTCCAGAGAGATCAATAATGAAGAACACAACCAATAAACACATTCCTCCAGAATCCATTCGGGCATTTCCTCAGGGTTGATAGGATAACCCAGTGGTAGTCTCGAAACAATGAGACTCAGCTGAGAGGGGCACCTGAGCTTCTGTCACTCACAGGATCTTCTGAGCTGTGAGAGCAGTGACTCTGTCCAGCACCGAGCTAACCCCTTTAACACCTGTACCTACCCGTGGAACCTCACGACCACTTACTTACATTTACAAATGACTCAACAGAGGCTCAGAGAGGCTAAGAAAAGTGTCCAAAGTCTCAGGATTTGTGGCTAAGGTTTGAACCCAGATCCCCCAGAACCTTTCCACTCCAATGCTCTGGCTCCTCTCTCTGGGCCTCGGTTTCTTTGTCTGTACAATGGGAAGAACACTGCTTCTGTCACAGGGTTTGCCAAAGATAATTCAGGTCATGAAAGCATCTGGCAGCTGACACAAGGCTTCACACAGTATGAACTCAAAAAAGGAATTGTCTTTCATGCTCATGTCAGGCAACTCAGCCACAGCTTAACACAGACAACTCTGCTTTGGATTAACTCTTCCTCTGCTGGGCCAGATATTGTGCCCTCCCTGAGAGAAGATGGCCCCACACTGACTTCCACATCCCTACTCCTGACACAGTGCTTGGATACGATGGTGCATGATTACTGTTTCTGGGACTGAACTGCATTCACTGGCCTTAGCCTGAATGGGGAAGATGAAGAGATTGAAATATTTTCTGGTGAGGCTTATAACAAGCAATAAACTCTGAGCCTCCTTAAGCCCGGCAGCAAAATGAAAAGATGAAGCCAAAAAGGATCCTGCTCCTCAAAGCAATCAGTGCATTCCAGCACTTGATCTGTTCAGGTAGCTCAGCCACAGTGGAAGACACATTTTCTTTCTTTTCGTTGAGAAAGAGAGCGGCAACTTGGGCCTTGGCTGGAATCAGGAGCCTCTCCGTTTACATGGCTGTTTGGATGGAAAATTTGGATCAAAGCTGCAAGACCCTTGCAGGCTACCTCTTGAGTGAGTTGGGAGCTTAAGTGATCAAATGACTTCCAGGGGTGGATATCCCCAGTTGGCCAATGATGAAAGCCAAGTGCTTCCTGCAGTCACCCAGCAAAACTGCTGGAAAACAAAAAATCGTATTCACTATTCTCATGTGCACAACCTCAGCTTCATTCAGGAAGCACTTACAGAGCTGACTCTTAATACATTCAAGGAACTGAGCTAAGTACTGCAGGGAAACAAGAGGCTGTGATAGTACAGTAGAAAGGGTGTGCACTTGGAACCTAGAGTCTGGGTTTAAATTCTAGCCCTGCCACCTTGCCATAGAATGACCTTAGGTGAGTCACTCCAACCCTGAAGACCTAGTTCCCTCTTTGGCAAAGTGAGTCGGGAAGATTTGGGCAGTCATAGTCAGATATTACATGTCATATGATTCCACTGGAACAGACCATAGACAAATGATATCTGCTCTCAACTCTGCTCTGCAGATCAATCACAATCTTGGAGGCAGCAGGTGAAACCAAGCAGGTTTGCTGGTGCTGATTTTATGTATTCTCATTTCATCAAGAGTTGTGTGGATGACAAAGAAGAACCTCTACCATACAGGATGTTCTTTTCCTAATCAGCTTTCTCTGACCATTTGCCAGCTGCCTCCTCTTCGTTCAGGTTAACTATACCTGGTTCAGGTTAAATACACCTGTCTTAGGTTAACTAAGGAGGCCCTTTTATTCAGAAATATTTAAGAAAATAAAGAAATCATTGAGAATGACAGAAACCAAGCTAGAATGAAACATATACAATTTTAAATCTGGGCTCAAATACAACATACCACTACATTGGGGATTTCAAAATATCAATATACAGAAGAATATTGGCAACATTTTGGAAACAGTTGAGAATGTTCATGGGATTCACTTCAGTGCCTTCTCCCTAGGAGTAGGGAAAGCCTCAGCTATGCAGGAAGATGGGAGATTTTCCTGTCCCTCTCCTGCCCGGCTGCTTTTCTTCATGCATCATGCCATGAACAAGGCAGATTGTTCTCCGAGAGATGGAGTCTTCTCAGAGACAGCATGGCGGTGAGCCAGCTAGGGGTGTTAGAAAGAACATGAGTAGAGAACCCAGACCAGGGTTTAAATCCACATCACATCATCTGAGGTTGTGTGGCTCAACTTGAACCACAGTTATCACATTTATAAAATGAGAATAACCATACCTAATTCATAGGGTGATAGAGATAACTAGGCAACACACTGGTAAAGCACTCAACACATAGAAGCTCCCAATATATGATGACGATTCTTATGATCTCTTAGTGGAGAGTCGGCCAAGCATATGTTAGTCTATTCAGGATGCTATAACAAAAATGCCATAGACTGAGTGGCTTAAACAACAAACATTTACCTCACACTGTTGTGAAGACTGAGGAATCCAAGTTCGAGGTGCTGGCAGACTTGGGGTCTAGTGAGGGCTTCCTGGTTCATAGATGGCCATCTTCTCCCTGTATTCTCACATGGCAAAAAAATAAAAATAAAAATGAGAGTTCTCTCTGGGGTCCTTTTTCCAAGGGTAATAATCCCATTCATAAGGGCTTCATCCTTATGACCTAAGCACCTCCCAGAGGCCCTACCTCCTAATAACATCACATTTGAGGGCAGGATTTCAACATTTGAATTTTGGGGGGACACAAACATTCAGTTCATTGCAAGGGGCTAAGTCTGGTCAGCTTTGCAGAGTCAGAAATCAGATTGTATCATCCCATGGAGAGTTTAAACCACATACCCTGAGGCTGAAACAAATAAAAATGTTAATTTACTCATTTACACTGAGAAATCACTGCTCTGGTGTATTAGTTTCCAACAGCTGCTGTAACAAAACCACAAATTTAGTGGCTTACAACATCACCAGTGTATGATCTTACAGTTCAGCAGATCAGAAGTCTGGCATGGGTCTCATTGTTGGTAGGAAAATTACTTTTGGGGGCTCTAAGGCAGGATCCCTGTTCTTTCTCCTCCAGCTTCTAGGGGCCTCCTGCACTCCCTGGTTCATGGCCCCTTCCTCCGTCTTCAAAGCCAGTAACAGTGGGCTGAATCCTTCTCAGCTTACATCCTTCTAACCTCACTCTTCTTCTGCCTTCCTCTTCCACTTTTAAGGACCCTTGTGATTACCTTGAGCCCACCCAGATAATCTAGAATAACCTCCCTAATTTAAAGTCAGCTGATTAGAAACTATAATCCCATTTGCAACCTTAACTTGCCTTTGCTGTGTAACACAGCATAGTCACAGTTCCCGGGGATGAAGATGTGAACATCTTTGGTTCCACCTACCACACATGAGAACAAGAATACTTGAGTCCATTTCACCACTCCATGATTTCCCCGTAGGCAGGCTTACCCACAGGCTTGGTGAGCATGCAACTGGAGCCTAGGTGGTGTCAGGCTTACACAGTCAATGGTATCTACCTCCACCATGGGCATAACTTGACCAATGGACCCAGAAACCAGTATGACTCCCACCCTGATGAAAGCTGGATAGGGTCCTGGCGATATTTATCATCTGTGACTCCCTTTGCCATCCCTCCAAGTCCGACAAACCACCGCTGACACCACCAGCCAGTGCCAACTTCTGATGGTCCCATTTTCTCTCTTTTTTTTTTTTTTTTTTTTTTTGGAGATGGAGTCTTGCACTGTTGCCCGGGCTGGAGTGCAATGGTGCGATCCCCACTTTCTCTTTAAAGGTTAATCCTAAGTGTTAAGTGGCTGTGTAGTAAATGTGTCCCCTGCCCCCTGCCAAAAATTGATATTTTGAAACTATAATTCTCAGTGTGGTGGTATTTAGAGATGAGGTCTTTGGGCAGTAATTAGGTCATGATGGTGGAGCCCCAGAATGGAATTAGTGCCCTCATAGGAAGAGATAGGAGTTTGCTTCCTCTCTCTGTGCTGTCCACCATGTGAGGACACAGCAAGACGACAGCCGTCAGAAAACCACGAAAAGAGCCCCCAACAGAACTCAATCACACTGACACTCTGATCTAGAACTTCCTAGGCTCCAAAACTGTGAGAAATATTCTCTGTTGTTTAAGCCAGCCAGTCTATGATAATGTGTTATAGCTGCCCTGGCCAATCAAGACAGGTGGCCTGAGTGTCTTCATGCTAAAATCGCTACATTTTGCACCACTCTTTTCTGATCCATTAAGTGTGGAATTTAAAGTTCAACTCTCCATGTGTAGAAGTATGTTTCCCGATTCTTAGGAAACTTCTAACTATGACCCCTAAGTCCTCACAACATCATTGATTCAATCCTGTGCATACTCATGGGAGACTTCTTTGTGTCAAGCACAGTGATATAACAGGGGGTGAATCAGACATGGCCCATCCCTCAAAAACCTCACCCTGCTTTGAGCCACATAGGACTGCACAACACTGATCATATAAGACACACCATACCACAATCTTCAAGAGGGGAGAGACAACTGTAAGCGAGGGTGAGCAGGGAAGAGCCACTAATGCCGTGACGTGGCCATTTCAACACTAATTGAGTCATTTGACTGTGGAAGGCTTTGTACTGTGACCCATTTTTATAATGCCCAGATTTCAATTGTAAGCAATTTTCCCTTAATTTTGAATACTAACTAAAAGGAAAAGAACAAATGGTTTGTTCTTAGGATCATACAATAGGTATGAAACCGTATGCTATATTTTTTCAGTTGCCAAGTTCTTAATTATGTTCTTTATGTTGTGCATAATGATGAGTATCTATTGTGTTTTTTTTTAGGATCACTAGGCAGGTATTATCTTTTATCAGGTACCAACAACAGCTGACATTTACTGAGTGCTTACTTCTTGCTGGGCACTGTGCCTAGCATTTTACATGTCTCTCATCACTCAATCTTCACAACAATGCTATGAGGTTGTGCTGTTATCTTGACTTTGCATATGAGAAAAACGATGCTTACAGAGATTAAAAAAATTTCCCAAGACCACATAGCTGGTCAAGGTTAGAGTCCAAATTTGAACCCAGGGAGTCCAACATCAGAGGCTCTGAACTTACAG
Organism: Homo sapiens; assembly: GCF_000001405.40. NCBI lineage: Eukaryota > Metazoa > Chordata > Mammalia > Primates > Hominidae > Homo > Homo sapiens. The sequence continues at coordinate 134,878,632 of NC_000008.11, read as the reverse complement.
ACTTTGCAAACTCCATGCATCACTTACCCTTAAATATAGGGTCTTACTAACAAAAGATAAACTGGAATATTAAAAAAAAAGAGAGAGAGGCATGTCAGCAAGGAGGGCTACTTGGAGAAAGCAGTTTAAAGAACAATAAGGCTGGGTGCGGTGGTTCACACCTGTAATCCCAGCACTTTGGGAGGCCTAGGCAGGTGAATCACCTGAGGTCAGAAGTTCAAGACCAGCCTAGCCAACATGGTGAAACCCCGTCTCTACTAAAAATACAAAAATCAGCCGGGGTGGTGGCATTTGCCTGTAATCCCAGCTACTCAGGAGGCTGAGACAGGAGAATCACTTGAACTTGGGAGGTGGAGGGCGCAGTGAGCTGAGATTGTGCCACTGCACTACAGCCTAGGCAACAAAGCAAGACTCCGTCTCAAAAAAAAAAAAAAAAAAGTAGGCTTTTTACAGGAGGATTTGCACTACAAGTAGAAGAGACAGTAATCATAGTCTGCATTTATTTATTTATTTATTTATTTATTTATTTATTTATTTATTTATTTGGAGACAGTCTCACTCTGTCACCCAGGCTAGAGTGCAGTGGTGCAATCTCGGCTCATTGCAACCTCTGCCTCCTGGGCTCAAGCAGTTCTCATGCCTCAGCCTCCCAAGTAGCTGGGACTATAGGTGTGCACCATGATGTTGGCTAATTTTTGTATTTTTAGTAGAGATGGGGTTTCACCATGTTGCCCAGACTGGTCTCAAACTCCTGAGCTCAGGAAATCCACCTTCTTTGGCATCCCAAAGTACTAGGATTACAGGTGTGAGCCACTGTGCCCAGCCGTAATCTGCTTTTTAAAGTCGTGGTTAAAGTATATATAACATAAAATTTACCATCTTAGCCATTTTTAAATGTACAGTAAATAAATTCACATGGTTGTGCAATCACCACCATCCTTTTCTGGAAGTTTTTTCATCTTACAAAACTGAAACTGTATCCATTAAACAATAACTCCCTACTCCTCTCCCCTCCAGCCCCTGGCAACCACCATACTACTTTCTGTTTCTATGAATTTCACTACACTAGATACCTCATAGGAGTGGAATCATAAAGTACATGTCTTTTAGTTGCTGGCTTATTTTACTTAGTATAATGTCCTCAAGGTTCATTCACATTGCAGCATGTGTCAGAACTGTCTTCCTTTTTAAGGCTGAATAATATTCAATTGTGTGTGTATGTCACATTTTGGTTATTTGCTCACCTGCTGATGGACACTTGGGTTGCTTCCACCTTTTAGCTGTTGTAAATAATGCTGCTATGAATATTCATGCACAGACTTTTTTTGAGATCCTGCTTTCAATTATTTAGGGTATATATCCGGAAGTGGAATTCCTTGATCATACAGTAATTCTATTTCTAATTTTTTCAGTAACCTCCATATTGTTTTCCACAGCAGTTGCACTATTTTACAGTCTTACCAACAGTGCCCAAGGGTTCCAATTTCTCCACATCCTTTCCAACATTTGTTATTTTCTGTTTTTTTTTAAATGGTTGCTTCTAATTGATTGCAAAGTGGTATCTCATTGTAGCTTTGATTTATATTTCCCTAATGATTAGTGATGTTGAGCATCTTTTCAGGAGCTTTTTGGCCATTAGCAATCATAATATTGATGTCCTCACCAATGTCTACAATGAAAATACTGATTAGATACAAACCCTCATTCAGGGCTCCTTTGAGGATTAAATGAGTAAGTAAGCATGGAAAAACTAACATGATACCTGGCAAGAAATGGGTATGCAATGAATGGTAACACTGTATCCATTATCTGTTGACAGCACAGTGCTGCATAAAAATCACCTAAACTCAGCAGCTTTAAAACAACAACCACCTATTACTCTTCACAAACTTATGAGGTAGCTGATGATTCTACTCTTGACTGGGCTTTCTCACACATCTACAGTCAGCTGCAGGTTGGATAGGCAGCTCTGATTTTGGTCAGACTCTTTCACACTTTTGGAGTTTGACTGGCTCTAAGCTGGTCTAAGTTTCAGCTGGAATGGCTCAGCTCTCCTTTACATGTCTCTCACTTTCTCTCCCAGTAGATTAGCCCAGGCATGGCCTCAGGGCAACGTTAGGGGCCCAGCAGAAACCTGCAAGCACATTTCTGCTAATGTTAAGTTTGCCACTTCCCACTGGCTAAAACAAGAGTGGTAGGAAGGATTCTAAGATGAGCCCCCAGTGAGTCACGCCCGTGTATAATCCCCTACTCATGGATACAGGTGGAACCTAGGACTTGCTTCTGGCCAATAGAATACAAGGGGTCCTTCAAAAAGTTTATGGACATGGCATATTTAAGAAAACTATGCATGGATTTCAAAATTTTTGCACCAAAATGAAACCATACTACCTTGTTATGTTAACAGGATTTAATTTGAGGCCCTAAGAAGGATAAAACATCCGTTTGAAAAGAGCCCCTATTAGAGCAACATGAATTCTGCTAAAAATGAAGCAGGAACAAACATCAAATTTACAGTGAAGCTTGAATGAAAGAATGGTGAAATCATTGATGTTTTGTGAAAAGTTTATGGGGACAATGCCCCTAAGAAATCAGCAAATTACAAATGGATAACTTGTTTTAAGAAGGGATGAGATGATGTTGAATATGAAAGACCACAGTGGCAGACCATCCACATCAATTTGTGAGGAATAAATTAATCTTGTTCATACCCTAATTGAAAAGAACCAACAATTAACACCAGAAACAATGGCCAACACCATAGATATCTCAGTTGGTTTGGCTTACACAATTTTGACTGAAAAATTAAAGTTGAACAAACTGTCCATTCAATAGGTGCTAAAACTGTTGCACTCAGATCAACTGCAGACAAGAGGAAAACTTTCAATGGAAATTTTAAACATCTGGGATCAAGATGCTAAAGCTGGCTGGATAAAGTGGCTCATGCCTGTAATCCCAGCACTCTGGGAGGCTGAGACATGAGTATCATTTGAGACCAGGAGTTTGAGACAAGCCTAGATAACATAGTAAGACCTTGTCTCTACAAAAAATAAACAAAATTAGCCAGATGTGGTGGTGTATAACTGTAGTACAGCTATTCAGGAGGCTGAGGTGGGAGTATGGTTTCAGCCTCAGAGGTTGTGGCTGCAGTGAGCCAAGATCATACCACTGCACTCCAGCCTGGGTGACAGAGCAAGACCCTGTTTCAGGAAAAAAAAAAAAGACCCTATAGCATTTCTTTAAAGAATTTTAACAGGAAATGAAACATGGCTTTACCAGTATAATCCTGAAGACAAAATACAATCAAAGCCATGGCTACCAAGAGATGAAAGTTTACAGTCAAAGCAAAAGTGGAGGGGTCAAGACCAAGGGTCATGGCAACGGTTCTGGGGGATGCTCAAGGAACTTTGCTTGACTTTCTGGAAGACCAAGGAGCAATAACATGTGCTTGTTTTGAGAGTGTTTTGAGAAAGTTAGCCAAAGCTTTAGCAGAAAAATGCCTGGGAATGCTTCACCAGAGAGTCTTTCAACAGTGCTGCTTCTCATTCTTCTCATCAACCAAGGAAAATTCTGCAAGAGTTTTGAAGGGAAATCACTAGGCATTCACCTTACATTCCTGACCTGACTTCTTCTGACTTATTTTTTGTATCCTAATCTTAAAAAAAATCTTTAAATGGCATCCATTTTTCTTCAGTTAATAATGTTAAAAGACTGCATTGACATGGTTAAATTCCCAGGACCCTCAGTTCTTTAGGGATGAACTAAATGACTTTTTTTTTTTTTTTTTTTTTTGAGACGGAGACTTGCTCTGTCACCCAGGCTGGAGTACATTGGTGTGATCTCGGCTCACTGTAACCTCTGCCTCCCAGGTTCACGCCATTCTCCTGTCTCAGCCTCCTGAGTAACTGGGACTACAGGTGCCCACCCACCACCACCCGGCTAATTTTTTGTATTTTTAGTAGAGACGGGGTTTCACCGTGTTAGCCGGGATGGTCTCTATCTCCTGACCTCGTGATCTGCCCGCCTCGGCATCCCAAAGTGCTGAGATTACAGGTGTGAGCCACCACGCCTGGCCATGACTTTTATAATCACTTACAAAGGTTTCTTGAACTTGATGGAACTTGTGTTGGGAAATAAAGTTTATATTTTTAAATTTGTATCTTTTAATTCCATTTTTCTGTGAACTTTTGGAAGTCCCCTCATATGGTACATAGGTGTTGGAATAGTCATTGTCATGATCTCATTACGTTCTATAAGACTCCATCATAGCGAACATAAATAAGAGATTCTCCTGCTGGCCTTGAAGAAGTGAGCTGTCACAGTGTAAGAGGGCCATGTGGCAAGGAACAGCCAGTGACATCTAGGAGCTGAGAGTCGTCCCCAGCTACCAGCCAACAAGAAAATGAGGACGTTAGTGCTATGACTGCAAGGAACTAACTTCTGTCAACAAACGATGTGACCTTGGAAGAGGAACCTGAGCTGCAGAAAGGAAGGTAGCACAGCTGATTCCTTGATTGCAGCCTTGTGAGACCCTAAATAAAGGGCCCCTTTAACCCTGCTCAGATTCCTGACCCACAGAAACTGTGGGAAATAAGAAAGATACTTTGTTTTAGGCTGGTAAGATCGTAGTAATGTGTTACACAACATAGACATCTAATACAGCAGTTGACATTGTTAATCCCAGAGTCAGCATGGGAGAGCATTACCAAAAAGTAGAATAAAAAGAGGCATGAATAATTGGGGCTATTAATGCAATCAATCCGTCATACTTTCTAAGCGCTGGGGGTGGGGGCAACCCTTTGTTAAAATAGCACTGCACCAACATGTTTATATGCTCTACAGACTTGGCATTGCTGTTCTGTTTCTTATTTTCCAGCACTCATAAACAACCTGACTATGACAACTGCAGACTCAAAAAAGGAGTGAGCTGAGAAACAGAGTCAGTATACTGCATAGGAGCAAGAACTCTTGAGCCAGATATCATGGGTTCAATTCCCAGCTCTCACACATGTCAGCTGTGTGACTCTGGACAAGTTCCTTATTCTCCCTGTGCCTTAATGGTATCAATGAAAAAAATATTATAATACTATCCACTCTCAGGGTTTTTGTGGAAATTACATAAGTTAATTTAATATATGTAAAACACTTAGAACAGTGCACGGCACACTGTAAATATTACATTTGCCACATTATTCTAATTATTTTCAAATGATTAGCCAATATAACAATTACAGTCACTCCAACAGAATATTCAAGTAAGGAGAAACCCTATTCCTTGATACTACAGAGGAACACACATATTCTTTATGCACTTTAAAATACAAGACATGGCTGGGCGTGGTGGCTCACGCCTGTAATCCCAGCACTTTGGGAGGCCAAGGCGAGTGGATCACAAGGTCAGGAGATTGAGACCATCGTGGCTAACTCAGTGAAACCCCATCTCTACTAAAAAACAAAAAATTAGCCGGGCGTGGTGGCGGGTGCCTGTAGTCCCAGCTACTAGGGAGGCTGAGGCAGAAGAATGGCGTGAACCTGGGAGGCGGAGCTTGCAGTGAGCCAAGATCGCACCACTGCACTCCAGCCTGGGCAACAGAGCAAGACTCCGTCACAAAAAAAAAAAAAAAAACCACAAGACATATAGAAAAATATACAACTAATTACTTGCCCCTAAAATATATAACCAATAAAATGTCTTATAGAGAAGAACAAAAAATAAACAAGAACCTACACCATTTTCACAGTAAAATTTTTTTAGTACTGAAAGCCTCATAGAATAATCCAATTTTATTGAGATTTTGGAACTTATCATGAAGACTTACTAACAAATTCTAGTTCTTGCCCTTTCACTTCCAAGGAATATATCATTTAAAGCATAGTCTTTATAATGCTTGTAATAGAGCACACAATTGCCTCATTTTCGTAAGTCAAGGTGGGAGTTCTGCATTTTTCCCTTGGAATTAGGACAAGCAGTCAGGCTTTGGAAGGACAGGCAGTGCTCTTGGTGTCAAAGAAACTGGAGTCCTTCAGGCTCTACCACTTGCAACTTGAGGGAACTTCGAAACATGGTCAAAGCTGCCTGAGCCTCAGTTTCCCTGATAACATTAACACACCCTGCTTCACAAGATAAGAATAAAGACCAGAGGAGGCAAAAGGATGCAAATGGGGCTTTTAAAACAGCATGTCTAGTTAGGGTCCTATCAGGAGACAGAAACTCTACCGGTTATTTTAACAGAGAGACCTTGATACAAAGAATCATTAACCAAGTACTGGGTAGAAAAAAAGGGGGAGCACTAAGAAGTACAACAGCAGCAACTGTCAAAGCAGCTCCCAACCCAAGGGCTAGGAAACAGAAGAAAAGATCGGGATTATTAGAATGTAGAATCTCTGAGGAGGGAGGCCCTCTGGAGCTTGAACACAGATGTCTAAAGAAGGGGCTCCAGTTGGTATGTACTGGGGGTGCAAGGAGGCTGATCCCAGGAGTGTGGAACGCCTGCAACCTGAAACCAAGGGGACTCTGGAGTCCACTACTGCTGCTGGGGTCATTCTTGGACAGAGGATGCAGAGATGCCCAAGGCTTTCTTCCTCTCTCACACCCCCATCCAAGAACCTAAATTCAGAGCCAGTGGACAGGCTAGAAATGTGGTTTGCAGAGTCCCAGCCCCAGCATCATAAATCAGAGTAGCAAAGAGTGGGTTTGGAGCTGAGAGTCAGTAACTCAATGTCCAACAGAAAAAGATAAAGTATTAAACCTGTAGCCAGAGCCAGGTGTGGTGGCGTGCTACTTGGGAGACTGAGGCAGAAGGATCGCTTAACACAATAACCTCATTTTCACAAGTCAAGGTGGGACTCCTGCATTTTTCGCTTGTAATTAGGACAAGCAGTCAGGCTTTGGAAGGACAGGCAGTGCCTTGGAGTCAAAGAACCTGAAGGCATTCAGGCTGCACCACCTGCAACTTGAGGAAACTTTGAAACATGGCCAAAGAGCCCAGGAGATCAGGGATATAATGCACTATGAGTGCACCTGTGAATAGCCACTGCACTCCAGCCTGGGCAACACGGTGAGACTCTATGCCTAAAAAAATTTAAACACATGGTCAGCAATCTCCTGGTTACAGTGGCAAGCCCCTGCTCTCTGGGCCACAATTTTATCTGTAAAATTGCAACACTGGACTTAGGCACTAGATGATTCATCGCTAACACTGGAGCTTCTGAGAGTGTGACCCTTATAAAAACTTCAACAGGCTTTCAGGTTCCCCTTCTGGAAGGGAGCCTTTCCCTGGTTTATTTTTCTTTAAAAGAGAAAGAGAATGAGAAAAAGAAAGACACACAAATGGGTTTCCTGGAGACTAAGCTCGGATTGGAAGAGTCCACAGGTTCCTGGAATCTCAGGAACCAAAGACAGATCCCATGATTTCCAGGTGTGGGGATCACAGGAAGGGGCCTGGCCAGCCTGGGGATAATCTCCGGGTCTTGTGTGGACGTGCCAGACTTTCTCAGGCCCCTCTGAGAGTGACCAGTGACCTCTGAAGTCCTCATCTGGACCACTGGTGCCCACCTATTGTGCTCTTCCACACTAGCTTCTGACTCTGCCTGCTACAAAATCCAGCCACATGGACCTCCTGCCTCTTTCTCACACTCACGGAGCTCCCACCCACCTCAGCACCTTTGCACAAACCTTCTTCTTTCTGTCTGGAATGCCCTGTGTCAGATCTTTTCAAGCCTCTCATAATTCAGGTCTCAGTTCAAATCACCCTTTTTCTGAGAGACACCCATCCCTGCCTTCCACCTCTGGAAGTCCTACGCTCTGACATTTGACCTTGCTTCCTCTCCTTCATAGTAAATATCACCATTTTACATTTATGTAGTTGCTCACTTGTTCATCTTCTATTTTTCCCACATAGGATTAAGACACTGAGAGTGAGCCAGGCGTGGTGGCTCATGCCTTTAATCCCAGCACTTTGGGAGGCTGAGTCAGGCAGATCACCTGAGGTCAGGAGTTTGAGACCAGCCTGACCAACATAGAGAAATCCTGCCTCTACTAAAAATACAAAATTAACCGGGTGTAGTGGCGGGCCCCTGTAATCCCAGCTACTCGGGAGGCTGAGGCAGGAGAATTGCTTGAACTCGAGAGGCAGAGGTTGTGGTGAGCCGAGATTGTGCCATTGCACTCCAGCCTGGGCAACAAGGGCGAACTCTGTCTCAAAAATAAATAAATAAATAAAAATAAAAATAAATTTTAAAAAAAGACACTGAGTGTGGCAACCTTATCTGTCTTGTTCACAGTTCACCATGTATCTTGTTCACCACATCCAGTACTATGCCTGACCCATGATAAGTCCTCAAGAAATATTTATGGAATGAATGGACGAATAAGTAACATACTTTCAACTGCTTGAAGGTGGGCTCTGAGCCCTGACTTTCAAATTCCTGAGAGCATATAGCAAGGCATTGAGTACACACATGGCACTTAATAAATTCCTGATTGAAGTATTCCATCCAGCAGCTCTCTCTGTGCCCCTGGAACAATGTCAATGCCTTCACAACTTCAGACCAGCCACTCGCTTTGGGAATGGGGGAGGAACAAGGAGACCTAATCTCCAGGTTAGGGAAGACACCTAACCTGCAGTCCAGTGGTTCTTACACACGAGTTCACATAGAGTCACCTGAAGGGTTGGTTCAAACAGAAATTGCTGGGTCCCACCCTCAGGGTTTCTGATTCAGTAGGTCTGGGGTGGGACTCAAGAATTTGCGTTGTAAACAAGTCCCCAGGGATGCTGATGCTGCTAGTCCGGGGACCACACTTGGAGAATCACTGTTTTACAGCTCACCAGGTAATTACAGGGGCAGCCAGAGTTGAGAAACACTGCTTCAATTTGCACCTCACAAAATTGTTGTAGAGATCAAATGTAATTATTAGGCAAAGTGTGTAGCGCCATGGCTGGTACCCAGTTAGTGCCAAATGGTGTTCCCTCGCACCCTTACCTCTTACCTGGAAAGCCAAACAGCCTCCCAGCCATCTGTTTGCCTCCACTTTCTTTTTTCTTTTCCTTTCTTTTTCTTTTCTTGAGACAGAGTCTCACTCTGCCCCCTAAGCTGGAGTGCAGTGGTGTGATCTCGGCTCACTGCAACCTCCACTTGCCAGATTCGAGCGATTCTCATGCCTCAGCCTCCCGAGTTGCTGGGATTACAGGCATGTGCCACCATGCCCAGCTAATTTTTGTATTTTTAGTAGAGACAGGATTTTTCCATGTTGGCCAGGCTGGTCTCAAACTCCTGGACTCAAGTGATCTGCCCATCTCGGCCTCCCAAAGTTCTGGGATTACAGGCATGAGCCACCTTGCCCACTGCCTCTACTTTCCTCTGTGCAGTCAATTTCCTCACAACACCTCCAGAAACATAATCCTTAAATGCAAATCTGATATAACTGCTCTCTTTAAAGCACTGCAATGCTTCCCTAATGCCTATAGATTGAATCCAAATGGAATCCATGAAATAGAAGGCTTTTCACAATTTACACCCACCCATTTATTCTTCTTCTCAATAACTCTAAGCAACCCTAATTGAATAGAACCAACCCTAATTTGTTGAGAGAAACCTGTTGTGGTATTATCTATCAAGTATTCAGACTGGTACAGGGGGAAGGAATGGAAGCTGTGTGGTTAGGTGGCTGTGATTCACATTCTAGCTCTGCCCCTTCTTGCTGTGTGACCTGGAACAGGTTAGTTCACCTTTCTGTCCTGTGTCTTCAGTCATGAAGGAAGGAGAAGAGCAATCCTTTCCTGGTGTGTTGTTAAGTGAAATAATCTATGAAAAGCACTTAGCACAGGGCCCAGCATGCGCTAAGTATTCAGTAAAATGTTACTATCAGAGAGTGCTAGAAACAGAAAAGATAAAAATGACCACTGATGTTATCAGCAAAGTACAGGAGAAGACTTAAGGTGGAGATAAGAGGGTGGAAAGATCCATGCCTCAGAGTGGATTAGGGGCCTTCGTCTTCCTTCTCTTGGTTGTTATATACACCCCATCCCAGGACAGAGTATCTTCATATACTTTTCCTCCTAGATCTCTCTTGTTCTCTATAGACTATGATCTCCTTGTGGCCAGGGACTATGCCTTACTCACCCAAAGGAAGGAAATTTCAAAGAGCTCTCCTGTATGAGAGAGACCACACTCATTCTTTAGCTCCATAGAATGAAAACAAACAAGATAGTTGTCATGGTCAGGGGGGAAGGGGGTCCTAGGAAGAGTCATCCCCAGCAAGCCTGCTCTCCTTTCCCACAAATTGAGTGGTCTTCTCCCTATTGGCCACGCCTCCATGAGACCCCTGAAGATGAGTGCCCAGTGTGGAACCTAAGAAAGTCTTGCCTCTACCCTCAGCCAGAATTTTCCCTACTCCCTTCCCCTCTCAAGCTCTCCATCACATTTCTTTTTTATTTCAGACAGGGTCTTGCTCTGCTGCTCAGACTGGAGTGCAGTGGTGCGATGATGGCTCACTGCAGCCTTGACCTCCTGGGCACAGACAATCCTCCTTCTTCAGCCTCCCAAGTAGCTGGGACCACAGATGCATGCCACCAGCCCTGGCTAATTTTTGTATTTTTTGTAGAGATGGGGACTCACTATGTTTCCCAGGCTGGTTTCAGAATGCATTTCTTATTTACACATCTCTGTTCCTAGAGTTTAGGCTCTCTCTATGAAGTGCTATTAAGATAATGTTATCCATCCTTATAACTAGACATAAACAGAAATAAAACAAAAAGCAGTACAAGAAAACACAAGGAGTATTGGTACATAATTCAATATAAGGACAAGCTTGCAAACTGCTGAAGCTGTCAACAGAAGCAAGGGTTGTGGTGGAGGGAGTGAGCCCCTGCATTTGGGGTCTGCAAGTAGAAGCTGCAACCACCTATTCAGAAAGCTCTGCAGTGTCTTCTGCAAAGCCAGATGTGAAGTTGGACTAAGCACTGGATGTCTTCTCTGGGCTCTTCCCAGTAAAATATCCTGTGTACCAGGGTGAAGAGTTCCCTCTCTGAATTTCTAGTTATTTTGTTCACACAGAAATGGGAGAGAAACCTGGGAAACAGCCATCCCAAGTCAGAGGATCCCCAGCCTGGTCTGCTCCACTGTCCCTGGACACTGCATGCTGGTTGGCTCTTTGGGCCTGGCTGACCCTCACTCAGGACACACTCCTAGGCCGGCTCCATAGAAATGCCAGGTATGTAATCTCTTAATTGGAAACTTGGCAGAGAATAAGGGCAATTCATTGGCTCCACTGCCTGTGCCTACAGGTAGGCAGGCAGGGGAGAAAAGAGTATCTGGCCAGAACAAGGAATGCAAATTTCCACTTGGCAAAGGGGGCAGATATTTCAGAGAGGACCACGGGGCAATTCTAACCAGCTATCACAAAAGCCAGGCATTGTTCTAACCCTTTGCCCCCATGTGAACCCTCTTGTCTAGCCAGGCCAGTCTGACCTGTCCCCTGAACATGCCGTGCTTACCTCTGCCTCCGCCCATGCACACGCTGTTCCCTCACCTGCAGTGCTAACAACCCACCCACATCCTACCCATCCTCCAAGCCCCAGCTAGAGCCCAGCTCCTTTCTGAAACCACCCAGACCCATCAGACCACAGGGGTCTCTGCAACTCCAAGACCACCTACTGGCTATGGTAATAAGAACAACCACAGCTGTCATGTGTTAAGCTCTTAGTATGTGACAGACAACAACGTGGTGGACACTTTACACACATCTTGCCCATTCTCAAAATAAACATGGAAGGAAGGGAGGATGAGTGCCTCACTTTAGAGACTTCACTATTTGCTAAGCTAGTACATGGCAAAGCCAGGGCTTCCTGGCCCCAAATCCCATATTCTTTCTATGCCAAAATCAAATGTAATTTTTTTTTTCTTATAGGCTCCCCTTGCCCATGGGAAAGAGCACAAGCTTCTTGAGACCTAGGATTATGTCTTCTTGTCATCCACTGTCCCACAAACTGCTTTAAGTCAGGTATGGGTAAAATTTCCCTATAAAATTTCCCTTGCATCTGATCTATTTCAAATTAGATTTCTTGACACCAAAGAGTCGTAGAAAATACAGATACAGTTTGGAGGTTTACTTCTTACTGTACAGCCATAGATTCTTGAGCAAGAGTGGGCGTCAAAAGGTCAACCAGAGTGAGTAATAAGGCTACAGCCTGGGCATTCTCATATGAAGGAACGGCTGTGTCTGTGCAAATGTCCAGCCCAGGCATTTGAAGGACTTAGGGAAATAAATGAAATCTTCTCAAACTCTTTTGGGAAAGGTATAGAGATATATATTTAGAAGGCATGTTATGCAAGAACTCTCAGGGCAGCTGGACCATGAGAAAACATCACTTTAGTGTTGTTCAGACTGTAAGTCATGCAATTAGCCAGACAATGTTGTTCCTCTCACTGCTCCGTCCCACTCTGTGCCAGCCCCACCCTGTGAATGCTCCATACCAAGCCTGTCCAGCATTTTAATTAAGAATCTTGGAATGTTTTGCCTCTGTGATACACATAAACTGCCTAGCATTATGCCTGACACGTGTTAGGGCCCAGTTGGAGGAACATATTGGCATTCATGTAAAGAGACCTTGAAGAGCATCTAGAACAAGGTCTAGAAACTCCAAGGTCTCCAGGGCCTGGCGGGGTTATACAGAAGAGTGAAAAACCACCATACAAGTTCAGTGACGACTGGCAGCTAACTGCAACCTCCGCCTCAGGGAGACCACACAGAGTAATGGGAGCCTCGCAGTGGACAGCACAAGGGCTTTCCCTAGCTAAGGACACAGTGGCTCCTCTGTCTGCCTGGTAGCTACCAGATAAAGCCAGGCCCAGATTTGTTGGCCTGACTTCAGGGAAATTTTCAGGGAAGCCATAAATCCTCATTTTTTGTGTGAAATCTGCCAATTGTTTTATATAATTTTTGTTTTGTTTTGTTTTGTTTTTTAGACAGGGTCTAGCTCTGTCACCCAGGCTGGAGTGCAGAAGCAAGATCTCAGCTCACTGCAAAATCTGCCTCCCAAGCTCTAATGATGCTTTCACCTCAGCCTCCCAAGTAGCTGGGACTGCAGGTGTATACCACCATGGCCGGCTAATTTGTATATTTTTTGTAGAGACCATGTTGCCCAGGCTGGTCCTGAACTTGTGAGTGCAACTGATTCGCCCACCTCAGCGTCCCAAAGTGCTGGGATTACAGGTGTGAGCCACCATGCCTGGCCAAAATCTGCCCGTGTTTTAATATTGGCAATTATTTAAACCATTTTGTAAATGTTGCCTGGGTCAAACATACCTGATTGTGGGTCAGATCCTGCCTGAAGATGGCCAGTTCGTGACCCTTCCATAGACGCAGGACCTGAGTCCGGAGAGGTAAGACAATCTGCCAGGACCACAGCACATGATCACCAGAGGCAGCACAGGGACCGGAGCTCCCGCTTCCAGGCCAGGCCACTTTCCACTCCAGCCCTTGCGCTGCAGTGTCTCAGCAGGTGCAGAGCCCCCACCAGGGTTGCTCCACTGAGACACACCTGCAAGGTCACTAGAAGCCCACACCTCTGCCAAAGTCCCTGAATGTCACCTCTCTAACCCACAACTCTTTGCTTCCCAATTGCTTCTTGGAATCACACCTAATCTTCTGGCCTGAGCATAGCCTTCTTTCCCTTCTACCATGCTTCCTCCAAGGTCATTCTGGGAGCTTTAGAATTTGACTCATTTATTTGCCAACATGTCATGAGCAGCCAGTCTATGCCAGGAACTGCACTCAGCCTCAGAGACACACAGTGAATCAGACCCAGGCTCTGTTTTGCAGAGCTGTGATAGTTAATTGTTACTTGTCAACTTGGCTAGAATATGGCACCCAGACGTTTGGTCAAATATTGGTTTAGATGTCACTGTGAGGGTATTCTTTAGATAAGATTAACATTCCAATCAGTAGACTTTGAGGAAAGCAGCTTATCCTTTATAATTTGGGTGGGCCTCATCTAATCAGTTGACAGGCTTAAGAGAAAGAGACTGAGGTCCCTGGGGGAGAAAATTCTGCCTTTACACTGTCTTTGGACTCTAACTACAATATCACCTCTTCCCTAAGTCTCCAACCTGCTGGCCTGTCCTGTAGATTTCAGACTTGCCAGCCCCAAGAATTGCATGAGCCAATTCCTGAATATAAATCTGCACACATACATTCTATTGGTTCTGTTCCTCTGGAGAATCCTGACTATTAATAATATAGAAGTTCATAGTCTAGTGAGCTGCTGTTTACCACTTCTTTTCATCATGTTAAATCATGTTGGATATGAAGGCAAATGAAGCAATGGGTGATTCTTCCCCCCAGACTTGTAAGCAAGATTTTGTGTATCTGTGCTGTGTGGATTTTTCTAAGAAAAGTGTCAAAGCATTTTGAAACTCCACAAAATTCAAGGAATATAAAATTTCCTAGTCTTGAACAGCCCTTCTAGCTCTGGTATTCTGTAATTCTGTGGGACGTAAAGTATTTCTGTGGTTTGTTTTGCTCTTCTTGGCCAAGGACCTAGAAAGTTTTGGTGTTCATTCCAAATAGAACCATTGAGGAAAAACATAATGAGCCCCAAATCCAGAATGTGATGTTTGTGGGTCTAAATTCTATCTTGGCCATTTGCTAGCTCAATGATCCAGGGCATGTCACCTCTCTGAGCCTCAATTTTCTCATCTGTAGAATGGAAATAATACTACTACTCCACAGTTGCTGTGAATCTTAAATGAGATGGCAAATGTGACTTTGGCCAGCAAAGGGTCTGACCAACAAAGGCATCAGTAAATGTTAATTTACTCATTTATGCATACAGATACCTGCAAGTCTTGGGGAACTACCAACCTCAGCTTGCAGCTCTTCAGCACAAGCCCTCCAGGGTCAAGCTGCTGTCCTCTCAGTCATAGACACCCTTGCACCCTGACTGGGTTTGATCCCAAAACCATAAAGAAAAAAACATAATCCATATGCTCTTTTAAATATAAAATAAATACTTTCTTCTTGTAGAGGCAGCCTCACTTTTCTTGTCTGTCAATTGGAGATAATCACACTTCCCCTAAAGAATTGTCACAATGCCAGGATGCAAGGTTCTTACAAATGCCTGTGTCTGTCCTTCCTCAAATCCAGAAGGCAGAGAGCAAGTGGCAGCTTGGAGCCTGATACCTACAGAGACTGGATTGTGCCTGACAGCTTTCTGGTTCCCAGGCCCTGTTTGTCCCTATATAAGACAAGGTTGATAAAACTAGGCACCTCAGTAGCTGAGCTCAATGGCTCATGACTGTAACCCCAGCAATCTGGGAGGCTGAAGCAGAAGGACTGCTTGAGCCCAGGAGTTCGAGATTAGCCTGGGCAACATAGAAAGACCCTGTCTCTAAAAAAATTTTTTCAATACAAAATAAATTAGCTGAATGTGGTGTTGCACATCTGAAGTCCCAGCTACTTGAGAGACTGAGGCAGGAGGATCCATTGAGCCCAGGAGTTACAGGCTCCCGTGAGCTATGGTCACACCACTGTACTCTACCCTGGGAAACAGAGACACTATCTCTAAAATACAAACAAACAAACAAATCTAGGCATCTCAGAGTTTGCAAGGATTTAATGAGACAAGTCATTCAAGGCTTAGGCCCCCATCTAATGCAGTTATAAGCAGGGATTATTATTATTATTATTATCCTATGTTTTGCAGGGAAATGTGGGCACTAAATTGCTCAAAGTTCTTGCTATGAATTTATCTTTTGCCTAATCTCTTATGAATTGACATTCTCTTACCTGCCACCAAGAAAGTCCTGGCAAATGCCTTTTGAAAACATACTTCTCACTCTACATCTTATTTTTTTTGTTTGTTTTTGTTTTTGTGGGGTTTTTTGTTTCTTTTTTTTGAAGATAAGGTCTCCCTATGTTACCCAGGCTGGTGTCAAATTCCTGGGCTCAAACAATCTTCCCATCTTGGCCTCTCAAAGTGCTGAAATTACAGGTGTGAGGCCCTATGCCGGGCCTTCACTTTACATCTTGGATTATGGAGCTGGGCAGGCAATTAGGTCTCATCTCCAGTTCCAGATGGAATATTTGTGATCCAAGAGGTGAAGCCACTGCTGGGTGAGGCATGGCTAGGAGGCAGTGGAAGAGTCAGCCCTGCCCAGTTGTTTCTGCTTCATCTTGCTGACAGCATGAGAGTCAGCAGCAGCAAAGAAACTTGGCAAGAGCTGCTTGGTCAGGGGGTCACAGAGCAGGAGAAGGCATGGGAATTCTATCCTTAATTGTATCCTGTTTGACTTGGCCCTCCCTATGGCGGGCAAAGCCAAACTGCCAGCAGAGCTCTTGCCCCTTGGTGGACATCAGGAATTTTGACTTCTAATTCTGGCTGATTACTTTGGAGAAGTTGCCTAGCCTCTCTCTTCCCATCTTCCCATTAATAAGTCTGGGATAATAATAGCTTCCTCTCTTTGGGGGACATTTCAATGGCTTTTTTTAAAAACAAGGTTACATCATTTGTTCTCCTTAATTTGTTGTGTTTGGATAGGCAAGGAATGGTTTGAAGCCAGCAGCCAGTAATCGCTAATAACACTGACAATTTGTAAAAAAAATGAACAGCTAAATGCATTTCAAGACTGGATCTCTATTTCTTACTGAAACAGTCCCCTGGAAGTGGGTTTAGCCTATGTTCAGTTATGATATGGCTGTGGTAGAAGTTGAACTTGAATAGAAAGAGCCCCTTGAATGGAGAGTTAGAAATCGCCCAGGTGAGGCTGGGAGACCTTGGTGAGGTCATTTTATCAATCTGAGTCTCCATTTCTTCCATTATAAATCAAGAAAGTTATACTGATAGACTTTAGGGTCTTCCTCAGTGATACTGCTCAGACTTTCCTGTAATAATCATTTAATGAAAGGAATTCTTAGTAGCTCTGGCCCCTCTGAACCCACACTCTTTCCAGTCATCCTCCAGGCAGCTACCAGCACAAATCTCATCATGTCACTCCCTGGTGGAACTTCTTCTGATGGCAGAGAAAGAAACATGAGAATCATTGTGTATCCATGCAAAGGTATAGCATGCAGCTATTTAAAATGATATAGAAAACAGAGCTTTCAACAATATGAAAATAAAGAGTTTATATTTGGTGACGAAGTCAGAATACAAAATCATGCACTAGTATCTCAATGGTTGAAAATGCTAAAGACAACGGCTAGAAGGAGATATCACAAGATGTTAATGGTGGTTCATTGACTCGACCTACTAAGCGCAAAAGCTAGGACTTGAACCTGGGTCCCGGTTTAGAGAGGATGTGGGTGAGTTGTTCGAGAATTTGCATGTGATAGTAAGTGCCCAAATGTCCTGAAAAGTTCAAAGGCAAAGGAGTATTAGAATTGCGACATGGGCCTAGAGAACCTATTTAGAGAAGTCACCTCTACTTTGTGTCCATGTACTTTGCCATGGACTTTAATAGTTAATGCCTTTTTTCTAGATCATTCATTTTATTCCTTTTCTTCAACAATATTTCTACACATAATAAGACAGCATGTTTTATTCTTCCTTTAGACTAATTCTCCAAATATCTGTGGAAGATGAGCAATACATTTTTGGTAACTTAAGCAGTGAATCTTTTTTCATTAGATAACTATTAGAGATACTAATTTGAGAGTTCAGACAAAAGTCATGTCCAGTATCTTTGGGCTAGACCACTGTTTTTAAAATTATACTGTCTTTAAAATGACAAGTTATGTGTTCTGGTCTTAGCATTTCAAAAAACCTGAGGTGCTCCAGGGCACCAAACCTAACAACCCCTCTTCCACTAATCACCTATGGTTTTCTGGACACAGGAATAATTGTCACACTCATTGGTTGCAGGCATGTCTCTTGGGCTGAGGTTCACATACTAGACAACAGGGGCTAATATGATCTAGATAAGTATAGTCATAAGAGGTAGGCAAAAATCACTGGGTGTATTATTTTCTTAAAATAAAAAGGTCAACTTAAACAGACAAAACTACTCCATTTCATCAGATGATGGGTTACAAGGCCTTGACGCAGGAAAGCACTTTCACCGAAATGATCAAGGAGGAACCATTCATTCAAGTTAAACAGTACTCTATAGGGTGAATCTCTCAAAACAGAAAAAAACAGGACAGGATACCAGGTAGTATTTTCTTGGAAGCAGTATTGTGTGTGGATTGGGAGGCCTGTGCTTGAATCCCAGCTCTTATACTTCCTCTCTGTGGGGTTTTTGCAAATTTCCAGCCCCTGCCAAGCTTCATTACTGCCATCAAAACAAATGGGGTTAACAGATCTAGCACATAACTGGCACTCCAGAAGTGAGTGGAATATAAAATTAAACATGGAAGGAAAATCAATAGCCCTTGTTACATATAAATTTTAAAATATTATGTATAATATTATATATATTGATATTATATATAATTATATATTATATATAAATGTCATATATATATCCAAAAGCTTTCAAAAATAAGAACACCATGCTTATCTGTCATTGTACATTACTAAGAGCAACTTCAGAGCTCGTGGGTTCAGATGTTTTCAACCTGGGGCCATGCACCTCTATGGGTTCCATAGATGTGCAGCCTTCCAAGGTAAGATGTTATCTGTATCCTTGCCTTCCCAGTATTTATTGCTCTGTCTTATGGTAACAATGGCCTAATTTTCTTTTGGGAAACCACCCCCATTCTGCTCTCCACCAAGATCAACTGGAGCCCACCCACTCCATGTAATAGTGACAAGCATGGGGCCAGCCGAGCATCCAACCCTCTACCCACAGGGGTTGTGTTGGGGCTGGGCCAGACATTTACCAGGACCATAAAAAAAGGTTGTGCTTTTTCTATTGGGGTTGCTAGGTGGGTAGAATACCAGCCTGTGCTGCTGATGGACATCTCTGCCATCACTGGGAGAGACCCTTCCTAAAAAGAAAGCCAAAAACTCAGAGAGCAGAGGCAAGATATAGACCTAAGTTCCTCCTGGCATCTTTGAGCTCCTGGTTCAGCATGTCTAGGCCACTTCTACTCCAGGATTTATGAGGACCATGAACTATTACATTGCTTTTTGGTAGGTGCCAATTTGAGCTGGGTCTCTGTTACTGGTGAAGAAAAGAATCCTAACCAATACAGGAAATTTCATCAATTCCTTGAAATATATGCAAATTTTGCATAAGTATGTTTATTTTCCTGGAGAGAAGGAAAACCCATTCTTAATGGGCTTCTGCACTAGAAAAATTAAAACTGCCTGTTCTAATCCAATGCCCTCATTTTACAGATGAAAAAGCCAAGACCCAGAGAAAGAGTCATTGCCCCAGGTCACATAACAAGTGGGTGACACGGACCGGAACCCAGTTCTACTGACTCTCGTCCTCACCAGTGGATCCCAACATCGGACCCCCCAGCGGCATCACCGGGGTGCTACTGACCATCACCTGCTCAGGTTCTCCCCTAGATCAGGTAAGTCAGAACATCTGCAGAGCAGATTTGAGCACTAGTATTCTCAAAAGCTCCCTGGAGGACTCACATGTGCAGCTAGGGTGAGAACCCTTTCTTAGGATATGAAAACAAAGATGAAGAAACACAATCCAACTGATCCAATACTCATAAATTAAAATTAAACAAATACCTAACATCAAATATCTTATACCACTTGAACACTGAGCTAGGTGTGGGGGTGCAAAATTGAAAAGGACACAATACCTGCCCTGAAAATAACTTCCTCTCTTGTGTAAAAGAAAGTAAGAACCATCCATCAAAGAAAGTGCTGCATTTCATCAGCCGCAGAATGGAATTCTTGGCAGCCCTGCCTTCAAATCTCAGCCACCTGCCTCTCTCTTCATCTCTCGAATTGAGTAAACAAGTCCTTTAGAAGACACAGTCAAGTATTTGCGTCTGTTTGAAATAGTCCCCTTTAGGGAACGTAAGGCATTTAAGTATATTTACAAAAATTCCTCTTGAGGAATGCAGTATATAGATAAGTTCATTCCTATATTTTTCAAAGGAGATGCTACTGTCATGAGGTCTTTTTACATCATCTCCCTGAACTGTCTCACCCTATTTCCACTCGATTTTCCACCTATTACAGGAATTGTCATGTGTTAAGACTTCAACCCAATAAGTATTTACGAATCCCCTCCATGTCCCAAGCTCTTTGCTGAGTGCTTGGGGATGGAAAGGATAAACAAGGATACCAAAAGGAAAAAAACAAAGTTACTGCTTTCAAAGAGCTAACAGTCAAATGAGGGACAACATGTTAGTATTCATTTCTAACAAAAGCAAGCTGTGATAAATGTTTAATTATGGTTATAACTCCACTTATTAAGTGTCTGCCATGTGCCAGGCACCTTACTAAGTACTGTACATACCTTATGACATTCCGTTCTTATGACCCCACTGTTGAGTAGCTGTCATCTATCTGCATTCCACAGGTAAGAAAACAGACTTGGAGCCACCTACTCATCTACCCAGTCTCAGCTAGTTAGCAGCAGAGCCATGATTGGCTGTTGGGTCTGCTTAATTCCAAACAGGTCCTGAGCACCCCCAGCTGAGTACGGACTACATCAGGATCCAGGAAAACCAGGTTCATGATGGAGCCTCACTGCACATTTCTCCATACTGGAATACAGACGTGAAGATAAGAAACAAGATTCCTGCCCTTAAGGAGCTCATGTCTAGGAGGGAAACTCAAACAACAATTTTAGGGAGTGTTAATCACTTTTTAAATCAAATAATTGGTATCATAGAAAATAACTGGTACTGGGGAAAGCATAAGAAATCGTATCTGGGGAAATTTTTGAAGTCAAGATCGGCAGAAATGGATGAAAGAAATAAGGTGAGGGATCTAGAAATTGGGAGGTAGTTGTAGCTAACAATGCTAACACCTCTCACCTGCAGTCTTCTCCAGAGGATGGCCCTTGGACAAATTGGAGTCATCTCACCTGGAGATCACTTTGGTGCAAAGACAAAAGACACCCCACCCCTCAACCTATAATAAATACATTACTGAGTCTTATCAAGGTAAAGTAACTTGTCCAACGTCATGCAATCAATAGGTGGTGCACCTGGAATTCAAACTCCCAAGCTGGGCCAGCACTCCTGGGACACGTTTGTTCCTCAGCCTGCCTTGTCCCATCGCATTTGATAAAGCCACACTTGAGAGGGAGTGACATCATCTAAGCCATGGTAGTATTTCTGGAGCCCATGGAAATGCCTGAACCCTGCCCCATCAATTACCCTTCCTGAGTAAAGAAGTCCTAAAAGATAGATCTACAAGAAACAGTGGTCATATAGGAAACAAAGGAACAAAAAACCTTTTCGTTATTAGGTAAGCCAGCAACTGGCACCTGAATTCAATCTTCCCTGGTACAGGTGAATTAAAACACACAGATTAGACCAGAGGCTAAGTGTAGCCTCTCTCGCCCCTACCCCCGCCCCGGCCAAAAAAATCCAATTTTGACTCTTCTCACTCTCTCCTCCATATTTAAGGTGCAAAAATGTGGGCTGGCACTATGTTAGAAGCGGCTTCATTAATACTGCTCCCCTAAATGGAAATGATAAAATTTGTGAATGAGGTTGCCTGCCAGCCTTTTCTATCTGGCACAGTTGTGCTGTCCAATACAGGAGCTATTAGCTACATGAAGTTATTTAGATTTGGGCTTAAATTAATTAGAATTAGATACAATTGAAAATTCAAGTCTTCAGTCACATTAGCCACATTTCAAGTACTCAAAAGCCGCACACAACTAGTGGCTTCCATAGCAGACAGTGCAGATGTAGGCAATTTCCACCACTGCAGCAAGAGGACACAAGAGAGAGAAACAGAGTGGGGAGAAGAGTCTCAGACCCTCTGTCTCAGAGGGTCAGGCAAAGCTCAGTTTACCCAACCAGCTCTAGTTGCAAAAGGGAAGTGTGAAGAGGGACATGAGAACCAGTCTCTACCCTTCAACACAAAATGAACCCACCCAGTGGCACTCGTGAGTATAGCCTAATCTGTACTTCAGGCTCCAACCAATAAATTCACATTTCCCCTCAAGGAGGAACAGAGGTAGGGCAGGCAGCAAAGGATCTGGTACCACTTTCAAGGTGTATATGATACTCCTATTAACCAAAAAATCAAATTTAAGATAAAGGAATGATCTGCAGCCTGGAGTAAGTTCATTTGCCATCCAGAATAAATACAAAATTCTGGAGAAGACTGAACTGATTGACCCCATTAGGGTTAGGTGCCCAGCTTTGGATTAGTCACGATGGTGAGGTTTTAAGAACCTGGCATCCAAGCATGTGGCTGTGTGATTGAATCATGACTACTACTTACGTACTTCCCTCTACAACAGACAGACAAAAAAGCAGGGACTGCTACACTGAGGCCTTATCCCTCACTTCCCTTCTTATGTTTGTAAGTCAGCCCTGGCTGGTTTGTCTCTGGCCTTTGAGATTTTTGAGAACAAATATTCTGTTTCCTTCCTTCACTGTGCCCAGCATGATACCTAACTCATAACCCTTCATGCTTCTCAATAAATGTTTAACTGCATGGCAGGAGATGGCATTTACTGAGCCTACCTTAGGCCAGGGACAATGCTATGTGCTCCTGATATGGTTTTGATGTGTTCCCACCTGAATCTCATCTTGAATTAAGGCTCCCATAATTCTCATGTGTTGTGTGAGGGACCCGGTGGATGATAATCGAATCATGGGTGTGGTTTCCCTCATACTGTTTTTGTGGTAGTAAATAAGTCTCATGAAATCAGATGTTTTTATAACGGGTTTCCCCTTTAGCTTGGCTGTCATCCTCTCTTGTGTGCTACCATATAAGATGTGCCTTTCACCTCCCACAATTGTGAGGCCTCCCCAGCCACGAGGAACTGTGAGTCCATTAAACCTCTTTTTCTTTATAAGTTACCCAGCCTGGGGTATATCTTTATCAGCATCATGAAAAAGGACTAATACAGCTCAATACACACTGATTAATTTAATCATTACAGCAATCTTATGGGGTGGATTTTATTCACCCTCTTTTCCAGATGAAGAAACAATCTTATCCAGGTAAAATAACTTGCTCAAGGGCACATAACGAGTAAGTGATGAACTTGGAATTCAGACTCGCATCTATATGACTTCTCATGATGCTAAATATTTTAAAATGGACGAATGAATATTACCACAATTGATTTGATTAAATATCAAAAACTACCCACAAAATAATTGTTTAAAATTTTATTCAACTGGGCAAAATGACTCACACCTGTAACCCATAATTTTGGGAGTCTGAGGTGGGATGATTGCTTGAGCCCAGGAGTTCAACACCAGCCTGGGCAACATGTGAGACCCCATCTCTACAAAAACAAATTTTTTTAATTAGTCAGGCCTGGTGGCACACACCTGTAGTCCCAGCTACTTGTGAGGCTGAGGTGGGAGGATCGCTTGAGCCTGGGAAGTGGAGGCTGCAGTGAGCCATGACTGTACCACTACACTCCAACCTGGGTGACAGAGAAAGACCCTGTCTAAAAAAAAAAAAAATGTGCTATCAAAAAGTGGATAAATATGAGGCTATGTTCAGAATAACTTTTGAGTACTGCAATTGATGTCTGTTTTCTGTGAAGACAAAGCCATAGTCATACAATATTTAAGAAGCAAAAGTGTGGGCAGGTACTACATTAAATACAGCTTAATTAATAATGATGTTCTAAATGGAAACGATACAAGTACGAATAAAGCTGCCCACCAGCCTGTTCTATTTGGCACAGCCAGACTATTCTTAGGCTCTTACCTGTTTTCATTATGTAGTTGACCTTGGAATGTCAATGATTTATGGTATAATTGATACATAATTGGCATCCAGGGTTCCCTTGCAGTTTATATTTCTTTGCTGGAACCAGTAGCTAAAGAATAAAAGCTATCTCTAACTTCTTCAAATTCTTTGTTTCCTAACTCAAACCTTAGCTCCTACAATACTCTTTGACATGTAGCCTGTATTTTAGTCTGCTCACTAGTCCTAAGAGAGGCCTTGCACAGTCCTTCTTCTACACCTTTCCTCCTGCTATGAGTCCTCACCTAGGACTCATTTAGCCCTATACTTTCTTCAAGACTCAATTAAACTCACACAAAGATGAATGTCAATAGGTTCAAATATTCCTCTCCTACCACTGCCCTAGGAAATATTTAATATTTAACATAGAAAGTGCCAAGTGCTGCAAAATGTGAGCTCTAGTTTCATTTTGGACTTTGTGTCAGTCAGCTTTTGCTGTGTAACAAATAAGAACAAAAATCTTGGTGTCATCTACATGACAGCTGGAGTTCATCTGATCCAGCTGATTTAGATAAATAAGGCATGTTATTCTCATGGCAACAAAAAAAAAAAAAAAAAACAAGGGCATGAGAGCAAGCCTAACAATACTAGCATATTTGAATCTTCCGCTCATATCACCTCTGTGAACATCCTACTGGCCAAAACTAATCACGAGGCCAAGGCCAAAGTTAGGGAGTATAGAAAGTACTTTCCTGCCACAGGGTAGGGGGAGGAGAATGCATATTTACTGAACAATAATCTAATCTTTACAGACACTACCATATATTTTAAATGTCCCTTCTTTTGCCACAGCAGTCTAGAGAATGCAAATTAAATGAGAGGAGAATACCATCCAAAGCACTTAGATCTCAGAGAAACACAGCAGAGCTGCTGCACACACAGCCTTTCACTGGGTAATGAGTAAAGTAGATGAAACACTTGGAGAGCAAGTTGAAAGGCAGCAAAGGCTTCTCAGCAATAATGTGTTATTAGCGGGGACTTAGAGGGAACCCCAAGCTGGTGGTGCCATACACAGATGATGGGAGCATAAATTGATGAAAATATTTTATAGGGGAAGTTGACAATATGTATCACAATTTGTAAATGTACATGCCCTTTGATCCAGCAATCCCACTGCTAAGAATATGCTCTATGGATAAAATCAAGTAAGTATACACAGATTATACTCATTTTTTTGCTGTAGCAAAATAATTTGAAAATAAAAATAAATAAAAGCAGAAAAGAAAAATTGAATATCCATCTCTAAAGCTCTGGTTAAATGAATGATGGTATATTCATGCAACATATTATAGTCATTAAAAATAAGTCTATACATGCTAATTTGTTCATTCAAAAAAATATGTACTGTATGCTCACAATATACCAAGTCCTGTTCTTGGCACTGACAATGTAACAGAAAATTAGATATTCAGGATCTTTCTTCTCAAGGAGAAAGAGTAGTGGGAGATGATTAATAAGTCAATACATAAATGTGATAATCTCAGGAAGTGATAGAGCAAAAATATAACAGGATGGTATGCAAAAGGGAGCCTAGGAGAGAGATCACCTTGAATGGGGGTCTGTGGAAGACCTCTATGAGGAAGAGATGTTTGTACTGATTCCTGCATATCAAGAAAGGAAGGCCAATCCTTCCTCAAAGGGCATGAAGACATAGGGGAAGAACATTCTAGAAAGAGGAAACAGCAAAGGCCCTGAGGTGAAAATGAGCTTGTTTTATTCAAGGGAAGGACAAAAAGTTAGTGTGGTTGGAGCAGTGAGTGGGAAAAACAGTGGTAAAAGATGAAGTAGGAGAAGAACTACGAGATCTAGGTCTCTGTTCCACCGCCTACATTTTTGTCTTCGGTTTCTTCATCTGTAAAATGGAGTTACTAATCATTGACAGCTTTTATCTCCGGGATGTCCACAAGAAGTTCTGTGCAATAGGCAGGGCAGGCATTATCATTCCCACTTTACAGATGAGGAAACCAAGATTCCAAAAGTTTTGTAACTTTGCCCCCAGTCACATATTTTGTAGTCAGCAGAATCAAGACTCAAATCCAGATTCCTGATGGCTATCACAGCACTCCTTTTGCTGCAGCACAATCTATCCCACCTTGTTTGTGTATTTCAACTCACAAAAGCCCTAAATTTGGCTGTGAATCTTTACCATCTCCAATTCTTTTTTTTTTTTTTCTTTGAGACAGTATCTCACTCTGTTGCCCAGGCCAGAGTGCAATGGCCCCATCAGAGCTCCCTGTAGCCTCGACCTCCCAGGCTCAAGCAATACTCCCACCTCAGTCCCCAAGTAGCTGGGACTATAGGCACATGCCACCATGCCTGGCTAACTGTGTGTGTGTGTGTGTGTGTGTGTGTGTGTGTGTGTGTGTGTGTAGAGATGAGGTTTCACTGTTACCCAGGCTGGTCTCTAACTCCTGAGCTCAAGTGATCCACCTGCCTCAGCCTCCCAAAGGGGTGGGATTACAGGCATGAGCCACCATGCCTGGCCTCCAATTCTTAGTAAGAAGGATTTAACCCCAGTGTTGTGGATAAACTGAGTTTTCCCATCTGCAGCTTAGAGTCGCCCATGGGTTTTATTTCCAATATAACTTGTTGCTTATATATTTATCTCTCCTACCAAAATATGAAAAGGCAACATGCTGAAACTGTCCATGGTGTAGGACACAGATGGACAGAGAAGACACAGGGTTGAATGTACACAGAGGGACACCAACAGTACCTGCACTATACATCCAAGATCAAACAGCTTCTAAATTGTGGGACTAGGATTTGAACTGCTATCCATCCAAGTCAAAAGTGTGTGCTTTTTTCAATCCTTGGGATAAAGGACCATGTGAAGTGCCTGATGCACGGAACTAGCTTGATTAACTTTAGCTGCAATTGTGGTATTGCACACTGTGTTCATAGAAGGGTCTCTCCCTGGCCAGCAGTCATCCAGTATGATGGCAACAAATCCAACTAAAGGATCCATGGGATTAAAAAGGTCAGATTGTGTGGATTTCAGATGATTCTCATGCTATCAATCCTCCCGCCATAATTTGCACAAAAGCCTGGCAGTCTTGCTCCATTTCTCAGAGCAGAATCTGCTGGGGATCGGGAGATTAATCAGACTTCATTAATTCTGCAAAATAAACCATGACATGTTTACCCGTGCACTTAGAGGCATTATCATAAATCACCAAAATTAAATCTCACCTGTCTAAGTAGAGGAGCAGCCTGCAACAGAAGGTCACAGCATCAATGGCTTCTTGATGGCTTCATTTCTTTCTGGGGCCTTCCTGTGACCAGCAGGACCAGCTGCACTGTGCTCCAGTTTGGTCATTAACAGAATCATGAACATTATTAGCCCAGTGGTTTTGAAGACACTCTAGTGTGTGTGTTTATTTTTGCATAAAGACTAAGCTACATTCAGAGGAGATTAGAATTTTGAGAGGCAACTATTTGTTTTTTCATGCCATAGCTTCTTAAGTTAAAGCCTGCGTATGCCTTAGAGATCTCTAGAACAAACATGAGGCCCAGAAGGGGCTAGTATTTGTCCAAGGCCACACAAGTCATTCATGGCAGGTCTGGGACTAGAACTAGGGACTTCTGATTCTCAGTCTGGGGCTCTTCCCATTCCAATGCATCTGCATAGGGACTTGGGGTAAATAAGAACATATTCAGAAATATTTACTCCCTCCTGGAGGACTGTACTGCCTAGCTTTTGTCTTGGCCATGTGACTTCCTTCAGTCAAGGGAATGGAAGCAGACCCACGACAAGCAGCAGTGAGATGTGCTTCTCTGCTTTTGGCATGAGAAGGCTCTACCCTGGTAGGCCCACAAGTCTGAGGAAGATGGAGAACCATGGAGCAGACTCAGACCCAGCTGTGGCTTGGGGGAGTCCAGTCCAGCCCAGCCTAGAGCAGCTGGTCTCCAGTTGACTTGTAGACATGGTAGTAAAATAAGTGTCTAGGTCTCAGAGTTTTGTGGTTGCATAGTATGCAACAGTAGTTGGTTGATTCAAGGCTCATCCTGCAAACACATGTGGGATTCCTGTGATGTAGAATGACGCATTAGAAGCCTGGGCTTTGGCAGGGTTGAGTTTAAATCTTGGTTGGGGCATTTAGTTACCGAGAGATCTCAGGAAAGTCACTGAAGCTCTCTGAGACTCAATTTCTTGAACACAGAAATGAAAGAAATAATACTTACCTGTAGAGGGGTGATCAGAATTTGAAATTCAGAATTTTATTGTAATTTCCTAGCCCATTGCAGGTTTTAGATTGCAAACCTCTGGCTGGAGAGTTGGGAAAGGTTTGCTGTAACATTAAAAATCAGTAATGTCAGAAGTGCATTCTCTTCTGCCTTGATCATAAAACCTTGATTTTTAGCTGGGCATATGACACCCCAAATAAAAACTATATTTTCCAGATTTCTTTGCAGCTAGTGTGATTTGTGAGGAAGTTTTGGCTAAGAAGATGTAAGTAGAGTGTCACATACAACTTCTGAGATATGTCCTTAAAAAGAGAGAAGACATCCTTTCCCCCTTCCTCTTTCTTACTGGTTTGAATGTGGACATGATGGCTGTAGCTCAAGCAAACATTCTGAAACATGAGTAGGAAACCAAATGCCATTTAAGGCAGGAAGGAGAGGGGGAAAAGCCTAGGTTCTGAAACCTTGGTACTAGGCTGGACTACCTGCCTATGGACTTCAACATAAGAGGAAAAAAAATCCTATTATACTAACTTGACTGAGCCCCTACTATTTGTGGCAGCCCTATGCAGCATCACTTGGGAGCTTATTAGAAATGCAAAGTCCCCCCTCCAGACCCACTGAATCAGAATCTCAGGTGAGGGGACCACAAATCTGTGCTTTAACAAGCTCTCCAGGTGATTCTTATGGTCACCGGAGTTTGAGGAGCATTGATTTAGAGTTTTCCAGCACATACACCTCACCTGCTAACTGATAGAGCCGTCCTTAATTGCAGGTTTTGTCAAGAACTTGGTGAAGGTTTAAAAGGCAGATGAAATAAAGCCAGGAAGGATGGCAAAGCCAATAACTGACAGTGTCAAGATGGAAAATGATTCTGACAAGGTGGAACACTGGACCAAAGCCAAGCAGATGAAATTTAATGGGGATATATATAAAAATCAAATAAAAAGGTTCTTTTTTATTGAAGGAAATATAAAATGTTCCATTCTTTGACTTCTTAAATTAAAAAGAGAAAATGTAAAATTACATATTTTAAAATACAACAAATAAAGCTATAAATCAATCCCAATTATGGCTAGTTAAAGGAATGAGAGGAGGAAGATCAGGAAAGGAAAAGTGAGAAAAACCCAAAGTAATAAAGAGACACAGAGTCAATGACAGAAAGGAAGAGGACTGGGAATCCACTTTCAAATCAATCTGTGGATCCTGAGATGATCTTCACACCTAGAGGGAACCATAATTACAAGTCAGATTTTATTGAGACTTACCATGGGCCAGGCACTACATTATGTGTGTTACGCACATTTATCCTGTGAGGAACTCTATTATTATCATTGTTTTTCAGATGCAGAAACTGAAGCCGCCAGAGGTTGAGTATGTTCCCCAAGGCCACACAGCTAGCACAAGTGGAAGCAGGATATGAACCCCATGGCCAGATTTCAGGGCTGTGACCTGCAGCTGCCCTGGTATTTTCTACTGTCTGATGCTGCTTCATGAAGCATGCTTCATGCTTGATACTGATCAGTTTCACAGAAACTGGTTTTCATAAGAATAAGGAAATCGATTGCCTCACATAACATTAAGTCCAGAGGTAAGAGGCATCCAGGTGCAGTATAATTATCAGTTCAAAGATGTTATCATAGACGTGAGTTCTTTCCATTCCTGTGCTCTGCTGTCCTCAGCACCTGGCTTCATCCTAAGGCTGGGTCCCCTCATAGTGCCAAGACAGCAGCTAAAAAATCCGTGGTCTTAAAAGCTTTGTGCTCCATGTTCATGTCAGCAAGGGTGAGAAATCTTTACCTGAAGCATGTAAATTACTGAAGTATATATCCTTTAATTTAGTCTTATTGTATCGATTTAGGCAAATGACCATGCTTAAACAATAGGAGACATTAAGAAGACTGCTACGAGCTGATTGGGATAGATGACTCAGGACTTAATGCTGCAGTCAGGGATGGGGTCACCAACCGGGGATCTCTGGTACCCAGAACAGATAGGCTCTGTTATTAGTCATAGTGATTCTCTCTCTTTTTTTCTCCAAAACAAATCAAGTTTCCTCACTTGTTTGAATCCTACAAAATTATCAAACAGTGAGAAAAATCATAAAATATTCATTAGAAAGCACTTTGGATATAAAACAATAAACCCCTCTTTACAACTCTTCAACAGCCTTACCACACCTTCAGAAGCATCATAAGGGAAGATACTTTGGGGCAGTAAACCTTGTGCTTTGCTTTGACAAATAAAATTCTAACCTGTAAAAGGGGCCAGCCTGTAGAGGTGGCAGATACTGGAGGAGGGAGGCAGCCAGCATTTGCTGAA
The DNA here is from genome assembly GCF_000001405.40 of Homo sapiens. Classification (NCBI taxonomy): domain Eukaryota; kingdom Metazoa; phylum Chordata; class Mammalia; order Primates; family Hominidae; genus Homo; species Homo sapiens. Next base: position 134,848,315 of record NC_000008.11, on the reverse strand, counting down.
AGTCTATTTGCCAGGAATAATGCTACATTCTTGATTATTTTAATTATTACAAGGAGGTACTATTGATGCAGGATTTTTTGGGTGTCGCTTCACCAGTTGGTGACCTCTGCAGCCAGCGATGCCCCTGCCCAGTGCCATGCTTGGCTCTGGGCTCACCACAAGAGGTACTCCACCACTTGGCCCAGCAGCTGTGTTTGGCCTGCACTCCAGCCTGTGGATGGGCCAGGCATGTCTTGACCTGCTCCCACCTTTGGCACCAGCATATGGACGAAGGGAACATGGTGGCAACCGAAAAACTCGGATGCCAGCTACCCCAAAGCCCCTAAGGGGGTATTACAGCATGTTAACAGTTCTTTCAGTCCTGTCCCAACAAACTGGGGCATGTGGCACCCAGCAGCTCCCTCTCCCATTGCTTGGTGAGCAGGAGGGGAGTGCTACAGGGTTACAGCTCTGTTCACATTCAACATTTGGTGGGTCCTGAGTTCTTGTCCCACACCCAGGAAGAATGAGGTTATGCTAACAGCTGTTGGGTGAGCAAGATGAAGAGTTTTATTGAGTGATGAAACAGCTCTCAGCGGAGAGGGGAACCTGAGTTGGCCTCCCCCTACCCAAAGTTGGGGAGTCTCACCCACCTGAAGGCAGGAGGTCCTCCAAGTGTGGTTGAGTCTGGGGTTTTTATGAGCTCAGAATGTGGGAGTGCATGCTGATTGGTTTGTGAGTATGCAAAAAAAGGCTGAAAAAAGGCACCACTCAAGGATGGGCATGACAGTGCAAATAACAAATTAGGGAAGGGTAGGTATATGTAAAATAGGTGAAGGGTGGGGATCAACCAGAGGAAAGCACACCAAATAGGAAGAGAGGATCTCAATCCAGTCCGTGGATTTATCTGAGACTTGTAGCTTGGCTTTCAGGCTTTAAATTCTCTTTGGTTTGAAGGTCCAGTTTCACCAGGGACCTGCCCTATTTTCCTAGGCATTTGACTGCCTCCTGCCACTATCACTATTATCCCCATTTTATAAGATGAGGGAACAAAGCCTCAGAATTGCTTGCAATTTTCTCATTGTCATTCAGATGGCAAAGTGGCAGAGCTGGACTTCAAACTCGAGTCTATCTGACTCTATGACCCAAGTTCTATCCACCACATCATATTGGCTCCACCCCAGATCCTTTCTGTTTGCTGAAATTATAAGTATTGAACTTTTAAACTGTGAAATCTTGGCTACTTCTTACTTGCTGTCTGACCTATGTTAGTTACAAGAGCTACTCTCAGATTATAATAGATTTTATTTTTTAAAGTCTATTTATTGAACACTTACTATGCTCAAAGAAATGCTTTATGTATATAAACTCAATTTATCCTGCCAATAAACTCGTGATGCAGTTTATTACAGAGAATGTTTTTAGTTACAGGTGATTAAATCGGAAATCAAACTAGTTAAAGTCAGAACCAAGAGAGGAAAGGGGAATTTATTTCTCAGAAAACTGGGAAAATGGGAAAAGCAGGGATGCGATAACTTCAAGCATGGCTGGATTTGGACTTCCAGTGGAATTATCAGGGATGTCTCCCTCTGATCTCTCTGCTCTGCTTGTCTTAATTTGGCTCCATTTACATTGGGTCTGGGGACTCCTAGACATCTATCAGGATTGTGTCTTTCTTGGTTTTCCTTGGCTTCATTCTCCATATAAGGTCTAACTATGTAGTAGACAAGATGGCTGCCAGAAATCTCAGCATCTCCTCTGCATAGCTGAGCATCCCCAGAACAAGAGTCTAAGCCAGTTTTCAGTATTCTTTGAAGTTTGAAAATGCTGAAATCCTAGGGTGTCGTTGTTGTTGTTGTTGTAATATAGTCTACTGGTTTTTAAAATAATTTATGTCTTTAAATCAACCACTCAATTTACATTAAAATGTGCAGATTACAAATCTGGACAGGTCAGTGAGTCATCATAGGCAACCACATTGTATATTATCAAGCTTCCATGGCTTACTCTAGTTCGAAGACTCTCCAAAGAAGGACAATATGGCTGTGACAGCATTGAAATTGAGATGTGTCTCTTTACATCAGCATTTTCAAATATCCATGATGAAAAACCTCTGAGAAATGTTCCTAAAAACAAAACCTAGAGATTGAAATTTTTACAAAATTGATGTCTGCCCCTTCTATTACAAAAAAATTTCCAGCTTCATCCATGTCCCTACAAAGGACATGAACTCATCATTTTTTATGGCTGCATAGTATTCCATGGTGTATATGTGCCACATTTTCTTAATCTAGTCTATCATTGTTGGACATTTGGCTTGGTTCCAAGTCTTTGCTATTGTAACCATCATTCTCAGCAAACTATAGCAAGGACAAAAAACCACACACCTCATGTTCTCACTCATAGGTGGGAATTGAACAATGAGAACACTTGGACACAGGAAGGGGAACATCACACATCAGGGCCTGTTGTGGGGTGGGGGGAGGGGGGAGGGATAGCATTAGGAGATATACCTAATGTTAAATGACGAGTTAATGGGTGCAGCACACCAACGTGGCACATGTATACATATGTAACTAACCTGCACGTTGTGCACATGTACCCTAAAACTTCAAGTATAATAAAAAAAAGTTGTTCAGAAAAAGACCCTCAAAGTTTTCAAACAGGAAATGAAACTGTTTTAAAGTTGAAAATGTCAGGGTTAACTATCTGTAGTCAGCTTATGCCTCTCATTGCCCTTGCCCCAGTCCCTCAGTGGGTACCGCAAGAAGTAGCTGTCTTTGCTATGTGAATTTTTCCCCCAACAAGTATACTCATGATTCACAGTTGTCTGAAACCCACCCTGATTTGTAGAATTCACCTGAAATATTTTTTATCTGGAATATATCTGCCACCCCATTTTTCTAGTTTTTTTTTCCTTCATATTCCCAAATCTCTAAAGATTCTAGAGAACATTTGCTGAGTAGGTTGCATATACCAGGTGCTGTCCCAGGTCCTGGGAATACAGATGTCTTCATCTGTTTTGTGTTGCTACCTAAGCAATTCAATTCTGTTGAATACCTAAGACCGGGTAATTTACAAGGAATAAAAAGAGGTTTATGGAGCTTACAGTCATGCAGGCTGGGAAGTACAAGATCCAGCAGCCCATCTGGTGAGGACTTGGTGCTGCTTTGACTCCCGGTGGAAAGCAGAAGGAAGGGGAAGCAGAAGCGTACAAAGACACCAAACACGAGAGGCAGCCTCACTTTATAACAACCAGCTTTCACGAGAACTAATTCATTCCCAAGAGACCTAATCCAGTCTCTCCAGAGAAGGACACTAATCATCTTAATGACCTAATTAAAGTTTGGATAAAGGCCCCACCTCCCAACACCCATTACATTGGCAGTTAAATTCCAACATGTGTTCTGCATGGAAACTCATGCAAAGGAAAAAAAAATAACACATCCAAACTACAGCAACAGATGAGGACAAAATACAGGCATGTCCTGCAGTGGAGGGGAAGACAGGCAGCCTAGTGAGTAGCTCTAACTACCTGTATCATAGAACCTGCAGGATATTGTGGGAGCAAATAGGAGGGCAGTTCCCAGATCGCTCCCCCAACGCTGGGGCTCATTCTACTTTTCCTCAGTGGTAAATGCACCATCCTGGAGCTGCTATCACTCACAGGACACCACCTCAAGCTGGAGATGTTGTACCTCTGTGTGACAGGGTATTAGGTACCAAGTGGATCTTGTTGTTTCCTCTTTGGGCCCACAGCAGAGAACCCAGGTCCTTAGTACCCCATGCTCTGAGTTCAGAGAACAGGCAGAGAAAGGCCTGGTTGCTTCCCTTTCTGCCTTTGCCCCCTGCCCTCCCACTCTCAAAAGCCTGACTGAGCAGAGTCATTTCAGCAAAACCAGCACCCCCACCCTCAAAGACAAAATAAGAGGAGTGTAGGGAGGGAGTAAATCGTTACTTCTAGCTGGAGCTGTGTGAGGGGGTGGTGGGCACTACCCAGTGGATTTCTTCTCCAAAATCAAGGAAATAACTTGTAAGGTTTGGGGATGCTTTGTCACCCCTCCTGCACTTCTCCACACACGTTCTCCACTGACCTGGAGACTGGTCATCAGTGGTCATCTTTTGGGGGTTAGAGAATGAGGTGAGGAGATGGCACAGTGAGGTGGTGAGGAGGATGATGACCAGGTCAGGACTGCCCCCAAGTTGCAATTCTCAAGACCTACAGGAAGGGGATCCCCAGGGGATTTTGAGCCCTGGAGTTGAAGAGCTTGGGAAAGCAAGTATTTTTGGAGCAATGGCATCCCTAGGGACCCACGCAGCAGAAGGGGAAGGAGGACCATACAAGGCCCACAGAGGAATACACACGGTACCTCCTGCTGGGGGACCCCAGAGTCTGATCCTGGTGAGGGAGGCACCCCAACCCTCATGAAGCTCAGTGGACAGGAATAGCAGTCATGGCCACCCAAGGGGAGGACAGCAACTATACCATGGACATCCACGTGAGGGAGCATCTGTCTTGCTTTCTTTCCTCCTCTGGGGGAGTAGAGACAAGTACAGACTGGGCCCCCTCTGCCACTTGAACTTCCTATGCCACGAGTTCCACCTGTCCTGACAGGAATGGAGAGGGTCAAAATATTAAAATAGACAGAGGAACTAGAGGCAACTGTTCCTTTGACCAGAAACAACAGGAAAGTTATGGAATTGAAACCAAAGTTGCTATGGAGAACAAGAGTAGTAGCAACTATTGAAAAAACGAAACCATGTTATGTTTATACCCCCAATTAGTTAATACTCCTCACTAAACCAGGGAAAGTATTTTGTTGCCTTTGCTGAATTAAAAATAGGCTCTTACAAGAGTTACTGATGAAAAGCACTTAGAACCATACTTGGAACATAATAAGACCTCCAAAAATATGAGCAAATACAGGAAGTACTAGCAGTAGTAATAGTAGTAGGGTATTTTCATCATATAACTAGTGTCCTAGTCAGTTCAGTCTATCATAATAAAATACCATTAATTGGGCAGCTAGTGAATAGTAATTTATTTGTCACTAGTTTGGAGGCTGGTAAGTCCGAGATCAAGGTGCTGACATATTCCATGCCTGGTGAGGACCTGTTTCCTGATTCTTACATGGCTTCTTCTCACCATGTCCTCACATGGTGAAACAGGCAAGCTAGCTCTCTTTGGGGCTTCTCTTATGAGGGGTTTGTGCCAATCACCTTCTAACAGCCTTACCTTCAAACACCATCACATCAGTGATTAGGTTTCAACATATAAATTTTGAAGAACACAAACATTCAGGCCACAGCAACTGGATAGAATTTTCAAAACATATATAAAGGATTTCCATAACCTCTCTTTCATGTGATCTACAAAAGAACCCAGCAGAATAGGTAAAGAGGGTGTTATTATCCCCACTTGAAGATGAGGAAACTGAGACTCCTTGAGAGTATGAGTTTTTTCCAAAAAATCTCATACATATGAACCTAGAATCGAAGCCTTCTGACTCCTATGTTTTTTTTTCCATGACCAGCTTTGTAAATCACAGAGAGAAGGAGAATGAGATGAAGGAGAATGAAAAGAAAAGATTGGAGAGGGAAGGATGAAGAAAGAGAGCTAATCATTTCATTGACTACGCACCATGAGCCCCGAGTATCCTGGGATTTTCAGATACTCTTTTTTTCTTTTTTTTTTTTTTGAGGCTAAGATTACATACATTTCCATGTATACATAGAAACTTGTTGTATTAGTCAGCTTGGGCTGAGTTGTGTTGCAATAATATCCCCCAAATCTTCAGGGCTTACAACAATAACGGCTTCTCTCTGGCTTGTGTTCATGCCCTTTGAAGATCAGCTGCAGCCCTGCTCCATGTTCTCTTTATGCTAGAATCAAGACCAAAGGAACAACCTTGAGCTGTGGCACACCAGAATCATGGTAGAGGCACACGAGAAATGTCAGAATCAGAGGATGGCACTTAAAGTTTTTATCTGGAAGCGGCAATTATCATTTTCACTCACATGAAATGGACCAAATCCAGAAACATGGCTAATAAGCCTGATGTCAATGGAGCAGGAAGAATACCTTCTCACAGGGAGGGCCACCAGGCAGGCCCTAAAAAAAGAAAAGAAACAAAGTTTTGGATAAATAGTGCAATCTACCAGAATTCTGCATCATGAGTCTCCACTTTCCTCTATTTGTAAGCAAAATACATCTATTCTTTCCCATAGGGATGCCAGATTAAATACAGGATGCCCAGCTAAATTTAAATTCCAGATCAACAATGGGTAATTTTTTAGGTTAAGTATGCCCAAAATATTTTTTTTTCTTTTTTTTATTATTATTATATTTTAAGTTTTAGGGTACATGTGCACAATGTGCAGGTTAGTTACATATGTATACATGTGCCATGCTGGTGTGCTGCACCCATTAACTCGTCATTTAGCATTAGGTATATCTCCTAATGCTATCCCTCCCCCCTCCCCCCACCCCACAACAGTCCCCAGAGTGTGATGTTCCCCTTCCTGTGTCCACGTGTCCTCATTGTTCAATTCCCATCTATGAGTGGAAAATATTGCACAGTGAGATATACTAAAAATTTTTTCATTGTTTATCTGAAATTCCATTGTAACTAGGAATCCTATATTTTAATTTACAAAATCTGGCAACCCTACTCAAGAAAAATAACCTAAAGATTCCATTCGGTTACAGCATCAGGCTTGAATTCCATGAGCTCATGGAGTTCTCTACACCAGGCCCAGATGTTCATTCTCTTGAGAGCAAAACCTATGGATCAAAAAGACAAGTTATCTGCCCCTCATATGCCCAGTGTATCATGGTGAAACAGGATACCTAAAACAAACACTCCCATTCAGAAAGTGAGAGGAGAAGAGGAACGCAGAAGTCACCTGTCCATGGCAATTCTGAAAGTCCCTTGGGCAGAAGTTGCAGACTACCTTCCACCGAGACTGGAAACGTTCTTTGATTAGGACTTGATTCTGGACCTAGAACAATAACACTCAATCTATTGTTCTGCACGGTGCTTGGCACTGTCCTCCGGGAGGTTTTTCCTTTTCAATTGTTCTCCTAAAGCATTTTTTGTAAAGGACAATATGTCCTCTTTGGAAGCTGGCCAGGCTTCTCTGTCTTCTTCCCACAGAAAGTTGGAAATCCAAAGGTCATTTCAAGTCTCAAACAGTTATAATCTATTTTAGTATGAGCCGGTGACTCTTTTGGCAACATAACTTTCTCACATTCTTATCTATTTGATTCCAAACAGCCTCATGTGCCAATGGCCACATCCGTAATTCTTTCCTAGTTGCGACTTTCCCTCTAGACTTAATTGCAGGTAACTTAAATTTATCTGGCTCCAATGAAAGAACTACACTTAGAATCTCTTTTCCCTAAGTCATTTTGTCCAACTGGAAGGATTTAATTGGTGCCACTGTAATCAGTTGAGAGGTTTTAATAGAGGAACAATACCTTTGATTGGTCCTTGCCACAAGGCTCAATTTTAGTCAGTCTTTGTCACTTAAAGACATTTCCAGTTTTATCTTTTGTTGTTTGGAAATCAAAATCAATTACACCCTCTAGTCCTCTGAGTTCTGAAATTTCTGGACCCTTTCTACTCCCTTTGATCTCCCCGAAATGGACAATTCCTACCTAAGCTCAACTTTCATATCATTTCACTACGTGCAGCCCACAGCAACTTAGGCATGAGAGTAACATTCCATTTCACAACTTTGCCTAAAGCCATAAACTCATTTAGTGCATTATCTGTCTTCCTAGGGATTAAAGGTGACAGTTTTACCTAATACCTTGCCACTAGATAACACAGGTTGCCATTTTTCCATCCAACAATGTTATTTTTTGCTTTCCACTCCCAAGCCTCAGAATTCATGTGACATAATTTAGGTTTCCTGCTATGGCAGCAACTCAGTGATAAGTCTTAATTGCAGTATTAATTAGCTTAGCCTAAGTCGTGATGGAGTAACAAAAAACACATCCAAAAATCTTACAATAAGAAAGATTTATTCCTTGCATATGTCCATGTCCTTTACAGGTTGGCTGTCATTTTGTAACACGTCATCTTTTTCTAGGACTTAGACTGAAGAAGCAGACATTATCTGGGTCATGTTGGCTTGGGGCAAAGTAAAAAGTAAAAAAAAAAAAAAAAAGGCACATATTCCTCTACTTGGAAATGGCATATGTACTTCTGGCTACATTCCATTGACCAAAGCAAGTCACGTGGTCAGGATGAACTTTTTTTTCTTTTTTCCTTCTATGCACTTTATTATTTTTTTAATTTTCCCATAGGTTATTGGGGTACAGGTGGTGCTTGGTTACATGAGTCAGTTCTTTAGTGGTGATTTGTGAGATTTTGGTGCACCCATCACCCAAGCAGTATACACTGCACCATATTTGTAGTCTTTTATCCCTCGAAGATGGACTTCTGATGGGTGAAAAACATACTAGTCTCACAGGGAAGAGTAGTGGGGAGTAGACCCACAGTGAAGGACAGCAGATACTTTTGAGCAAATAATAGAATCTACCCAGTAATGTGCTGATAAATATTTAACAACTGCCTCTCTGGAGGAACAGAAGCCCTGATTTGTACATTTGTCAATTTCCATGGTATAAATACTCTCACCGTGGCCAATTTCAAGTCACCAGTGTCATGTCATCAAATGTAAAATTAGAAAGAGACATGTACAATTAGCTCTTGTGAGCCACTATGAGCATGCTACAGCATACCACTGAATCAACCTCAGTTTAAATCAATTATTTGCTAAACATAAGTTGACTTAGGCCTGTTCCACAATATGAAGAACCCCTGCAGTCTTGCTGTGGATTATAACAAGGGAGGAGACTATTATGTGACTCAGCATAAACCTGCCTTAAACCTAAACTGAGGATTTGCAGTAGGGATGAGGAGGACTAGACGACTCAAAATTAAGTCTTCATATTATTTGCTATTTCAGCATTAATTGGAAAATTCAAGGGGACAGTAAGAATGTGAGATTGAAATAAAAATAGTATTTTGCCTCTATAAATAAGATTCAGCCCCAGGCTCCTCTTCTGCAGAAATTCTTATTAAGGACTTGGCTCTCCTCCAAGAAAAATAAGGTAGAAATCATTCAAAACCCTTTACTTCCAAATTATTCCTGATAGGAGCTGCTTGATGAGTATAGCTCTCTAGTTTTGTATGTTTACAATTTTCTAATAAAAGGCTTGTTTAAAATATCCCTGAGCTAGGAAGTAGCTCTTACATACTTAAGTCTTAAGCCATTTTTTTTCAAAGACTATTCCTTTTTTTTTTTTGACTGAATCTCTCTGTAGCACAGGCTGGAGGGCAGTGGTGCAAACACAGCTCACTGCGCCTCCACCTCCCAGGCCCAAGTGATCGTCCTACCTCAGCTTCCCTTGTAGTGGGAACTACAGGCACCCACCACCATGCCCACTAGTTTTTGTATTTTTTTGTAGAGACAGGGTTTTGCATTTTGCCCAGGCTGGTCTCAAATTCCTGGGCTTAAGCAATCCTCCTGCCTGGGCCTCCCAAAGTGCTGGGATTACAGGCGTGAGCTACCGTGCCTAGCCCATGTATTCTTTAAGTACACTGACGTCATCTCTGTGGGTGGTAACACTGGGCAAGTTGCTTACGTGTCCTGAATTTGTTTCTCCAGCGATAGGACAGGATAATAACATCCACCTTACAAAGCGATTACGAAGCTTAAATATCTGGCATACATAAAGTATCTAGCAAAGCACTTGCACATGGTGGCCACTCAATAAACAGTTATTAGCATTCACTAATGAGGATACTGATTAGAATTATCATGATTATTACTGAGCCATGAAACTAGAGGTTTTAAGTTACTATTTAAAATAGTGCAAGACTCTATTCAATAGCCTCAGAGCATTTGGCAGGAATAATTTGGCTGTTGATTTTGAGTGCATCTGACAGGAACAGGAATGACTTTTGCAGCTCCCCTGGATGCATGGATGTTATTGTAATTTAACAAAACTCACCTCTCCAGTTGCTAGTGCATTTTGTCTGTTGGCCTCAAAGCTTGGCTCAAATTGTCAGGCCAATGGAAAGACTGAATGCTTTGCCTCCAGGCAAAATTGTGGCCTGCAGAGGGTGGACCCTGCATTGCATCTCAGCGAGAACGGAAAGCTCACTCAGCATGCTGCAGTCTTTCATACTGATTTTGACATAAAACATCAGGCGGAAATTCCACTTCTGACTCTGCAGTAATTGTGGAGGAGCCAGAGGGCCATCCAAACACAGATGTCTGGCATGACGCTGCACACCTCACGAGGTCACAGGACAGACATTGCAGAGAGATCGTGATGATCATGCATAAAGGAGAGCCCACCATCTTCAGGGCGCAACTCATTCATTCTTCCTCCTTCATTGTTCCGGAGTTACTGTGAATAGTCAAGATTATTGTTTCAGACTTTTTCCAATGTCTTGACTTACAATGGCGAGAAAGATGTTGATGCTGGTAATAATAGTAAAAATGGTGAAAGTTTTTCCAGAGTTTCAAATGATGGAACTCTGCATCCTACTATTGTGTAGCATGTGTGAGTACGTGTGTGTGTGTGTGTGTGTATGTGAGTACGTGAGTGTCTGTGTGATTCAACATATGTATGTGTGTATTGATTCCTCCTGAGTAGCCCCCCCCAACCCTTTTTTTTTTTAACTAAGTATGTCAGCTTCTGGAACTGCACATAACAGTTTTCCAGCAGTGACACTCATGCATAGCACAGCCATCAAAGACCTGGAAGCCATGTAATACAGCTGACCTTTGAACTAGGGGAACAACCCCTGTATGCGCAGTCAAAACTCCCAAGCATAACTTTTGAATCCCCAAAAACATAACCATTAGTAGCCTACTGTTAACCAGAAGCCTTACTGATAACATAAACAGTCGATTAACCCATATTTTGTTATATGTATTATATACTGTGTTCTTATAATAAAGTAAGCCAGAGAAAATAACATTAATGAAAAAATCGTAAGGAAGAGAAAATATATTTCCTCTTCATTAAGTGGAAGTGGATCATCATAAAGCTCTCCATCCTCATCATCTTCATGTTGAGTAGGATGAGGAAGAGGAGAAAGAGGAGAGGTTGGTTGTACTGTCAGCAATGGCAGAGGCAGAAGAAAATCCAAGTATAGCAGCTCAACGAAGTTCAAACCGGGTGGTTCAAGGGTCAACTGTAAAGACTACTAGAGGCAGAGGCTCACTTAATTGCATGTTCAGAAATTAAGAGTTTAACATTATTAGAATATGCAAAGGCATACAGAGTGACATAATGGACTTTATATCACTTTATATCATTTATATATAATGGACTCAGAAGCAAGAGGGTGGGAGTGGGGAGCCAGGGATAAAAACACTACACATTAGGTACAATGTACACTACTTGGGTGATGGGAGCACTGAAATCTCAGAATTCATCACTATATAACTCATCCATGTAGCCAAAAATGACTTGTATCCTAAAAGCTATTGAAAAAAAAGAATTTAAAATTGTTAGTATGAGCAGCTCCACAAATTTGGGGTGCAAATATGGTCATATTATTTACTTTTCCAATTAATTCATTGAGTAAAGCTTGCTGCTATAACAACAACAAACAAACAAATTTTCAGTTATTTCTCGCTCATATAACCATCTAAATTAGATGTTTCTGGTTGGAGGGCAGCTTTCCTCTACAGAATGATCCAGGGCTCAAAGCATAATTATACTCTTTTCTGGCCAGTGGGGTCTTGCACCCACTCTACTAAGGTAGCTTTCCCTAGGGCTCCCAGGAGACTCCTAACAAAGCCAACTTAACTTTCTGTTACCTCTTCTGATAACGCCAGGAGGAAAAAAATTATGTAAAAGCTTTATATTCACTGAGGCATCCTACTATATTGAATTGTCTGAAATGAAAGAACATTTCATCTCCAGATTTTAATAGATGATTGTCTATGAAATAAAGAGGATTTAGAGGCCAGGCACGGTGGGTCATGCCTGTAATACCAGCACTTTGGGAGGCTGAGGCAGGCAAATCACTTGAGGTCAAGAGTTCGAGACCAGCATGGCCAACATGGTGAAACCCCATCTCTACTAAAAATACAAAATTAACCAGACATGGTGGCAGGCACCTGTAATCCCAGCTACTCAGGAGGCTGAGGTAGGAGAAGTGCTTGAACCCTGGAGGTGGAGGTGGCAGTGAGCCGAGATCGTGCCACTACACTCCAGCCTGGGCAACAGAGCCAGATTCCATCTCTAAAAAAGAGGATATAGAGGACATCTTCATATTATAAAATGGCATAAACTGAAAAAAACATAAACATAAGCTGATATTTTAAAGAAATCAGTTAATGGTGTTTCTAAGATTTGTAGTTGGTGCTCAATACATTTATAGAACCAGGCTTTTGAATCATGCCTGAAACTTAGCAGCTCAATTGTCATTTTTTAGAATAAATGAATGGTAATGACATCAGTCTAATAAGCATTTTGAAACATGCGCAAATCTTTAGATATAAAATTTGTACATTAAAATAAGTTTTTGAGATGACAATTGGTAGATATCCCACAAATGTTTATTTCTATTATCGAAGATATCATCAGGATAATTTAGATTGCCAAAGTAGACAGAGACATGCCATGTACATGTCACTCAGGACTGCTACATATGTTCATAGAGGTTGAGCACTGCACAGTCCCAGAGGATGCCATTCACAGACTCCCATGCAAATAGCTTCCCTGGGTTTGTGCAGTGCATACTGTGCATGCAGCTGCCTAATTTGAATACATCAGTCCTAACAGGCCGTAAGGGTAGTGCAGCTGATTCACCTTGTTCATCACCAGGACTGATTGAGCTGGTCTGGCTGAGTACTGCGTTCTCACTTCATGTCCCCACTGCTTCCTCGTTTACCACCTCCTCCCACAAGCTTACGTTCTCGGAAAGATATTGGCCTTCCCTGATAGAAGCACCCTCCTGTCAAGGATGTGCTTATAACCTCACCTGAGCCCATGCACACTCCAGAGGACCCTCAGTAATCCTGGAGCAGGAGAGCCCCTAAAATGGGAACTGAATGTTCTTTCTCTCTTAGTAATAAGGTACTTAAACACACACACACAGTGGCATTTTTTTTAATCCAACTTTTTGAGGATTGCCTATTAAATACCAAGAGACATCTTAGCTCTCTGTTAATTCACAATGTCACTAATTCAAAGATGTTCTCATTGTTTAGCCTCCAAAAAAAGCCTTAGATGGGTCCTTCAGATCCCAATGGCCAATTTTAAACATCTTATCCTTATATGTTCAATATTTATATTTTAAAACATAAAATGTAAGTTCTAAGTCTGTCTATAGAGTCTGGGGTGTGTTGGAAGTTGGGATAGATGGGCCTAAGATGAAGCAAAAAGACCAGTTAGGAAGCAGGTTTTGGTAAGAGTCCAGGTGAGAGATACAAGGGGTTACCCTAAGGTAGTGACCAAGGGCGTGGAAGACAGTTAATCGCTCTCACTACCATTTAAGAGGAAGACTTTATGGGACTTGAAGACTGACAAATAAAGATAAGGATAAACTGCAAATAACTTCAAGATCATGCTACTGGGCATTTGCTCGTGCCATAGTATGACGAGGGATGAAAGGACTAGGTATGGTGAGGACTTGCACATGGAGAGAGTTAAACAGCATATCAAGAGGGGAACAATACTGGATGCAAGCATACCACCAGGCTTTCCATTTTTGTGCCAAATTAGACAAAGGGACAAATAGTACAAGTTCAAAGTAAGCAAACGCTGTTTGATTTCAAAATTCCTCTTTGAGCAACATCACTTACCTACCTTGGAGTAATCTGTCTCTCATTCTTAACAACATGTGGAAAGCTCTCATCCTAGATCCATAGTGGCAGCTGTTGAAAACATTACAACTTCTTCCTCACTGCATTTCCTACTTCTGCTTAATGTCTTATGCTACTGCCAAAGCCTTCTTTCACTGCACGAGTGTGACCACGTAATTTCTGGTGCATTTTAGAGTAGTCCAAGATTTATTGGAAATTCTTAACTTCCCAGAAAATTCCTGGTATTGAGATATAAATATAAAAATAAAGTATGCCCCTAATAATTTTATAAGATAGGCAGGGAGCTCACTCAGCCATTCAATAGCTAGTTGTTGAGTGGTGCTGTTACTGAGGAACAGGCTGGAAATTCGATGTGGAACTAGACAGGGTTCCTGCCATTCAAGAGTTTTACAATCTGAAGGGAAAGGAAAATAAATCAAGCCTTAAAGGATTGGGTAATAAGTGATATATTGATCCATATGAACAGCCAACTCATACATGAATGTTAGAGAAACTTTTTGTAGGTGATAATATGCATAAATAGTAGAACACAAAACTAGAGAACAGTGTTTAAAGCAAGGTAGCTGCCAAATGCTGTAGAAAAGATACTAATGTATTCCAAAGAAGTAGACCACCAAGATTTTTTGGAAGACACTGCATTTAACTTGGGAGGGTCAAGTGAATAATTCCTGGGACATGGGAAACTTCAGGGCTTATTTAAGATACTGGGTGACATCCTTTACCAAGATCAAGTATACGTTTGGGGCTACAAGACAGGGAGACAGACACATCCTTTTTTAAAAAGTTAACAGCATAGCTAAAATTACATAGTACTACAACATTCAAGAAATACTGCCTGGCAGTAAGTGATTAAGAGCTAAATTAGAGGAATGGGCTGGAAGTCTAAGTGTGTCTGAATCCCAAGGTGCCTGCCTGCACAGCCCTGAGGTCACAGGCTCCTTGCCTGCTGGGAAAACCTTACTACTTGATGGATGCTGGGTAAATGCTGGTTAATTGAGTTAATCTTTCTTCAGCTAGTTAGAGACGTGGAGGACCTGGAGCTCCTTGCTGTTTACACCTTAACCAAAATGTAGGGGCCCCAAGGGAATTGAGGAAAGCACCCCACCTTATTGCTCGTTCAGATGCAAATTCAGAAGCTGAACAACTGCCCTCCAAAAGTTGCACCAAGGCCCTTATGTCCAGCTCTAAACCTTTGCGGGGATGGGAGGGAGGTGGGGACTACCAAGTGATCCACAGATCACAAGCGATGCTCTTTAAGGTGGTTTTTCTGAAATGTTTTATTACCCCTGCTTAAGGGAAGGCTTTGTAGGACAAAGAGTATTGAACTTGAAGCCTGGGTCTCCACCACTACCTGACCTTGAGTGAGTCATTTAGTTTTTTAATCTCTTTGAGTCCCGTGTTCCCAGTTGTAAAATATGGAGGTTGTGGGCTCCATAATAATAGCTAGGCATTTAGGATCTATAACGTGCCAGGTGAGGCGTTTTCCGCGTTATCTCTTTTGATCCTCACAACTACCTTGGTAGACTTCACTAATCCCATTTTACCCGAGACGTTCGGTTGAGAGCGCTTTGATGGCATGCCCAATATCACGCAGCGAGAGTGGCGGATCCGGATTCCACTTCAAAGCTGCCTGACCCTAACACTACGCAGCCCCAGTTTGATCGCAGGTAACCTCCTCCGAGATTTCCCTCAACTGCCCGCTCGGTTCCTTCTCCGCCTCTCCTCGCTTCACTGGCGTCCAAAGCGCCCCTTCGGGCACCGGACATGCTCAGTAACGCATGAAGACTTTTCGCTCTGCCTCGGGAAATTTTTCACGCCACTCCGGGAGCCGAGCCCGCCCCGCCCACGGCTCCTCCTCACGGGATTGGTCAAATTCCGGGAGGCAGCGAGGGAAGGGAGGCAGGCGGAGGTCCAAATTACCTCCCAAACCCCAGCGCTCTGGGCGCGCGCGCCCCGAGAGTGCGTGCCTGCGTGCGTGCGTGTGAGTGAGCACGTGAGGGCCCCAGAACGTGCACAGTGGGCGGGGACAGGAAATGGGAAGCGAGGGGCGGGGGTTGCCGTTGCCATGGCAGTGACGTCAGGCGTCGGGGAGCGAACCCGGCCCCTTCCCCACGCGCGCGCGCACACACACACAGAGACATGTACACGCGCGCGCACAGCCGCTCTCCCTCAGACACACTGGAGGGAAAGGTCAAACTAAAGGCGAGGGAGCAGAGAGACCGGAGGGAGCCGCTGCCGCCGCCGCGCGCCATGACGGACGCGGCGGAGGCTGCTTTCTCAGTGCGGACGCCGCCGATCCCCAGCTCTCGCCGCGCCCCCTGCCCCCCGCCCCTCGCGCGCCCCTCACCCTGGCGCTGGCGCGTCCCCGCGCCCTCTCCCCCGGCCGCTCCAGGCGCGCCTCGGGCTCGGGGCGCGGGGCGCTGGGAGCGGGAGGGTGGGGGCCGCGGCGGGCCGGCGGCCTCCTCGCCCGACCCCCGACCCCGGGCCAGGTGAGTGCCTTGGGGCGGGAGAGGGCGTCCGGAGCGGAGAGGACACCGGGCGCTCAGCCCCCCGCCTGACCCCCTTCCGGGGCGCTGACAGGCTCTCGGGACACGGCCTCTGGGGGGCGTCGTGGGGTCACTTGTGTCGGGGGGTGCTTTTTTGGCGCCCCCGTCCCTCAGGGTCGGGCGTCCGAGTCGTGGGGGGCTCGGGGCCGGGAAGTGGGCGCTGCGGTGCGGCCCTGGAGTGCAGCCGCGGCGACAGGGTATGGGGCGGGCGGCGGGAGGCAGGTGGGCCCCTCCCCGGGGCTCGTGAAGTGGGGGGACCGGGCGTGGGGGCCGCGGGAAGCTTTCGGGAAATGTTTATCCGGCAGTTGCAAGAAACTCTGCCCTCGGGACGAGGCGCCTTGCTTTTTGCCGGGGCCAGCGAAAGTGGCGGATTTCACAGCAAAACTCGGGTGAAGCCAGGCTGGACCGGCCGGGAGTGAGAGAGGCCGGGAGCACCCGTCTGGATGGGGACCAGAGATGAACGAATCCGCCTGTGTGTAGCACCAGGGCATGATGTGTGCACGTTGCTATGCCAGTGTTTAATGTTTGTTGCTTATGGTTATTTTAGGACTAAATGATAAAAAAGTTACTTGGGAGAGAGGGAACTGCTTGATTTGACATGAGTTCTTCACTTGTGCATGCAGGAAATACATTAATCCTGTACACACACAACTGAATTTATGTCCAGTGGACTTTACAAATAATATACACAAAATTCTAAAGCCCCGAAGCAAGGTGATGTGTGTCTGAAGAGTTTCAGGTGTCAGGCTCCGTGTTCCGTGGGAACAAAATAGGAGGACACCGAAGTACTTGATATGCCCAAGCAGTCATCTTTTTGTAATAAGCTTTGGATACCATCAAAGTGGAGTTTAGTTGTAACTGCCAGGGTTAAGTAATCGCATTGACCCGGTGCCACCCACCAGTTTGGAGCTTCTCTGAAAGTAATTTACGAGACAGTCCTGTGCTGATTGTGAATAACCAGTGCTTTTGCTGATTTTTTTCCTGTTTAATTTTACACTGTCATCATGTATGTGTATGCTACCTGTTTACCAAACGTTAGAATGAATTATCCATAGTTAAACTCTCCACTAAATCACTAAATCAGGTACTAGCTGTGGCATGTCTTTAAAAATATATATATTTGAATGTTACCTGGAAATTACCGATATAATGGTTTCAAGCTGATAGGGATTTTTTGAACTTAAGTCTAGCATAAACATTATCCCAAGTGGATGTGTTTTAAAATTTAAATCTCATCTAAGAAAACTTCCTGGTTTGTGAAAGGTGCAGGATTGTGATGATAGCTGAGGAAATGCCAGAGAGAATTTTTGGTAGAGAATAAGAGAACAACCTGTGAATTTGGTGTTAACCAGCAGTCTCGGCATATACTCACTTGCTCCTTACCTAAGCATTTCTGATATGTGGGTGCTTTTTCTGTTGATTATGTATCTTTGGTTATTTGTCATTTTCAAAAAGTTTCCTCAACAGAGGACCCTCACTTTGAAATTGAGTCCTTGTGGCATGTAGCCGGGATACCAAAAGTTTTCAGTACCAGATGCAGAGAGAGATCAGTCCGTTTGGGATCTTGTTAATTCTTTCTGTGCAGCTACTTTTGTGCTGTGAGGTCTCTTTTACATCTTGCTCCTATTGGCCATAGCTGACATATGTCTGTATACAGTCCTGTAGTGGGGTACTTAATTGTTACAACCTGAAAAGATTATTTCTTGTAATATATAAATAAATTTTTATGTTTTTCTCTCTTCTCTCTTTTTCAAGGGAACTGTAGAATTGGACAAATCAACACTTAGCATGTCCCCCTCCTGTAGGTCTTGTTGACCTTGGTGGCATCGTGGAGGTCATATGTTCATGGAGATAAACAGTTCTTGAACGGTTTACTCCAGGTGGTAAAAACACATGGGAAAGTGATTTGGGCTGTGCGTATCTTGGTTTTTTAAAAAATCATTTTTATCGAGCGTTTATTGTGATCATGGCCAAAAATAAAATAATTCTTTGACTTTTTTTGAAATACTATACACACATTTCTATATTACATTTTTAAGAATTGCTTATTTTTCAATTTTTCTAGTATTTCTTGTATATTCTACCACAGGTGAACAACTCATTTTTTGGGTGACATTTTTAGAGCTTGCTTGAGGGGCACTAGAAAGAAGGGCAGTAATGTGATGTGAATGTTTCAGCTTATGAAAACAGCTGTGCTCTACTTTAAGAAATTTGACATTTAAAAGTGTAAGATTGCAAAACAAATTAATTACTAGTTGGTTATATTATGTGAGAATTTTAAAAAAGGGATTCACTAAAAGTTGTTTTCAAATACTTAATCCCTTTAAATGGTATTTATCTAATGTGATTTGATTTGTGAATAATCAGTTGGCATACAACAATTTAGGAACAGATTTTTGGCATATGTAAGGGTTATCAGTGTGTTCTTTGAGTTCTCTCTTTACCAAAAGTATTTGGGGACAAAGTTAAATTCAGTGTTGTTCCACTTATATGCCACCTATAATGGTTTAACTGAGTGGGAAAATTGTCATCTGATTTATCCCATATCATTTAAGGCAGCGGTGTCCAATCTTTTGGCCTCCCCGGGCCACGTTGGAAGAAGAAGAATTGTCTTGGGCCACACATCAAATGCATTAACAATAACTAATGAGCTTAAAAAATTGCAACAAAAATTTCATATTTTTAGAAAGTTTACACATTTGTGTTGGGCCTCATTCAAAGCTGTCCTGGGCCATGGGTTGGACAAGCCTGATTTAAGGAGTACATTGAAGCCTAATTAAAATGCTTTTCACCATTGAGTAAAACTTTATGATCAGGTTTGTCAGGAACCTCATCCAAGGTAGTTTAGTTAGTGGAGTATCAAAAGCACCTTGTTGTCAGACACTCTCACTAGGACAGTGGTCCCCCAGCAGAGGCCAACAAGCAGTTATACCCAAACTTCAGCAAAATCAAAATAAGTAGATTTGGTCTAAAGTCCACAAGCAGTAAAAACCGTTACCTTGAAATTTTCTGTAGGTGCAAATTATTCTTCAGAATTAAAGGCTTGATTTTCCTAAGCTGTAATTCTGTTTGAGTCACTTGTGAAAAATGCTATTTTGGTAAAAGAACAACTATGTATTCTTTCAAAGGAGTTTTTTCCCTTTGTGTTAATGCATTTGCGTTTATTTGGAATTGCAGGAGATGATGAATGAAGTACTTGGGAAGTTTAATTCAGAAATCATTTTGCTTTGCTTATGTAGAAAAAAAAGGAATGTGAGTTAATAGGAGAACTTATTTGTGGGTTAGTTCGTACTTCATGTGGGGATAAGGAGGAAAGGGAGGAAGTAGCTGCAAACTTTATTAAGGATAACTAATCAAGTTTCATTTGATTTATACTGTTCATGCCTGGCTTGGGTAACAGTGACGCCTTCACCTTTTCCTAGTTTTCGAGAAATTTTATTCTTAGAGAAGGGGTTTGAAGGATAAGAGCTAAGCATCAGGGCATACAAGAAGTAAAAAATATCTTCAGAATGCTTAATAGTATTTTGTTTTGTTTTTATACATTAGAAAGCAAGAAATTATTTTAATACTGAATATGGGTCAAAAGCCCAACTTCGGGATACTGGGCACGGTTTCATACCTCTTAGCATAATTGAATATTATAAAAATGGAAGGAACAGCTTGAATGGTGCCATTGATTTTTTTAGTACAGGCTCTTAGTTCCTCAATTGAACAAATGAGTAAAAATGAAGATTAAAGAAGAGATGATATTAAAAGAAGTGTTTTCCATTTTTTAAAAAATCCCAAGGGACTGTCTCAAATGACTGTTAATTTCAGAACATAGATTAAAAAGTACATTACATTGGATTTATGATTAATGAGGACACAATTACAATTTTTAAAAAATACATGTAAAAAAGGTGAGTATACTACTGCAGTTTACAAATATTTGTGCCAAGATACGTGAGGCTAGTGGTAATGATTAGAAATTATAATTGGAAGTGAAGACTGATTTATGTTCTCAATTTCATTATTTAAGCCAATGTCACTTTTAAAATGTCACTTAATTTTTCTATTCCCAATGTTCTTTTCAATAAAATGCAGTCATTAGTGCACCATACTTTATGTAAACTGGGGTTTCAAAATAATATTAACTAGAATTTTTTTTTTTTTTTTTTTAGACAGAGTCTCACTCTGTCACCCAGGCTGGAGTGCAGTGGCGCGATTTTGGCTCAATGCAACCTCCGCCTCCCGGGTTCAAGCAATTCTCCTGCCTCAGCCTCCCAAGTAGCTGAGATTACAGGCACCCACCACCACGCCTGTCTAATTTTTGTATTTTCAGTAGAGACGGGATTTCACCATGTTGGCCAGGCTGGTCTCAAACTCCTGACCTCAGGTGATCCGCCCTCCTGGGCCCCCCAAAGTGCTGGGATTACAGGTGTTAGCCCGTGCCCAGCCAATTTACTAGATTTCTTAAGCATAAAATATTATCTAATAATATGTATATGTATGTCCACTACATGGGATTTTTAAAAAGTTTAGATTTTGTGATCTGCAGAACTGTAGGCAACAGTTCTTAAAAATAAGAAAGGCTGAGTTCAGGCCAGGCGTGGTGGCTCATGCTTGTAATCCCAGCACTTTGGGAGGCCGAGATGGGCAGATTGCCTGAGCTCAGGAATTCAAGACCAGCCTGGTGAAACCCTGTCTCTACAAAAATAACAAAACAGTTAGCTGGATGTGGTGGCACACGCCTGTAGTCCCAGCTACTTGTGGGGCTAAGGTGGGAGGATCGCTTGAGCCCAGGAGGTTGAGGCTGCAGTGAGCCGAGATCACGCCACTACACTCCAGTCTGGGATGACAAAGCAAGACCCTGTCTCCCTCTCCGGACACCCCTAAAAAAGAAAGGCTGAGTTCAGAGTTTTAGTCATGGGTGACCCTATAAATTGCAATTTCTTTTTCTCCCTAAAGGGTTTTCTTTCACTATTACATGTTTGTGTTTTCCTGATTCCACTCATGCTACTGTTAGGTGTTGGATCATCTTACCTATAGCGTCAATACAAAGTTCATTTGTAAAAACTGTTCCGTTTATTTTCTCCCAGCTGTTTCATCTGAGAATTTTGTTTGAATTTCAGTTGCCAAATGTAGTTTAATCGGTTACTCTAAATAGAAAGGTTATTGCAATTTTCACAAACTAGGGGAAATATAAATTTATCTTAAGTTTATGAACATTTTTATATTCCTGTGGGGACAACTAAGCACAGTATGTATAATTTAATATCTCTGTTGGCATTTGTTCTAAGTTAAATTTATTTGCTGTATTGTTAAAATCAATGTAGTAAGGTGTACAGTCTTTTAAAAACAAATCTGTTTCTCTGTGGAATATTTTTCAAAAGGACCTGAAAAACATGCTCTTAAATAGATGGAGTGGAAATTTTACTATTAAAGTGAATGTATAGTTAAATGTGTGATACTGGTATTGTTTTGATTGTTTTTATTTTACATGTGAGGATTTTTTACATGTTTCTGTGGAACTACTTTTAAGTAGGTTTTAATTTTGATTTATAAACAAGCTTCTCTAAAAGAAAAAAGTTGTTTTGTTCTTCGTGATTATATGGTAGTCCTCAGACTTTTGTAGTTGAAAGAAGTAGAAATGAGTGATTTATTAAGCTGTTTATGTAAAATGACTAGTTGGAGCAGGTGATGTAATTTATTTTTACTATAATGTGCAGAGATGTCTTTATCCCAAACAAATTTATAGCTGAATCGTTTGCTATTTTTTGCAAATTTAGGGAATCTGGAATGTGCCCAGAAATGAACTGATTGCCAAGTGTTCGATTGAGTAAATATCATATGGAAATGGTTTTTTGCTTGTAATGACATATTGTTACTGATTAAGGACCATTTCTTTTCTTTTTTTTTTTTTTTGAGACAGAGTCTCGCTCTGTCGCCCAGGCTGGAGTGCAGTGGCGCAATCTCGGCTCACTGCAAGCTCCGCCTCTCGGGTTCACGCCATTCTCCTGCCTCAGCCTCCTGAGTAGCTGGGACTACAGGCGCCCGCCACCACGCCCGGCTAATTTTTTTGTATTTTTAGTAGAGAAGGGGTTTCGCCATGTTAGCCAGGATAGTCTTGATCTCCTGACCTCGTGATCCGCCCGCCTCGTCCTCCCAAAGTGCTGGGATTACAGGCATGAGCCACCGCGCCCAGCCTGAGGACCATTTCTTAAGTATGCCTGTAAGTAAATATACTACACATATTGGTCAAATGATGTATTGACAGCTTTAATTTGTAGCGTATGCTTCTCTCACTCCTTTTTCCTTTTAGTAATTGTCAATAGTTTGTCTTCAGCCGTATTCTGTGAGTGAACTTCTAATGCGCTGATAGAGTGCTCCAGGGTTGTTGTTTTCTAATGTTTTATCTGATGGAGTAAAGAAATAACTATCTGAGATCCTTGTGTAACTCTTATTGTGTGTTAAACATTGTTTTGAACATTTCTTTTCAATCTGTTAATTATAAAGCAGATGATTCTTTAAAAATTCTTAAGACTGAGTGATTGTGTTCCCCACAAATGTTAGTACTGGGAGGGAAGGGGGTAAAGGTAAAGAGAAAGATCATAGGGATTAGTTTAGATTGTATAAAGTAAGTGTAATTGTTTCGTTCTAAAACATGTTGAGCTAATCATTGTATGCCTTTTCCCTGGGATTATAACCTTGATTTTTAATTCACGCTTCTCACTGTGAAGAGTCAGGAGTAGTGAATTGTAAGAGAGGCATATGTACCTCTTTAACCAGTTTTACATGTTATTGCTGGGAATATTAGATGGCAATAAGGAAGACAAACAGTTTCACAATGATGATCATTTTTAGTAATCACATTTAGATTTCCAAATTTTATAAGGTGGAAGAATAGACACCATAGTTATAGATGGAGAAGGGCTTTTAGACAGAAGGTCATTGTTAGGAAAATTCAAGTTTACCAATCTTGGAAAAAAAATTACACTTATGCCAGTTACATTCTATGCCTTACAGCACTGCACTGTACCAGTTTTGAATATTCTGTGTCCATAAATACACTAGTATTTGTCCAACCATGAATTCTGACTTTTAGGTTAGAAAATGTGTTCATTTAAATGATAGTTTTAACTTGAGTGAAAAAGCTGGTAATTTTTATCTTCTTTTTTCTGTATTATAATTTTTTGTCATTAATTTTGAAGATCTCATGCTATATGATTAGTTCTGTATATGACTACTTCTGTAATTGATGAACAACTACTAGAATGAATTATTGTACTTGAGCACTTAGAATCATGTCAGGAGAGGCATGAAGTAAGTAGAACATATTTGTGTAGAGATAATAATTTTACTTTCTAAAGCAGTGATTTTGAAACTCTTGCTGAGAGTGTGCTGGAGGAAGTCAAGCATTTCATCCCGGTTTCAACCAGTGCTGTTTTATTTTGATTAATTTTAAGCGTGGAAGTTTGCATAGTATTTCAGTTGAGCAAGGTTCTGTTGTTTAAAAATACGATAGCCTCTATTGTTACCATATTTGCTCTTATCACTTGCCTGCTTAAATCCTTGCTATTTTTTTATTGTTATTACGACTGATAAGACTTTTCTTTCCCTAGCTCCAACTTTATTCTTTATCTCTGATCACTTTTTCCTTTCCATGTAAACCCTGCATTCTAATTCTACTTAAATTGTTTGATGTTCCCTGAGAGGAAAATGTTATTTTTACATCTGCATGCCTTCGCACATGGAACTGCCACCATTCTCACTTGAGCTAGGCAGCACTCAATTCCCTTGGAACCTTGGTCATCTTTCCATAAAAGCAGTTATTACATTGTTTTGTAACCGTGGCCTCCCTTGAGAGCAGAGACCATCTAATTTATCTTGTATTCATACTACTTGGTGTTTATTCAGTATTCAAATGTCTGTTGAATTATTGCATTTAGAATTTGAGAAGTAGTAAAATTACTTTAATAAACACTAATGTGAATAAAATATCCCAGATCTAGTTCTGTGCAAAAGAGTTTTAGTGACAGTGTCCGACATTATGCTAAATATATAAAAGGCACCCATTTGCACTTATCATGAAGTATAATAAATCCAAAATATTTTTTTAAATTATATTAGATTCTAATGGCTTAAGTGATATCTTAGATTCAGTGATCTGATCTTAAAAGTTGATTGTGAAAGCATTTTAATAATTCTATACAGCCTTGGCTGCCTGTGATAATATTTCATATGCGATTAAAGCTGATAGACTTAAAGGGGCCTTCAAGTGTCAAGATATGTAATACAGCAATACCAACTCTAAAGGTAGAATGAAACCTGGAGCTATCCTGCCTGAATTCCTATCACTCTCCTGTCTCTCAGTAGCTGTGTTGTCTTAGGCAAGTTACTTAACCATTCTATACCTCCTTTTTCTCATCAGTAAAATGAACACAATGATAATATTACTTTATATGGCTGTGGGGAAGAGTAGCCAGGAATTAATGTATATAAGCACTTAAAAGAATGCCTGACATACAGAAAATACTCAATACATGTTAACTGTAATTAATTTGAAGTGGCTTCTTAAATCAATATTTATTGTGCATCATTTTCATCTTTTAAAGATAATTGCTTTAATACTTGAGTATCTAATTTTTTTTAAACTTAAGATTTTTAGTTAGTTACTGTGTTTTAGACTGGCAACTGTTTCAGTACTTTCCAAAACTGCTATCTCTACTGAGGTATTGTCCTGTCTCCCAGTGAAATGTAGGCTGTTCCCGTTGGATGGATTGACATGGGAGATTTGAAACTAGTTCTCCTGATTTCTGAGCTTATCATTGAGTTCCCATGACCAGGTGTTGGTAGTGTCCACAACAGAGCAGGAAGAGAAATAGTACAGAATTCCAGTGGCAAGTTCTTAAGCCTTAACCTGTACTTTAAGTCAGTCCTAAACTTTCATATTCCTTAGTAGAGAACAGATGTTCCCCTTTTTTTCCCCCACATTTTCCTTTTTTGGCTTGGGGGAATAGATTTTTTAAAAATCTGAATTTATATTCCAAAAAGGCATGTGCAAGTTAATTTTCCTAAGTCAATGAAGCCGCTTTTTAATCTTACTTTGTAAGATGCATACCTGCAGTGAGAGAAGTAGGTAGGGCTTTAGTAATTTGTGTCAGGGACCATGTCCTATTAAATCCTGTGAAAATATGCACATGTAGTACACAAAGAAAAATTTAAGGGAAGAAGAGTTTTTTCCAAGTTATTTTATAAAGTATTCTTTATAAAAGTATATTTCTTGTAATAATCCCCCATCTGTCCTTCTAGCCCACCTTTACTTTCTCACACTTATGCTCTCATAACAATTAAAATATAATCAAAGTTACTTGGGTAACTTAAAAAATTTTCATTATAGGAAGGAAATGTGTTTTGAAAATCAGAAATTTTTCAAATTTTAATAAATTTTAGTGTTTTTTATGCAAGCTGTGAGTTGAAGATGAGGGGCTGGGATATAAAGCTAAATCGGGTACTTATCTTTATTACTTATGACCTACTAGGGTGTCCAGAGTATGCAGAGAACATATGGGAATTTGGAAGCTGGGAATGGAGACTGGAAAAGTGCTGGATTTTGAATAGTGCCAGGAAATAAAGGAAGACTTAGCAAGGGATCATTTTTCAATGCCAGTGACATGCTGTGTAATAGTCTACCATGGGAAATTTGAATGCTTATACGATTGGTCAGTATACTAATATTGTCTTGTAATTTGAACACTAACTCTTAATATTAACAAATTTTTTTCTCAACAGCCATCGTAGGAACTTTTAAAATAGGTTTTGCATTTCCCCTGAAAATGGTGAGTTAGGTCATATTAGGAAAAATAAATTCTAGAATAAATACAATTTTGATTAAACCGGTTTTCTCTATAAAAACCCAAGACGCTGTATCTATCTTTAATGTTATCTATTGTTAAAATTTCATTTCCCTCAACAGCATGCATTTCCATGTTTATTAGACCAAACAACTTCTTGTTTTACTTCTTACCTTTGTTTTTCCTTGTTGTTGTTATTTAATTAGAAAAGAAATGCTGTTTGGGCCTTTTCATATGCCTCAAAAATGTTTGGTTACACAGAGGAGTGAGTTAGATTTATAGGACTCACACCCAATTTGATCTCCTCAAGTGCATTTCTAACCATGTTTTCATCCACTTTTCCTTGTTTTAGGTTTCTCATAGAAACAGCTTTTCATTGAGCTAAATGTATTTCCTCTCTTACTCGTTCTTGGAAATCTAGGACTATGTATGTGAAACTTCTTATTCTTGTACACAATAACTCTTAAGTATTTGAAAATGACTGTTCTACTTCAGTCTTCTTTTTTGCCAAACTGAGGGAAAAAATTCTTTTTTTTTTTTTTAAACCGCATGCATGTGACATGGTTTACAGACCTTTCCCCATCTATATCGCTCTACTCATGACAAAGTTTTTGTCAGTTTACCTCTGAAAATACAGTGGCCAGAACTGAACTGACTACTTCCGATGTGGTCTGACCATTGCTGAATACAGTGAAGCTATTATCTAGGATACTGTGTTTCTATTAATGTAGTCTGAAATTTGCATTGCATTTTTTTGGCAGCCACATTACCCTTTGATCACATTCAGCTTATAATCAACTAAAACCTTGTCTTTTTTTCATGTGAATTACTTTAAGTCTAATCTTTGTCACTCTTTACTTGCCAGTTGATGCTTTGAAAGTAAATGTAGGATATTATGTATTGCATTACTATAAAACTTTAAATGAATTTATATATCTGAAGATATCACCATTTGTATAAAATAGCACAGTTTTCATGGTGTTTTCACATCTATTTAATCTTCACAACAACCATCTGAGAATCAGAAAAACTGACTTTCCACTAAGTCTAGAATTGGCACATGTAGAACTTCATTGCAAGCTTTTTGATTCCAGATCTCATGCTCATCTCATCATTATTCATTCACTTAATATGCATTTAGTGTGTCCATTCATATATGGTAGGCACCATGTGGTGCTGGTGTGTCAGGGGCGAGACACATTACAGTCTCTATCCTTGTGTTTATGATCTGGTGTATAAATACTACCAATTACTAGGCACTTTTCATAAGGAAGGCACTGTGGTAGACTATTATTTCAAAAATATTTATTGCTTCTCTCTATCAGGGTTCTTTCTGTAGTCGGATTATACTTCTTATTCTGTTGACATCAGGTTTGACCATTTGGCTTTCCTTGACCAATAAAATGTTAAAGTGACATGTCCCATGTTTGAGCAGATATTTTTCATCCTGTGGTTCTGCCAGTGGCCCTTGACCCTCTGTCATGGAACCAGCATGACTTAGCTATGGCTGGTCCCAGAATAATGGAGCAGAGCTGAAGCCAATCTGTGATAAGCATATAAGTGTGAGATAAATACTGTGCTGTAAGGCACCATGATTTTGGACATTTGTTACCATAGCAGAATATAGTTCAAGCGATGATACTGGCATCACTCAAGGTGCTGTATGATGATGATAAGACTTGGGCATTGTCCTAAAGGAGCTTACAGTCTTGGTAGATGTATTACATTTCCACAGGTTATTGGGAGTTGAGGAAAAGGAGAGTAATATTACATAAGGATCTTTGAAGTTGAGGATCTTTCCTGACCTCCATCTCATCCCTAGGCTGAATCAGTCAATATGTTTTAAACCCTGGGTTTGTGATCCACTACTCACTGTCACAACCTCTTATTGTCCAAAATTTGATAGGCATATTTTCTATGCCCTCATTCAAATCACCTTTTTTAAAACAAACATTTAAGAGGATGAACTTCTACAGAATTGTGATTATAAGCTTCCTTCATAAATCTATTAATCAGCATTTAATAGCAAGCTAAGAATATACCCAGTTAAACTGTTTCTCTATTATCCAGAAAGATATCATGATGTCCTAGATTCTATGTGAATTTTATTTGTGAGCATTTAAATTTCCCATTGTCATGTCTATGTGTGCTTCTCACTCTGCATGGGATTTTAAAGAAACAAAACCTTGGCTGGGATTCCAAAAGGAATCTTTTTTTTTTTCTTCCCCCCGTGAGAAGCTAAGGAATACATACATGGCCAAGGTTCAGAAGAGTTTTGAAACCTTTGAAATAATTACATGTAAAATTTTATGTAAATATACATTGTTCTGGTCCCTAGCTTTCATCATATTATCAAAGGAAATCAAAAACTCCCCTGGAAGGTTGTAAACCCTGTTGAAGAGTGAGACTAGAAGTAGAACAAGGATCTGAAGAGCACCAATATTTAAGGGACAAGTGGAATAGGAGCCCAGAAAGAAGTCAGAGAAGGTGTAGTTAATTAGAATATTGGAGGAGCGGGAGCAAATGTAATGTCAGAGAAACCAGTTCCTTATTAATCAGAGCTTTTGTGGTGTGTTGGGGGGCGGGGGGGGGGGGTGGTAAATCCGGCAGTTCTCATGGCGTTTCATTGTGATTCCTTGGAAATTACCAAATCTGCAGATACATTTAATGTCTTGGGATAATATTTTTCTTGACCTATAAACATGAATTAAAAGTGATTACTTTTCTTTTGCTGTCTCCTTCCTATCTTGGACTTTGATTTTTCTTTTAATCCGTATCCTTCACAGATTAAAAGATCATTCTTTTTTTTCCTTTTTTTTTTCCTTCACCCCCTTCCTCTTCCCCTTCCCACTCCCAGACCGATTCAAGGCAGGAGTAAAACAATTATGTAGGTTATCTGTTAGCAGTTTTATTGCAAGTAAGTAACCTGGCTTTTGTTTGTTGTTGTTGAGAATGTATTTAAGTCTTTTTATTGTCCTTAACACTTTCGGCAAGTCTCTATTTTTATTGAAACAATTTTATTGACATATAGTTGTTATACAATAAATGGCATATATTACAATGTGCAGTTTGTTAAGTTTTGACGTGTTTATCCATGAGACCATCACCACAGTCAAGACACTAAACATATACCCCCAAAAGTTTTCTGATGTCCCTTGATAACCCTCCCCTGCATTCTCTAGGCAACCATTATCTGTTTTCTTTTACTTTACATTGGCATGCATGTCTTAGAATACAATATGCACTCCTTTTGTCTGGCTACTTTCACCCAGCATTATTTGGAGATTCATCCGTGTTGTACCATGCACCAATAGTTACTCTTTCTTATTGGTAAGTAGTATTCCATTGTATGGATATACCACATTTTGTGTATCCATTCACCTTTTGATAATCTATTTGGGTTGATTCCAGTGTTTGACTTTTAAAGTAAAGCTTCTATGAATATGTATGTACATGTCTTTGTATGGACATAAACTTTTCATTTCTCTGGGCATACACCTAGGAGTAGAATGACTGAATCATATGGTAGCTATATGTTCTATACCTACCTAGTTTCTTCTTAAACTGCCAGTGGTTTTCCAAAGTGGCAGTACCATTTTACATTCCCACCAGCATTATGCTATCATTTGGTGCAGTCAGTCTTTTTAATTATTGCCATTCTAATTAGTGAGTAGTGGTGGTTTTAATTTGCATTTCTCTAATGACTGCTGATGGTTAGCATCCTTGCATATGTTTATTTGCCATCCCTTTCTCTTTTGGGAAGCATCTGTTCAAATCTTTTACCCGTTAAAAAAATCTGGTTGGTTGTTTTCTTACTGCATTCTGAGGGTTCTTATGTATAAATCCTTTATCAGATTTATGATTTGCAAATATTTTTCCAGTCTATGGTTTGTCTCTTCATTCTCTTAACAATGTCTTTTGAAGGGCAAAGGTTTTAATTTTGATATCTAATTTATCAGTTCTTTTATGGATTGTACTTTTGGTACTGTATCTAAAAATGTTTTTTTTGCGTAATTCAAGGTCAACAAAGGTTTTCTCCTGTGCTTTCTCCCTGTAGTTTTAGGTTTTCTATCTAAATATAGTGATCCATTTTGAGTTAAGTTTTGAGTATAGAAAACTTTTCTATCTGGATGTTCTTAAGACACCATTTGTTGAAAATTTATCCTTTTTCTATTGAATTCCCTTTTCCCCCTGTGAATAATCAGTTGACTTTATATATGTAGTAGTTCTATTTTGGACTCGATTTTGTTCCATTGAGGTATTTGTTGATCTTGACACCAGTGCTGCACTGCGTTGATTATTCAGTGTTGAAATCATGTAGTCTTCCAATTTTCTTTTTTTCAAAGTTATTTTTGCTAGTCTAGGTATTTTACATTTCCTTATGAATTTTAGAATAAGTGTCAGTTTTTTTAAAAAGCTTGCTTGACGTTTTGATTGGAATTGCAGTGAATCTGTAGGTCAATTTGGAAAGAATTGACATTTTAAAATTATTGAGTCTTCTGACCCATGAACATGGTATAGCACTTGGTTTAGGGCTTCATTAATTTCTCTCAGTAATGTTTGGTAGTTTATAGGATGCAAGTCTTTTATATTTTGGTCTCGTATATGCCTCTGTAAGTTGGGTTCTGCAGAGAAACAATCAATAAGGGTGCGTTGTGTGTGTGTGTGTGTGTGTGTGTGTGTGTGTGTGTGTGTGTAGAGAGAGAGAGACAGAGAGATTGATTTTAAGAAATTGGCTCGTGATTGTGGTGGGTGGCAAGTCCAAAATTCATAGAATTGGCAGGCAGGATGGAACCTTAGGCAGGATTTCTCTTACAGTCTTGAGATAGAATTCCTTCTTCCTTAGGTTATCTGGTTTTGCTCTGAAGGCCTCATTTGATTGGATGAGGCCCACCCATGTTATGGAGGAGAGCTCTTTTTCTTAATGTCAACTGATTGTTATCGTTAATCACATCTACAGAATAGCAATAGCTAGACTAGTGTTTGATCAACTGGGCAGCATAGCCTAGCCAAGTTGACACATTAAATTAACTATTAATATCATTGCAATCCCTGAATATTTCATATTTTAAAATACTTTTGTAAATGGTATACTTTTTTTTTTTTTTTTTGAGATGGAGTCTTACTCTGTCACCCAGGCAGGAGTGCGGTGGCATGATCTCTGCTCACTGCAACCTCCGCCTCCCGGGTTCAAGCCATTCTCCTGCCTCGGCCTTCTGAGTAGCTGGGATTATAGGCATGCACCACCATGCCCAGTTAATTTTTGTATTTTTGGTAGAGACTGGGTTCCACCATATTGGCCAGGCTGGTCTCGAACTCCTGACCTCCTGATCCACCCACTTTGGCCTCTCAGTGTTGGGATTACAGGCGTGAGCCACCGTGCCTGGCCAGTGGTATGCATTTTTAAGCTCAGTTTCTGATTGATGCTAGTTCACTATTGCTTTTTAAAAAATACTTTAGCCTTCTTTTCATTATTAAACTCATATGACTAGCAGCCTTTTCATTTGAAATTAGGATTACCCTCTATTTTTAGACGTATCCTTTAAAAATACGAATTTTTTAAAGAAAAGTCCTAATGTTGTTACTTAATCTCTCACTTTTTTTTTTTTCTTTTTACTGGAATCATCTGACAGAAATGGCAATTTCATTTCAAGAGTCTTGTCTTATTTTTCTGGGCCATGTTCTGGTTGTTTTTTTCATCACAGGATTGTAACAGTCCTTAAATATTTTAGAGATTAAAATTCTAGGTCAATTTAGAGCATAATTGGCAAAATAGACATGTTACCAAAAACAGAGATATAGGAAGTTTGGGAGAGAAGTTAAGGTTCATATTTTAGGTATGACCTTTATGCTAGTCTCTTTCTTTGATAAAGTCATTTAATTTCTTTGAGTCCTAGTTCCTCATCTGTAAAGTAGAGTAATATCCACCTCCTGTGGAATTGTCATGAAGTTAAATGAGATGCTTTGTGTAAAGAGCCTGGACTAGTGCTGCTAAATAGATGCAGCTCCCTTTACTATATTTTTATTTATTCAGTAAATATTTGACACTCACTATATGCCAGACACTGTTCCAGACTCTGGAATTAGAGGAGTGAAAAGATAGGCAACATTCCTATTCTTACAGAGCCTCTATGTTGGCTGTTCTGACAGAAGAGGAAGATAAACAAGGAAAGGAATAAACTAAACAATTTCAGATTGTAGTAAGAAGTGTAAAGAAAATCAAAGAGTGCGTGGTAATAAAGAATTGCTGTGGTGAAAGCCCACTTCAGACTAAGTAGTCAGGGAAGACCTCTTTAAAAAGGTGACATTTGAGTAGAAATGCCCTTAGGATTTTGGAGAAACTAGGCATGTGAAGATCTGAGTGAAAAAGTTTCCTGGCAGAGAGAAGAGATAGTGCAAAGCCTCTAAAGTGAGAAAAATGTGACAAATTGAGAGAATTGAATGAAGCCTAGAGGTGCTGATTGCAAGTAGTGGAGAAGTCAGAGAGGACCAGCTAGTGTAGGGTCTTACAAGCCACAATAAGAAGAATGGATTTTATTCTAGGTGCAGAGAGAAGCCACTGGAGGGTTTTAAAACAGAGGTGTTGTGATCATTAGATGGAAATGTTGCTGTGGACTTTCAGAAATGTGAACTTAGCTGTGAAACGTTAGCAAACTAAATACTAGCAACTTGGATTTCTAGTTGGCCAAGAAACATGAGGGTAAACAATTTATTTTCCCTGATTAAAAAAAATCCCAGCAAGTCTCTAGCAAAAGCAAGTCTAGGTTATCTAGAGCAAATACCATTTTATATCTTTTTAATTTTACTAAGACTTGTTATGCAATTATAGATGTTACAGATGTTTTCAAAAATAGTGCTTTGTGGATTGTTTTCCTTTTATGAGTCCATGTGGCAATTGACTAGCATAGCAGTAAAAAGTACAACTCTGGTTTCAGATACGAGCATGATGATTGATCACATAGAAGCATTAAGTTAATATTAACAAGGATCTATTGCCAGAATATATTTCATTATAGGATTTTGAAATTATTTAGCTGAATGGACCTTAAGAGTTGGTCTTTTTTCCTTTATAGAAGAGGGAACTTAGATTCAAAGGGGTTAAGTGATTCACATTATTTAAACATTTAAAAAATAAACCTGGATTTTACTATTCTTCTAGTTGTAGGATGACAGGTTCTTGAGGCAAAATGTGGAATGAGAGAAGATAGTGACATCTGTTTGCTTTGTATCTGCTGCCTTCTCTGTTGCTCATTTATTTTACATCTATGCTGTTTCACACTTATCTTTGGACTTAGGGTATTGGGATGTGTCAAACAGTTGCTCCCTTAGTGTGGAAACAGACAAGTAAACACAGTTGCTACACAAGTTGCAGGCATCATATGATAAAGGCAAGCTTAGTGTGTTGTGGAGGGCATGATGGGTGTGTCTGTTAAGTGTCCCTGTTTAGAGTCTGTTTACATACAGAGTTGAATGTCCTTGGCTTCTCATTTCAATTTAATATATATTATATTGCCTTGGCTGTTAGGCCTTTCTTGCACTTGTTTGCCTCCCAGCCATAAGCCAGTTTGAAGGCCATGATCCATCAGGTCTAGTGGGTTAATCCATGTCTGACCAGTAAGACCTACCTATCTTGACAGTCACCATGATGACAGCATGTCTTATTTTAAATAGAAACCTGGTTAGAGACTAATATAAGAATAGTTGGTCTTGAATAGATGTATTCCTTCTCTTAAGCGAGGTAGGTTTTATTAAGCGTTGTATTTTGAAAAATCCTGAAAGGAAATTGAGAAACAGCTATCATTTTGTTAATTTTGGCTCCTTTTACTGTATTTTATTTTGAAGTATAGCCATTCCTAAGAACGCTAGCACATGAGTTCATTGTTGATGTTATAACATATTCTGAATCTTAAAACAAGGTACCAAAAATACATTCATAGAACAAGTAGATAAAGTAGCACTACTATAATTAGGGAAAAATGGTAGTTTTCTTGTAAGCCCTTTCTCTTTCAAGAGCTTATAATTTTCTGTAAAAACCAAACATTATCCTTTGGGCACGTGTGTTTTATTCTTTCTCTTGATTCTGTGTTATAAAGTTTGATTAAAAAGGAAAGATATTAACTTTTTGTCTCCCACACAAAGAATGTTCATAATTGTAATTTTTGGGTATGACTTGTTGCCATACCCTTGAGCCTCCCTTTGTTTAAAGAGTAATAATATATATATTTTTTAATCTATAAAGAAGTATCTTTGACGTGTGTGTGTGTGTGTGTGTGTGTGTGTGTGTGTGTGTATAAAATCAAAACGGCATACCTTTTTGAGAATATTTAGTGATTCCTGAAGACTATATTATAGTTGTATAAAGAATTAGATGGCAGGCCAGGCACGGTGGCTCACGCCTCTAATCCCAGCACTTTGGGAGGCGGCTGAGGCAGGTGGATCAACTGAGGTCAGGAGTTGGAGACCAGCCTGGCCAACATGGTGAAACCCCGTCTCTACTAAAAATACAAAAACATTAGCTGGGCGTGGTGGCCCACACCTGTAATCCTAGCTACCTGGGAGGCTGAGGCAGGAGAATCACTTGAACGGGGAAGCGGAGGTTGCAGTGAACTGAGATTGCGCCATTGCACTGCAGCCTAGGCAACAACAGTGAAACTCTGTTTCAAAAAAAAGAATTAGATGGCAATAGCTTTAGCAATCTAATGTGGTAGGTGATCTGGTATTATCTGTCTCTTTGGTCACATGAGGATAAGGCTGCCCATCTCGGTTATCCATGTCCTGGGCCTTAGGAAGAAGGCAGCCAGAATCTTAGAAATTTGAACTGAGAAAATTGAACACAAGTTAGCAGCCTAAAATATAAAACTGATATAAAAATACAACCAGATTGTGTATGAATTATTGTTTTCTCATCTTTATTTTGTGCAGATCAAGAAACTGAACTTTGCAAGTATTTTCTGTGAAAGGGTGAATAAGCTATCCAAAGTGAGTGATTTTAGCCTGTGTAGAAAACATCTCCAGCTGTGTTAAATATAAAGCTGTCAGTTCTTTGAATATCTCCTTGCAATAATTAATCATCCTTCTCAGTTAACAGCACAGACAGTACAGCACAGGTAAGAGAGTAGGCTCTGAAGCCAGTCTACCAATGCTCTTGTGACTCTGGGTACATTGCTTTCTGTCTCTCATTTCTCATTTACAAAAAGAGGATAGATAACACTAGTACCTACCTAATAGTGTTGTTATGGGGATTAAATTAGTTAATATATATAAAACACTTAGAACATTGCCTCAGAGATAGTAAGCACCATGTATTTACTGTTTGTTGCTGCATATCTATAATACGATTGATTGACTGATTGATTGAGACAGAGTCTTGCTCTGTTGCCCAGGCTGGAGTACAGTGGCATAATCTTGGCTCACTGCAACCTCTGCCTCTAGGGGTTCAAATGATTCTCCTGCCTCAGTCACCTGAGTATCTGGGATTACAGGTATGTGCCACCATGCCCAATTAATTTTTGTATTTTTAGTAGAGACAGGGTTTCACCATGTTGGCCAGGCAGGCTGGTCTCGAACTCCTGGACTCAAGTGATTTGCCCGCCTTGGCCTCCCAAAGTGCTGGGATTACAGGCATGAGCCACTGCGCCTGGCTGTATAATACATTTTAAGTGGCTGGTTTTATTAGTTAAGTTCTCTCAGAGAGTTTGGCATTTGAACTGGTCCTTGAAGGATAAATAGGATTTGTAAAAGTGAAACATAAAGAATTAAAAATGGTAAAAGCTATGTGAATTAAGTTGTTAAGAGGAAGTAAAGAATCTTTGTTTCCATTTATTGCATACTAGCTATGTGCCTGCCTCTGAGCTTAGCATTTGATGATCATTACATTATCTTATTCAATCCTCATAATAACCCTCCAAGATAGGTATTTTATTTTATTTATTTTATTTTATTTTATTGATACAGAGTCTTGCTCTTGTCGCCCAGGCTGCAGTGCAGTGGTGCGATCTCGGCTCACTGCAACCTCTGCCTCCCAGGTTCAGGCTATTCTCCTGTGTCAGCTTCTCGAGTAGCTGGGATTACAGGCGCCTGCCATGATGCCCAGCTAATTTTTGTATTTTTAGTAGAGACAGAGTTTCACCATGTTGGCCAGCCTGGTCTCGAACTCCTGACCTCAGGTGATCCACCCGCCTCAGCCTCCCGAAGTGCTAGGATCACAGGCAAGATAGGTATTTTAAATTGTCATTTAACAGATGGCAAATAGCCACAGAAAAGTAAAGCCACTTTTTCAAACTCACAAAGTCAAATGTTTGGCCTAGTTCTGTCAGACTGTAAAGCCCATGCTTTTAATTGGTATCTAATACTGCTTTCCTATCAGTAGACTATCAGATTATCATTCCTAAAGATATTTAAAAGAATGGGTGCTCTAGGGTTGGAGTTCAAAACATTAATAGAATTATACTATTAAGGTTGCATGTGATCACTTTGCTGCTGTGAGAGACTCTGGATGCTGTGTTTGCTGGTCATTTCAAAGGCTGAAGAGAAACAGACATGCCTGTCCTTGCCAAATACATTGTTTCCCCTATCATTCTGTCACTATGGAAGTACTTGTTTTTTCTGACCTGGGAATAATGGTATTGTGGTTATTGGCGTTTTTGTTACCTTTCTTACTAGAAATTATGCAGATATCCCCAATTATATCCAGATGCACACCTTATATTCCAAATTTTGTTGCCTGGGATTGACTGAGTACCCTTTTGAGTTCCCTGCATCAGAGACGTGTTTACAGTTGTGCTTCCCAGTCTTCAGCATTTATGGTTTCATGTTTGTCAAATTTGTTTGAAGTATAAAAACGATAATCTTAATTCTGTTACTGATCATTCCTTCATTCTCTAGCTATTTGTCACATCATCTTTCTTTTGAAACGTTTAGGGAATTAAGAAATTAATAATTTTATACTCATTCTTTTTCCACTCACATATCTCACTGGCTTTGTTCAGAATTAAATTGTTTTTGGTCCCTGTGTACTATTTCCTTCTATTAATTAACTGACGGTTGTTTCTCTCTTCTGTGTTTTTGATGCTTTTTTTTTTCTTTTACTGTTTAAAACTTTTTCAGAAGATGTAGCGAGTGACTCAGGTGCTAGCTAGTGTTACTGATTTCCCCCCCATGTTAGTTAATACCATGTCAAATATAACTGAAGAACTCTGTTGTACTCACAGATTATGCCCCTCATGGTCAGCAGACTATTCAGATACAGACTTTCAGGGGGAAGGTTTTCAAAAAAGTGTGGCTGCAATCTGTAAATGCTTTTAACATCTGCACATTGCATTACTGTTTTCAAATGTTTTTGTACCACATAATTTTATTTAATATTCACAACTATTCTGTGAGAGCTTTATTCTTTTATGTTGTAGGGTTTTCTTATTTTACAGATTGGGAAACTGGTGTGGAGCGGTTAAATGACTTACTCAAGATTACATAGCTAGTTATAAGTGGAAGGACAAGGATTTGAAGGAACAGGTGTGGCCTCTTCCAGGAAACAGTATAAATAGTCAGACTTTATGAAGGATAAATTGGTAGGAGAGTCATTTATCTCACTTGTCTGTAAAGAGGATTCTTTTTCTCAAGTAGAGCGTGAAGTAGATTATTTACTAGAAAAGCTTGAAAATGCATTTCAGAAAATTAAAACTGCTTTGAAATTAGGTGCATAATAAGAATTGCTTCAGAGCCTGGCATCCGTTGGACATTATACACATATTCTCTGTCAATGAGGTTTACAGTTAAGGTCTCTTCAATCCTTATTTTCTGAAATCTCTTTTTGCTTATATATTGAGACTGAAGTTAGCAATTTTCCTCCAGGTGTGGACTTTGAAAATTAAATATACTTATTGAAACGTAGGTTGCGTTTATATAGTGCTACCCTCCAGGATTCTTGGAAATTTAAATGTATTATTGTATGTATGAATCATGGAACGCACTATAGAATCTATAGTGGTTATCAGTTTTGTTTTGGGTGTAGTTCATGGTGTTTAGTTAAGTCTCTAAAGCAGAGTTTAGGATCTCTGCCTTTCAGTTATCTGAGTGCTGTGGGGCTACATACCCACTCAGATTCTCTTGTTCTAAGTGGTCTTAACACTCAGTTAGCTCTATGTGTTGGTGGTGACAAATTTTACTATATTTATGACCTAGGTCTTTGAGTGGGCACTGTTTCAAGAATCTAGGAAGGTACTGGCTACTATTCAACTCACTGTCGGTTTCAATTATGGTCAGAGAATTTTGAAAACAAAAATTCTGAATGCCCTATAGTTTAATAAAAAGTAGTTGATCCTTTTGTTCAAAGCACTGTCCCACTTCACCTCCCCTCTAGGTTTGAAGCATTCCTATGCAGACAGTTTACCGACATGATAAACAAAATTATCCATTCATGCATCCTAGGATTTTAATGTTACCATCGCCCTCCACTCAAAATGCAATATGCATTTAGTCTGTAATAGCATCACTCCATTTTAAGTGAATAGTTGTTTCAGCTTTGATTTGTAATCACAATTAAGGTAAATTATCCTTGTTTGCCTAGGACTGTCCTGGTTTTAAAACTCAAAATCTCTTGTCCAAGGAACCCTCACAGTCCCGGACAAACCAGAACAATTTCTTAAAATACTATTTAGGAAAACTGGTCACCCGAACGGCAAGGCTGTGTTGTTGATTAGGCTTTAGGCATGTTATTGAGACTATAGACTAAGCTCAGATCAATGGTTTTGAAGATTCTGTATGGGTCAGGATTACCTGGAGTACTTGTTAAACAGACTGCTGGCTCCCATCCCCCTAGTTTGGATGGAGTAGGTCTGTGGTGGGGGTCTGAGAATTACTTTAGTAACAGTTGCCTAAGCCATGCTGACGCTGCTGGTTAGGAGAGTGCATTGAGAACCACTGGCCTAGATCAGGCTGTGTGCTGTGTGAGTATATGATGATGCTTGGTTCAGAATTGTGGAGAAAGGGGAGCTGTGTTTCTCTGCCTCACAGGTCTAAGCACCAATAACACCAAAGGGTATTTGTATCTGAACTGTGCTCATACAGCACAAGAAGAGACGTGCTCC
This sequence comes from Homo sapiens, assembly GCF_000001405.40. Lineage (NCBI taxonomy): Eukaryota > Metazoa > Chordata > Mammalia > Primates > Hominidae > Homo > Homo sapiens. The sequence goes on along the minus strand of NC_000008.11, from coordinate 134,809,006 downwards.
TGTTAGAGGTGACAGAAGTAGGGGAAGGATTAAAAACAGTCTAGCTGTCAAATCCTTCACAGTATGGATATATTTTGATTGTTTATAGTATCTTAGGCAAACTTTGATTTGATAATTAATTTGAGTCTTATAGTCACAACATCTGAAATGGATACTTCAGAAAGCAGATATTCATTATTATAGCAGAACTGATTATAGCTGGGTTTAGCAGGGATAATGGTACCCATCTTGCCTACTTCTCAGTTATCACTGTAAAAATCTAGTTACATAAAAGGTGTGAGCATGCGGTACAAATAAGATGTCATGGTGATGATTAAAGTGTACTTTGTTGTTGGACAGTATGTTTCACAGTGCTTTCATCTTCATGTTCCATTTGGTTGTTTTCAGGTGTCTTCAGAATTCGGCAAAGTAGATGGGACTGCAGACGTTACCATTCCCTGTGACTCTTGCTACGATCTTACAGACTTCATTGTGCTGGGCTTAGATGTCTTCAGAGTCACCAGGTACTTGGTTGTTCCTAGATAGTGGGCCTGCCTGATCAGGATTTGGTATTTTTCCCACTGAATTAAAATTGTTTTGCCTAAGCCTCATTTTGTGTGTCAAGAAAATAAAGGCAAAAGAGTAAGTGCTGTGCTCCTAATCCACAGCTAGCTGGTAGTCAGCAGCCTGGGAGGCTGAGTCTCTGGTCTCCTAGTCTCAACCTTCTAGGCAGTGAGCATTGTTAATCACAGAACAGGCCCTCCTTGGACTCCTTGGCTTGCTCGTCTTTGTTTCTCCCAGGGCCTAGCGTTCACATCCACACACATACTACATACGTTTCTGCATGTGTGCATGTGCATGTCAGGGAAACCACAATTTGTTCTCAGCTCCTTACTCATGTGAGCTTAGCGAAATCGTTTCTCCAATCTGTACCTTCTTCTTCATCTGTAAAATAGAATTATCATCTGCTCTGCTACTACCCTTAAAAGTAGTTACTGCATAAGGATGAGAAAATGTATAAAAACACTTTGAAGCTTTTGTTACAAAGGGCAGTTAGTAATAATGAGTAAATGATAAATAAGCCTTATAGAACAGGAAGCCTTTTCATCTTTCTGTCCTAAACACCCTTCTATTTTATAAATTTTTCAAGTAGATTAAGTTTATTAATTTAGATAATGTTTTCTTTTTCTTTTTGTCTCTGCTCTATTTATTTAACATTGGATATATAGAGAATGGTAATTATTATTGAATGGATTGAAAACAAGAATAGAGTCTCTTTGGGAGTATCTGTGTTTTTTGTTTTTTTTTTTTTCCATGTAATTGGGGGCATTTTCTGCTCCATGGTCGGTTTCTGGTGGTTTGTGAATTCTTGCCTTCTGCCAAGTGTTTTCTCCCTGTCACCACCCTGCTACTACTCTTTGTGTTTACCTTCCCAGCTGCCCTGCCTTATTTCAGAGTTCAGAGTCAAATTGTAGCCAACCATTTCTGACAGCCTTCCTAGACATCACTGAATTTCAGCTAATTAATAGATTTAAGGGATGCGAAATCTAGGCCAATTCAGAATTTTACTTCATTTGAGGGTTTTTTTTCCAGAATATTTATCTTAAGTTACAAAATGTTGTTTCCTGTTAATTGTTTTCTTATGTATTCTGGTAAAATTTTATAAACCCAGTAAAACTCTCTTACAACAATACTCTTGGGAGATAATGGCTTGTATTCGTTCTGGATTGTCACATAGGAAGAGATGTGTTTAGGTATCTAACTTGGTTTCAGCATTGTACTTGAGACATCTGTGGTAGGACAGAATCTGTGGCAAATGTGGCATGGCATACATTATATATGGATATTCATAAACTGCTTTTGATAGATTGACAAACATTTCCAGTTACTGAACCAGTAGCACTGTTCCAGTCAGTAGCTCAGTAATATCCATTTTTTTGTCTGTACAGCAGATTGTATGTATGCATGTGTGTTTTGCCCATTTTTATAAAAATGTGTTAAAAGTAAAATGCTAATGCTGATAGAAAATTGACCCGCAAATATGTAATGTTTTTGACAAAGATGGAAATCATAAAGCATGCCAAAAATGGTAAACCTTTAGCTTCAGCTATCCCCTCATTAGACTTTACCTTCTTACTGTGTATTATTACAAAGATTGTGTCTAGAAGATACTTTATAATGATAGAAGGTATTTTATAATAGGGTTTCTTATCACATATACTTAATATTCAACTTCTGTACATTTAATTTTCATGTTTCCTCAAGAATATATTATACAAAGTCATAGCATTTGACAAAATTCCTTCATAACTCTGAAGAAAATATTCTATGTATTGTTTGTGTGAGTTAAATACAGTGGCTCTGATAAAAATGTCTTTTGATCAGTCTTTAAAAAAATTAAACTGAGGACAGGAAGGTAAATTAAAGGGGAGATTTGGAGACTTGTGGTAACTGGTTTATTGCAACTTAATGTGCAGCATCCTCATTAGTCAAGTATCATGTGCCTACCTAGGCATGAAATAGCTATTTTTTTCCTGATTTAAATCTGGAAAGTTTCAGTTGTAGTACAGTTTGAATAGTTGTTGTTGTAAATAGCCACTGGACTTTTTAAAAAAGTATTTTTCTTCAAAAACAGTGAAGGTCATCTTGTATCCATAGAGACCACATGTACTTTCCTCATTATTTCCAGCATTATTTATATAATGGGTAGAGTTATTTACAACATTAAACAAAAAGTATTTCAGAGAGCAACCGTTAAATATTATCACAGGGTAAATATCAGCAACTGAAATCCTTTTCTCATAGTTTCTCAAAAAATTTGGTATTAGGAAATTAATAGTCTCTCAGAATTTGTATATTGGTTTTCTTCAGTAGTTATTCTGTAGAGTGTGTGTGTACATATGCATGCTCATGTATGTATGTATGTTCATTTCTTAAATCATTTCATAAATCACTGTGACTTAATTGTGGACTTTAATTGTTTTCATAGTTTTTTTCCCCAAAAGAAGGTTACTTTACATATTTTATTTTATTTTTATTTTTATTTTTTTTGAGACAGGGTCTCACTCTGTCGCCCAGGCTGCAGTGCAGTGGCATGAGCTCAGCTCACTGCAGCCTCCACCTCCCAAGCTCAGGGATCCTCTTACCTCAGCCTCCCGAATAGCTGGGACCGCATGCACCACCACACCCAGCTAATATGTTGTATGTTTTTAGAGGTAGGGTTTTGCCACTTAGCCCAAGGCTGGTCTTGAACTCCGGGACTCAAGCGATCTACCCATCCACCTGCCTCGGCCTCCCAAAGTGCTGTGATTATAGACATGAGCCACTGTGCCTGGCAATTTTACATATTTTAAATTAAAGCAAATCTTGGTTTTTGATGGAATGCAGATTTACTTATATTTCACTTAGTCTTTTTCCTTTCTTTCAGAAAAGTGGTGTGGAAACAAAATGGTTTTAGTATATTGCCTTATAAACAAATTTAAGATCATGAGTTTCTTTTATTATCCTCTTTGTTTTGCTCATTTCCTTGAACTGTACATCCCTAACCTAAATCAGCTGGAGACAGGGGAAGAAAGTGTTAGATTCTTACTCAGTTTAGATCCTCTGCCAGGAAAACCCACTCTATTCATTGTCAACTAAATTAACGCTTTTTTAAATAAAAGGAGTCATTTTTAACAATAACGTCAGGGCAGCAGGCATCCATGAAATGTATGGTCACTGATCATTAGGGTTATCATTCTAATGTGTTTACTATTTTGAAACTCTAGGGAGAAGAAAACTTATTTTTGCATATGTTGGAAAAATGTATCCTCATGTAGGATATCAGGGTAATATCTTTAATGTTTCATACTTACCAAGATAAATTTGTAATGCGTATTTTCTTTTAAAATTAGATTTATTTAGGAGAAATTGCACTTGGTGAACCACTTTCTCTTTAATTATTAGCATTAACTTTATCATTTTTGTTTCAAGATGTCACAGCTATTGTTCAGCACTAGAAATTATATAAATTATTAGCTGAAGATGATGACTGGCAACATTTATGTCTGTTCCTCCTCTTAAATTTCTTGTTCAGAAAGTCTGTTGTTGTAAACATCCCCGACTGGAAGCTGTAAGACACAGCTAAGCTTTCAGTCAGATGTTTGCTGCTACCGGCTATTCACAGACATCCTCTTGATATAATTCTGTCCCGGAGTGGAGTTGAGGAGGCTATAAAATGTGTGGGAAAACCTCAGAAATCTTTAGCTGCATTCTTTTACTGCACTGACAGTGCACGTATTATGATAGTTGAATGTAGGGTGCTCTCCTAATAACAGGATATGCCGTCTCGAGCTTCCCAGACTTAGCGTGCTGCTGCTGGGCCTTAGAGAATTTAGTTAAATAAAAAGTGTCACCGCCTATTCCTGTTTCTGCCCTGTCAATGAAATTTTAGTCTTTATAACCTTTCCAAGTAGGCTGGAGTTTAACATCCCAACAATTCAGGAGACTGATTTTCTCCATTGTAAATTCTGTGGAAGTTCTGGAGAATAATTTCATCACTACCACCCAGCAGTATGCAATCTAGAAATTTCAGCTTTCCCTATACTTAAAAGAGATGTGTGTGCAACATTTTTCTCCGTCCTCTTAGCCCCCCACTTCCTGTTCCCCTCACCCTGAGTGATATTACAGCTCCTAATCAGAACTCTCCTCTAAGAAAAACTGCAAGACGTCAAGCCACTAAGCCTGTTTACATTTGCTAATGGGTATGCATGTCTTTTTATATTAATATTTTTCCTAAGTATTTTCAGATTGTTGCTTTCAGATTTATTGCTTCCTCCTTAAAATATAGCTGCCCTGAAAGCAGCTGTATTGTATCTATTTTTTGTGTTTCCCCACAGATCTGAATAATCCAGGGCTTTTCTCACAGATGACACTCAGTGTGGACTAATTGATAATGTATAATTTTATAGCAACTATTTTCTGAGTTTTAAAAAATTGTTATTTTATTTCTGTTAGTCTTTCAGACACTGGAAAACATTTCTATTTTATTGGCATTTTTCTTTTCAATAAAGCATTGGTTTTTTTAAATCATTTATTTTTATTAAACTGCTAAACATACTATGTTAGGTTCCATACATGATTAAACCACCAAAAGATAAAGGTCTTGCCAATCTAATGTATTTACATGCTTATTTTCTTTGATTAGATTATAAGCTTTCTGAGGTCAGAGACATTAAATCTTGATAATTCTATTTTTTCCTGTTATAAACAGCAAGTAAAGCACCTTGCATGTATAGTACTTTAGTAATGATTTTATATTATCTTATTGCAGCAGTGTCTACTGTTGCCTCTTATCTTTTATCCAGATGAGCAAATGACAGTTTTGGTCATAATGTAGTTACCCCAGATGTATTTGTGCTACAGCTTTTATTTTTTAAATGCTCTTTTGTTAGAGTAGTAGTTTATAAGACTTATTTGGGGATGGGGGTCAGTTGCTTCAGACTCAGGTGGCTTTCCAACTTGTAAATACAATTTTCAGGCTGGATGATTAGCATGCATCAAGCATCCCTTCCTATGAACTCTAAATAAAGCAGATTTATTGCATATTCTGTGGCCCTCTGTTTTAGCACATTGGAAACCTTAGACTCAAATAGCAGTGAAAGGATAGTTATTGCTGAGCTCAGAAGTCTTCCCTGCCAAAGGTAGAATGTAATGTGTTCTGTGGTAATAGGATTATTTTGTTTGACCAGGTGACACTGTTTATTTCTTATGAAAAATTTTGATATACTGCTTTAAAATTTAGTAAGATGGATGCATAATTTATGCAGTGAAATTTGAAAGGTTTTTCAAAATGATAAGGCCAAACCTAAGCTAAATGAGGGGGTAGGCATTCTTTATAATAAAGCTGTTATACTCTGCCCAGCTAGGCCAGTTATCCCTAGATGCTACAGATTAATGGGGCAATCTGTGTTATGTAACATTTGTTCTATATTATTCTGCCTCTAATGAGGTGAATCAAAGACGATGTCAGTTTTAATTCTGGATGCCCTTGCTTCAGTATAGTATAATACATAGGTACAGCCTTTTTTAGTAGTTTTCAGATGGCTTCTTTATGTTTTTATATTGAAGAACCACTAACTTCCCATTGGCCTATAAGGTTAGCAATTGATTATTTATAGCAAATGGCTTGAAATGTTAGATCATCAGTATTTGTCAATAAGCCTGTAATAACTTGTTTCCCTAGCCCTTAACTTAGTGTTGAAGAAAAAAATTGTGGTATTCATTGATAGGACTTAGAAAGCACAGAAATTACTTATTATTTAAGATTTGTTCTACCAATTGATATTTAAAGTAAAACATTTTTAGTTACTGAACACCATTCTGTAAATGACAGTATTTTATCCTGAGTATATGGTCTGAAATGACTTAGGGACAACTTTTTAAAGCAAATAACTAATTACAAAATTGGGTCTTCCAATTTATTTCAAATTAGATGCTTTTGTACAAATATTCTTGGTTAGAAATAGTCATATAAATACACTGTTGGACTTGTTCTCATTGATCTCCACACCTCAGTTCCTTCTACATGAGTCATGGGCTTGAGGTTACCCAGAAATGGACTGTGAACCTATAAACCCCAGCATGCATGTGGTATTGCGTCGAGCATGTTCTGTGATTCCCTTCTACTCTTGTTACAGCTTTATTCATTGGATCAATGTGCATTATTTGCTGTGTGTGCTCAGGTAATATTTTTGTTTCTTTTTTTTAGTTTGAATATCAGTTTGGGCTTAGTTACTTTTTAAAATAAGGCTGTTTCAGATAGTCTCTGCCACACTTTGCCTAGCCTGGTTAATTGTGGGTGGACCCATGCTACATGTTTTGGCATTGCCTTTTTCTTATCTGTACCATATTACAAACTTCCTAGTAATTTGACATTCACTGCTGTCTTTGCTTTAGCTTTCCAACAGGTTTGGTGAAACAGTCCATTGCTGTTCAATATCAGCTTGCATCAGAATTACTTGGAGGGCTTATTGATTAAAACACAGATTGCTGGGCCCTGCAAAAAAAGTTTCTGATTCAGTAGGTCTGGGGTGGAACATAAGAATGTGCTTTTCCCCCCACAGTTCCCAAGTACTGCTGATGCTGCTCCTCTAGGCCCATGCTTTCAGAATCACAGAGCTCATCTTACATTCTTTTCCTGCTAGATATTATGCCCAATTAATACATGAAGTAAAACAGAAAAATCCTTAACTTAAAAACATGTATTAATCCAGAAGTTTGATTATAAAAAGGTTTGTTGAAAATGTGAGACCATTTTTTCTCCCAGAGAAAAAGTATATTAATTGTCTAGCTGGGAGGGGCCTATTTGAATGTGTTTTCAGAGAAAAGCAGAAGAAAAAAATACGGTTGTAATAGAAGTAGTTAAAACAGAAAAGCAGTATGGTTGTAGAGTGGGGTGGCGGGGAGGTATATGTGTATTTAATCTTGAGAACCAATGCTTTTGGAAAACAGCCCGAAGGGACAAGAGACTAGGTAGAGACTGGCGAGGTTCCTGAAAGTCCTGGGTTACCTGTGAAATGCCAAAGATTTTTAAAGTTTGCTGGCAGTGGTTATTATATGTAGTTTTACTTCCAAATTTGAAGATTTCCTCTTCTTTGATGCAAGTGTGTTGGTAGGACCACTGATAATAGTTAGTGGAGATATTTGTGGGAATATATTTTTAATCAGAAAGAATGCAAAAAGAGGGGGAGACATTTCTTTGAGACACCTTAATGACACTGGGAACAGTAGAAGGTGGAAAGAGATCAGAGTGTGGGAAAGATGTGCCTGAGATGAAATTATCTGAATTCTGAATGTGGGGGAGAAGATGAGGAGAGGGTTGAGGGGGAGGAGAGATGACTAAGCTCCTCACAGTGTTTCATTAACTGTCTTTTACCTAAAGGAGGAATCTTCTTAATGAAGATTGGTTGATGCATCATACTGGTCATCAAGTAAGTTCTTATAAATGCAAGTTTGATTGTTTTGAAGGGAAGGATATAGGAAGGCTGGATAATCAGCTACATTTAGATATGGAACACTACAGGATGTCGGCATTTATTGTTGTAAATTCCTTTGGTGAAAAACGTTATCACTTGTTTGTGACTAGCCTGGGCAATATAGTGAGACCTTGTCTCTAAAAAAAATTTTATTAATAAGAAAAATTAGCCGGGCATAGTAGCGTGCCTGTAGTGCCCCCCACTGCCCTGGACACGCCCCCACTTCCAAAAAAACAAACACCCAACTCACTTCTGCCTTTTCCTTGGATTCTACACTTTCTCTCAGGATATCTTTCCGATTGAGTCTTGCCTCATTTATGTGAATGCTGTGCCTGTTCTTTTTTTCAACAGAGTCTTACGTAAAGAACCGTACAAACTTAGTAAAGAGTTTAAGTCCTGCTTTAAACCAAGTTTCAGTTCATGTAAACATCCTACACTCAGCTGTAATACATGGATTGGCTGGGAGGTGGATGTTTACTTCAGCTGACTTGGAATGTCAACCAATTAACATTGATAAAAGATTTGGCAAGAATAGTATACAGAGGCTTGAATTTTTAATGTAATTAATGTAATTAAAGGTTTGTTGGAAATGTGAGACCATTTTGTTCTCCCAGAGAAAAAGTGTGTTAATTGTCTAGCTGGCAGGGATCTACTTGAATATGTTTGCAGAGAAAAGCAGAAGAAAGCATGGTTGCAGTAGGAGTAGTTAAAACAGAAAAACAGTATGCTTATAGAGGAAAAATTACTCTAAATTTATTAAAATTCCTTTAAATTTGTTACTCAATTTAAATTTTTATTGTATCTTTTCAATTTTGCTATAGCACTAACATGACATAAGGCTCTGGGTATTGGGACAAAAGAATGCCCTTGTTTGGTAGTTGGGGTCGGGTTTGTAGTATTGCAGTGTGCTTTAACAAGCATGGGCTTTGACATCAGACATTTGTTGCCATCTGGACTCCACAAGTGAATTTGCTACGGGATTTGGAGGAGGGAAAGGCACTGTTTCCATACCTCAGTGGTTTTCTCATCTGTAAAATAAGTATGTGATTGCATGGATTGACTTACATGATGAATATAAAGTTGTTCATTAGTACAGTACCTGTCATATTAAGTACTCAATAAATGCTAGTTATTATTAATGCTGTGTTGTAGGTGTTCAGTAAATAGTTGCCATAATGCTTAAAGCAGACATAACTTGTTTTTATTTTTGCAATAAAGATGATGCCAACTTTTTGGTTTAATGGAAATGCTTTGAATCTTTGATATTGTTGTAATATAGTGGCAAAGAATTTTGAATCCCAGCTTCTGGAGCTCATATCTTGATTCTGCGAGTTACTTCGCTATGTTACTTTGGGGGAAGTTATTAATCTCTCTGTGCCTCAGTTTCCTCAGTCGACTAAATTGAAATTATAATAGCACCTACCTGATAGGATTGTTGAGACTAAATGAGGTAACAATTTAAAAATAAGCTAATACCTGATAATTAGTTCTATATATGTACTGATTGGTCTAAACGTTATTTCCATTTTCATGTCTTTACTTAAAATACTGAAAATTAATTTTTTATAGCTTTGTTTTTCAGTTCCATGAAATCAGCCTGCCTTTTCTTTTTTTGGTGATACATCCACATTCTGTATAGGTGAAAAGCAAAACAAACAAGTATAAAACGAAAATTATGTAAGAAGTACACACATCCTAGCAGCTTGGCAAGTGTCTGTATGCTCTTGCCTGTGCCTAAATCCAGAATTAGAATTCATGCTTGGTGCTCCTGTGGAAGATGTCTAAATGTTATGAGAAATACATGATTAAATAAAAATGTGAAATGAAAGCATGGAGACTTGTTGAAGGTGAGTGCTGTTTTTCTAATTATATATTTTATTTGTTTAATGAATAATTTGTTAATTTTCTTTGTCATTACGAGAGAGCTGTTTTATTCTGTACTTAGGTGCATAGCATACTATGTTTTAGTGAGCTCCACATGTTAATTTGAAACTTGCCAAATTTTTACATTATTTTATAATTTATAGTACTTTGAGAAACATATTGCAATGCATTACAAAGCATATAATGTAAAGGTAGTTTTATGAAGTGTTTTTCTCCCAAATTAAGCATATTTGGGAATTGCCCATCAATTTGTTTTTGAACCTCAGTGCATAAAATATAGAATTTTTCTTTCATATGCTAGATGTGAAAAATACTCAGCATATGCATGTGGTTTAGGCTACAAAATAGCCTGTAGGTTAAATTCCTAATTCTAGTGTTTAATTCATTGCCTTTTTTCTTCTTGTTTAATGGCCATATGTTTATATCTTTATATTACATACATTCCTGATTATGTAATAAGGTCTTTGATCATGTGGGCTATCAGATTTGCCTCACTTTGTCTCTTAGAAGAAGCTATACATGAAACTATGTTGTACTTAAGTGAAAATTTGAGTATTTTTCTTGTTTGAATTAATGCAGTGAAACATTCTACTTACAGTTAGCTGTCTCCCACCCTTACAGGAAGGTACATGCCTTCATTTTTTAAAACACTGTATATTTATTAGAATTGTTACAGAATTTTAGTAAATATATTCTAATCACATATTTTCTGATTAATGTGTGCTTATCAGTTTTAAATGTTATGAAATCTGGATATATGTTAAAATGTCTCAGTTTTCCCCTCTTGTTTACCATATTGCCATTTGGTATTAATAGATAACATAATGTAAAATTGGATGTCTTTGATAATTTTGGGATATGTTCTGAAATTAAACTTGAACTTTTTTCTGTGAATTTTGAAGATTTGGTATCTTATAATTATTTGGTGAGCATTTGGCATGAATTATTTAGCTTCTCCCCTGTTTATGATTTATTTCTCTTGTCATCGATTTCCAATAGGAAAATGTTATGGTTCTAAATGTCTCCTGTAGACTTCAGTAATTGAAAAATGTCAGTCAAGATGGGGGGAATCTGTAATATATAATAGAGTTTATCTTTTAGTTATGTTCATTTCCACTTTTTTTAATGTGTTTTTTTTTTAGTAAATGTCAAAAGTGTTACTCAGTGCAACATATTATGCAATATTATAATCAACTAACCTCTTCATTGATAATGACTTCATATTGAGAGGTTTTTTAAATCTAGAAATATTCTTGTTTTAAATTCCAGGTTAAAATGTAAAGGTATTTTTATTTTTTTAATTTTAATTCTTCTCAAAGCTACTAGTACATTATAAAACAACAATTTCACATTTAGAATTTTTATATGTATATAAATTAGGATTATTTTTTAATATTAGCCTTAACTTTCTTTAACTTTTATGAAAAACAACTAGTCCCAAGGGTATTTTTACTATTTAATATACATTATTCCTGTGATTCAAAATCTTAGCAGTAGAACCTGTTGAGCTACTTAACTTTCTGTCTTGGGACTATCCAGGTGCAGTTATAACTGGTTTCAAAGTTGTGACCTTTTCCTTGCTTGTTTCAAAATCATTCCTTAAAAAATGTTCAGTATTTTTCTTTTGTCAAAAAATAAAAACAGGATTTGTGGGTTGTTCTGTTTTTTAAAATTAGTTTGAGAAACTTCCTTTGCCACTTGTTTTCTGTGCAAATGTTGTAAGAGCTCAAATTCCCTGGGGGTAGGGAGGACTTTTATAAGGTTTTTTTGGTTGAAGGGTATAAAAGGCACTTAAAAGGTATACAGTTACTTTTATTTCGATATCCCAGTCATTTTGACATTATGATAAGCTTTCCCCACTTTATAGGTTATCTGAAAATTTGGTGGGGGGCGGGTATTTTATTTATACTTAATATAACAAAATTATTTTCCTATGTGTAGTCAATAGCACATACAAAAAATTATCTCCTGTTTGTAGTCAGTAGCACAGTCAGTATTCACCAAAATACTGAGTTATTTTTCAAGTAAAGGTATAAGTATGAATGAGAAACAGTTTGTGGGTTGGGTATTGTCAGTCCTTCTTTTTCAGATAACTTTCTAAATGGTCATTCAATCTGTAATCTTAAACTTTTTTAATGTTATAAATTCTTCAAATCAGTATTTGTATTAAATGCAGTGACCAGACTATGTCACTGATACAATGTCATGATTAGATGTGCAGAAGACTATGTTACATGGATGATAAATGAACTTTTAACATATAGAAATTAATATCAGATTAAACTAAAACATTAAGCAAAGTTAATACATGCTTGCATACATATATATATTTATTTATTAATGATATGTGGAGAATCTTTGTGCTTCATAGTCACTAGACCTAAAGTAGAAGCAGTTGTCAAGAATGTCCAACTGCTATTCATCTTTGTGGCCAAAGTAAATTTCAGATTTTTTTTTTGTAATGGTTTTCTTTAGTCTCTTTATTAACCCATCATCATGACAAGTCTGTCAAGTGACACATGTGAAAAGCAGATGTCCTTTCTTATTCCTGGTGCTTCCTAAGGAGGCAGTGCAATGCAGGAGAAGGAACATTATTAGAGATAAAGGAAAAAACCAGAAGTGCTTTCTCCTCTCACATTCCACTCAACACTTCTCTCACCAAATGTGTGTGGGGATTTCTCTCCACCAACAACCAGCAGTTCTTTACTGCAGATTCTCCAGTGGATACCAGCCAGGTGTCCTCTAATTCAGTTCAATTCTGACATTATCTACTGGGAGATAGTGTCAGATCCCGCAAGTGGAGGGCTCAGTCCTACAAGACTACCCCTTACTTCAGATGTCAGTCACAAGCAGTTAGCGGTTTGTGATTCTGACCAACTGGCTAGAGGTCCCCCTCCTCAAGTGTGATTAATTTGCTAGAGCAGCTCACAGAATTCAGGGAAACACTTTATTTACATTTACCCATTTATTATAAAGGATATTATGAAGGATACACATGAACTGCCAGAAAGACAAGGAGCATAGGCAAGATACTGAGAAGGGTCACGGAGCTTCTGTGCCTTCTCCAGGTGCACCACCCTCTGGGAATAGTCAGTTCATGTGTTCAGCTGTCTCGAAGCTCATTCGAACCCTGTCCTTCTGAGTTTCTGTGGAGGCTTCATTACGTTAAGGTTCAGAAATCAATACCCCAAAATATGGGGCTTTGACATGCTGAATTAAAGAAGCAGCCTCAAGGCCTCTTGGCCTTCTCCAGCTCTCCTCACCCAAATCCTGTCTCTCCCAAAGCACAAGATGAGGCTGTTCACCAAAGTTCCCTTATTTACCTAGAAACTGGACCTTAAAGAGGAACACAGTTGCCTGCGATTCCATCCCTGTAATTTTATTAACCAGAGATTAAAACTTATATCACAGAGGAAGAGACTAAAAATTAAACACCACACCTGGAGCCCAGATGACCTGTCCCAATCTATTATCTGTTCTCCAGTCCCATTTAGTTCCCAAAGGGAATCATTTACAAACCATTGTCTGATCTTCCGGCCCATTTATTTACAGCTCCCCCTCTTTCCCCAATGAAAATGATACTTAAGTGTCAGCCATCTATCGGCTCTTTGAGTTTTCACATTTTGTATGACTCCTGTGCACACACATGCATGTAATAACTGTTATACTTGTTAACTTTTTTTCATTATAGGGGTATCCACCATGATTATATATGATGGGGAGGAAAGGGATTACTCCATTTCTGCCCCTGCAGTCTGTAGGCATGATTGATTACATCATTGGTCGCCGGTGATTAACTCAGTCTCCAAGCCCTGTCGTGTCCCTGGAGGTTGGAGGGTGGCACTGAAAGCTCCAACCATCTCATCATGCTTTGATCTTTCCGATGACCAGACCCCACCCTGAAGCTATCTACGGGTCCCCAGCAACATTCATTTCGTTATCATACAAATGACATTCTTACAATTTCAGAGATTCCAAGGGCTTTAGGAAATGGAGATGAAGAGCAAATATATATTTCACAATATCACAAACATACCCTTGGGAATTAGACCTCTGATCTAATCTAGGCTCCCTCACTTGCCATTTTTGTGACCTTGAACAAGTTGTTCATCTTTTCTGGATAGTTCTCTGTTAAAAAAATTAAAATAAAAAAATGGTGGCTATCAGGTTGTTAGGAGGACTAGATAAGAGAACTATGTGAAGGACCCTGCACAGTGCTAGCAACAAAGTTGTTTAGTAAGTGCTATTTCAATTTATTTTGCTTCCAAGCTCATGTGAGCTCCCTCAGTGTGTACCACCAAATCACATGATGTGTATCCCAGTCAAATCTTAAAGGTCATCCACCTTGAATCTTTAAGTTAATTAACGTGTGTTTTTAAAACTGCATTATAAGAACGTTAGGGTTTTTGTTTTGATCCTATGGAAGTTAAATTTTTTACACAAGCATTCAACTGTTTAGCTTCAAACTGAACAGATAAATAGTCTGTATTATTTCATTATGTATTAAAAAATGATTAAGCCTGCCTCAGGCAGTTCAGGCAAAGCAGGTAAAAGATTATCAAGGAGTAACATTAGAAAACACTAATCAGAGTGCCTAAAAAGCTTTATGCGGTCCAGGTTGTACAGGGATGTTGGAACAGTAAAACAAACAAAACATTACAAGGTATGAAGCGTTCGAGATAGGTAGAATAGAGCAGGTTATATTAGAGAAGTCTCTTCTAAAATTGTGTTGGCTAGCCTGGGATTTGAACTTATACCGTGTATGTATGTCCATGTGTAACAGGTTGAACATGCAAGAAGCAGTGTTCATAAAAGGTGGCAAACTTGTTTTACTTGTTTCTCAGTCTTTTCAGATCAGTACTTATAAAACACTGATATTTACAGTAAATATCTTATATTAAATATTAGCTAACCCTATTAAATTGTGTGTCCTTGTGCTGCAGTCATTTAATGACCTCATTCTTTGGTAAGTTGGCATGTGATTTGAGATAGCTCTAAGTGCTAATGGATTGTTTGAAGGAGTTAAAGGCAAAACCAGGAAGAGAAAACTATTTTTAGGAAAAAGCGATCATACAACAGGCCTTAAATAGAAGAAATGAGATATCTCTATCTTTACTATGTAACCTTTAATTCCTTACACATTTTGACTTCATATTTTTTGTATGTAAATGAGAATGTTATAGTCTTGTAAATTCCTTTTCCTCTGTGACTACATTCAGTTATTTATTTTATTGTGTGTTTGTGCATGTCGGTAGAGCACAGTATTTAGTAGAATGAGTTATTGGTTAAACCACCTGGATTCATTTGTAAAATGGGGCCACCTGTCTCTTAAATTGTAATGAGGATTTGATTAGATAATCTAGATAAATCACTTAGCACAAGAGTCTCCAGCCCCCGGACTCTTGACTGGTACTGGTCTGTGGCCTGTTAGGCACTGGGCTGCACAGCAGGAGGTGAGCAGGGAGCAAGCTAGCACTAGGGCCCAAGCTCCGCCTCCTGTCGGATCAGTGGCAGCATTAGATACTCATAGGAGCACAGACCCTGTTGTGAACTGTGCGTGTGAGGGATCTAGGTTTCGTGCTCCTTACAAGAATCTAATTAATGCCCGATGAGTTGAGGTGGAACAGTTTCTTCCCAAAACCGTCTCAGGAAACCTGTCCCTGGTGCCAAAATTTGGGGGACCTCTGACGTAGCACACTATCTGGCACATACCAAGCACTCAGAAAATATCCCATTTCTCAAAACTCAGTTCCAGTGTCAAGTCTTAATAGTATATTGATCTTGGAACTCCAAGGTAGTTGGTCCTCTCTTTGTGCCATAAATGTGCCTTGTACTCAGTAGTGCTAAATTGCTATCAACTAGTGCTAAATGTACTACTAATTCATCTGTGTGTCCACTTCCCTTCTTAGATTGTGAGCCCCTTGAGGACAGAGATGGGTTTACTCATATTTATAAATTCATTGGCATGATAAATATTTGCTGAAAGAATAAAATTGTATTCTTATGTTTTAAGCAGGGTCCCCTCCACCTCTGAGTGGAAGATGGTCTGGGAGCAAAGGTGACAGGTCTTCTAAAAAATCTGGCCACATTCTCAACCCACCACACCCCCGCTTTTTTAAACAGCTATTTAATTGCCATTGTAATCCTAAGGATTGGATCAATTTTTCACTTCCCTTTTTCACACTTTTTTCCTTTTACTAAGAAAATAAAGTAATAAAGTGACTGCCAAATGGAGAAAACTGTCCACTAAATATGAATTAATAAGTGCTATTATCAGAAATTGTGTAAAAGCAACATAATGGCACTATAAAAAGGTATTATCTTAGAATCAAAAACCTTGGGTTTATATTATAGCCCTGCTACTTTCTAGTCATATGACAGTGATCAAGCTATATTACCTCTTTGGCTTGACAAAATAGGGGTCATCTCTATTTCTGGCTTGTTATGATTGATGTGAAATATTCATACAAACTACCACTGTGCCTGGTAAGTAGAAGACACTCAAATATGTCTTGGAGTTACAGTTAATACTGTATCGTTTAAATTTGAGAAAAACCAACTTTAAAAAATCACATAGATACAGTTGTTTACTGCTAGAAATTTTATTTAAATTAGTTGATACTCTTGGTTAGGTAATGAAAAACAATGGTTTTATCTCCATTATGCTGTGATAGGGAAGAGTAACACAGTTCAAATGGCAAAGGCATACCTGACAATTAAAATGCATAGTTAAAGGCTAATACTTCCTGAACACAAGAAGACAAGTCTCTACTTGATACTACTCTCCACAGTTAAATCATTGATACTTTGTGCCATACAGTGAAAACAGAACCATCTAGGTGTTCACGGATTGTATTTTTCCTTATGAAAGGTAGAAGGTTAGAGAAAATTATTCCCAATACAATTAATACAAATAAAATTGGTTATTAGGTGCCTTTTAATTAGGCAGTAAGGGCATATGAAGCTTCATTACCTATGAGAATTTTGTCAAAATTATTTCCCAGTTACCATGTTTTAAAACAGCCTCTCAGAATTCCCCACTTCTAATTTCTCCTTTCTATTCTACCAATTTTACTCCATACCTTTTTGCTAAATAAACATTTTCTTCCAACTCTGAGTTTGGTGTTTTTTTCATTTGATCTGCTCTTCAAAGTGTATCAGCTAGTGATTGAATTAGGCTATGGTGTAACAGAGAACTCTAAGACAGTAGCTTAAACAAGATTTTTTTTTTAACCCCTGAGTCTTGCTGCCTTTTTCACAAAGACAAAGCTTTTTCAGAAACTCCCAGCTTATGTCTCATTTGCCACAACTGCGTAACATGGCTATCTTTTAGCTGTAAGAGATGCTGAGAAACATAGTTTTTTTGCTGGGCATATTGTCACTGAGCAAAATCAAAGTTTTATTTGGATTATTGTACTTACAATTCACCTTTTATGGCAATTTAAGTAGTCATTTGTCATAGATTGGAGGATTTCCTGGAAGGGTGAAGAACTTCTATATAGGTTACTTATTCTGACTAACATAAATTATCCTACCACCACAATCCCATAACTCTAAACTTACAGAGATGTCATAGAAAACAACAAATATACACACAGCTAACCACAAAAGAAAAAGGAAATCCCAGCTGCCAGAAGTGAAGAAAAAACAGCCAGAATAGTGAACTCAGCAGCTGAAGGTACACTGACCTAGGTGGATGATAGTGTTGGCTGTGGGTCTCACCAATGGACCCTGAGACTTTAACAGCAAGAGATATGGCCTGACTATACAGGGAAGCTGGGACTGAGACCTACACAAAGCCAAGACCTTAGAAGGTGCTCCAGCCTCAGGAAGGAGGATGAGCAAACTTCTACACAATAACCCAGGGAAGCTACAAAGTTGTCTGAACCCAAGACTTTAGGGTGGAGAAAGAGGAAGGTGTCTGTGAGAAAGAGTTGAAGTTTACATTTCAGTTTTGCTTTCAGAATATCCATGCTTAGCTTAAAAATGTGAGGCACATTAAGTTACTGGCTTTAATAAAGGAATGAATGAAATGTACAGAAGTATGTGTTCTCGGGGCCTCTTTTAAAGTCATTAGGGGAAAGAATTGGCATATATTCAGACGCATTTGAAGAAATTATATATTTTTGGAGATGGAGTCTTGCTCTATCGCATGGCATGATCATGGCTTACTGCAGCCTCAATTTCCTGGGCTCAAGTGATCCTCCCATGTAAGCCTCCCGAGTAGGTGGGACCACAGGCATGTACCACCTTGCCTGGCTAGTTTTTAAAATTTTTGTAGAGATGGAGTCTCACTGTGTTGCCCGAGCTGGTCTCGAACTCCTGGGCTCAAGTGATCCTCCCACCTTGGCCTCCCAAAGTGTTACGATTACAGTCATGAGCCACCATGCCTGGCCTGAAGGAAAATTTTAAAACAGAAGGAATAAGCTAGAATGCAGCACAGAAGAGGTAGAAAATTGAAAGTAATTCATGGAAGATCCAATATACATATATATTTTAGGAGTTTAAGGAGAAAACAGAAGGTGTGAGGCAGTTGTGAACTAACAGAATGTGTAGTATACAACTCTTGGTAGAGAAATGGTACGCACTGAAGTTTTTGAGGCGTGGGGGACAGGTAGCTTCCTTCTCTCATGCATACTCCTGCTGCCAAATTACCCCCTAACGGCTACGTTATAATGAAAACAGTTTCATGCCAGCTTCTGTTATATTAACCGAGCAAGAAAACTGATCTTAGCATGTTCTGCAGGCTAAAGGAAATTGCTCTTGGCCCATTTAGGTGCTCTAACCACCATCTTGCCTGAAAGGTTCCTTTAAGAAGCAGAATTCTATTACTTTAACAAAAGGTGTGTTCATGGCTGGACAAGAGCCTTTTAGGGGGTTAGACTAGGACATCATCCCAAAATATAAGGGCTACAGGCCATGCTGGATTCTTATGGCCTCTTCTTGCAATGGTGGTATGTGTTACTCTGCTATTAGTCAGTCTGAAAACCTTTAATCTCACCATCGGAGGCCCATTTAAAAAATTACTTTAGCAGGTCACTAATAAAAATTTCTACCATTTAGTATGAAAATTAAGACATTGTATGTTGATCAAGATGCAGTCAACAATACCTAGAATAGCTTCCACTAGAGTATGCATTCTCTGATTAGAACACTAGTTCATCTTCCTAGTGAACTGTTCTATCAGGATGGTAGCAAGACTTAAGCGATGACTTTACATAAGTTATGTGTACCACACTGTGTATACTGGAGTATTTCCATGTAAATTACAGACAACAGCTATACTGGAAGCAATAAATGGCCAAGAAATTTCCAGAGTTGACCAAAGACATCAGGAATGATACTTGCTTCCAGAAAAAGAACCAATGTAACATTGGCTTAAACTGTTGTGCTTTTGCTTTTCTTTCAGATGTAGGCTGTCCAGGTGTCCGGTACTATAACTCCACAAGATCAGTAGGGCCCCAGGCTTTTTCTGTTCTTTATGATCCACTCTCTACCATGTAGCATTTGTCTTCAAGATCAAAAAATGGTGGCTGTAGTGCTCACATTCCAGATAAGGAAGAATGGGCAAGAAACAAAAGATCCACTCCAAATGTGATGGCAAAATTAAGACTTTTGAGTGAAAAATGGAAATTTGTCTTCAGTACATACACACTGAAAGAAATGTTGAAGAGAGTTCTTCAGGCAGAAGCAAAATCATTCCAAGGGAAATCCTGGAATGCAGGAATAAATGAAGAGCAATGGAAATGGTAAATATGTGGGTAAATTTGAAGGAATATTGGCTGTATTCTGTGGTTTAAAATATCTGTGGAATTAAAATGCACCTACAATAACGAGACAGGAGAAGTTTGTACTGGAGTTTGTCCTCAGGTTCTAGCATTAGGTAGGTAAATGGTAAGATTACTTTTTTTAGACTATGAAGACAAGGGTGCATGTTGTAATCTCTTAAGCACTAAAAGGCTAATAGAATGTATACCTAACAATTTAATGGAGACAAAAGCATTTAAAAGAAGGCAAGAATAGAAAAGGGACATAAAACAAATGGGTCAAATTTAAAGTTGCAAAATAGAAACCCAAATACTTTAAATGAGTCATTAGTTGAATTAAGTTTAAAAATTTATCAGGCTGAAAATTCCCTACTACATGTTGCTTACAAGAGGCATACTTTAAATACAAGGCCACACAAAAAGGTTGAATGTAAATGGCATAGGGAAAAAAAAACACAGCAAACCAAATAAAAACAGTTTGAATGTGGTATTGTCAGGCAATGAGATTTAAGGCAAAAAGCATTACCAGAGATAAAGAGGGACATTTTATAATGATGAAGGAATTAATTCACCCAAAACACATAAAGATCCTAAATCTGTATGTGTTGAAAACAGATTTGAAATACATAAAGCACGAATGACATATAAGAAGAGAAATAGGTAAGTGTCTAACCATAGCTGGAGGCTTATGCAGCTTTTTCCATAGCTGATAGACTATCCGGACCCTACCCCCAAAAAATCAGATGCAGAGGATCTGAACTTTACATATATGAATACTTGATTTAAAAAACATAATTCACATTTTCTTCAAGTAAATTTATCAAAATTTACCCTATTTTGAGTCATAAAGCAAACCAATAATCTCAAAAGATCAAAAGCATTCATCTTACATTCTCTAACACAGTGGAATTAAACTAGAAAACAGTAAAAAAGATGATTAGAGAAACCCGCAACTACTCTGAAATTATGTAATAGATTTCTTGATAGTCCCTGGGTCAAAGAATAAAACAAATTTAAAAATATTTTCAAGTGAATAATATGACATACCAAAAAGTGTGTTGCAGCTGAAGCAGTGCGTGGAGGAAAATTTATAGATTTACATGCATACATTAGAAAAGAAGCAAGGCTGAAAGTCAATTACCTAAACTATTTTCAAGTAGCTGGAAAAAGAAGAGCAACGAAATAATAAAAGACAAAAAGTCAGTGAAATAACACACAATAGAGAAAGCCAAAATGTTGGTTCTTTGAAGTCTAAAAACAATAATAACCTCTACTGTTTAACATATTTGAGATATTAGCCAATAACGTAAGGCCTGAAGTAAAAAGATAGAACGTTTAGAAAGAAGAAAATAATACCATTTATAGACAACTGGTTGTGTGCATAGAAATTTGAAAAGACTCAACAAACAAAATAACTTATCAAGGTCACTGAATACAAACTATACAGAAATTGTATTTCTATATATCAGAAACAAATAGAAATTGATAAAATGATACCATTTACACTAGTGTAAAATAAATACAAGAAATTTTCCAATCATTTAAGCATTTTTTTTTTAATTCTAAATATATGGATATACCATGTTCATGACTTGGAAGTCAATTTTGTAAATTAATCTGTAACTTCAATATATGATATTATCAAAATCCCAACAGTATGTTGGAGAAATTAACAAACTGAAGAAATGCAAAGGACCGAGAATATCCAAGATAAACTTGAGCAATAAAACTGAAAAATGTTCACCAACAGACATAAGACCTGTGATTATAAAAGTGTAGTTGTAATTAACACTGTTGTTGGCTGGCATAAGGATAGACAAATAGACCAAAGTAACAGACTAGAGCAAAGTAGACTAGAACAAAATAGAACAAAGTAACAGAATTCTGTATACGTGGTGATCCACACATTTAGGTCATCTGTGATTTATGAGAAAGAGAAACTATTGTAATGGTACAGTCAATTAGATAGCTGTATTGGGGAAAAAAGTAGACCCCTTCCTTGATACCATATATATAGAAAAATCAATTCCATGTGGAATATGGTTTAAATGCGAAAGGAAATAATGAAACAGGAGAGTGTCTTCATGTTTTGGGGTAGGCAACTATTTAAAGGACATAAAGCATAAAGGAACATTTTAAACTAATTTGTGGTGATAGAATCAGGGTAGAGGTTATCACTCGCCTGGCAAAATTAATCAATAAGAAAAGATAACTTAGCCAGACACAGTGGCTCATGCCTGTAATCCTAGCACTGGGAGGCTGAGGCATGAGGATAGCTTAAGACCAGGAGTTCAAGACTAGCCTGGGCAACATAGTGAGACCTTGTCTCTACAAAAATTTTAAAAATTAACTGGGTGCAGTGGCATGCACTTGTAGTCCCAGTTACTTGGCAGGCTGGGGCAGGAGGATCATCTGAGCCCAGGAGTTTGAGCCTGCAGTGAACTATAATTGTGTCACTACACTCCAGCCTGGGCAACAGAGCAAGACCCTGCCTGTCTAAAATTAAAAAAAAAAAAAAAAAGCTTGATATCAGGAAAGAAATAAGGCATGAAAACGGATAAAATTAAAATTATTTGATTTAGAAAGTGATTGTGAATTTATGTGAATAAATTTGAAATTTTAGATATTTTTTGATTAGTGTTGCCAAATATGTATTAGTAAATAAGTCTCAATCTGTTTTTTAAAATCTACTCTGAATAATGCACAAGCTCTGGATGATTTATTAAAATACATTCATTGTGACCAAGTAAGGATTATTTCCATATGGGAGAATGATTTAACACTGTAAAATCTTTTCACATAGTATATACCATGTTAATAGGTTAAAGAGAAAAGGCATGTTACTATCTCAGTGAATGCAGGGAGTTGGAGGGGGAGAACCAGCAAAATGCAAGTTATATTCACTTAGGATTTTAAAAATAAAACATCCTCTTAATAGATGAATAAACGTATTAGTACGATAAATGATAGCTTACCAAAACCCATAGTTATTGTTACAAGTTAATGGTACAACTTTAGAGATGTTCCTTAATGTCAGCAATAGTACAGGAATGGGATATTGTATTAATACATCTGTTCCATGTTGCACTGGAGATCTTGGCCAGTGCAGTGAGACTAGAAGAATAAATAATAGGCATAAAGACTGGAAAGAGAGAATCAATTATTGTTAATGGGCAAGATCATTGTTTATTTGAAAGTCCAAGGAAAACTACAAAGTAGCAAAACTAATGTGAGTGTTGAGAGATTTTGGATATAAGAGCAATCTGCAAGAATTAGTAGTGTTCTTTTCCACTTCAGTGTGTTTGAAAGTGTATTATTTGAAAGAATTTCATTCACAATTAAAACTCTAAGGGGACCTAATAATACATCCAATAAAAATATGCAAGATTTTGTAGAAGTAGACTAAAATGAATGGAGCAGTATTCTATGTTAGAGAATGGGAAAAATCAGTGCATTAAAGTACCAGTTCTCTCCAAATCTATAAATTCACTGAAGTTCCAATCAAATTCTCAACAAAACTTTTTATGGAATTTAATCAACCTAACCTGAATGTGGAAAGACAAAGCTGAGATTTTTTTTTTTTAAACAGGAAAAATAGGGGAGTACCTATCATAAAAGACAGTAGGGCTTATAAAACTATAGTGATAACACAGCCCTTGTGATGCCAGGATAGACATGTAAATCTATGGTACAGAAACAGATACATGAGAACTTGATACGTGACACAGTGGAGAAATTAGTAACTTTTCAATAAATGGCACTAGGACAATTGCATGTCTGTATGTGAAAAAATTATATACCCTTCTCACACCATATTTTTAAAAACTGGTAGATTAAAGACCTAAATGTGGCGGAGGGGGGAGGGGGCGGGAATACCATTTTAAATATTTTAGAAGGTAATACAGGAAAATTTGAACCAATGTAAGGAAGGAGTTGTTGGATGTGACTCAAAGTGGGAACCATGAAGAAAAAGAGTCACACATCTGACTATATTAAAACTAGAAACTTAAGTATGACAAAAGACACTGAATATTAGAGGGCCAGCCACAGACGTGGAAGGTACTTACCTTGCAATTATCTACCAGGAACTGACAAAGGAAGTGTCCAAATTACATAAAGGACTACTTAAGGGGGGAATAAATGAGTGATATATGAGAGAGAACCAAAAGGTCAATTAACAGAAAAATGTTTTAGCTCACTAGGAGTCAAGGAAATGCCAGTCAGCACAGTTAGATACCATTTCACATCCAGTCAGATAATATCAGGGATTGGCAAACATGTTGAGAAAATAATTCATACTTTAGTAAAGTTGAAATTACATATTGCTTATAACAGCAGTTCAACATCTGTCTTTTTATAAGACTAAAGTTTTGCATCATATTTAGGTACAGAAATTGTCAGAACACTTAAAGCTTGTAGGCATTTGTTGCTGGGAGAAGACTGAATTGCTTTTTTCAAAAACTGGAAATCACATTGATGTGTTGTAAAAGAGAACCTTAGATTTAGAGAGGGAAAAAAAACTACAGTATTTTGTTAAATTTATCTACATTTAAAGATACTAATAAATGCAGTTTATGAACTACCAGTCTCCTATATTGGTCATATTTTGACAAGTAAAGCTTTTTTTTTCATAACGTCAATATTCACACAGAGGTTACAGTTCAGATTAGGAGAACATATGTATGATAAAACAATTAGACTAAAAAGGTCCTTTCTTTTTATATGAAATGGCAGAAAAGCAACAGCAGTTTATTGCTTATGACAGAATACATATGATACTCGAATATTTCTTGAGATCTTTGCTTAAATCTAGTATCTATACAAAATTTTTATGTTCGCTAGATTGTAAATTCAGTTTTCTTACTAAGAAAGACTGAAATTTATTAATAATTTTGGGGTTCTAGTGATTAGCATTAGAGACTGATTTGCTTTTAAAGAGAATCGCATATTTTATATATTTCCAATTTTACATACTTCTGAAAGAACATAACTTTGTCATTAATATATGGCATATGTATACAATGAAAAATGTACAAGGATGTTTCTTACAGCAGTTATTGAAATAGCAGGAAGAAAAAGGTAACTTAAAAGACACTTAGCACTAGAGTCTCCAGTCACATCTACTCCCTGGCCCATGAACTAAGAACGTTTTTAACGTGTGTATGAAAGGAGTGACTTAATAGATCTGGCGTGTTGAAACCTGCACCTTTCAAAGAAAGGTCTAGCCCTCAACTTGCTCCTGGGAGATCACAGCGCTAAGCCCCTGGAATATCCTGCCTGATGCAAGGCCTTTGTTTACCTGGGGCCTTGGATCACACCAGATAGTTTATGCTACAGATTTATGGTGAGGGCATTGCACCTTGCAGTATCAATTTAATCGCCGGGGGAGGTGGAAACTGAATAACATCTGCCATTTCTGTTCTCCATGCCTATGTGACTAACACCCAATAAAAACCTTGGACACCAAGTCTCAGCTTCCCTGGTTGATAATATTTCATAAATGACCCACACTCATTCAGAGAGGATTAAGTGCTGTGCATGCATCTCCTGTCAGATGGGACAACTGGAAGCCTGTCCTGCTCTCTTCTGAACTCTTTCCTATCTGCCTTTTAAAACTGTACTGATTTTAAACTGTACTTTTGCTCTAATAAACTAATTGTCAACGTAACTTTTCTGAGTTCTGTGAGTCATTGAACTGGACAGTGGTCTTGGGGACCCTGCCATAACTGTTTAAAGAACTGTTTTTTAAAAATAATATTTGATAGAGACTGTATGTTCTGCAAATCCTAAAATATTTGCTATTTGGTCACTTACAGCAACAGTCCCCAACCTTTTTGGCACCAGGAACCGGTTTTGTGGAAGACAGTTTTTCCATGGACAGGGGTAAGGGGGGAGGTGTCGGGATGAAACTGTTCCACCTCAGATCATCAGGCGTTAGATTCTCATAAGGAGTGTGCAACCTAGATCCCTTGCATGTGCAGTTCACAGAGACCACTGCTGATCTGACAGGAGATGGAGCTCAGGCGGTAATGCTCACTTGGCCATCAGTCACCTGCTGTGCTGCTTGATTCCTAACGGGCATGGACCGATACTGGTCCTCGGCCCAGGGGATGGGGACCCTTGACTTACGGAATACTTTTGCCAACCCCAGCAGAAATATAATGAAAAAATAAGTTTGTTTCATACATTGAAAACAGCTAAAATGGATGAAATCTCAAACTTTTAACTGGAGAAAAAAGTAACAGAAGGTTGATATAGTGTATTATTTATGTGACTTAAAAACAAAACAATTACTAAAGATGTATATGCATTAAGAAAATCACAAAGGTTTTTATTTTCAACATATGTTGAAAATAAATGTGTGTGTGTGTATATATATATATATTTACATATTTGCTCATAACAATAGTTTGAGGATGTCCGCAAACTTAAAGCTTGGGGTAGGGGGTGGAAATGGAATGGATGATAAAACTTACTTGTCTCATTTTTGTTTCTTAAAAAGAGATGCAGGGTGTATTAGTCCATTTTCATGCTACTGATAAAGACATACCCGAGACTGGGTAATTTATAAAGAAAAAGAGGTTTAATGGACTCATAGTTCCACGTGGCTGGGGAGGCCTCATAATCATGGCAGAAGGCAAAAGGCACATCTTGCATGGCAGCAGACAAGAGAATGAAAATCAAGCAAAGGGGGTTTCCCTTATAAAACTATCAGATCTTGTGATACTTATTCACTACCATGAGAACAGTATGAGGGAAATCACCCCCATGATTCCGTTATCTGCCACCGGGTTCATATCTCAGGGAAAAAACAGACCTTGTAAAACAAATAAGGTAGTTATTTTAATTAATATTTTCATGTATTTCCTTAAATCAACTTAGCTTAGAACTATGGAAAGTCAGAAACAGGCCTTGGTAGGTAAATTGCCCAAGTCGTGGTGAATTCTTAAAGACAGCATTCTATAGGAAATATTTTAGTGCTGGCAGATTTAGTTATTTTGAATGGTGGAAACTTGAAATTTGATCTTTGAAATATAAAGGAATAAAGATATAAGGACTGTACTGTACATTTTAGAGACATCAAGTTCTCTTAATTTTGTGACTCTACGTTGAGAAGAACATTGAGAGATTACATGAGTAACAAGAAAGAGAAACTTTCTGAGAATGCACAGCTACCTCTTTTACAAATAACAAAGCATTGCCTTTGCAGGGGTTAGTTTTCTTTAGGCTTGGGGCAAGACATTAAATCCACCCCTGGTTTATAATGGAGGCAATATACAGTTGACCTTTGAACACCATTGGAGTTGGAGTACCAATCCTAACCCCACCCTGCCACCCCCTGAAAATCTGAGTGTAACTTTTGACTGCTCTCAAACTTAACTACTGCTATTGACTGGAAGCCTTACTGATAACAAATAGTCTATTAACACATACTTGGTATGCTATATGTATTATATACTCTATTCTTTAAGCTAGGGAAAAGAATGTTAATAAGAAAATTGCAAGGTAGAGAAAATATATTTACACTTCATTAAGTGAAAGTGGATCATCATAAAGGTCTTCATCCTCCTCACGTTCACGTTGAGTAGGCTGAGGAGGGGGAGGAAGAGGGGGGTTGATCTAGCTGTCTCAGATGTAGTAGAGGCAGAAGAGGTAGAAAAGGAGGCAGGAGAAGCAAGGCACGGTTGGTGTAACTTTTATTTTCCAAAATCCACATATAAGTAGACCTGTGCATTTCAAACCCGTGGTGTTCAAGCATGCACTGTAACCAATTGGTATTTTCTTAAAAATAAAAAAATCTTGGTTATTTGTAGCTGCCACAAAACACAGATCACACCAAGTTTAGTGTCCACTGATATCTGGAAGACTTTAAGGGTATTACATTTTAAGTGCTATTAGGATCTTGAGTAATCATCAAATAAGAAAATGGGTATTAAAATGCTTTGTAAACTGTAAGTTAAGATAAAAGTGGTATTCCTGATGTTAACCACTCTCAACTGAGCTTAGATTTCTAGTATATACCAGCTTGGGTGACATAGTGAGACCTGGTCTCTACAAAAAAAAATTAAAAAATTAAGCATGGTGGCACATCTCAGTAGTCCGAGTTACTCTGGAGGCTGAGGTGGGAAGATTGCTTGAGCACAGGAGATTGAGACTGCAGTGAGCCACAGTCATGCGACTGCACTCTAGCCTGGGCAACAGAGCAAGACCCTGTCTCAAAAATAAGTAAATAATAAGAAGATTTCTAGTATATAAAGTTTAATGATACCTTCCCTACCTGCATTCCAAGAGTTACTAGAAAAATAAAATGAAACAACATCCAAAAAAAACCCCACAAAACCTTATCTTTAAAAATGATAAAATACTATGCCAATTAGTCATATGAAAAGTATTACTAGTACCCTGACTGTGATGACACTCATGCGGGTAATTATAATTGCAAAGGGAAAAAAGCATTACTCACTTTGGTTTCCTGAGACAAGAGGTGAGCTATATAAGGAAAAATAACTAATAATCATGTAGGTCTTTCCTTGTAGCTCATGCCAGGTTTATTAAGGGATGAGAGAAGAATAAGACCTGGGTCCTGCATTTTTTTCAATTCAGCATTTATTGAGCATCTACTATCTGTCAGGTGGAGGAAAGCTAAGTACTTAAATATATTAACTATTGTCCTTGTTTGCCTGAAAAAGGATTATCCTTGTTTCTCATGTGAAAGTTGAGATTCAGAGAAGTTAAGTAGCTTAAAACATAATAGGTCCTGAACTAGCATTTGAACCCCGATTTCTGGCTTCTAAACATGTGTTTCACATAACAATAAGAAAACTAGGATCCAAGTGTTAAATAGTAAAGAGACACAATTATTGTAGGAGACAAGGAAAGAATACATTCATGTGGACAAGGAGCAGGTAGGGGAGGCTTCCTGCAGCAGGTGGAACTTGAAAGAAGCCCCAAGGATAGGAATTTGGTAGGTATAGGAAAATAGGCATTGCTAGCAAGGGAGAGTGATAGCTAGAGTTACCATTTACTGAGTTACCTGCCTAGGTGAGCCAGTGTGTGTGTCTTGGAAGATTAGAACATTCACACTGGTTGCCTCTAGCAACCATTTGGTCCCAGGACAAGAAATAGGGGCGGGTGAATGGGAGAGTCATTAAGAAAGCATGTAGAATTGAAGAAACCTGAAAATAATGGAAGATTCTAGTCATTTTCAGAACTCAAGAACAGTCCCAAGGTCTGGGTAAAGCCTGTAATGTAACATACATAATTTTGTAAACACACCACATCAGATAACTACTTAAAGATGTTTTGGACAGCAGCTGATTGTTTAAAACTCATTTCAGAGTACCAGGTATTGGAGGGAGGGAGATGGGGGTTGGAGAAACAGTGGAGGTAGAATTCAGTGGACCAGGATTCTATACCTTTTCCCTGAAGGCAATTCCTGATTATATGTATTTATAAGAATGTATTGAGCCTCAGTCACCACATTTATCCTACCTTCAGGGTTGCGGGTATAAAACGATCAATATAAAAATACTTGGAAGATATAAAGATTGATGTAGATGACAGGTTTTATGTTCAAGCAGCATTGACATTGCTACTGTAAAAGTATAATAGGGAGTTTATCATAACATGCTGTAATATGGTTTTAAAGGCTTTTTTTCTAACTTTGAAAGGTTTTTAAGATAGATACTTATACATTTTTTGTCTTTTGGCAATGATTTTTAGGGAGAACTAAATCATTCTTGTAGCCAGACTTTGCAAATGAAAGAAAACAAGCCAAGGGAACCTCACTTAGGATATAAGACACTCACAAGCATGAGTGTTGCAACTGCCCAGTTGTCGTGTTTTTAATAACACATTTAAAAAGTATAGACGGTGAATTCCCACTAAGTGTGTATTCTTTGCTGTTTACCAGGGTCAGGAGGGTACATGAGCTGCGAAATAAGTACGTTTCTGCATCTTCAGCGTGTCTGTCCCACATTGTGGTTACCTGTTTGGCAGTTTTGCAACATTTTAACCCATAATCCACCAACCAGTTTTATAGGGTTTTGTTTTGTGTAGTCTGTATTGTTAAAACAGTATGCAGTTTTTTCATGATCTAAATTGTTAATTTTATTATTTTTCAAACTCATTCTCCTCCTCCTGTTGAGACTCACTGTCCTGCGGGGAATGAGGAAAAAAACAAGACACTTTCTCTGTCACTCAATCTGTTGAACATCTATTTGAGAATTAGGTTCAGATTCCCTGGCTTAAGCACAGACACTTAATTATCTAAGCCAGGAGTTTTCAAATATTTCTTATAGTGGAACCTGCTCTTTAAAAAGAAATCATTCACCAAAGCCCACCATGTAAAGCACATGAACGTGAACCCACCTGCTAAGCTGATTCCCTGGTTACCCCTTTTAGCACCTGAGGCACACAATTCCAAGACCACTGAGTTAAGCCCACCTTCGTTGTTATCCTCATCTCTGGCCACTAGCCTGAACAGACTCTCCAATATAGCCATTGTAAACCACGTTTACTTCCCCACCATGTCCTGTTTTGTAATCCTGTGCCTTCGTATATCCAGTTCTTCCATTGTGAATGCTTCATCATCCTCCTGCCACTTTGATATTTAGTTGTCCTTGATATAATCTTTTCCTAGAAATCTGCCCTGATACCCTTGTCTGTGCTTCCTTTGCATTCTTTTCATTCCTCTATCATAGACTTTGCTACACTGTAATAGGTAATTTATTAGTCAGACTCTCCCACACTGCAATAGTGTTCTTTTTGGAACATGTGCTTATTCGATATTCTGCCTCCAGGGCCAGGCCATGGTTGGTAATCAGGTATGTTTGATGAACGGATAGACTGACGAGCAGATGGATGGATGAAGGAATATTCCAGCAGACCAAGTGAGTGAAGTGTCCCAGTGCCTTAAACTGAGAAAGGAAATAGAAGGAACTGAAAAAAGAGAATTCTCTTCATATAGCCGGCTGGATTGGGATTTGTCTGTGGGCTAAGAGTAGACCTGACATACTTCCCAGAATGCAGTCATCGCTGAGTTAGCCCTAGGGAACAGTCCAGCATGAGTCATATGCCTTCTCTCCATATCTGGTGCCATATATTTATAGCTAATGCTGGTGGGTTTTCTCTTGTTAAACAGCAAAAGAAAAATGATTGCATGAAGGCCAAACAAAAGACTAATGGAAGTGGTTTTAATTAATTTTTAAAAGGCTTACAAATGACAATTCAGCTGGGAAGTTATAGAAACATTTTAGCTGAAATTTCACCTACAGGATGCAGCTCTTTGGATTGTTCTTCTGAGGTTAAATGGGGGTAATTTGAAAGCTGGCAGGAAGAAGGCCAGTGATACTTGTTTGTCTACATTTTTTTCTTTTAAACAGTGAAATAGCTCCTTGGAAAGAAGAGTGTTTTGCATTTGAGTGATACGAGATGGTCAGAGTCACTGAAATGTGGAATGGAATGAACTGGAAGCTGCACTAAATATATATTGATTGTATAACACAGGTTTCAAAATCATTTAGATAATATTAAAGCTTCCTTTTCCTTATAGCCTAATTGTCATATTAGTGCACTCAGACAATGTCATAGAAGCAGAAAGTTCTATGGAGGTTTTCTACCTAAATTTTCCTTTCTACATATAATTTTATTGAAGGGTCTAAATGAATTCTCAATACACAGTTGACAAAATTAAATTTATAAGGGCAGCAATTCCCCTATATGAGGCAGAGAACAGAACTTGCATTTAAATAGCATCTACTATGTCCAGAACACCATTAGGCATTTTTTTTCATGAGGTATCTCAGGAAACCTTCACCATTACCCTAAAAGGCTACCTCCATTTTAAGACAGAGAAAGAGTCTTAAAGAGGTTAGGCAATGTTCCCATCCACACAGTTTGGCCAAGGTACGTGTGACTTAGTTATCTATTCTTTCCCCTTCATTACCATGTTGTGTTCCAATGGCCATGCAGTAAGAAACCTTATTAACAGAGTCAAGTATGTTACAGGAAGCAAGAAGAAGTGCACTGAGTTGTTCATTTCCTCCCCTCTAATTCTCTCTTTCCTCTTTGGAGAAGATGAGCAAATCTGCACCCCCTGTTCCCTCTTCACTAATCTCTATTCAGTGTCCAGATTGATGTTAGTTTATAAAAGATTATAATTTTCATTTCAGTAGCAATTTAAGAGTTCACAAAAAATTTGCAAAATCTTCTTTCATCCTCATTTTACAAAGGAGAAACTAAAAATCAAGATAAGTTTCTGATTTACCCAAGGTTACAGAACTAATTATTAGCAAAGGGCTTTTCCCCTCCCAGAATTTCTGATTTCACATACTCTTTCTACCGCATCCTTAAATGAGAATATGTGGGGTTTCTCTGTAAGGATGGAAGAGAATTTCACTCTCCAGAGTTCTGTTTGTTTCTTCTCATATCTTGAGAAAAGTTTATCTTTCTAAGGCATGAAATGTATTAAGTACACAAAAGCCTCTCCATATCCCACTGTAATTATCTGAACGTGCAGATACCACTCTGCATCTTGGAAGATTGCACAAATGGGTGTGGGAAAACACATGCAAATAGTTAAGCACCGTTATTCATTCCAAATGATATGAAGGTGGTCCTCAGCGCAGTAGAGAAAGAAGGCTTAGAAATCTTCCCACTAAAAGGAAGCTTCTAGCACAATTTTCTTCCTGTGGCTTCGTACGTAACTGCTACAAAAGCCCATCAGCTATGCAGGCCTAGCTGTTTTCCAGATGTCAGAGCAGGAGGGGGGAACTGTAGAAGTTTTGTTGTCTCATCTCGTTTTACTTTAAAAAATAACAACAACAACAACAACAAAAAACGAAGCCTCGGCAACATGGTGAGACCCTGTCTCTACAAAAAAATAAAATAACTAGCCGGATGTGGTGGTGCGTGCCTGTGGTCCCAGCTACTGGGGAGCTGAGGTGGGAGAATCGCTTGAGCCTGGGCGGTCAAGGCAGCAGTGAGCCATGACTGTGCTGCAGCACTGCAGCCTGGGTGACAGAGCAAGACCCTGTCTCAAAGAAGGAAAAGCTTAGGGTGGAGGGGTGACTTTGAAAATGAGCAAGTAAAATAATAGAATAGGAAGAACATTGGCCTTGGATCACAGAAGCTGGAATTAGAGCAGTCTACTTCTTTAAGCCTCATTTTCCCTGTCTACAAAATGAGTATTATAATACCACACAGTGTTCATCATGTGAATCAGATAATATGTGGACAGAGGATCTTCTGTTTCTATTTAAGAGGACTTACAGGTTGGAAATTGAAAGAGCTGAAAACAGCATTTACCATAATGCTTTATTCAAGTGGTATAGCTTTGGCTATCATAAAGATGAAGATGGCAGTAACAAGATGAGTGTAAAATCCAGTATTTCCTTTCTTCCAGGCTATGGATCCTTTCACTTCCTTTTGTTTCCCTGAATATTGAACATGCATACTTTGATGTACAGTTTTTATGTCTTTATTCTATAGAGAACAGTTCTTTATCAAATAATTTCAACTATTATGGGGTCTGGGAGGAAATAATAGTGGGGTTTTCTCTCCCTGGTGGTGGAAGTCTCAATAATTTGGACCAATCTTCCTACATAAGACAACCAAAAAACCTGGACCAAATACAAAAATTTTTAAAGCAAAAAATAAAATAGTGAGAAATTACCAACTGAGATCTGAGAAAAGGTGCAAACTAAGAATGATGAACCCAGTACTTGCAACCACTTTTGTCTTGGGAGTATTTGCCAAGCTAAAGAGAAACACGAAAGATCAGAGCTGCATATTCATGGCTCTCGGGACAAGGTACAAAAGTCGAAAGTTCAGGGCTTACGAAGGTGGGTACTCTCCTTGTTAATTCCCCCATTTTTGCCTGGGACCCAAAAGGTAGAAACATGAAGGAACCAGAAATAAACCAGCCATCAATCTGTTTAACCAGGCTTTATGTCATATGAGTGGCCAAGACAGAAAATCTTGAAACTTGTTAGCACTCTCAGGTGTCTAGCAGAAGCAAACAAAAATCCTTATGCTTCAAATTATTTCTACAAATAAATTTTCAATTGTAATATACAGCACACAATCAGAGATAATCAGGCCCTAAGGGGACAAGACAGTATAAGAGAATATAACAAAAATAGATCCACGGGGACTTCATATATTGGTATTATCAAACACTGAAAACAAGTGGACTGTGTTTTTTTTGTTTTTCTGTTGTTTTTGTTTGTTTGTTTTTGTTTTGAGATGGAGTCTCTCTCTGTCACCCAGGCTGGAGTGCGGTGGCACGATCTCAGCTCACTGCAAACTCTGCTTCCTGGGTTCAAGCGATTCTCCTGTCTCAGCCTCCCGAGTAGCTGGGACTACAGGCATACGCCACCACGGCTGGCTAATTATTGTATTTTTTAGTAGAGATGGGGTTTCACCATCTTGGTCAGGCTGGTCTTGAACTTCTGACCTCAAATGATCCACCCGCCTTGGCTTCCCAAAGTGCTGGGATTACAGGCATGAGCCACCATGCCTGGCTGACTGTGTTCTAAAGAAAGTTCATTGGAAGGGTTTAGCAGCAGATTAGATACAGAGTTGGCGAATGAGAAGATAGGCTAGGAAGAAATTATAGGCATTCTTTGGAAATATTGTGGGTTCTGTTCTAGACCACTGTAATAAAGTAAATATTACAATAAAGAAGGTCAAGTTTTTTGATTTCCCAGTGCATATAAAAGTTAAATTTACAATATACTGTAGTCTGTTAGGTGTGCAGTAACATTATACCTAAAAAGTGTACATATCTTAATTTAAAAAGTATTGCTAAAAATGCTAACAACCATCTGAGCCTTCAGAAGTCATAATCATTTTCCTGGTGTGGTGTCTTGCCTTGATGTTGATGGCTGTTGATTGATCATTGTGGTGGTTGCTGAATGTTATGGTTGCTGTGGCAATGTCAAAAGAAGACAGCAGCGAAGTTTGCTGCATTAATTGATGCTTTCACAAAAGATATCTGTAGCTTAGGATGCCACTCGATACCATTTTACCTACAATAGAAATTCTTTCAAAACTGGAGTTAAGCCCAGGCGTAGTGTCTCACGCCTGTAATCCCAGCATTTTGGGAGGCCGATGCAGGTGGATCACCTGAAGTCAGGAGTTCGAGACCAGCCTTACCAACATGGTGAAACCCCGTCTCTACTAAAAATACAAAAAATTAGCCGAGCGTGGTGGTGTGTGCCTAAAATCCCAGCTACTCAGGAGGCTGAGGCAGGAGAATAGCTTCAACCCGGGAAGCAGAGGTTGCAGTGAGCTGAGATCGTGCCGCTGCACTCCAGCCTGGGCCACAAGAGTGAAATGCCGTCTCAAAAAAAAAAAAAAAAAAAAAAAAAAAATTAATCCTCAAGCTCTACTGCTACTTTATTAACCAAGTTGATGTAATATTATAAATCTTTTGCTGTCATTTCAACAATGTTCATACCATGTTCCCAGGAGTAGTTTCCAACTCGGGAAATCACTTTCTTTGTTTATCCATAAAAAGCAACTCCTCATCTGTTCAAGTTTTATCATGACATTGCAGCAATTCAGTCACATCTTCAGGCTCCACTTCTAGTTCTCTTGCTCTTCCCACCACATCTGCAGTTAATTCCTCCACTGAAGGCTTGAACCTTTCAAAGTCATCCATAAGGTTTGGAACTCACATCTTCCACATTCCTGTTAATGTTTTGACCGCCTCCCATGAATTATGAATGTGCTTAATGGCATCTAGAATGGTCACTCCTTTCCAGAAAGTTTTCAACTTACTTTCCCCAGACCCATCAGAGGATCACTATTTATGGCAGCTATAGACTTACAAAATATATTTCCTAAATAGTAAGACTTGAAAGTCTAACTTATTCCTTGATCCATGGGCTGCACAGTGGATGTGTGTTAGCAAGCATGAAAACACTCATCTTGTACATCACCATCAGAGCTCCTCAACAACTAGGTGCATTGTCAACAAGCAGCAGTGGTTTGAAAAGAATCTTTCGTCTGAGCAGTAGGTCTCAACACTGGGCTTAAAATATTTAATAAACCAGGCTGTAAACAAATGTGTTGTCATCAAGGTTTCATTGTTCCATTTATAGAGCATAGACAGAGTAGATTTAGCCCTAGGATTTTCAGAGTGGTAAATGAGCATTGGCTTTAACTTAAAGTCACCAGCTGCATTAGTCCCTAATGAGAGACTCAGACTGTCCCTTGAAGCTTTTTTCTTTTTCTTTTTCTATTTTTTTTTTTTTTTTTTTGAATTGGGATTTTGCTCTGTTACCCAGGCTGGAATGCTGTGGTACAATCATAGCTCACTGCAGCCTCAAACTCCTGGGCTCAAGCAATCCTCCCACACCTCGGCCCTCCCAGTAGCTGGGACTACAGGTGTATGCTGCTATGCCAGGCTAGTTTTTTTTGTTGTTGTTGTTTTGTTCTTTTTGTTTGTTTGTTTTTAATTTTTAGTAGAGGTGAGGTCTCACACAGGCTGGTCTTGAACTCCTGACCTCAAGTGATCCTCCCATCTCAGTCTCCCAAAACACTGAGATTACAGGTGTGGGCCACCACATCCACCCCTTTGAAGCTTTGAAGCCAGGCATTGACTTCTCTCTCATTATTAAAGTTCCAGATAGCATCCTGTTCCAAGAGAAGGCTGTTTTGTTGTTTAATGTAGCCACCTTTTCATCAGTGATCTTAGCTAGACTTTCTGGATCACTTGCTGCAGCTTCTTAATCAGCACTTGCTATTTCATCTTGCACTTTTATGGTATGGGGATGGCTTCTTTTTTTAAGCCCTCATTAACAAACCTCTGCTAGCTTCCAACTTTACTTCTGCAGCTTTCTCATCCTCTGCCTTTATAGAATTGAAAATAATTAGGGCCTTGCTCTGGATTAGACTTTGGCTTAAGCGGATATTGTGGTTGGTTTGATCTTCTACCCAGACCACTAAAATTTTCTCCATGTCAACAAAAGGTTGTTTCCCTTTCTTATTTGTGTGTTCACTGGAGTAGCACTTTGAATTTCCTTCGTGAACTTTTCCTTTGCATTCACAAGTTGGCTAACCAGAATGAGAGGCCTAGCCTTAGGCCTGTCTTAGCTTTCAATATGTCTTTCTCGTTGAGCTTAATCATTTATAGCTTTTAGCTTTAAGTGAGAGACATGTGACTCTTCCATTCATTTGAACCCTTAGAGGCCATTGTAGTTATTAATTGGCTTAATTTCAATATTGTTGTGTCTCATATAATAGGGAGTGATATGGTTTGCCTGTGTCCCTACCCAAATCTCATCTTGAATTCCCACGTGTTGTGGGAGGGACCTGATGGGAGGTAATTGAATCATGGCAGGTTCTCCCCATGCTATTCTCTTGGTAATGAATAAGCCTCATGAGGTCTGATGGGTTTAAAAAGGGGAGTTTCACTGAACAAACTCTCTCTTTGCCTGCCTCCATCCACATAAGATGTGACTTGCTCCTCCTTGCCTTCTGCCATGATTGTGAGGCCTCCCCAGCCATGTGGAACTGTAAATCCATTAAACCTCTTTCTTTTGTAAATTGGCCAGTCTCTGGTATGTCTTTATCAACAGTGTTAAAACAAACTTAATACAGTAAATTGGTACAGTAGAGTGGGGAGCTGCTGTAGATACCTGAAAATGTGGAAGCAACTTTGGAACTGGGTAATAGGCAGGGATTGGAACAGTTTGGAGGGCTCAGAAGACAGGAAAATGTGGGAAAGTTTGGAACTTCTTAGAGACTTGTTGAATGGCTTTGCCCAAAATGCTGATGGTGATATGGACAATAAAATTCAGGCTGAGGTGGTCTCAGATAGAAATGAAGAACTTGTTGGGAATTGGAGCAGAAATGACTCTTGTTATGTTTTAGCAAAGACACTGGCAGCATTTTGCCCCTGCCCTAGAGATCTGTGGAACTTTGAACTTGAGAGAGATGATTTAGGGTATCTGATAGAAGAAATTTCTAAGTGGCAAAGCATTCAAGAGGTGACTTGGGTGCTGTTAAAGGCATTCAGTATCAGGGAATCTGCCCTGATATTCACATAGGTTCTTTTCTGTTTTCTTTAAGCATCAGCCAGATTGAGAAATAAAGGGACAGAGTACAAAAGAGAGAAATTTTAAAGCTGGGCATCCGGGGGAGACATCACATGTCGGTAGGTTCCGTGATGCCTCACAAGCCACAAAAACTAGCATGTTTTTATTAGAGATTTTCAAAAGGGGAGGGAGTGTGCGAATAGGTGTGGGTGACAGACATCAAGTACTTAACAGGGTATTAGAATATCACAAGGCAAGTGGAGGGAGGGCGAGATCACAGGACCACAGGACTGAGGCAAAATTAAAATTGCTAATGAAGTTTCGGGCACCATTGTCATTGATAACACATCTTATCAGGAGACAGGGTTTTGAGATCAATCGGTCTGACCAAAATTTATTCGGTGGGAATTTCCTCTTCCTAATAAGCCTGGGAGTGCTATGGGAGACTGAAGTCTATTTCATCACTGCAGCCTCGACCATAAGAGACAGCTACGCCCAGGGGGCCCAGTTTAGAGACCTACCCGCAGGTGCACATTCTCTTTCTCAGGGATGTTCCACGCTGAGAAAAAGAATTCAGTGATACTTCTGCCATTTGCTTTTGAAAGAAGAGAAATATGGCTCTGTTCCACCTGGCTCACCGGCGGTCAGAGTTTAAGGTTATCTCTCTTGTTTCCTAAACATTGCTGTTATCTTGTTCTTTTTTCAAGGTGCCCAGATTTCATATTGTTTAAACACACATGTTCTACAATTTGGGCAGTTAATACAATTATCACATGGTCCTGAGGCAACGTACATCCTCCTTGGCTGACAGGATTAAGAGATTAAAGTAAAGACAGGCATAGGAAATCACAAAGGTATTGATTAAGGAAGTGATAAGTGTCCATGAAACATTCACAACTTATGTTTAGAGACTGCAGTAAAGACAGGCATAAGAAATTATAAAAGTATTAATTTAAGGAACTAATAAATGTCCATAAAATCTTCACAATCCACGTTCTTCTGCCATGGCTTCAGCCGGTCCCTCCATTTAAGGTCCCTGACTTCCCGCAACAATTCAGTTTTATGAGGGAAGTAGAATATAAAAGTTTGGAAAATTTGCAGCCTGACAATGCGATAGAAAAAGAAAATCCCATTTTCTGAGGAGAAATTCAAGCTGTCTGCAGAAATTTGCATAGGTAAGGAGGAGCTGAATGTTAATCCCCAAGACAATGGGGAAAATGTCTCCAGGGCATGTCAGAGACCTTTGTGGCAGCTCCTCCCATCACAGGCCTGAAGGCCTAGGAAGAAAAAGTGGTTTCGTGGGCCAGACCCAGGGTACCTGTCCTGTGTGCCACCCAGGGGCTTGGTGCCCTGTGTCCCAGCTGCTCCAACCGTGGCTGAAAGGGGTCAACATAGAGCTCAGGCTGTGGCTTCAGAGGGTGCAAGCCCCAAGGTTTGGCAGCTTCCACATGGCGTTGAGCCTGTGAGTGCACAGAAGTCAAGAATTGAAGTTTGGGAACCTCTGCCTAGATTTCAGAATATGTATGGAAATGCCTGGATGCCTAGGCAGAAGTTTGATGGGTGGGGGATGGGGGGAGGCGTGGCTCATGGAGAACTTCTGCTAGGGCAGTGCAGAAGAGAAGTGTGGGGTCAGAGCCCCCACACAGAGTCCCTACTGGGGCACCACTTAGTGAAGCTGTGAGAAGAGGGCCACCATCCTCCAGACCCTAGAATGGTAGATCCACCAACAGCTTGCACCATGCACCTGGAAAAGCTGCAGACACTCAACACCATCCAATGAAAGTAGCTGGGAGGGAAGCTGTACCCTGCAAAGCCACAGGGGTGGAGCTGCCCAAGACCATGGAAACCCACCTCTTGCATCAGTGAGACCTGCATGTGAAACATAGAGTCAAAGGAGATAATTTTGGAACTTTAAGATTTGACTGCCCCACTGGATTTCAGACTTGCATGGGGCCTGTAGCCCTTCTGTTTTGGCCAATTTCCCCCACTTGGAATGGGTATATTTACCCAATGGCTATACCCCCATTGAATCTAGGAAGTAACTAACTTGATTTTCATTTTACAGGCTCATAGGTGAAAGGGACTTGCCTTATCTTGGATGAGACTTTGGACTGTGGCCTTTTTTGGGGGGTGGAGGTGCTTGAGACAGAGTCTTGCTCTGTTGCCCAGGCTGGAGTGCAGTGGCATGATTTCAGCTCACTGCAACCTCCACCTCCTGGGTTCAAGCGATTCTCCTGCCTCAGCCTCCTAAGTAGCTGGGTCTACATTGCACACCCCACCACACCTGGCTAATTTTTGTATTTTTGTAGAGATGGGGTTTCATCATGTCAGCCAGGCTGATCTTGAACTCCTGGCCTCAAGCAATCTGCCCACCTCAGCCTCCCAAAGTGCTGGGATTACAGGCCTGAGCCACTATGCCCGACCTTTGGACTGTGGACTTTTGAGTTAATGCTGGAGTAAATTAAGACTTTGGGAGACTGTTGGGAAGGGATGATTGGTTTTGAAAAGTGACAACATGAGATTTGGGAAGGGCCAAGGCAGAATAATATGGTTTGACTGTGTCCCCACCCAAATCTCATCTTGAATTCCCACATGTTGTGGAAGGAACCTGGTGGGAGGTAATTAAATCATGGAGGCAGGTCTTTCCTGTGCTATTTTCATAATAGTGAATATGTCTCATGAGGCCTGATGGTTTTAAAAAGGGAGTTTCCCTGCACAAGCTCTCTCTTTCCCTGCTGCCACTCATGTAAGATATGACTTGCCCCTCTTTGCCTTCCACCATGATTGCGAGGCTTCCCCAGCTATGTGGAACTGTAAGTCCATTAAACCTCTTTCTTTTGTAAATTGGCTAGTCTTAGATATGTTTTTATCAGCAGCATGAAAATGGACTAATACAGAGAGGCCTGAGAAGAGGGCAAGAGGTTGGGGAACAACTGGTCAGGGGAGCAGTCAGAACACACACGACATTTATTAATTACGTAAATTGTCTTATAAGAGTCTGTTTTGCGATGCCTCAAAACAACTGTAGTAACATCAAAGATCATTGATCACAAGTTACCATCACAGATTTAATAGTAATTAAAAAATGAAAATGATGTGAGAATTTTCAAAATGCAACACAGAGGCATGAAGCGAGCACGTGCTGTTGGAAAAAATGGAGCTTACAGACTTGTTCAACAGAGGGTTGCCACAAACCTTCAATTTGTAAAAACAAAAAACAGTATCTCCAAAGTGCAGTTGAACAAGGTATGCCTATATACAGAATGAAGAATGAAAAGACAAAAAGATGTGGGATAGAGAATAAACAGAAGAGAGAGTAAGATCTTAAATAATACAGTGGAGAAGATCTGTTATATGTTTAACTGGAGTCCCAGAGGAAGGAGAGAAGAATAAGATGGGGTCAATTTTGTAGAAGATGATGCCTAAGAGTTTTCCAGAACAGATGAAAGGCATTACTCCACAGATTCAAAGACCATAGAAATGTCAAGCAAGATAAACGGAAATTTACAACATAGTAAAAATTGTAGATAACTAAAGACAATGAGAACATTTTAAAGGCACAAAATAGAGAGTGCTTACCTTTAAAAAAAAGTGAGAAATACACTTCTTAACAGTAAAATCGAAGCCAAAACATAATTTTTGTAGAGACAGCATCTCATTATGTTGCCCAGGTTGGTTTCAAATTCTTGGGCTCAAGCAGTCCTCCCACCTCAGCCTCCCAAAGTGTTGATATTACAGGTGTGAGCCACTGAGCCTGGCCAGTTATGTGCTACTTAATAGGTACACCTAAAGCCTGTGTACTAGGTTGAAAGTAAAATGATGGAATTAAGTTATACCATGGTATTATCATGTAAAATAGTTTAAGGCAAATGGCATTACTAAGAATAAAGAAGCTCACTTTGTAATGATTAAAAAGTCCAGATCACCAGCAAAGTATACTGATTCTAGATTTGCATCTGCAAAAAAAGACTCCAAAACCCATGAAGCAAAAATTGACACATCTACAAGGCGAAATATGTAAATCCACAGTCATGATGAGAAATTTTAACATTTTATATGCATATAAAGCTGAACACATGACTAACAATCTAGTGGATGTGTATAGAACCCAACAATTGCAGAATATATATTCTTTTCAAGCACACATTGAATATTTATAAAAACTGATCATATACTGTGCCGTAAGTTTCATCTCAGCAAATTTCAAAGTTTTGATGCCATGAATGAAATGAAACCTGACATTTCAAAATTATAAACAGAATATGCCCTGGAGTAACTTGTGGTATTGTTTGGGGATGAGGAGAGCCATCCGAATAGTGTTTTAAGGAAAGTCTCTATTCATTGATCTGGGGTAACAAGGCAGGAACCATTCCAATGCAGAAGCTTTGGCTAAGCAGTTGAGCGTTCAGTAGTGCATGTAAATTCCTGTGTGAAGGCTGTGGTGTCATGGCTAAAGGCATAGCCTCTGGAACCAGACTGTTTGGGTTCAAATCTCAGTTCTGCTGCTTAACTCACTGTGTGATGGTGGGCAAGTTGCCTAACCTCTGTGTTTCAGTTCCTTCATCTGTAAAGTGGTAGTATTCTACCTCAAAGCATTGTTGGTACATTATATGGTTATAATTTATAAATGTATGGTGGCAAGTTCTATAAAAGTAGTTGTACAGCACCACACATGTCTGCTTGCTTTTGTGGAACCCAGTGTGTAGAGTACAGTAGATGAATGTATCCACTTAGGATATATATGTAAATAATAAATTGAAAAGTGAAATGCCCTGGCATTGCTGGGATTGGAAAGGCAGACAGGTTTGGAAGCAGACACGCATCAAACAAGATGGGCATGACAGATGATTGACCATGAGTTAATGATGGTTGAACCTCGACAATAGGTACAGGGAGATTTGTTGTACTGTTTTCTCTACTTTTGTAAACACTTGAAATTTTCCTTATTAAAAATACTTTTTAAAAAAATGTTGGCCTACAAAATCCAATTAGGAGCTCATGTCAGTTCACCTTTGCATCTGACCATTTAGTCGTCCAGGAGGTTGTTTGCCTCATATTCACATTTTAGAGAGCATTTGATTCATGAAATATTTTCATTCAGTCATGTTAGAAAGGATTTTTCCCAACTCTTTTGGTCTCAAGTTGCATTCATCATTTTCAATGTTTATTGATGACTGAATGAATGAGAGAGAAAGTAGATAATTGACAATGAGAAGAAAATGTGACTAAATTTCAAGTCAAATGTAGGAAATAGTGTAACTTCTATACAAACACAAAGGTTTGTGACTCAGGTAGAGACAGGGTCAAGGCCTCCAGTGTGCAATAGCATTATTTATTAACAAATCTTTTAAAGTTAAACAGTAGCTAAAATATCTTAGCTGTCATGTTTAATGATTAGTTTATGTAACCTCACAGCACTAACCTGGAAGCTGAACTCATTTATTTTTCTTACGCACTGTAAGCAACAGCACCTGTGGTTCAGGACTGGGATCTCACATGAGGAGTTAATGAAGCTCAATCAGTAAGCAGATGTTTCTAAAAACTGTGCCGTTTCTTGATTTCACACTGTACTCAGGTGCAGGCAGCCATAGACTTTTTTTTTTTTAAACAAAAACATAAGTGCAATGTTGGTGGTAAAGTATTGGGAATTTTATAGTCTAAACGTTATAACTCACTTCCAATTTTCATCAAAGTAAAGTACAAGGTCTGAGACAGGCTTGGGTCTGAATCCAATTTGCACCAGTCACAAGTTGTGTGGTTCTTGGCAAGTTTCATACGCTGTCTGAGCCACATTTTTCTCATTTGTAAAGGGGAGTAATACTAGTCTCCAGTGAACTGGTAAATGTTTAACAATTAGCTGTCAGGGTTAGCCAAAATAGGGTTTGCTAATTTCCATAGTGTAATTATT
Source organism: Homo sapiens (assembly GCF_000001405.40). NCBI lineage: Eukaryota > Metazoa > Chordata > Mammalia > Primates > Hominidae > Homo > Homo sapiens. The sequence continues at coordinate 134,765,406 of NC_000008.11, read as the reverse complement.
CCCACCATGGCCTCTTTCAAGCTACCAACAGGACATCCCTGAACACAGAACCAGCAGAGAATGGCAGCAGCAGCACACCATGAGGTGGGATGTCCACCAGGGAGATACAGTAGGCCTCAGTGACCCCAGAAGCCAAGATGATGGTTCAGTCTAGTGAAAGCACTAGGAAGCAGTGTGTTTTAAGTATTTATTACTTTTAAAAATATATGTTATTTAGTGGTAAGTTTATATAATTTGATTTTAAATAATAACGGGGTATAAAAACTAGCTCACCAAATTCCTGAAAATTTAACAGTTGGCCCATTTGAGCTGTATACATCCTACCTAGTTCAAGCACATTGCTTTCCATCTCCAGCTCCTGGATTTCCTAAATAACACTACAATGAACATTTATCCATGATGCATACCCAAATCACAGGCTGTGCGACTGGAATGTGACTGAGTATACTGCCATGTTCTTCTCCAGAATGGCCAGGCCAGCTTGCCTTCCTACTAGCAGTGCCTGCGGGTTCCCGTGCTTCCCTGATGAGGTGCATAGATATATAATAAAGTGTAGATGGACACAGCAGATGGGTGCTGCCATACCACACTTGAAGCAACAGTGAGGCCTCCAACTTGGAAAGTCCACTGATAAGCATAGTGCCTGGTGATAAAAAGTAAAAGCAGAATTAGATGTATAGTACAATACTGTACATTTAAATGCATACAAAACAATAGACTTATTCAAGAATATTCAAATTAAAAGATGCACATCAGATGGATTTGAATGGTGGCTCATGGAGGGAAGTGATTTATTATATCAGTGAGCCACATTCAAGCTTGTATTCCTATTGTCTCTAATAAATCTGTGAAAGTTTACACGTTTATCTAATTTATTTTCCAGGAAAACCACATGGAACCTATATTTACTGTATTTGCATAGTTAAGCAATATTTCCAGTATAGGAGCTACATACAGCAATCATTAAACTTAAAACCATTCAAGCCAATTTATCTGTTTATTGGTAGGATTTATTATAACACTTGCAGAACTACAAGCAATTTAACTTCTGTCTTATGTATATTATCCCACTTAACCTTCAAAACAAAGATTTGAAGCCTAGAGGAGCTACATGTTTTACCCAGGATGAGAGAACTAGCAAGGACAAGGGCAGCAGCTACTTAGCAAATACAGAAATTACCTGGCAAGAAAAAGAAAGATTGACCTGGACTTTGCTGGGTAAATGTGAGACCAGTGGGGTCTTCATCTTCATTATTTTCTCAGCCATTCTTTGCCCCAAGGCAGACAACAAATATTATAACAATGATTATCTTGTAAGTGTGAATTATTTTATATTTATTTAAATAATGGAGCTGGCAAGGGCCTTGGGGATTTTAGAAAACCCCTTGCTGTTACATACATGATCAGTATAACAAGGCTTAGAAAATGCAGGTTTTCTAATTTGTCCAAGGTTACACGGAAAATTTTCTAAATATCCAGGAAAGGAAACCTGATTTTCTAACTCTTGGGCCAAGTGTGGTTTAATAGAATCAGACAGACTTTTTAGATTCTGGAAAGACAGGACCATCATCTAACTATAGAGCTTAGACAAGCTGCTGGACATTCCCAAGCCACTGTTTTCTGTCACCCAATAGGAATAATACCTGACTCGGATAGTTGCGGCAAAGACCATTCATTCGTGTATTTATGCATTTATTGAACAAATCTTTAGGGAGGCAACTTCTATGGGCCAGGCACTGTTCTAGGCACGAGGATATAATAATGAGTATATAAAAATTCCTGTACTTGAGGAGCCTACATTCTAGCAAACTTATATTCAAATGGCTGAATAAATAAATGTGTAAATCAATCAATGAATGAGTGCTATAAAAAATAAGGCACGGTAAGGAAGTAGAGATGAAGAAGGCTGAATTTTTAGTTAGGGAGGTCAAGTGTATGTCTTTAAGAAGGTAAGATTTGAGCTGAGACCTAAAAGAAATGAGGGAGCAACCATTCTAAAGTCTGGAGGAAGAAAGATTATGAGAGGAAACAAGAAAAAAGCTCGAAGGTAGTAATAAACTTGTCTTGTTCCAAGAAGAACATTGTAGGGGAACCGAGTGAAAGGGATTAAGTGTAACAGGAGGTGAATTCAGTGAGATAAGCAGATTATGTTAAGGCCTTATAGTTGATGGTAAATAGAAAACCATTAGGAATTTTGAAAGAGAATTGACATCGTTATATCTGATATACATTTTTTATTTGTTTACTTTATGATGATATTATTTTTATTTCTATCACAAGCCCCTTCACATTTCTTCTTTCTAATGCAGAAGACTTTTCAGTCTGATTTACATTTTTTAAAGATTACTCTGATGAGATTGTAGGGACCAAAGGTGCTAATAGGGAGACTGGTTAAGAGACTGTTGTGGTAGTCCATATAAAGAGATGGGGTGGCTTAGACAGGGGAGGAAGTGCTGAGCAGCAGTTGCATTCAGGATCTATGTTGACCTGAGCAATGGGTAATTCATTATCTATTTATCCACTTGGCTAAATGATGCTGCCATTTACCAGAGGAGGACTGGGAAAAAGCAGGTTTTTCAAGGGTAGAGAGGTATGGGTAGGGGAGCAAGTATTCTGTTTTAGACATGTTAGGTTCAAAAAGGTTATTAGACATCCAAGAATAAAGATGCCAGGTAAGCAATTGGATATATTTCTAAGTTGCATGGAAAAGGATGAATCTGAAGATATAAATTTGAACATAATCCATGTTTACAGGTTGTAAGTGAAGATACAGATGGCAAGACACACAAAGACCAAATCCCAAAGCACTTCAACATTTAGAAGTCAGAAAAAGAAAGAGAAACTAGCAAACAATACTGAGAAGAGGCCAATGAAATCAGGAAAATCAGGAGATGATGGTGTCTGAAAGCCAAACAAGGAAAGGCTACCAAAAAGGATGAAGAGATCAACAGTGTCAAATTCTCCTGAAAGGTAGGCTAAGGTGAGATTTGACCATTGGCAACCTTGACAAGAGTAGTTTCAGCTGGAGGTTGGGAAAGAAAGATGGCTTAGAGTGTGCTGAATGAATGACACTGTGGATACAAACAATTCTGTCACAGAGATTTTGTTTTAAAGAGGTGCAAAGAAATGAGTGACAATTAAGAGGGGTTTGTAGAGACCAGGAATGATGTGGTAGATTGGATATTGTTCCTAGTTATTTACTGCCCCTCTGATTTGGGTCCTTGCTGTACATGAGAGAGGGTGGAGCATATGTCTCAACCTACTTGATGTTGGACTTAGCTCATGACTTACTTTGGCCAATGGAGTGTTGTAAGATGGGCCACAAACAAAGGCCTTAAACGTATTTGAGAAGTTTGGCTTGGCCTCTTGTGGTCCTGTGGAAAGCACACATTTGCACACACACACACACACACACACACACACATACAGAGAGAAAGAGAGAGAGAACTGAATAGCTGCTGGTCCAGAAAAAATGTGAAGACATGAGGAGGGGATCTGGCCCTAATATGAACCTTGAATCAAGTTTAGCCAACCTGCGACCTGAAGTGGAGCTCCCCAAAAGATCATGGGCTGATAAATGAGAAAAATAAGTGCATATTGTTGTGACTTATTGTTGAAAAATAAGTGGTTATTGTTGTGACTTATTGTTGAAAAATAAGTGCTTATTGTTGTGATTAATTAATTTATTTTATTTTACTTTTTTTTTTTGAAACGGAGTCTCGCTTTGTCGCCAGGCTGGAGTGCAGTGGCACGATCTCGGCTCACTGCAACCTACACCTCCCAGGTTCAAGCGATTCTCCTGCCTCAGCCTCCCAAGTAGCTGGGACTACAGGCATTTGCCACCATGCCTAGTTAATTTTTGTATTTTTAGTAGAGACGGGGTTTCACCATGTTGGCCAGGATGATCTCGATCTCTTGATCTCGTGATTTGCCGGCTTCAGCATCCCAAAGTGCTGGAATTACAGGTGTGAGCCACCATGCCTGGCCTGTTGTGATTTATTGCACAGAAAATCCAGATTGGGCTAAGCTCCCCTACTATGTGTTTCCATAGCCCTCATTCTTCCACTGTCATAACTCTAGATGCATGTATCACAAATGCTTGCTCTGTCTTCCCTCCCATCATACCCTCAGTCCTTTGAAGGTCTTGGTTGTGCCTGTATCATTCATAGTTGTATCCTCAGTGCCTCATGCAGTGCTCAGCCCACAGTAGGGGCTCAATAGATATTTGTGGAGTGGAAAGGATAAAGTACAATGATTTGAGCTTGAGAAACACCAATCAGCAGGGCTTTCTGTACATACCAGGCTCTTTGTCTCACTATGGAGAGTTGTGTGCATTGTTGACATCTGCTATAGGCAGTTTGTCTCCTCTAAGATAAAAGACCAGGAAAGACTATAACATGTGATCCCTTCCGGTGTCTGCTCATCCATACTATCAAAATCCTAACCATCCTTTAAGACCAAGCTCAATTCCCAGCTTACTTAGGAAAGAAGCCTCTCCTGGATCCCAGATCCAGCTGGAATTTTTCCCCTTAGTATTTACAGCAGTTAGCACCTGTCTTGTAACTTTGAGCAGATGTTTATTTAAAATTCTCGTATGTTCTCATTGTAATCCCATCCCCCTCCTTCCTTCACCAATTAGACTGCTTTTTGAAAAGTATCCCTGGAACCTAGCCCAATGCTGCACACATAAAACATCTCAATAAATGTTTGTTAATGAATAGTTACTGAATAAATCAATGAATGGATACTTTCATTCACACCTTTATTCCTCCCAGCATTTAGTACTGCTTTGCACATTGTGGGTACTTGAGAAATCTGCACACTCACACCCCCACTCACCCGCCACTCCTGCAACTTCTCCAATATATGGGAGAGGACTGACAATTTTATCTAGTCTTCTGGGTGATTCCTGAGTGATTCTCCAACAGAGAACAGATAGAAATGAGGTAAGTGTGGTCCTCTCTCATTCTAATCCCTTGTAATCTGGGCCTGCCAATAGAATTGTTGTGTTTACCAAATCAATGGTCTGGTTCTGACTTTCTTCCCTATGGATGTTCTTTAGCATTTTGCATTGCTTATAATCCATGGGAAGATGTTTGTTTGTTTGTTTTTTGTTTGTTTTTTTTTTTTTTTCTTTTTGAGACGGAGTCTCCCTCTGTTGCCCAGGCTGGAGTGCAGTGGCATGATCTCGGTTCACTGCAAGCTCCGCCTCCTGGGTTCATGCCATTCTTCTGCCTCAGCCTCCCGGGTAGCTGGGACTGCAGGTGCCCGTCACTGCGCCCAGCTAATTTTTTGTATTTTTAGTAGAGACGGGGTTTCACCGTGGTCTCAATCTCCTGACCTTGTGATCCGCCCGCCTTGGCCTCCCAAAGTGCTGGGATTACAGGCATGAGCCACCGCACCCGGCCTCTGTTTGTTTTTTTTTTTTTTTTTTTTGAGACGGAGTCCTGCTCTGTTGCCCAGTCTGGAGTGCAGTGGCATGATCTTGGCTCACTGCAACCTCCATCTCCCAGGTTCAAGCAATTCTCCTACCTCAGTCTCCCGAGTAGCTGGAATTACAGGTGCCTGCCATCACATCCAGCTAATTTTTGTATTTTTAGTAGAAGTTTCACCATGTTGGCCAGGCTAGTCTCAAACCCCTGACCTCAGGTGATCTACTTGCCTCAGCCGCCCAAATTTCAGGGATTATAGGCATAAGCCATCGCGCCCAGCTGGGAAGTTATTTTAAAAATTCAATTCTAAGTATGAATTCAGTTGTAGAGTTTCCTGAAACTCTTCAGTTTGTTTCTTGATTTTTTTTTTCCTAAATGAATAATTATGTTCTTTGCCTATGGTCATATACTAAACCACAACTCTCTTTCAATACCACCATCCTCCCTCCACCAAAGGTTTGATTTGCTATAAACTATCAATATTGAATTGGCAATTTACTACTGTTCAGAATTTTGATGTCCCAGATAATAGGAATCTTGGGGTTCCAGGCCTTTCAGTGGTGGAAGAAGAGGTAACCTGGGATTTACATCAAGGTAGCTGCCTATTCATGGGGGTCCCAAATCTACCTGGCTCAGTAGGAAGAATGTTGGCCCAGAATGAGGCCTGACCCTTCTCTCACTTAATGATTTCTGAGTCCCTCTTGCTGGATCTGCAAAATGAAAATTCGACTTACCTCCCAGGTCCGTTGTGAGGGTCAAATAAGAACCTGTGTAAGTTTTCATAAACTTTATAGTGCTATACAAATATATAGCATTGGTAAAGCCATCTCCTCTATTGATGAGTCCTGCCTCGTGTCTGAATTCTAGCATTCAAAATTTATACCTTTCCCTAAAGAAAGACTTTCATGAGTTTTGATAGACAATGCTGTTTGTCACTCCAATAGTCAGTCCCTTCTCCCTTGCTAACATGACTGCTTTTATTTGGGGCAGTGATGGGCTGTGGATCATGGATCCTGGATCCATCATGATTCATGGCACATCATTGCCCCAAAGGTGGAGCACCACATCACTGGTTCCCTGAGGTGGAGCACCCACCTTGAGGTGGACCACCACATCATGCTTTTATTTGGGGCAGTGATGTGCCACGGATCAGGATGGATCATGATCAGTATCAGTCAAAGGAATCCTTGATGGAACATTTGCTCTCCCAGCACTCCCATGCAACAAAGGGTGGTCTTGTAACCCAACCCTGGCCAATGAGATATAAGAACACATTCGCTGATAAGTTGCCAGAGACAAGTTGTCTCCTAGTAGGAGGAAAACCAGCTTTTCCATTCCATGTCTTTCTTTTCTTTCTGTCTTGAACATGGTTATATGTAGACACAATGGCCAGGGCCATGAAAAGCCATTTTGCAAACATGAGGCAACAAGCCTAGGGACAACAAGCTTAGGCAATAAGCCTCCTCTACCTTCCCCAAAACAGAACCAAAGATTGGAGCCAGTAAAGCAAGATGCTTAGTGCTGACTCTTAAACTAAGCACAGAGAGGTTAAGTAATTTGCCCAACATCACACAGCTAGTAGGAGGTAAAGTGGAGAGTTGAACCCAAGTGTTTTATTCCCAAATGACTGTTTTGTTTTGTTTTGTTTTTTTCCACTGTATCTTTTTTCTTACCTGTAGTCCTGGTCTCTTCCTGCACTCACCCTGGGTGATCATACCCAGGATCATGCTTTCTAGCAAAGAACTCCAAATCTACATTCCTAGCCCCAGGCTAATAAGAGCCAATCCCCCTCACATTTCTGCTGGATGGTCTCAGGCTGTCTTACTAGTACATCAAGCTCCTATGTCTAAAACTGAACTCATTTATCCTTGCAACTTCAATACTTTTTCCTTCTCTTGATTTAGTTCATTTGAGTTCGTGGAATCTCAAGTCTGCTAGTCATCACATGGTGTTGAGGACAGAATATAGGTTTTGAAATCAGAAGATTTGACTTCAGATTGATCAGCAGTCAGTTGCAGAATCATTGAAAGGGTTGAAGAAATCGATCTCTGTTGAGCTTGCAGGCACAATAACCAAAGCCACAATGCCGATCTGAATTGCCAAGAGAGCTGTTCCCCTCTCTGGTCCCCTCGGGACCATGACTGTACTAGGGAGAGAAACCAGCATCACCAGGAGGCAGCCACTGCCACTGGCAGCTCCAGCCCCAGGACATATCTGCTACAATTCACCCCAGCAAAACAGGATGGGATGTCTGCCACTTATCCTGAGTCTGTTTTTATCTCTTTCCATCAAATCATTGGTACCCTGCAAAAGCCCTCAATTCCATTGTCTTTTTAGGTACCATTCTTCTCTAGTGCCGGAAGTATACCAGGAGACAGGAGCATGTCCCCTGTCACCAGTGTCCCATCCCAATTCACTGCCAGTGACAGCGGGACATTGCCAATACCCCACCCACCACAAGTGGTGGAATCTTCCATGCCAGCTGGCCAGCAAGTAGTTCATCCCTAAAATCCCATTTTAGAGTGTGCTTCCTAGGATCACTTCTCTTACCAACTGCCTTAGACAGGAATCCCTGCAAACAGACTCTTAGCTGGAGAGTGGAATGCAGAAGGTTTACTTAAGTGCTTCAGGAAATATGCCTCTAAAGAAGGAAGGAAGGGCTGGGTGCGGTGGCTCACGGCTGTAATCCCAGCACTCTGAGAGGCTGAGGTGGGTGGATCTCCTGAGGTCAGGAGTTTGAGACCAGCCTGGCCAACATGGTGAAAACCCACCTCTACTAAAAATACAAAAATTAGCCAGGTGTGGTGGCAGGTGCCTGTAGTCCCAGCTACTTGGGAGGCTGAGGCAGGAGAAGTGCTTGAACCCGGGAGGCAGAGGTTGCAGTGAGCCCAGATTGTGCCACTGCACTCCAGCCTGGGCGACAGGAGTGAGACTTTGTCTCAAAAAAAAAAAAAAAAAAAAAAAAGGAAAGAAGGTGGGAATGGGCAGAGGGAGAAGCTGACTTGTGATTTGGTTGTAATTGAGGCCGTACTCAACCCAAAGCCTCCACTCACAGCATTCCTATCTGCCATAGAGGCTTTACATACCTTCACATCTGCTGGATTCTGTGGCCACAGTGGAAGAGCAGCTTGCACAGCAACTGCGCTTGTGGAGCTGCCTCTCACTCCAGGCGTCCCAAACCTGGCAGCTTTCCGGATCCTGCAGGGAGCTCTGGAGCAGGGTTGGCCCTTCACTTGTCCTAAATTGAAGCAAGAAGGTCAGTCACTGGCCGTGAGCTGCCCCTTAGGAGGAAGCAGAACTGTAGGTGGGGCAGCCCCTGCCACTGACCACAGTTCCCAGAGAGGGGTGCAGCTGTGAAAATCGGCAGGCAGTGTGCCCAGCATCTGGAGGACAGGGCACCGGACCTGAAGAGGGATTGGAGGTGGAGCACCACAGCATCCACTGCACATGAGCGTTTCACTCTAAATGAAGGAAACAGCACCGTGCTGGAGAACGGGGAGGGCAGTGAGTTTGGCCCTGGGACCTGTGTTTGTGTCCCAGTTCCCAGACTTACTCACTCCGTGACTGTGTTCAAGTAATGTCCCGTTCCTGAACGTTTCATTCCTCATCTCAGTCATGGTCACGATCACAAGAACACCTTGCCCTGCCTCTGCACGTGGCTAAAGTCAAACCAAATGAGAATCTGGAGGTGAGGGCCCATGGTAAAATATTGTATAAGTGTGAGGAGTTCTGATTAATGGGGTCTGATTTCAAAGAAATGTGCAGGGGGGATGTTGAGGTCTAGAGCAGAGCTCACTGAGGCTTATGCCAGAGTCTTAGCTGGCAGAGTTTTACAAGGAGGCAGAGAAAGCTGCTTATCTCTGTGCTTCCAGGAAAAGAGGACTGGTAGGGAAAGAGCCCTACAGGAAGGAGGAAACTTGGTGATGAAAGAAGAAGTGAAGAAAAAAGAGATGGAATCCCAGTAAGGAAGACAGAGAAGAAAGTGAAGTCAACATTTGTTGAACAATTACCATGTGCCAGGTGCTAGGCTTGGCACTTGTACCTGCATTCTCTCTGCATAAGGGAGGTGATTCTCAGAAACTTTCGGTTGCAAGTGAAAGGAAATCCAACTATCTTTTATCTTTTTTTTTTCTTTTTCTTTTTTTTTTTTTTTTTTTGAGATGGAGTCTTGCTTTTGCTCTGTCGCCCAGGCTGGAGTGCAGTGGCGTGATCTCGGCTAACTGCAACCTCTGCCTCCCGGGTTCAAGTGATTCTCCTGCCTCAGCCTCCCAAGTAGCTAGGATTACAGGCATGTGCCACCACACCCAGACAATTTTTGTATTTTTTGTAGAGACATGGTTTCACCATGTTGGACAGGCTGGTCTTGAACTCCTGACCTCAGGTGATCTGCTTGCCTCAGCCTCCCACAGTGCGGGGATTACAGGCATGAGCCACCGCACCAGGCAGGAAATCCAACTATCTTAAGCCAAAAAGAACTCAGTAAAATCCCAGAATTCACCACTATGTAATTCATCCATGTAACCAAAAACCACTTACACCCTAAAAGCTTTTTTTTTTTTTTTTTTGAGACAGAGTCTCACTGTCGCCAGGCTGGAGTGCAGAGACACGATCTTGGCTCACTGCAACCTCCACCTCCCAGGTTCAAGCATTTCTCCTGCCTCAGCCTCCCAAGTAGCTGGGACTATAGGCACATGCCGCCACGCCCGGCATTTTTTTTTTTTTTTTTGTATTTTAGTAGAGACGGGGTTTCACCATGTTGCCCAGGCTGGTCTTGAACTCCTGAGCTCAGGCAATCCGCCTGCCTCGGCCTCCCAAAGTGTTAGGATTACAGGCGTGAGCCACCACGCCCAGCCCCCAAAAGCTATTGAAATAAAAAATGAAAGCAAAAATCCCTCACACTTGCTTAGGTAAAACAAACACCAACAGAAAAAAAGGAATATATTGGCTCAACAACCAAAAAGGTAAGGCTGGCTTCAGGAATAACTTGGTTCTGCGATTTTTGCCCTATCTCCGAGACCCGCTTTCTCCATCTCCCATCTCTTGGCTCTGTTCTTTGACTGCGTGTGTTGGCCAAGATGGAGGTCATGGCAGCTGAAGCCATTGGCGAAGAGGACTTGCTGCATCCTTTGTCATTGCCGAGATCTCACCCCTCAGCACCTCTCATTGGGTCCCACATCCTTCCTGACCCAGCACCCAAGTCCCTGAGAATATGATGTGCTCTTGGGCTCAGGGCCTATTCAGAGCCCATGGGCTAAGGGTTGGTGACAGGTGGCTCTTCTGGGTGTTTTGAAGAAGGGTGAGGTGGGTGGACAGCCACAGAGGACCACAGCAGAGGCCTCCTACTATTTTACAGGTGAGAAAATTGACGGCAGGCAAGACTGAGTGACTTGTTTGAGACACACGTTGTCTTAATATCTGTTTGAGGGAATGCTTGATTAAGACATAGCTGGGAAGGGGCAGTCCTGGAGTTGGACATGCAGTCTGTGTGACCGGCAGCCCATGTTTATATTCCCATGCTGTATACTGACTGGACGACCTTGGCCTAATCACCTACCCCTTTTGACCTTGGTCCCCTTATCCAGCTCTGAAATTTGACAACTCTCCTTTGAGGAAACTTATTACTAGATGAGCTATAAATCCAGTAATGTCATAACTGTTGCCAAATATCTGCTTCTCTTTCTCCTCAGTATTTGTTCTAAGTGAGGGTAAACATAGTTCTGCTCGGGCATCATCTGATGGTTTAGGTTCCCTTTGGTTTATTTATTCACAAGGACTCTGTTTCTCATCCTGCCTGTAGGCGATAATGGATGCTTTGGCCTGGAGCGTGTAGTTCATTTAGCAGTTTAAATCCTCTTCCTTTTTCACCCTGCTTCCCCAGTCACCATTGTTCTGGGCTTCATTATAAAACAAATACTTCTTTCCACTATATTGACCCCAAATATTTCATCAATTCACTTGTGTTACTGAAAGCCAAGTGTTGATTCAGGCTGGGACAAACAAAGGCTACTTTGTGAGGCTGTGCTGCAGACAGGCCAGCCAGATTACCTTGTGCGGGACTGGTTGTTTTTTCATTTTCAAAAAGGCAGTGTCTTTTTAAGCATAATATCTTAGTGGCACATAATTACGCCACCGTAACAAATAGTCTGTTGTCATTTTAATCTATATTTACTTCTAGTGTTGTCTGTTTTTTCACTGTATTTATATAGTTGCAGTGTTATATAGCTATAATTTAATATTTTGTTTATTTTACTTCATAGATTTTTCCATTCTGTGAACCTGGACTTCACTGTTCTCATTTTTACTTTATACTCAACAAGCATTTATTGGTTCATTCAGAAACTCTTTAGCTAATAACTACTTAACTATTCCACTATGAGTTACTTCCAGTTTTTATCATCATAAATAATGTAATAAATATCTTTGGACACATACCTCTCCTGATCTTTTGGATTATTTTCTTAGGATAAATTCCCAAAAGTAAGATCATTAGGGGGAGAATTTAAATACCTCTTAAAGCTAACAGCCAGTCATGTGCGAGTGTGTCAGTGAACCTGTTTCCTCATGATCCTAGTCATTCATAAGTTATAATTCACCTTTTTTTGGTAAATACAGGACCCCTCCATGAATTGGCTTTTGCCTGTCTCTCCCTCCTAATTTCCCAACAATCCTCAACTTTCTCTTCTATTCCTACCACCCTCCCTCTGCCCCCCCAAAATAGATAGGTTTGTTGTTGTTGTTGTTGGTTGGTTCGTTGGTTTTGTGTTGTTTTTTTTAGAGACAGGGACTCACTCTGTAGCCCAGGTTGGAGTGCAGTGGTGCGATCACACCTCATTGTAACCTCGAACATCTGGACTCAGGCGATCCTCCCACCTCAGCCTCCTGAAAAAATAGGTAGTTTTTTACACAGAGAATACCTTGTTTTGAACATGAACTTCCTGATACCATAGGTGCTCTACTGGAGCAGGACACTGGATACCAAAAGTCACTATCAACCATAATCCCTTTGCTCAGTGTTATGGGCTGAATTATATCTTCCCCCACCCCCAAATTCATCTGTTAAAGCCCTAACCTCCTGTGTGATGGTATTTGGAGATGGGGCCTTGTGGAGGTACTTGGGCTTAGATGAAGTCCTGAGGGCGGGGCCCTTATAATCGGATTATAAGAAGAAACACCGGAAGACATGCATGCTGGCTCACATGCATGCCCTCCCTCTCTGCTATGTGAGCGTGCTGCATAAAGATGGCTGTGCACAAGCTTGGAAGTGAGTTCTCACCAGACATCAAACCTGCCAGTACCTTGATCTTGGACTTTCCAGCATCCAGAACTGTGGGAAATAAATGTCTTTTGTTCAGGCCACCCAGTCTGTGGGATTTTGTTTTAGCAGCCCAAGCTGACTTAACACACTCAGGATCCATCAGTCTTAACATTTGAGATGTTATTAGGTAATTAGTTATCTAAATAGATCATTTAGAATTTGTTTCCACATTTCTTATTTGCTTTTCATGACAGCCTTGTAAATATCCCCATTTTATAGAACAATAACAGTCAATAGAGACATCTGAAGAACTCTAAGTTGTTCAAGATGGCTCAAGGGCGGGGGTGCCATGTGAGGTAAGTCACTGGACAGAAGAGAGGACTGCAGAGGCTGGCACATGTAGGGCCTTTTGTGGCAGGTTCAGAAGTTTGACTTTTGGCCACAGAGGCTGGTGTTTGAATGGTTTTAGGAAAGGAGTAACATAGATTAAGATGTTAGAGAGAGCTCAGACAGCAGTGTGGGGTGGGCAAGGCAGAAAGCAGGGGTCCCAGCTAGGAGATCTGCAAAGGTGAGCAGTGATGAAGGCCTGAAAGAATGCAAAGCACTAGGAATGAAGGAGGACAAAGTTAACGGAGATCTTAGAGTTGATCTAGCCTAACCCCCTCATTTGGTAGAGGAAGAAATTGAGGAGTGAAGAGAAAAAAAGAAATGTGTCCAGGGCACTCCAGCTAGTTCAAGAATTCAACAAACATGTACTAAGTCTACCATGAGCCAGGTGGATTCCCTGGTGTGCAAGGGACATGTTCTCATTTCATAGTGTATCGAGGGAAATGGTCTTCTGTAGCACTGGGCTTTGAATGAATCAGCTTCCTCTGGAAAGAGTTGGGTTAGGCTAATGTGACCAAACTCATGCTACTTCTCTCTCTCTTATATTTTCCAGGTCTGAGCTTCAAACCATGTCCAGGCCTCCTTTTCTAGGGATTTTAAGTTTTTCAGGCAGCCCAGTCTATCTCAATCCCCAACTGCCTTCACATTCCCCCACCTGGTGCTACTTGATCTGTCTTTGCAGGTACAGCCCTACTTCCAGCTCCTAAAATCAATCCTCATGTGAGATAAAAGATTTAAGTAGTTCCAATTACATCTCTCTGGGTCACTTTTACTATTTTTCAGATTCTGATGTAGTGTTCTCTTCTAATAGCTCACATTTTACTGTGGTTCCAGTGTTGGTCACAAGTTCATGCTGCTGTCCCAGTTTTGGACTGGGTCTCTGCCTTGTTCCTGTCAATTCTCTTCCTCCTGCCCCAACCCACGTATCCCGACTGGTGTCCTGATCCAGCACTTTTAAGGGTTCTGAACCTGCTGAGGACCTTCGTCCTTGATGTTATCTGTCCATTAGGATTCCCCAGCACTTGGTCTTGGAGCCCCCTGACCCCAGTGAAAAGTGCTTCCAGGATGGCAACCTGTTTTCAGACCACTTGAATCCCAACTCAACTACAGCCTCCTTTCAGCACTTAGAGTGGGAGAGAAGTTTCAAAACCCTGCTTGTCATTTTGAGTAGGTATATTTCAGGTCCCATCCACCCATGTTCTGCTCTTTCCTGCTGCAGTTAATTGTTTAAGTCTGGAACCTGAAAAAAAAATGTATTTAGCAAGTGTTAAATAAAAATACATTTATTGAAAATAAATTAATGTGATTTGCTACATTTACCTGCTAAAGAAGAAATTAAATGATCATCTTGGTTGATGCAGAAAAAGCATTAGGTGACATTCATTATATATCTCCTTTGTAGCTAGAAATAGAAAGAAACTCCTTTAATTTGATAAAACATCAACATAAAATTATCAGCAAATCTTATAGTACGTGATAGAACGTTAAAAGATTTTCCTTTGGTGCATATGTTAATTAGCTTGAGTTAGCCATTCCACAATGTATATATACATTTTTGTTTGTTTTTGAGACAGGGTCTCGCTCTGTCATCCAGGCTGGAGTGCAGTGGTGCAATCACGGCTCACTGCAACTTCAACATCCCAGGCTCAAGCAATCCTCTCACCTCAGCCTCCTGAGTAGTTTGGACTACAGGCATGCACCAACATGCCCAGCTTTACATATTTCAAAACAACATATTTTAGATCATAAATATATACAGTTTTTTATTTGCCATTTAAAACATATAAATAATTATTTTTAAAAAAAATATTTCAATTTGAGATTAGGAGCAAGTCTGTACTTCTAGTCAATGTTGTACTGGAGGGCCTATCCAGTGAAATAAGGAAGACACATAAATATAAGGCACAAGAGTTGTAAGGAAAAAACTATCATTTTTCTTAGATGCTATTATATATACATTAACAAATCCAAAAAACTACAGCTAAACTATTACTGATAACAAAAATACCAGTATACAAAAAACATTGTATTTCTCTATTCCAGTAAAAACACAGTTAAAAGTAGAATTTAAAAAGAGATACCAATCGTAATATAATTTAAAAAGCATTAATTACTTAGGAATAGATCTATGAAAAGATGCAGAAGGCCTCTAAAGGTGAAAAATTAAAACTTACTGAGAGATATTTTAAAATATCCAAATAAAGGAGTTATACCATGTTCATGGAATAGAAAAATGAATATTTTTAAAATGTTTGTTCCTCCGAAACTGATCTGTAGATTTGACACAACCCCAATCAAAATTCCAATTGATTTTATTTTGTAGAATTTGAGAAGCTACTTTTTGAAGAAAAAGAAAAATGTAGAAGGATTTGTTTTATCAGATATCAAGATACATTACAGTATTTTAGTTATCAAGATGATGTGGTATTTATGCAAAGATTTTAAAAACAGGCTGCAAGTAGTTCCTCTAGAGTATAGAAAATGAGGGGAAAAATACAATAAAATAAAAATTGAGCAATGAAACAGAATAGAGAACTTAGATTTCACATACATGGGCTTGATCTATGACAGAAGTGGCTATAGGTAAAGGATAACATTTTTAATAAATAATAATGGAACAACCGGAAATTGTTCATATTGGAAACATTGAGATTTTATTCCTTCCTCATACTGTATGTAAAATCAGTTCCAAGTGGATTGAAGACTGCTTTGGTCTGAATGTTAGTGTCCCCCCAAAATTCATATGTTGGAGCCTGATACCCAATCTGATGGTGTTGGAAGATGGGGCCTTTGGGAGGTGATTGATGAGGGCTCTACCCTCAAGAGTGGTATTAATGCCCTTATAAATGAGGCTTGAGCTCCCTTGCCCCTTCTACCATGTGAATACATAGAAGGCACTGTCCATGAGGAACAGGCCCTCACCATACACCAAACTTGTTGGCAACTTGATCTTGGACTTCCCAGCCTTCAGAACCATGAGCAATAAATTTCTGTTGTTTATAAATTACCCAGTCTAAGATGTATTGTTGCAGTAGCTGAATGGATCAAGACAAAGATCTACTGTGAAAGGCTAAATACTAAGCTTTTGAAGGTAGTATAAGAGAATATCTTAATAATTTTGGAGTAGATATCTTATGTAGAGAGAAAAAACACTAAACACAAAGGAAAAGTTGTAAATTGGTTATAGTAAAAATTAAAATTTCCATTCTTCAAAAGATGCCACAAAAAGAGTTAAAATACAAGCCACAGAGTGGGAGGACACATTTGTAACATATATAATTTTTTAACCCATTTCCCATTTGCCCCGAGAAATGAGCACTGGCAGTAGGCTGCACTTTTTTTTCTTTTTCTAAACAAGAAATAGGTTAAAAGGGCTAGCATACAGAATATATGAGAAATATTAAAAATAAATAAGGCAGAAAACCTGATAGGAAAAAAAATAGGCAAAGACTTGAACATGTACCTCACAAGAAGAGATATTAAAATGGCCAAAGAACATATGAAAAGTGCTCAACCTCAATGTTAATCAGGAGAATACAAATTAAAATTATAACATAATACAACTACACACCTGCGATTGGTAAAAATTAAAAAGACTAACAATACTGCGTGTTGGCTAGGATGTGGAGATTTAGAAACTCATAATCCTGATGATAAGAATGTGAATCAGTAAACCTGCTGTGGAGAACAGTGTCGCGTTGTATAGTGAAGTTGAATATTCCATGTTTTTTAGAGATACTCATACGTACATTCACTAAGATAAGTGTAAAAGGATGTCTAAAGCAACATTTGTCTTTTTGTAATTACCGAAAACCAGAAACAAACAAAATGCCCATGATATGGTATATTCATACCATAGATTACAGCAGGAAAATAAGCAAATCAAATCAGTTTTAATGCAACAATGTGATGAATATGAAATGTTGAGGAAAAAAATTAAGTTTCAAAGAATAATACAATACAGTTCCATTTTTAAATAGTCTAGAACCATGTAAAACAAATACACACAGTTTAGGGATGCATCCTCAGGCAATAAACCTACAAGGAAAAGTGAGGAAATTATTACTATAAAAGGCAAGTGGTTACTTCTGGAGGGTGGAAGAGGGGGTTGTTATTAAAGCAAGGAATAGAGAGAGGACCTCTGTGTTGCTCTTAATGTTCTGTTTCTTGGCCTGGGGGATGATTGCTTGGGTCTTCACTTAACTACCATATGTTAAACTGTACATATAAATTTTATGCACTTGTCTAAGTAATATATGTTAAATTAAAAAATACTTTAAAAACTACCACAACCCCAGATATTTCTGAAACCCCAGATATTTCTGATATTATGGACAGATCCAACTAGCTGAACAAACTGTGCACATTTATTATCAGAAATAAGCTTTGATTCTTGTTATCCACATTTCATTAATTCTGGACTTCATCAAGACCAAAGCCCAGGTGGCTATCCACCAGCCCAGAGACCAGAGATGCTTCAGATTAATTTACGTCTTTGGTCTCCTCGGTAATATGATGATGATGCCTTCATTATAATAAAAAAGGAATTAGATACACAAAATTACAGGGCTGTAAAAAAAGGGAGGAAACGATTATCTCAAAATAAGAACAAAGAAAAACAAGTGGCCTAGATTCCATCACAGCTGACCTGAAGGCCATGATTTACCTAAATTTGTTCTTCACAGTTACAAGTTCTATAAATGTATTTCACAAGCTTGTTATGTGTATTTGGCTATATTTTGGAGGGATGTGAGTAATAAATAATAGTAGTTAGAGACATTGTTAGGACCTTGCTGATTCGGTATTTCAAATTAAAAGAATAGTGTTAAATGCTTTTTAAAAATCTATTAGGAAAAATATTCATATAAGCCAATTAATAATCTATATAAGATTTCAGAAAGGATGCTTAAACAAGGTTTTCAAACACTCTAAAGATCTTTAGAGGCTGAGTGCAGTGGCTCATGCCTGTAATCCCAGCACTTTGGGAGGCTGAGGTGGGAGGATCATTTGAGTCCAGGAGTTTGAGACCAGCCTGGGCAACACAGTGAGACCTCATCTGTATAAAAATTTTTAAAAATTAGCTGGGTGTGGTGGCATGTGCCTGTGGTTCTAGCTACTTGGGAGGCTGAGGTGGGAGGATCACTTGAACCTGGGAGGTCGAGGCTGCAGTGAGCCATGATCATGCCACTGCACTCCAACCTGGGCAACAGAGCAAGACCCTATCTCAAAAAGAAAAAAAAAGATCTTTAGAAAAAAGGCATATTCCAGGAACAAATTATAATAGTATCAATCCCTGATAAAACATTAGGCTCTGATTTTTAACAGGTAGTTTATAATCAGTAGTAGTGACTAAGAATCAGCACAGCTTTTCTAGGGAAAATTATTTATCATTAATCTCATCTCCATTTTAAGGAAATCACTAAGTTCATGAATAAAGGGAATGTCGCAGACATATTATAGCTCAATTTTCACAAAGCGTGGATTCTAGTTCAATTAAGGGATTAACAATTTTTAATTGTTCAGTTATTTAACTTGTCATAACAACCTTAAATAACTCTACTCTTCAACTCGTCCATTGTAACACTTGATTGATATCTGGCTGAAGAGCTAAAAAACTTACTTATGAACTGTACAGATGACTCAGCACTGGGGGAAGAACTAAGACACTGCATTGGAGATTCAGACTTACAAGGATTTGAACATGTTCCAAAAGAGGGCAGAAAGGAAATGAAAACTAGGTTAAAAAAAAGTTCAGCAACACAAGGTCAGTATTGAGAGGCTGTGGCTTGACATTAGTTTAGTGGAGAAAGACCCAAAGTGTTAGCCAAGTGCAATTTAAATATGGGCCAACAATGTGATTTGGCTGTTTAAAAAGCTAATGCGATTTTAGGGTACATTAACACAGCCATAGTATCCATATCAGGTGGGTGATGGTCTTGCGGTGTTCTACGTTTTAGACATAGCACAAACAGTCTTCAATTTGGGGCATCTTGTTTTCAGCAGAAAATGATAAATCAAAGATTAACCAGAGGGCAAATAGAATTACAGATGATCAGGAAATCAAGTCATGTGAGGAATGGTGAGAAAACCTAGCAAGATTTAGTCCTAGAGAGAACATGAGAGCTGCTGTTAAACATTTGAATGTCTTGCAAAAGGAGGAGGTTCTTTTCATTGATTGGTTGGTTGGTTGCTTTTTCAATGTACTGCAAAGAGCGGAATTGAGAGGAAATCAATATAATGGTAGATTCCAAATTAAAGAAGTTTTACACTCAGGGCCAATGAAACCTGGAAGGGGCTTTCTTGTAAAGTATTAGGCAGAGTCCCAGAGAGCAGGAAGAGCACAGGCAAAGGGGCTGATGTGAAAAACTAAGAAACTGCCTCATAAATGGTAACCAGCAAAGGCTTTGGAGCCAGACAGACTGCAACCAACCCCATCTTTCTATACTAAATAGCTGCGTGACTAAGCAGGTTACTTAACCTCTCTGAGCTTCAGTTTCCATACTTATAAAATGGGAATAATAATAATAATATACTCATCTCACAGGATGTTTTGGATGAGTAAATAAAGTAATGCTATTATTGGTAACCCTTGAGGAAATCCCTTCAGTGAGACCTTAGATTGCAAACCTGCAAGGCAGCAAGCAAAATCCTGAACCTTGGCTTTTTATGATCTGATAAAAGCTCCTCTGCCTAGAAATCACATTAGCCCATGTTGAACATCACTGTGAAACTGGGGAGTCCACGGCACTTTTTGCTAACCAAAATAGGTCAAAGAACATTGTGATCTCATGTCCTCACTAACTCCTCTTTTCCCTTTCTCTGTCATAGAGAAAGTAATAAAGTCTTAACCCAGCTTTGACCATTACCTCTCCCACCTCCTTACTGGAACATTCACTCAGCTGTAGACTCAGGGCAGAACCTTTCTGCATTCGAAACCAAGCAAGCTAGGCCAGCTTTAGGGTCCAGGACTGTCTTAACCATTGCAGAATCCCACCCAGCAGATGGCAAGAGCAGTGCAAGGATACCTGGATCCTGCTTGGCATTGCACGTCTTAAGGAGTTAGACCAGGGAACCGTGGTAGACAGAATTCCAGGCTCCACCCCTGGTGAACATGCCATATGATTCCCTTCCCTCAAGTGTGAGCAGGGCTGTAAATGTGGTAGATTTCATTCCCACAATTAGGTAAAGGGGTGAAGGGATTTTGCAGATATAATTGATGTACCAAATCAGGTGACATAGGGTTAATCAAAAGGAGATTATCCTGAGCAAATTAGACGAGCCCTTACAAGAGAGTAGGCCCTTCCTGGCCGGGCGCGGTGGCTACGCCTGTAATTCCAGCACTTTGGGAGGCCGAGGTGGGCGGATCACGAGGTCAGGCGATCGAGACCATCCTGGCTAACATGGTGAAACCCCATCTCCACTAAAAATACGAAAAAGTAGCCGGGCCTGGTGGCGGGCGCCTGTAGTCCCAGCTACTTGGGAGGCTGAGGCAGGAGAATGGCATGAACCCAGGAGGTGGAAGTTGCAGTGAGCCGAGATCAGGCCACTGCACTCCAGCCTAGGTGACAGAGCAAGCCTCCGTCTCAAAAAAAAAAAAAAAAAAAAGGAGAGTAGGCCCTTCCTGAAGGAAGAGATTTGAAGTACAAAAGATTTTCCTGCTGACTTTGAAGAAGTAAACTGCTTTGTTGTGAGGGGGCCTGTGTAGAAAGCAATGTGACAAAGAACTCTTAGCCTTCAGGCTGCGCGCAGTGGTTCACGTCTGTAATCCCAGCACTTTGGGAGGCTGGGGCAGGTGGATCACTTGAGGTCAGGAGTTTGAGACCAGCCTGGCCAATGTGATGAAACCCCATCTCTACTAAAAATACAAAAATTAGCCGGGCATGGTGGCGGGTGCCTGTAATTCCATCTACTCAGGAGGCTGAGGCAGGAGAATTGCTTGAACCTGCAAGGCAGAGGTTGCCGTGAGCCAAGATTATGCCACTGCACTCCAGCCTAGGCAACAGAGCAAGACTCCATCTCAAAAAAAAAAAAAAAAAACTCTTAGCCTCTAGGAGTTGCTTCCAGCCAACAGCCAGCAAGAACAACAGCCTGCAAAAAGATGGGGGCCTCAGTCATACGGTCATAAGGAAATGAATTCTGCCAACCACCAGTGAGCTTGGAAGAAGACCTTGAGCCTCAGAGGGGAATGCAGAGCAACTACCCATTAAAATGGTGAGACCCTGACTAGAAAATTCAGTTAACTCATGCCCGGACTTCTGACCCATGGAAAGTGTGAGATAATAAATTTGTGTAGCTTGCAGTCACTAAGTTTGCAGTGATGTGTTATGTAGCAATAGAAAACAAACGGAGGAGCAAGAAACCTGTTTGGCCTGTCCTTGTCACCCTCTCGTGATAGCCACATGTTCTATGCCATTGCAATAAGAAACCAGTGTGCCCTTTTGGCCAGAAAAGAAAGGCAGTCTTAATTCTGGCAGCCCTGGGTGGAGATTTGCCTCCCCAGGAGCCTGGCAAGTAGGAAAAGGTGGATAAGTGGGTTCTCTTCTCGCTGTGACTGGGCAGGCTGGTGCCCAGGCTGAGGAGAGACAGACGCTTCTGGGGCAAAGCAATCTCCAAACCCCCTCTTCCCCTCCCCAGGTGAGACTCTGTGAGACTGTGAAAAGCACTATTTTACAAATAACCAGCAGGCTGATTACAAAGACTTCTTAGCTGTTCCCTAAAGTGATTCTTCCAAGAAACACTTTGCTGCAATTAGGTATGTCACTGATAACAATAAGTTGTATATATTTTTAAAGTATAATGACATTTTCCTTCATTTATTTTTTATTTTTTTAAATTTTTTTCTTTGAGATGGAGTCTCACTCTGTCGCCCAGGCTGGAGTGCAATGGTGTGATCTCAGCTCACTGCAAACTCCACCTCCCAGGTTCAAGCTATTCTCCTGCCTCAGCCTCCCGAGTAGCTGGTATTACAGGCGCCCATCACCAGACCCAGCTAATTTTTGTATTTTTAGTAGAGACGGGGTTTCACCATGTTGGCCAGGCTGGTCTTGAACTCCTGACCTTAAGTGATCCACCCACCTCTGCCTCCCGAAGTGTTGAGATTACAGGCATGAGCCACCACACCTGGCACATTTTCCTTAATTTAGATTGGCCTTTGCCACAATTAACCCAAACCAGTGAGGCTTTGCAGTCAATCGTGATGAGACCTGCAAGGGCATAGAGATGGTTTCACCACGTGTTTCAGTCATGGATCGGCCACTTTTTGTGTAGTCTTGATTATGTGTCACTCTTTCACACCTGTCAACTGGGGTGAAGCAGTTGTGACAGTCCAATGGACTTTGTGAATGGGCAAGTCTAACGTGGACCTGAGACAGAGGCACACTTGGGGCGTGCACTGAATGGGTGTCAGGCTCCCAGACCTCTGGGTGAGGCGCTGGCAGGAGGGCCCTCCCCTTAGAGCTTGCTGGAGGGGAGCTCAGCTCCTTAACTGCAACCGCCACTCAGGGCCAGAGTGGAGAGCCTGATGTGCTATGTGATACCCTAGCCCAGCTCCAGAAGGTCTGGGATATGGCATCAGAGCTGAGACCAGAAGGACTAGAGCAGGAGTTAGCTCCAGGAAGAGAGGGAAGGGAGCACAGGGGGCCAGAGCTCACAGACTTGCAGTGCGAGAACGATGAGCTCAGGAATGAAATAATTGCGTGGTAGCAGAGAGCCGAGGGGCTGGGCGGATGCGAGTCTGGAGAGAGGTGGGAGCCAGGTCCTGGGAAGTCTTGCCACTGTGCTCAGGAATCTGATCAGAGGATAATGGGTGACTTGGAGCATTTTAAAAAGGAGATCAATGTGGCCAGATTGAACCCCGAGGACTGTGATTTTCACACAGTTCTGTACAGCCCAAAGTTTCCTCTGAGATGGGAGAGAGGAGGGGATGAGGGCTTCATGATGGCACCTGCGCTGTGTCTCCAAAGCATTGCTGCTCTCACCTGGTTGACCCAGCGGTTCTGGGAAGGCTTAATTTAGTAAGACAGGTCTCCTTTAAAAATAAAGCTTGATATAACCTAGATGACGGGTTGATAGGTGCAGCAAGCCACCATGGCACATATATACTTAAGTAACAAACCTGCATGTTCTGCACATGTATCCCAGAACTTAAAGTAAAATTAAAAAAAAAAAAAGAAATGATCTGACACAGCAATAAATAAATGAAGCTTCAAAGACCCTTTTGAGAAAAATTTATCAGGTTGCAGAGAGGAGACTGGATTGGAAATAGCAAGACAGAGGGGAGCAGAGAGAGCTTGGTTAGGGCTGTTCCCATGGTCCTAGAGGAAACTGATGAGGCACAGTTCTCAGGAGTGGGGCTGGGGAGAAGTACGCAGGTGAAGAGGTGTTGAGGAGGGGAACTCTGAAGGACTTGCTGATCAGGGAGAGGGGACTGGGGAGGCAGAGAAGTGAAGATGTATCCTTGGTTTGTTTTTTTTTTTTCAAGTGACTGGTGGAAAGGTATTGCCATTCTACTGGCATCAGGGCTGGAGCATGAGAGGTAAATTTGGTGCAGATGCTGAGTGAGATTTGGGTGTGTTCCTTTTTGGGTGTCAGTGACACAACCAAGTAGGCAGAGTGTATGAGTCTGGAGCTAAGAAGGAAGGTCTGGACTGGGTGTGGCTTTAGGAGGCCTCAGCGTATAGATGGTAATTGAATCCACAGTCCATGTCTCTGTTACCCAGGAAGACTGTGTATGGTGAGAACAGAGACATGGGAAAAAGTCCTGGGAAGCATCCACATTTAAGAAACAGCCAGAAAAGAAGAGGCTGGCAAAGCCAACTGAGGTGGACAGTCCAGGGCGTGGAAAGGAAATGTGAAAACGGTGATGTCATGAGAGCCAAGAAAAAGAGTAAAGAATAGAAGAGTATTCGTACCCAGTAAGAACCCAACGCTGCTGAGAAGGCAAGTACAATCCCAACTCCGAGAAGTGTTCATTTAAGGACCAGAAGGTTGTTGGAGAGCCTGGCTGGAGCAGTTTCAGAGAAGTACTGGAGCAGAAGCCAGAGGAGAGGATTTGAGAGGTCAACGTGAGCCAATATGAAGTTAAAAGATCATTCTTTCAAGAACTTTGTCTATGAGGGGTGGGGGCGAGATGGGGAGTAGGAGCTGGATAAGTGGGGTTATGTTTTTTGAGAGGTGAGAACTTGGGTATGTTTGAATTCTGATGGGAAGGAGTCAATATAGGTGGAGGGGCTCTGAATTTAAAACACAAATCATAGTATGATTTTTATTGATTCACTTCAGAACTTTCTTGAGCACTTACCCTTTGTAGGGCTTGGGTTCTGTTGGTTATGGTAGAGGGAAAAGGGAGGGAGAAAGGGCGCACATCAAGTTTAATGACTTTCCTACCTGCTCTCAAAAACATATTCAAAGTGGTGTTGACAAGCTGGATCTGGTAGATGAAATGCCACAGCCCCTTTCATCTTATGTTATGGGGCTCAGTCTTCTAGACATTGTCTTACTGATTAGCTTCTTGAGCTTGTTGGTTGGCTGTACCAGAGTAATGAATAGGCTGTGCCTAGCCCTGCTGAGGGAGAAGCACATGAGCTCTGAGTCTTTGGCAAGCTGGAGGCCAGAGGTCCTTCCAAAGGCCAGAACATTCCATGGTTCTGGAAGCCTAAGGCTAAATTCCATGTGAGCGGCCCTTGTGCTTTGTTTTTTCTCTAGGTTGACCTATCCTGGAAAAGACTTGGGACAAAGCACCACTTATTTTGCTTGTGGACATGACAACAGAAAAAAAAACATGCGTAAGAAGGGAACTAGGTGTTCTAAACTGTGGTCAAACTATCTGTAATAAAGCTTTGCTTGTTTTGTTTAATTTCTAATCTGTTGCAGGCCAATGCTTACTCAAACAGAAAGTTTGAGTAATTAAACCAGTAATTCATTGTTTAGGGACCAGCATTTGTTCCAGGACCACGCTGTGGGTAGCACAAGTTCACTTTCACCTTCCATTGACAATGCTAATTCTGGCTCCTTACCCATGTCTAGCACTTAGGATGGTTAAGTGTGTTTGCCTTCAGGCTCTCAGGAGCTCAGTTCAGATGCCACTCTTCCTGCGAATTCTACCTCACTCACTCTTCCTAGAAGGGAATGGGTGCCTCCCGTCTGAGAGTGGATTTCCCCGAGACAAGGGTTTGAGTGTTAGGAGTTTATTGGGACAGAACCCCACAGAGTATTGGAAAGGGAGTGGGGAGATGAAATGAGAAGGGGAAAAGTCAGTAAAGGGATCAACTGAGCAAGTCATCTGGTAGACAACTGACACTTGGTTCTGCTGGGGGGATTCTGAGAAATAGGGTGGAGACACTCACCTTGGAGTTATCTCCCCCAAGGCATGAGGAAGCTGGGTATTGACACACCATGGTCATCCATAGGCAGACAGCTGCTCAGGAGGACATTAATTCCTTCTCACTACCAGCCTGCAGGGCAAAGTGGTCTCCAGTGGCCAGAGAAAGCCCCCAGGCAAGAAACTGCTGGTACCTTCCGTTGAAATGGTGGGGAGTCCTCAGCCTCTGCTACACTCTGCCTCCATCTGTAGTCCCATCAGACCCTATGGTTTCTTTCTGTTCCATGCCCATCACATTTCTTTGTAATTATCTATTTCCTTGTTCATTGTTTATCTCTCTTCCTAGAGTCTAGGACCTAGACTGGGAGCTCCTTAAGGGCAAAGGCTATATCCTGTATCTCTGCATCTCATTGTAGAGTGTGGTATTTTTCATCCCAGAAGATGAAAGAATGCATGAATCTGGGCCTTCCAACACTTCAGCATGGGCTTGCTTTTATCCTCATTTTAAAAGTTAACAAAATAAGACAGAGAGAGGCTATGACCTGCCCTAGGTTATGAAGCTAACTAGTAGCAGAATCAGATCTCCTAATTCCAAATCCTGGTTCTTCTCATTGATTACAGCTGCCTGCAATTTTCTCTTCCATTTCTTACTCCCATATCCCGGTTCAAGAGCATGCATAAAGACATGCATGTGTACACACACACACACACACACACACACACACATCTCTACACACACCACTGAGTGCTTCTCTGTAGATACTTGCTGCTTTGTTTTTTCTTTTGGGCTGGTGGCAAGGTGGAATGAAAAAGTGAGAGTGGTCTTCTAATAGATATTTACAAGTTGCAAACCCAGCTGGGGTCTATGGCATTATCCATTCTGAGGTGATATAGAACGGCCCCAGATGGATTCACAAGATAAATGGAAGGGAAGGAGGGTGGCCTCAGCTCTGTCCTCTCAAGCTGATCTTAAACTCTGTCACCTGGAGTCCTATGCCATCCTGTATCTCCTGAAGGTGTTGCTGATTTGGGGTGACTCTCAGCAGCCTCAGCTGTTTTTCCCCTTGACTGGTTTCCTAAAAGGACTAGGGAAGCTTGCTTCTGAGCACAGGTTCTGTGCCTTGTCTTACCTTCTCCCCACTGTTCTCTGCTCCACAGCCAAATTGGGCTTCTGTTATTTATTATTTCCTTAACCATGCTTGGCTCTCCCCCTGGGCCTTTGCACATGCTGTCCTGTCTACCTGGAATTCAGCCCCTCTGCTTCCTGCTAGTTACCTCCCCCTCCTCGTTCATTAGCTCTGGTGTCCTTTCCTGAGTGTGCCTCCCCTCTCTGCACCCCTACATTCCTCCACCCCCTACACCTCACACCCTCTTACCTGGAGCCATCCCACCTCCTTCATGGCATTGATTCCAGTTTGCAAGTGTACACATTTACCGAAGTCATATCTTTTCAGGACAACCTCCCCTTTTAGAGTCTACATTTCTGGGAAGAAAGAGCTGTGTCTGGTTTTGTCTAGTACTTCACTCTCGTACGTAGTTGGTACTCAAATATTTTGAATGCATGAATGGATTAATAATCAAATGAAAAGCTAAGCCTCACAAGCTCCTCCCAAGATAACCCTTACTCATCTTCTTTTATAGATAATGAGATGGAAGCTCAGAAGATTTGGGCTTGCCAGAAGTCCAAGAGCTCATGAGTTGGGACAGCCGCAGAATTCTACCCAGGGCTGCCTGATTTCAACCCCCAAGCTTGGTGATATTGAGAGAGGAGGCTAGGTGGGGCCATTCAAGGAAACTTGAGTCCTGTGATGTTTGTTTTCTTTGTTGATGCACACAAAATGATTTAGGTCTCTAAATCATTTTATGTGCATCAACACAAAAAGTAACACTAGACTACAGGAACTGAGCTAAAAGCAGCACTAGACTACAGGAACTGAGATAATGACAAGGTGATTTCAGCCTTGGTATGTCAGTCCTCAAAGGGTCATGAGAGGAAGTGAGATGCCCCACGTTTACCATGAAGAGACCTTAATGGTAGCACAATGCAGAGCAATCTCCAGACACAAAAAAGATCTCCTGGTCTTTTTGTCTCTCTCTTAAGGAAACTTAACTTCATTTCTCAAATAATTGATGGGGTATAAATTAAGCAGGATTGAAAAACCCACCAATCTCATAGACAATGACTTGGATAGGAGCCGAGAGATAGAGGTTCTGGTTGTAGATGTATCAGACCTGCCTTATGTCACCACCCATGATGCTAGGTTCATCAACTGATGGATTCCCAGGTCCATCCTGATTTGAGGTTAAAATTAATTCATTAGCCTTAGCTCCTCACTATCCGAGTCAGGGTACTCCCCACTGCAACCCCTGACCTAGCTGGGCAGTCCTAAGTTTTACCTGCAATAAGGTCCTAAAGATGTGTCCTGAGAATCAAATGTTAGAAAGGTGCTGTATCACCTAATTACTCTTTGCTTTGACCTTCCCCACTTTTTGTATCCCTTGAACTTTGTCCTCCCAGCCCCCATGACTGAACACACAGAGCCCTGGCTTAAGTTTGAAGAGCAACAGCATTTGGGCTTAGGAAGCTGCTGCTTTTGACCAGCCAGCATCTTACTATTCATGCCAGTATTTTCATTCCCTCACTCCATTTATTTTCATAAGGTAATAATTGTGGAGAGTACAACAGAACTACATTTTTATTTTTTTATTTTTATTTTTATTTTCATTTTTTTTGAGATGGAGTTTTGCTCTTGTTGCCCAGGCTGGAGTGCAGTGGCGTGATCTCGGCTCACCACAACATCTGTCTCCCAGGTTCAAGCGATTCTCCTGCCTCAGCCTCCTGGGTAGCTGGGATTACAATCATGCGCCACCACGTCCAGCTAATTTTGTATTTTTAGTAGAGACGGGGTTTCTCCATGTTAGTCAGACTGGTCTCGAACACCTGACCTCAGGTGATCTGCCCGCCTTGGCCTCCCAAAGTGCTGGGATTATAGGCGTGAGCCACCACGCCTGGCCAGAACTATGTTTTTACATTTTAAACAAAAGTTGGTCTAACAGCAGAACCTTTTCTTTAAATGAAAGCCTACGCAGAACCTCTATATACAATCCAATAAGAGAAGAATGGCTCAGGCCTGGCATGGTGCCTCATGCCTGTAATCCCAGCACTTTGGGAGGCTGACGTGGGAGAATTGGTTGAGCCCAGGAGTTTGAGACCAGCCTGGGAAACATAGCGAGACTTTGTATCTAGAAATAAAAAAAATTAGCTGGGTGTGGTGGTACGCACCCCACTACTCAGGAGGCTGCGGTGGGAGGATCACTTGAGCCTGAGAGGTTGAGGCTGCAGTGAGTTGTGATTGCACCACTGCACTCCATACTCCAACCTGTGTGAAAGAGCAAGACCCAGTAGAGAGAGAGGGAGAGAGAGAGAGAGAATGGCACATGTTAAAAGGCTTTGGGGGACCTGGAGCCCAGTCTATGCAAACCTTGCTCTGTGCGGCTGTGTGGAAGCCATCACTATCAAATAATACTTAATTTTGCATTCCATAATGTTTGTATAACAAAGATGACAACTTTGTTGAAATGGAGCTGTCAGATGGCAGGCAGGGCCACCATGTCACACCCTGATGTGTTTGGTTGCATCCCCGAAACCTCTGATATGTGAACATATCTACTTTGCACATGAAAGGTCGTCATGAGGGTCACTTATAACTCACGAAGAAAGGGCCAGTCAGCAGAGGGAAGAATAAACAAGGCCACCTGCAGTAGGTTGCTGGGGTGTGGTCGTTTTTATTTATTCTCTATCCCATCCCTTCTTCATTCCCTACATATGTACTTCCATTTTAGTAACTGGGGCCCATGGCTGGCTCCCCTCTCCCTGAATCTCGCTGTTGATGGACTTCAGTTCTAACATTTGGGACCCACTGAGCCTTGATCCCTACTCCTCGGCCATCTTTTAGGGCTGCTGAGACTCCAGTTTCCCTCCAGGACAGGTGGCTGGGCCTTAACCTTGCCTGCTTGACTCTTTGGAGCTGATGTCCTGCCACTTGAAATGATTCTAAAGTGTATATATCCATGATGGATTTACAGGTAATATTCAATAATGTTAGACCTTTTTTTTAAATTCTAAAAAATCCCAACTTGTGCTTTATTTTGCGTAACACTAGCATTAGTGAAAAATATATTTTAACCTACTGGGCTCATAGGGTCAGCTTTGCTTGGGTGGAAATGGTATAATACTGTCATAGTGAAGTATAAGCTTATATGCATTTAAATCTCTATTAGAGGCCTCATGAGTGATTTAATTTCATTTTATAACAAAAACAAAAAATGAAACACAATCCCACTCACTCAGGTTGCACTGGTTTCTCAGCATTTCACTTCTAGATTCAGGTATCAGAGGAGTCCCAATGGGAAGTCAAAAAAGGGAATAAAATTGAAAACACACACACCTACTTAAGAAAAAGCCAGTTGGAACTGCTGTTTTAATGGAAATACCAAATAGTCAAGTACTGTCAAAGATGGCCATTTTTTTCCTTCATTTTGAATTTTTGTAAATAAAGTGTTTTGTAAAAGGAAATCTTCATTTGATTGGACATAGGATCAGCTATAGCCTGCCCTCCAATCCCAGTGCTAGCCTCAATGCTGCTACTTCCCATGTGTAAGCTTTTGGGGAAAAGACTTCAGTGACTCTTGGGAGGATTTGGCCATGGCACCAGTGTCAAGGGTCACACAACCCTTTCAGGCTTAGAGGAAAGCTTGGGAGCTCTTGCTAGGAAAAATGCCCAGATCAACAAAATTTTCTATATAATTTTGGAGTGTTTTTATATCCCCCAAATCCATGGACCCAGATTTTTAAAACCCTCCTGTAAAATCTTTCCAACATTGACACAAAAATTATTAAGGCCCAACTCACAGTGACATTGGCCTGTGAAGGCACACAAACTGGACAGCCTACCCTAATAAATCATAGAGTAGGAACAGGTGACAAGCAGACACTTGCACCCACACTGAGCACAGAACAAATGGCAGGTGTGGTTCATGGCCCTGGAGACTGAGCTGTTGACAGACTTGAGAGGAACGGAGCAGCAAGTGTGGAGGCAGGACAGGGCTATGCAGATCTGATAAGAGGATTAGGTTACACTGCCCTTCCACTATTCCTAATGCCCTCAGACTGAGCAGCTGCACCAGCTCGCTCTTTCTCAGTTAGAAAAGTCTCTGTCGGAGCAGTAGCTGTGGGCCAGCACTCCCTGCTCCCGAGCACCTGCCTTTCCCGGAACACATGGTGTTAGGAATGCCGCCCCTCTGGTCCAGTTCCTGCATGCTCTGCAAGACAGCTCTCCTCTCAACTCACAGGAGCCACCAGCCTAATTCTGGGGGTGGTAGTTTAGCTGCTTCTCCAGTGCTCCCCTGGCATCCTGCCCACCCCTCTTTTACTGCACCCACCACACTGTGCCACGAGGGTTTGTTCATGCAGCTTCACCAAGATAACAAAGCCTTGCTCTGTGCACAGTGTCAGGCACACTATGACTACTTTTTAAATGTTTGTGAAATGCTCACAACTGTGTGATATATGTGAGCTGAAAGAATGTGACCTATATGATGCATGCAGGATGCAGACACTCTGGGGAGCCCCAACATTCATGAAAGCATCTTTCCTAAAAATAAAGACTGGTCACAAGGGTATAGGAACAGCCTGAAGTGGAGGGAGCAGCCCGAAGCGACAGGAGCCGCCGGAAGTGGCAGAAGTGGCAGGAGTATCCTGAGGTTGTGAAAGCAGCCTAAAGTTGCCAGAGTATCCTGAAGTGGTGGTGGGAGTCCCCTGAAGTGGGGGAGAGCAGCCTGAAGTGGCAGAAGCAGCCCACAGCAGAGGACAGACGGTGCCCCGACTAAGCATGAGGCAGAACACTAACAGCAGCGTCATGGCAAAAACCCCTTAATAACGGCGTCCTGAAGCAGGAGGGTAACCACACTCTCTAACCAGGATGAGCTCTTGGAAAGTTTAAGGGTTTCATCCAGGGATCTCATTTTCAAAATGCATCCCACAGACCTCATGTTTGTTAGGCCTCTGTGCTTTTATTTTCTTCGAATTAAACCTTTTGGCCTTCACCCTGAATGAGAGGGCCTTTGAGGAGCTGGGGTGGCCGCAGGACAAAGCTTGTCCAGTAAACAGGGCAGTCTTGGATGATGGGAAAGGAATGTTCCATGCACAAAACATCCCTCAAGCCATCAAGTCATGTCAGGACAGGTGATGGCACGGTGACCTACCAAGGACGAGACAAAGATGGAAAACTGGGTTTCTCATAGAGGGAACTTCAGAGGGACAATCAAGAGACACAGCACTGCCTCCACCTGCAAGCAACCACCTTTAGCTAGTCATCGTCCTTCTCAGCCTCAGTTTCCCTATCTGTTAAAGGAAGGCATTAGAAGTTGCATGTGTATTTTACCCACAGGCCAGTTTGTTGGGGTGAATCTTATATGATAAGGACAATAGGTCCAGCAGATAAAGAAGAAGGATCATAAGTGGGGCCCAGGGCCTCGCCCATTCATCCCCATTCCATCTCTGGCCTCAACACCCCAGGGGCAGGAAACTTTCTCAGGAACCCAGAAAACCATTGCATAAACTGCTCGTTTTACCCCAGGGAGTCTCAAACTCCAATGACCCCAAAAGCCGGATGGTCACCTAAAGCGTGATATTGGCTCATTTTGGCCGTGGAGGACTTGGGGACTTGAGAAGCTGTGCTTCTTCCCCAGGAGCGGTTGTTGCTGGACTCTGGCAGCTCTAGGAATATTGGCCCTATGTTCCCAGACCAGATATTTGCATGAAGACAGAAATCCAGATTTTTTCATTGAATTCACCTAATTTTTATAGCATTAGGAGATGATTTTTTGGAGCAGTTTTAGGATTACAGAAAAATTGAGTGTAAAGTATAGAGAATTTCCATGTATGCCCTCTTCTTGGCCTCAGTTTCCCCTCTAATGAACACCTTATATTAGTGTGGCACATTTGTTACAATTGATGAACCAATATTGATACATTACTACTGACTAAAGCCCATAGTTCACATTTGGGTTCACTCTTTGTGAGGAATCTCCTGTAGATTGTGACGGGGTATACTGACATGTACCCACCATTATAGGATCCTACGGAATAGTCTCACTGCCCTAACAAGCCTGTGCTCTGTGTGCCCATTCCTCTCCACTCCTCACACCAGCCCCTGGCAGCCCCTGATCTTTTTACTGTCTCTATAGTTGTGCTTTACCCGGAATGTGATGTTGCTGGAAACGTAAAGTATGTAGCCTTTTCAGACTGGCATCTTTCACTGGGTATATGCATTCCTTTCTGAAACGCTCCTAATTTTTAACTATTGAGAACTAATGGAAATTGTCACAAGACATTCAAAAGTAGAACTTCACCCTACCCCATTTTCTGAGTTGGATGAGTAGGTACCTTTCTCTTTCTTTCTACAGCTGGTACTGGGAGCAGGGGTTGTTGAGGGTGAGGGAGAGAATCTCAGAAGTAGAGTCGGACAGGAGGGGCAAGTGGCTCCTGATAGGAGAATGGTCTTAGTTTCCCTTTTGGACTGGCCCCTTGTGACAAGCCCCTTCCTCATCAGTCTGCCTGCCTTCTGGTCTCCCCTGGCTGCAGAACCTGCATCATCCAGCATCTTGTCTGCCCTTGCTTCTCCCTCTCCCCTCATCCCACTATGCTTGCTTCAGTGAGGAAAGCCACAGTAAAAAACCTGCAGAGCGGGCCTATGTCCCAGCTGTGCCCATGGTCAGGGCTTACCCAGAAGCAGCGGGCACAGCCTCATAAGATTTAGCAGCCCTGGCTGTCAGCAGCAGAAGCCAGTGATAACCGGATAATATTTCATAGTGTGGGGCTCACAGTTTATTTTTATACACATGCAATGCTCATGTAGGAAATGCCATGTTTGCATTTAAAGCCTGTGGAGGAAACCTAAGAGCCTGGGGTCAGGATCAGACAGAGCTGGGCTCAGGTGGCATTGCTGCTCCAGATAAGATGTATGATCCTGGCTAAGTTTGTACCCACTCTGGGCCCCTGTTTTCTCATCTACAAAAATAAGCATAATAATGCCTTCTCTGAGAGTTATTATGAGGAATGACTGTGACAAGTGCATTGCACACTGGAAACACTCATAGGTATGAATTCCCTTTCCTTTCTGGGAGCCAGAGGCCTGAATTTCAGTTCCAGTTTTGCTATTATCTAACTGTTTTATCTGGGACTAGCCGCTGAATCATAGACACACAGGCCAATAACTGCCCTGCCCCTATTTCTTTTTAAACTTGTTATTGAAAACCCTTTTTAAAAAATTGAAAACCTTTTTATATACATTCAGAAAGTACACATACCATAGCTGTGCACCTTAATGAATTTTCAAAAACTGAGCACACTGTGTATTCCATCTGCTTTTGTAAATTAAGGTTTTTTTGAAACACAGCCATGCCCATTTATTTCTGTATATGTCTATGTCTATGGCTGCTTTTGCACTACAATGACAGAACTGAGTGGTTGAGATGTAGGCCATATGGCCTGCAAAGCTGAAAATACTATCTGGCCCTTTACAGAAAAAGTCTCCTGATTTCTGTATAATATTCCATTGTGTGAATATACTAACATTTATTTATACATTTTACTGTCAATGAGCAGTAGATTGGGTAGTTTCTCACTTGGGGCTATTATGAGTAACCTGCTATGAAGTTCTCATATATGTGTTTGGCGAAAAATACATATGTGTTTCTGTTGAGTCCATTCCTAGGAGTGGAATTGTTGGAACACAGGGAAGATGTAAGTTTAACCTTATTAAAAACTGCTAGTTTTCCAAAGTGGTTGCACCATTACCTCTCCCACATGCAGTGTCTGAGGGTTCCCCTTGCTCCATATCCTTCTGACACTTGCTATTGTCTGTGTTTATCATTTCAGACATTTTTTCTGCCCCCGACTTTGATGCTTCTCCTCTCTCTAAGCTATTTCTGTTTGTGCTTGGACACCTCCGGCAATAGAGCATTCATGGCCTCAAGGGGCAACCGTTTCATCTTTGGATACTTCTGATCTCTTAGGAGCTTTTCTTCATATAGTAGCCCTTCAGATGTTCAAAAAATCAGTGCTCATATTCCCACGGAATGCTATCTTCCCCAGGAAAAGAAACCAGAATATTTCTAGCTTCTTTAAAGTTGCTCAAAAGACATGAATTTGCATGCCTTCGTCATCCTGGCTGCTTGATGAATATGTTTAGTTTCTCTGGGCTTCAGGTCCCCCATCTGTAAACTGAGGGAGTTCAATGAAAGGATCTTTAGTCATTTGAACTCCAATAATTTGTGTGAAATGTTGTCATGGGGACCCTTGAAGAGATGTCCGCACACATCTTTAAACAGGGGATCACACCAAAATGCTACTGTTAATGTCTACTGGCCACCTGCTGACAGTAGAGAATGGAGACGTTTATTTATTCATCTTCTCCTCTAACAAATTGTTCCTGAACACGGAGGATGTTCCACGTGCTGCCCTAGGAATCCAGGATGATGGGACTGATAAAGGTCTCTCTTGTGACAAATTCATCTCTGGCAGGAAGGGGGAGTGGGGAAGTGGACTGTGTGCCTGGGCAACTCTGTAGCATCCAAGGGAGGCTGTAACTGTGCCACGTGCACCTTTAAAAGGCGAGAGTCATGGGAGATGTCGAGGTTGATGCAGATAACTGCAAGCTGCAGGGTAGCTGGCTAGCTAGGCAAGGGAGGAGTACGTTGGGCCTTTGCCTTGTCACTGGGGGCATTGGGCCCGGGGCATTGCTCCCTCTGGAGATGAGGAGAGTGCAGGCTTCACCCTCAGTATTCCCAGAACTTCCTTTGTAGCAAGAAATTCCCGGGCCAGACTTCTCTTCTGCTTTCTCCCTGACACAAGTGGGAGCAGCGCGTAACAACCAAAGGCCAGGTCACCAAATCCAGATGGCAGGCAGACAACAGCCTAATCTAACTGACCCAAACACTGTCAAAATGCAAAGACAGGGAGGAGAAAATGAAAATATTGGTCAGGTTTGCAAGAAGCCAGATTCCACTGAATCTAATAGGAGCACAGCTTTGAATATTGCAAAAGAAAAATCCAGTTATTGTGTATTAATTCATGTAAGCGTCAGGACAAGCCCATGGAGTGGATACTCTTAAGTTTTGTTTTACAAACGGGGAAACCAAGACATACAAAGTTTTAGAATATGCCCAGGACCCAAGCTTGTGAGGGTAACCAGCCCATCAGGATTACAAACTCAAGCAGTCAAGCTTCAGAGGCATTGCTTATAAGGACGATGCTATTCAGGTGTAGTAACAGGGAGCTGCATTTGGGAAGAAAGTCCTCAGTGGCAGTCAGAAGCGGGGCCTGACAGCTTGGCCAACTCTGGTGGTAGAATGGTGAGGTGAGGCCGAGGTGGGTGGATCACAAGGTCAGGAGATCGAGACCATCCTGGCTAACACGGTGAAACCCCATCTCTACTAAAAATACAAAAAAAATTAGCTGGGCGTGGTGGCAGGCGCCTGTAGTCCCAGCTACTTGGGAGGCTGAGGCAGGAGAATGGCATGAACCTGGGAGGCAGAGCTTGCAGTGAGCTGAGATCACGCCACTGCACTCCAGCCTGGGTGATAGAGCGAGACTCCGTCTCAAAAACAAAACAAAACAAAAAAAGAATGGCGAGGTGGATGAAATCCCAGGGGCAGCCCAAATCCAGCCATCTCCCAATTTTACAGAGGAGCCTGGGAATGAGGGTCCCAGGGTCACAGAGTTTACTAAAGTAAATTGTAGTGTTAAGAGTGATGTAAAAAATCATCCTGGTCGGGCATGGTGACTCTGCCATTCAGGGGTCATGTCTATAAATTACAGGCCAGCGTTCTTTACAAAGGTATTAGTTAGAGATGAAGCTATTAGTTGGAAAAGATATGCATTCTTTCCTGATAGTATAATTCTCCTAAGAATATTTAAGGATTATTTTAAACTTTTGAATGTGACAATTAGTGTATAGTATATTGCCACAATTTCAAAATTGAAAATAAAAAGTCATATATTTTCTTTCACTTTCCATTAAAAAAAATCCAGAATGAGTAACTGGAAAAAAAGGAATGAACTCTCCAAAGCATCAAAAATTTACTATAAGAGGAGAGAGATATGTTATGTAATGCATAATTTACTTTAAAATGTTTTAGCATAAACATTCTTATATACGTGTGTGCAAACTGATTTTAATATAGACTCTGCAATTTTAACATTTAGAAGCCTTGCTCAGAAATGCAAACTTCAGGAGTGCTGCTATAAGTTATCAAAACTTTTGATTAGATCCTTGGCTAATTTTTCACCAGTAGTAAACATGGTTTAGGATCTGGGGTTGGATGTGCATCTTTGCAGGCACACCTGTCCTGGTGTGGATGGATGCAGGAGCCCGCTGAGCCCAGCATGCTCACACCCTCCAGAGTGGTGCCCTGGACTTGCAGCTGGGGATTTTCCAGCCAGTCCCTCTAAGATTGCTAAGAAGATTAGCTAAACCCTACTGCTGAATTATTGGTGTATCTGCTTCACATGAACCTTTCATGATTTACTAGATAGTCTGAAGGGCACAAAGCAGGGCCTCACAGACTTTTAGGAAAAGCTTGCATGCCTGTTTCTATATCTGCTTGCGTAGAAATATTTTGCACAATTCCATTTGAAGTCTGCCTTCCCTGTACATGCTACCTAGCAGAGATTGCCAGCGGGGTCTTTCAGGCCCTCACCTTCCTCCCTGTGATCATGGAAGGCTGCCAATAGCCACCGAGACCAGTCAGTTGTGAAGAGTCAACTGGCTTAAGCTTGGCCTTAGGAAAAATATTCCATAAAGTTAAAAAATTTAATATTGGAATCTCAAGTTTTTAAAAATAGAATTGCACCACTGGTAGTATATCCAGGTGAGGTATTATAGATTTCAGGTACTCCTCTGCTCATTACTCACATTGTACCTGGTACAGCATGTCTGCTCAGTACCAGGAGACAGGAGCACCCAAAAGTGGCCTGTTTGCTTGGCCCATAGCTAATGCTAAAAGAACAAGAAATGTATTTTTGATAATGATATTTATCATTATGATAAGTAGATTAGGGATTGGCAAACTATAACCTAGGGGGCAAATCTCACTTCCTACTTGGTTCTGTAAATAAACTTTTATTGGCACACAGCCACAGGGTTTTATTTACATTCCCTTTGGCTGCTTTCATGGGGCAGAGTGGAGTAGCTTCAGTAGACACCCTGCGACCTGCAAAACTGAAAATATTTACTATCTGGCCCTTTACAGAAAAAGATTCCCCGCCCCTAACATAGATGGATAGCCTTAGTTTCTCATCTCGTGACTTCTCAAAAAAAAGCCCTATTCATTTTGAAGTCACAAAACTGGCTTGACGTGTAAAATAGGTGGTACTTTAAAAAG
This sequence comes from Homo sapiens, assembly GCF_000001405.40. Classification (NCBI taxonomy): domain Eukaryota; kingdom Metazoa; phylum Chordata; class Mammalia; order Primates; family Hominidae; genus Homo; species Homo sapiens. The sequence goes on along the minus strand of NC_000008.11, from coordinate 134,727,566 downwards.
CATTATAATTTGCAGTATGTTTTAAAATTTGGTTTTATACTTCAGAGTTTGTAGAAATCCCAAAAGGGCAGTTCCATGAGAGGAGGAGAGACAGGGTCTTCAATGATCAGAGAGAGAGAAAGGCAGATAGAGGAGACAGCGCAGTGACAGGACCCTTTCCTCTGCCTACGAATGAACTTGCCCCACAGCCGTTCTTCTCCTCAAACACAGCAGTGTCCTGACCTCAGGACCTTTGCACCAGCCACTTCCTCCATCTAGATCACTTTTCTCTCAGGTGTCCACCAGCCTGGCTCCTTCTTATCACTCAGGTTTCAGCTCAAATGTCGCCTACTTGCAGAGACCTTTCCTGCTCACCCACTCCAAAGATTCATTCACTTCACTTCCTGCAGACACATTCTAGAAAACATTACTCCTTGTTTTGTTTTTTTTTTTCTCCACTTCGTGTCACTCCTTAGATGAAATTATCTTGTGCTTGTTTAGCGTCAGTCATCCAGTTAGAGTGGGTAGCAAGGCAGACATGAGCAGGGCAGGAAAGGGTCTCTGCAAGGAAGGTTAGGCGAGCATCAGGTAATGGTCAGATGGTTGCTAAACTGTCTCTCTAAAATAATGATTGATCACAGCCAGTGCCAGGGAAAGGCAGTCTCTCAATAGATAGAAAATACCCAGCCCTGTGCGGTGGCTTCTACCTATAAATTCCAGCATTTTGGGAGGCGGTGGATTGCTTGAGCTCAGGAGTTCAAGAACAGCCTGGGCAAAATGGCAAAATCCCATCTCTACCAAAATACAAAAAAAAAAAATTTAGCCAGGCATGGTGGCGTTCACCTGCGGTCCCAGCTACTCAGGAGGCTGAGGTGGGAGGACTGCTTGCTGCTTGAGCCTGGGAGGTGGAGGTTGCAGTGAGCTGAGATCGCAGCACTGCACTCCAACTGGGGTGACAGAGTGAGACCCCATCTCAAAGAAAACCCTCCAAACCCTGAAGCTGGTGATCAGCAACTTCCCAATAAGACCTCAGGAGTTGGACTCAGGACTTGGGTGAGTGGGCTCAAGCATGTGCACTAAGAGGCAAATTGGTGGCGTTCAACTGGTATATATGACCTTCTTCTAGGAACACTCGACTGGTAAGGGGAAAATGCCTCAAGTGAGCATGTGCACAATTTCAGTAAACACACTGCACATGCAGCCCCTCCCAGAGGCTAGCAGGCCACTGCTCATGCAGTCAGCTTGCCCGACGGAAAAATCAAGGGAGGAGAGATGCAAAGCCCTGGAAGCATGCCAATGCATAAAACCCCAACTCAAAGGTCAAACAGGGCACTTGAATCTCTCAAGTTGCCCGCTTGGCCCTCTTCCAAGTTTACTTTACTTCGTTTCCTTTCCTGCTTGTCCTGAGGAAGGATCCTTCCTCAGATGAATTCTTTCCTTTGAGAAGCAAGAATCACGTTGCTGCGGACCCATATGAATTCCCCACTGTTAACAATTCCAGACCCCATGAAAGGAGGACTCTTGTCTGTTTCACTCACATTGTACCCACAGAGCCTAGGCAGTGCCTGGCACAACATGGGTCTTAAAGGAGAAGAATGAATTAATGGAATAAGTTAATGGAATAAGTCCACTAATTAATTCATTGATAGAATGAATGAATGAATTGAACGGATTAATGAACAGTTGACCGCCACACGGTAATTACTGAGTCCTGGCTCTCTGCTTCTTTCCCAACCCAGCCTGGCTTCACAGTGGTGAGCTGAAGGCAGAGCTTTTCCTGTTTATATGTGCATAGGACCAATGACTTAATTAACTTACCAAAAAGGGCTCTGGTTTGCCCATGCCACTTTCTTTAACTCCTATCTAGTTGCTTCGTTCATTCAATATGTATGGGAGGCCCACTTGATACAGTTTGGCTCTGTGTCCCCATCCAAATCTCACGTTGAATTGTAATCGCCAGTGTTGAGGGTGGGACCTGATGGGAGGTGATTAGATCGTGGCGGTGGATCCTTTGTGAATGGTTTGGCACCATACCTTTGCTGCTGTTCTTGTGATAGAGTTCTCATGAGATCTGGCTGTAGAAAAGCGTGTAGCACCTCTCCCCGTCCCTCTCTTGCTCCTACGCTGGCCATGTAATATGTGCCCATTCCCCCTTCATCTCCTGCCATGATTGTAAGTTTCCTGAGGCTTCCCCAGAAGCTGAGCAGATGCCAGTGCTATGCTTCCTGAACAGCCTGTGGAACCATGAGCCAATTCATCCTCTTTATAAATGGCCGAGTCTCAGATATTTCTTGAAAGCCGTCTGAGATCAGACTAATACACCACTCTTTGCCAGGCGCTTGAACTTGTGCCCTGAGGCAGCTTACAGTTCTGAGGGAGAAAGTAGTTAAACGAGCCATAACGATATGTGGGATGGGGCGGTACAGTGTGCCCAGGAAACGGGCAGGAAGGATGGTAGCCTTAATCTGCAGGGTTGGGGAAGCCTTCTCTGTGGAGGTTACCTCCAGCCCAGAGAGCTGGAGGGAGATCTGCAAAGAGGAGCAGGGGTAGGAGCAGATGGGGGGCTGTTTTCTCAAGCAAGGCCCCAGGGAGGGGCTTTAAAGAACCTGCAGAGGTGCAACTGCAACTGAGCTTGCGGTGGAGAGCACAGGTGGAGAGGTGAGCTTGGTTGCCAAGGACTTCCATGGGTGAGAACTGCTTGGACTTCAGTTCGCAAAGGGAGAAGCGCTTTAACTGGGGAGTGTGGGGTGAATTCCCCCACAGCCCATGGTAATCTTGACTCTGTAAGGGGAAGGGAGGCGAGTTTCTCCCCCTTGCTATAGACAGCTCCCCTTTGAGAGCTTCTAGCCTGCACTGTGTAACTTGACTGGCAGGTAACGTAACTGATAGAATGATACCCAGGGCAGGCTAAAGAGGTTCTGGGACTTTAAGTGACGAAACCAGGAAAGGCCCAGACCACCCGAGACCAGTTGGCCACCTACCAGCAGGGCTGCTGTTCAACCCATATACATGAGTTATGGCCATGGTGGTTATTATACTAACGAAATCTTTCCCTATTTAGTGATTTAGTAAATAGCACCTCTTTAAGCCCTGGCCCTGTGTCCCCATACTCTTGGCAGTATAGCCCACTGGCCCCAAACTCCTAGGACCTTCTTTCTCAGCTTCTAAAATTAAAGGAGTAACCCCTGGCACATCAGGGGCATGCGTTCTTTCTGATTAGCCAGTGTCCATGCTGTATCTATTGACAAATGTCACCCTGGGTCACCTGTGTTCCATTGTCCTTCCTTCTGCTATGCCTTGACTGGGCTTGGAGCTCACTGCATCTCCCTGCCTCTCAAGATGCCTACCCAATAATTTACAGGGCAGCTGCCATCACCCTCCAAGATGGTGACCAATGCACAGTCCCAAAGTTTCTTTACATGTCCACCCTCTGGAGTTCCTATGCAGATGGCACCTGAGCCTGCTTATAGAAACTGGCATAAGATTCTGCATCAAGAGATGCCCACCAAATGCCACCCCTGACTCCTAAGAATGGAAGTGAATCAAGTCTAGCTCTAAAGTGTAAAAGCAGCTGCGTAGGTTTTTGTCCACGTAGATAGCTTGAGGCAGCATAATGAAAGAAACTAATCCATCACCTCTTTTATGTGAGACATTGTTTTTAAACAATAGGCAATATATGAGATTTCCATGGACACTTTATTTTCAGGGTTATCAGTTTTCTCTCAGCTGTTACAGCAGCATTTCTCTCTGAGCCAGTTACTGCGGGAACTTCATAAATGTGCTTCTGAAGAAGGGTTCTGCTTGTCCACCCTGTTACAGGTTGAAATGTGTGTTCGTCAAGTTGTTCCTCATGCAGGAGGTTAGGGAGGTGACTGATCCCAGAGGCTCAGCCCCCCATGGTCCCAGTACAGTGAAGGGGTCCTCAAGGGGTGTCTTCAGGTTGGCTTCAGACAAGGGGAGACTCTGGCAGGAAACCAGGAGGGCAGGAGCGGAGTACGGTCTGGGCATTTATTCCTCAGTCTCCTTCTCTAAGTCGCAGAGTATTGGTGGTCCGTCTTGCTGAAGGTGGACTCCTCTGCACAGGCCCTGTCCTGGCCCTGGGTTCCAGCGGGCACTCCCTCCGCATGCCTGCAGGCCTGGGGTGAGGCGAGGTTGCAGAAGGGCTGCATCATTCCTCTCTGACCTCCCAAAACCCTGCCCACACCTTTGTAAAGAGCCCCTTCATTAAATGCTCCTCCAATTGCCCAGCTTGAGGATGCCCTCTGCCTCCCGCTGGAGGCCTGGCTGCCAAGGAGCTGAGGTGGAGCGATGTGATAAGAGGGAGGTCCCAGGCGATCCTGGGGGATGGGGATGCTGACAGTGCTGCCTGCAGTCAGGCAGCTCACAGGAATCCCTGTTACTCCAGGGATTGGAGCAGTGTTCACGTCTGTTTCTCAAGGCCTGTGTACTATTTTTCTGTGACTGCTGTAACGAATACCACAGACTGGGTGGCTTAAGCAACAGGAATTTATGTCCTCACCATTCTGGTGGCTAGAAGTCCAAGATCAAGGTGTCAGCAGGGTTGGGTTCATTCTGAGGCCTCTCTTGTAGAAGGTGGCTCGTAGATGGCCACCTTTTCTCTGTGTCTTCTGTGTGTCTCTGTCCTAATTTCCACTTTTGGAATATGACCCTGGCCATGTTGGATTAGAGTCCACTCATGACCTCCCTTTACCTTAATAACCTCTTTAAAGGCCCTTTCTCCAAATGCAGTCACATTTGGAAGTATTGGGGGTCAGGATTTCAACATACGAGTTAAGGGGGGCACAGTTCAGTCAATAACACGTTGTAAGCCCCTCAAGGTCGAGGACAGTGTCCTTTGCAGCTCCATCTCCAGGTGCCTGATTCCTGCCCTGTCACTCAATGCTTATCCTGTGGTGTGACCTTAGACAACTCCCTCCCCTCCTCTGCTTCCTCATCTGCAAAGTGAGAGGTGGGCTCTCAGCATGTGCTTCAATGATTTTGAGACACTTGAGGTGACACCACGGATCGTTTCTTATTTGCCTTTTGGACCAGCTGTGCTACATCTCATGATCCAAGCAGCTGTCTTGGCAATGTAAGCTGCCAGTCACGAGGGCCTGGCCAGGTGAGAGCTTGTACACAGTCCTCTTTTGTCTTTGGTGGAGGCTGCCGGGAACAACTCAAAACAGCCACCTGAATGATGCTGGCCAAGAGAGCCACCCTTGAATGCGATAGGGCAAACCCGGTTTTCTTATACTCTTGCCTCCCCTTATGATAAAATTCCCCTGTGCCTGGCATGCTATTTCTCGCCTAGGCTGTCCCTTCTGCCTGAAGCACAGTTCCCAGGGACTCTCCACCCCTCTGAGGTGTGCCTCCCACATCTTCCCATCTCCTCGGGTGGGCTCTGTCCCGTTGCCATTGCTCCAGAGCTTTTTTTCTCCCGTGAGTGGTGTGCTGTATGACACTCACCTTGTTAGACATCACTTCCTCCACTGGGCTGTGAAATCCGGATCTGAGGACAGATCCTGTGGCCTCACCTGTGCCTCTTTGGAGCACACTTTGGGCACCTGGTGGGCACGCCATAAATGCTTAAGGAATGAATGAATGGCCTGATCCCTTTTTCATAATGAAGTCCTCCAAATGTTATTCAGTGAACTTGCTGACAGTTTTTTAAATTTTCCTACACCAAATTGTCAGTTTCTTACCAACTTCTTCAACTGTGAGGGCTGAGGTCATCTGCTGGGAGAGGGCACAGGGAGGTGAGTCCGTCCCTGCTGCTGGCCTGCAGGAGTCCCCTGTTCAAGAGAGAAGTCAAGTATGTTACAAGATATGGTACAATATGTAAGAATCACGGAAAGGGGCGATGGGAGCCATTAACTTGCCTGGGAAGAAGGAGGGTTTCACAGAGCAAGGACATTTGGTCTGAGTTTTGAAGGATGGAAAGGAGTCCAGCAGGTAGAGAAATATGGGTAAAATGTTCTAGACACATGCAGAGGCTCAGAGTTGTAAGAAGGCTTGGCATCTCTGAGAAATGGCGAGCCGTCGGGTGCAGCATGGCTTGTCTGGTTTGAGATGAATCATGTATGTGCACTATAAACACCCGAGTGCAGCTGCCTCCACTCCCTGTCATCCTCTTCCGTCAGCCTGTGAGCTCCTCGGTTTGAAAGGCATGCATGAGAATTCTGTTAAGACAGGAATCTTCTTCCTCTTACAGCAGCATCAGTGGTGGAGGCTAGGCAGAGGCTGGCAGGTGCAGCAGTTGGCACTGGTAGAAGGAAAGGAGCTGACCATTTCACATCGGGCCCGGGTGCTCAGCAGCACGCTGACTGGTTGCTCAGCAGAAACCCTGGGACATGCGGCCCGTCCTGGGTAGAACACAGGCCAGTGGAATGAGTGGGCCAGGCAGCTCAGGGCACAACGTTGTCACAACGGGGCTTTCTTTCCTGTGGTTGCTCTCACCCCACACTTCTCACTAAACACACGTAGGGCTGGCACCCTCCCTGGACAAGTGGATGATAGAGCCACAGCAGAAAGGCCGGGATGGATGAGCTCATGTTTCCAGGCCCCAGCTTGCCGCGTGGTCTCACAAAAGTCCCTCAGCCCCTTTTGTTCTCTGTTCTTTCATCTTTGGGAGGAGGGTTCTTATTCATGCCCTCCCGACCCTACAGGATGGTGTGAAGGCTATGTGAAATGAAGGGCATGGAAAACTCTAGAAGACTGGGCCCATACCACCATTATTATTTTATTCCGTTTGATTTTTACTCACTTTGGCAGCAGCAAGAAGATTCACTCCCATAGCAGCTACCTCTGAACTCTACAGTGTATGTGGTCTGACAGTAGCACAGGTTAACTGAGAGCAGAACAGAGTATTTGCCTTCGGGATTCTTCTGGAAAATGCCTGCTTACTGCCAACTGCGGTGCTTTCTGCAAGGTGCCCTCTTGCGGCCAGGCCCGCCCTGGATCGTCCTCCTTGGCACCGTTTGCTTCTGTGGCTTCCTACTTTCAGAAGGGCCTCCTGGCTTGTCTTCCGTGTTCCAAATTCTCATCACACTTCAGATCTCGGCCAAGTTTCTCTTTTTTTCTTCAGTAAACTTTCTTTGGTTGAAAGACTCTTGGAGTCCAGCCAAAGGTCTGTTTATCTCATTCCCCTTTTGCTTCTGGGGAAGTAAGCTTAAGACTACATCCTTCCCCCAAATGGACTCATCAACTCTCAAAACCCTCCCTGAAACTGAAATTTTAGCTTCCCACAATACTAAGTTATCTTTTGCTGCCCAAAAAACTACTCCCACACTTAGTGGCTTAAATCAACAACTGGTTATCATGTTTTGCAATCCTATGGGTTGACTGGTTCAGCTGGGTAGTTCTTTTGCACAGTGCAGGGTTGCCGAGGTCACCCATGTGGCTGCATTGGCTGGGGAACAGCTAAGATTGAATGTCCATGAGGACTCCTGTCCTCTGGGTTTTCTCTCCATGTCCTCTCATCATCTGGTAGTTTAGCTTGAGCTTCCTTACAGCATGGATGCTGGCTTCCAGAGGCGGCGTTCCAAAGACCCAGTGTCCAAGTGCTTATCAAGTTTGTGCTTGTGCTGTTTGTGTTCCATGGCGAAAGCAAGTCACATGGTCAATCCCAAAGTCAGTGTCAGAGGGGATTACACTAGGACATGATTACAAGGAGGCATAGTTCATTGGGGGCCACCATTGTACAGACTGTCTAGGTACCTCTCCTTTCTGTTGGCCTTTCCAAAAACGGCTGAAAGAGTGAACATTTGCCTGGCACCAGGGTCTGGGTGATTTAGGTAAAGAGACCACCAGTTTCTCCTTTCTGCAACGTCCTCTTCCCCTCTGCACATTCACAGCTGGAAGCGATGGTTCTGTGCTGCAAACTCCCTTGGGGGCTTTTTTTCTGCCTCTGTTACTGCACTGAGTCATTTCCAACCAATATTAAAATCATGTTTTATGTCTGTTTTTAGCTGAAGTGAACCATCTAGTGTCATTGCCACTCCCCACCAGTGCCCTTTTACAGATGAAAGAACTGAAATCCAGAGACTTTAAGGTCACTTTTTCGAGTTCTGCAGCGAGCTGGCGGCAGCCCTTAAATCAAACAGCACCCTGTATGTTGGCTCTCACCCTCGCTGCTGCTGCTGCTGGGCTTCTTTGGTCCCCAAAGGGGCTGAAACCACTTGATTCGCCCCCACCCGTGGCACTCAACTGCATTTTCTTGTCTCATTTCCCTTCCACCAACCCCTGATGTGGGGCTCAACACCTTCATTGCCCAGAGAAGGGAAGCACATTGCAGATAAGTAAGTTGTCCAAAGTCAAAGCTACTGAGTAATAAAAGGAGGACCAGACCTGGAGATTGGGCTTCCAAATCCTCCCCCTTCTTCTCTGAAAAGGCAGTATATGCATATGGTTAAACATCCCAATATTTCAAAAGGATGTTCAGTGAAGTCAGTCTCCCTGTGAGCCAGATCTCCAGGCCCAGACATTGTCTCCAAAGCTGTCTGCTCTAGCCGGTTTCTTTCCACATTTTCAGCTTTTCTGTGCAGGTACAACCGTGTTCACAAGCGACAGTGTGCTCCCGATGCTGTCCTGCACCTGGCTCTTTTCACTCAAGGATGCACTGCAGAGCACACCCCGGGTCTCTGCACGTGGCACTCTCATTCTTTCAAACTGCCACGTCATATTTCCCTGTATGGCTGAACTATCCGTTTAACCAGCCCTCTAGTCGTGGACACCAGATGCCATCCTTTATTTGAAATAGTTATTTTCTCTTCTGAACATCCAAAGCAGTGCTGTTTATGTGACAGCTACAAATAAATGCTTAATTACGTATTATTCCTTTTCCTCAATCCCTTACTGCATCTTTCCCTCCCTCTACCCCTTATCCTTTTCTTCAACAACGGTTTATTGGGTCCCAGCTGTGCACCCAACAGTGCTAGGCTCTGGTAGCTCTCCTGGTTTTCCGTTTCTTTGCTGGGATCCAAATCCCACTCCCTGCCCCTTTTTTCATGGCCCTGTTACTCTTATTCATAGTTGATTTAAAGAAAATTGGTTATAAATATAGTCACCCTTTTCCTAAACTATTTTTTTTCTTTGAGACAGGTCTTAATCTGTCGCCCAGGCTGGAGTGAATGGCGTGATCTCGGCTCACTGCAACCTCCACCTCCTGGGTTCAAGCAATTCTCCTGCCTCAGCCTCCCAAGTAGCTGGGATTACAGGTGCATGCTACCACACCCAGCTAATGTTTTATATTTTTGGTAGAGTTGGGGCTTCATCATTTTGGCCATGCTGCTCTTGAACTCCTGACCTTGTGATCCTCCTGCCTCGGCCTCCCAAAGTGCTGGAATTACAGGTGTGAACCACTGCACCCGGCCTTTCCTAAACGATTTAAATACAACTGATAAATCAAAACTTAAAACTTTCAAAATAAAATTTTCCTAAACATTTACACAGTCAAATTATCTTGTTTCAATGTAACTGTCGAATGTAACTTCGAAATGCTTCAAATACCTTAAAATTTAACACAAAAGTTTTTACTGCACCATACCTAAACCTACTGCACCCATACCTTAACTTTGTAAAAACAGTTGTTATTACACTGGACATGGAGGCTCATGCCTGTAATCCCAACACTTTGGGAGGCTGAGGTGGGCAGATCACTTGAGGTCAGGAGTTCAAGACCAGCCTGGCCAACATGGTAAAACTCCTTCTCTACTAAAAATACAAAAATTGGCTGGGCATGGTGGCAAGCGCTTGTAATCCCAATTACTTGAGAGTCTGAGGCAGGAGGCCTGAATCCTGGAGGCGGAGGTTGCGGTGGGTTGAGATCTCACCACTGCACTCTGGCCTGGGTGACAGAGGCGGATCACGAGGTCAGGAGATGGAGACCATCCTGGCTAACATGGTGAAACCCCGTCTCTACTAAAAATACAAAAAAAAAATTAGCCGGGTGTGGTGGTGGGCGCCTGTAGTCCCAGCTACTCGGAAGGCTGAGCAGGAGAATGGCATGAACCCAGGAGGCAGAGCTTGCAGTGAGCCGAGATGGCACAACTGCACTCCAGCCTGGGCGACAGAGTGAGACTCCGTCTCAAAAAAAAAAAAAAAAAAAAAAAAAAAAAAAAAAAGAGTTGTTATTGACTTGACCAATTTCTTTGTCATCTCTACAAAACATATTTTTATACTTTTTCAGGACTGCCCTTATTGGACCACAGAGAGAAAGATGATCTCCTTCCCAGGTGCACTGAGTGGCAGCCTTGGGCCTGGACTGGTGGGTTCTTGGTGGCAGCAGGCATTTGCTGGTGGGGGCTCCCTCAGACCATTTTCAACTATTAAGTCAAGAGGACTTACAGCAAGTTCTTGCAATCTTCACTCCCATGTGCATGAAGTCTTGGGTCCATGATGTTCTGCCACAGTTTACAATGACCTTCATTATGCATCATTAGCATTTCATTAACATTAGCAGGGCCATATAGCAGTTTAATCTATCAGCTACTCCCTTAGGACATCTGGCTAATCCATTAACTTCCAACATAAATTATTGAACCCCCCTTTTAGCTGGTTATTTATGAGACCACTGGTCCTGACCTGCCCTTCCTGGTTTTGGCATGGTTCCTAGTCTTCTGGAAGTCTTTGACTTACTCTTAGTAAACTTATCTGCCCCTCGAAACTTACACAAATATACCATTTCATAAACAGACATACAGAACTTCAAGTAAGAAATAGGACCCCATATCTACCAAACCTGTCTCTTTACTAAAATATCCTATTTTGACCCTTTCTTTGAATTGTAACTAGTTTTGTAATTACACAGTTATATGTCTATTTTTGCATATACAATGTTAACTTTTTATCAGTAAAGCCTCATGGCTCAACTTGTAGATCAACAACCATAGATCTACAGTTGTTGTGATATGCAAATTGTCACTGCCTCTTCCTTTGTCCTTTCAGCACTAACCCAGCATTTTTGGAAGGAACCTGGTTTTCTGAGAATAGCAATATGTTTCAGGCCATTCTGATGTTCCCTTACTCCCACACATGGAATTAGCTTCTTTGAAGGGGCCCTGGCTACTGCTAATGAAAACCACTCCGGAGATTAATACTTGGGTACTGAGAGTACACACAGGTGTGCACAGGCAGACCGGGGATGTGATGGCACTCCATGGCCACTGGAAAGACAGGTGGAAAAGATGCTGTTTCCTAATCTTGTAATTATGTTCATAGTGAGATTGCTCATATAGTTCTAGCATTACTACATCCTTCTCTTTTATATGATTTTTAAGTGGATTATTTTCTACAATGTGCCTATTTAGATTTTTAACTGTTAACCCAAACTGATTATTCCCACCTCTGATTTTATCATTTTATAGATATATATGTGTGTGTGCATACATATGCATATATATATATATGTGTGTGTGTGTGCATATATACATATATATATATATATAAATAAATTTTAGGGACAGGGTCTTGCTTTGTTGCTGCCCAGGTTGGAGGAGTGCAGTGGCATGATCACAGCTTATTGCAGCCTTGAGCTCCTGGGCTCAAGCAATCCTCCAGCCTTGGCCTCCCATAGTGTTAGGATTACAGGCATGAGCCACCATGCCCAGCCAAGATCCATTATTTTGAGGTCGCCTGTATGTATCCTTTATCAAAACCTTCTTTCAAGAAAGCATCCTGTGAAATTATGTTCCTAAATTATTGTTTTCATGTAAATGTCTATTTCTCATAAAGATATTGGATATAATGATAAAATTATTGACACGAATATATTCAGTTGTGCAAATTATATTTCTTATATAACTAAATACCATTTCATGTCGATAAATTTATTGACACAAATTAATTCACATACTAGCTTCAAGAGGCCAACTGCCACCAGTGGTCAGCTGGGAAGCCGCTCTCTTCTAGGAACCATCACCGAGGCAGCTTGCCATTAATTATATACTTTCGAGTGATTTACATCCAATTCCACAAATGTGTCTTCATTAATTGAAGGCATTCTGAAATATTACTGGCAAATAGAAAGAATAGAGATGTTTGCTGATTGAAAATGTGCAAATCACATAGTAAGGCCGTGGAAGAGCCAGCTGTGGACTCATCTCTCCATTTACGAACCTGGATTCCCCCACAGAAAGGGGCCATCTCTTAGTCATTTCCATCTGCCTATGGCCAGGACAGTTTCCAGTAATAATAGGTGCTCAGTAACTCTTCTCTGAATGATGAATGGGTAGGAGGAAGAAAATGCCATGGGAATAGTGGAGAAAATCATAGCTTTCCAAATAATTAACCCAGAACCATCATCCACAGTCCACAATTTCTTCTTTTAATTTGTCTTCAGCAGTCTGAGGTAATTGGGTTTTGAGACAAATTTTAAATTGTTTCATTTCCAAAATTCGTTTGGTCACAACATCTAGGAGCAATCCATCTGCTAATCAATAAACAACATTTAAACGCTGCTGTGAGAAAGGCAAACCGGCACAAAACCAATACTGTCAGCAACCCAGAACAACTCTAATTTCCTGACAGAAATCGATTCACAGCAAAATAATGATTATTGTAAATATTTATAGTTCTAAAAGGAAACGCTCATCAATGCAGCTTTTTGAGCAGTTCATTTCCAAATAAAGATTCTGATGGGCCCCACCTAGCCATGTATCTTGTGGTGGAGGACGTGGTGGCTGTGAAGCGACTCTGTGGCTGTCTTGGAACTGGCTCTCTTGGAGGCTCTCCTGGAGGCCTGGGGGGCAGTTTGGGTACATTTTAGATGTGGTGGGGAGAGGAACACTGGGCATGGAGAGGCGAGATCCACACCTGGCTCTTCACTATTTTGCTGTGTAATCTCAGAAAGCCATTTGACCACTCTGAACATTCCATTTTCTCATCTGGAAAAGGACAATAATCATATTGCCCAACTTAACCTTCCAGATTGCGAGGATGAAATGAAGAAGGGGGAGGCTATATCTGTGAGCATATATTTAACAGACTGGACAACTTTAGGGTCTTTTCATGGTTCCGTATTTCCCAAGAACAGGGTTAAGGAGCAGGCGGGCAGTCTCCTGAGAAATCAGATGAGTCATCCTGAAGCTCAATGCCCAAGGGAGTTTTCCTCCTAAAAAATAAGTGACCCCAGAACGAAGTGTTCATTCAGTAATATGACTATGCAACAGGCGCTGAGAAAACAAGATGAAAAGGACCTATAAGGGCTGCTCAGGAAGCTCAGTCTAGTGAGGATGAACGCTGTGCAAACAGAGAAGTGGGGGATGGAGCTAGGCCAGTGAGACCAGAGCTGTGGGAACATGAAGTGTGAACTTCAGGGCTGTCCGAGAATTTCATGTTGAGCAGCAACCAAAGAGGGTTATTCCAGGAAAAGAAGAACAGGCAAAGACTAGCATTTCAGGGGAACCATGAACACAAATCAGTTTCCCAAACTTCAGTCTCCTGAAGTCTGCTTTTACACTTTTTTTTTTTGGGGGGGGGGGGGCATGTCTTTGCAGCATGTACACCATTTTAAGTTGACTGATTTTTGAAAATGTAAACGAACAATTTAAAAACTTTATATGACTACTGTAAGTGAAAAACGTTATTTGTCATGAACAGAAAATGACCTTAGAACATGGACCACATCAACTCATTACTCATGAAATAAATAACTGTCAGGCTCAGTTTGTTTCTGAGGCTAACGGGGTGACCATTGACAGAGGTAAGGGAGGGAGATAATGACAGATAGGAATGGATGCTACGTAGAAAATATGAAGTGTCTTGGAGGGTTACTTTAGATGGGTTTCGGGGGGTGAGGGTTAGGGGCTGGAAGATATCATTTGAGCCGAGGACTACAGTGTTGGAGCTAAACACCTTAACATCAAAACCAAAAACAAAGTCATTAAATTTCCACCAGACTCAGCTGCCTGCCGAAGGCTGTGCCACAAGCAGAGAAATGAATGAGCGGGTGTTGGAGGCGCGCACATCCAGTGCAGACTTGTTGTGGGACAAAAAGAGACGAGAGAGGAGGAAGTCGCCTTGTCACGTGTGATCGTAGGCCGCTCAGTGCTCTGTAGCCCCTAAAACCCAGCCGGGTGGCCCAAAGGAAAGCACCCCACGCTTCGGGAAACGCCGCAGCTTTGAGCGGGATGCAGGTTGGGAGCACCCCGATGGACACATCAGTAAACTGAGAGCAAGAAAAGTTAATTCGCTGCCCCAAGTTAGGTAGTGAGAGGTAGAGCTGGGACACGAAGCGCACCCAGAACTCTCCTTGCACGCCCAGCTCGGCGGCCCCACATGCCGCGGGTCTAGGGTCGCGCTAGCAGAGGCCTGGCACAACCGCCAGACTCCTGACCCCGAGATCCGCGCTCCGGACCTCCCGAGGGCCCCTCCCTGGGCGTGGCTCAAAACGCGGCGCAGCGGAATCCGTGAAGTGGGATAAAAAGCACGGCCTCCGACTGCGAGCATGCGCGTTAGCTCGGCCCTGCCGGGCCGCGCTCGGCGCCGGGGGAGGGTCACCCGAAGCGGACGTCCGCTACGCAGGCGTCTGCGCCCCGTGGGGAGGAGGGCGAAGACTCCATCCGCCATGTTGGATGCCGCAGATTCGCCATAACCTCGCCGGCTCTTTTCTTAAAAAAATAAAAATAAAAAGCGAAGCGTCAGCAGGGCGCCCCGCCCCCTCGGTCGGCACGGGAGGGGGCCCGGAAGAGCCCGAGGCTTTTTTTTCCTCCGCGGTGGGGCGTTGCCATGGAGACGCGGGCGGCAGGTGAGCCGGGCTGGGGGTTGGGGTGAGACGGGGTGGGGGTGGGGCGCGGCGCGGCGCGCGGAAAGCCGTTTCGAGCGTCGAGTCGGGAAGCAGTGCGCCGGCCGCCGGCCGCCGGCCGCCGGCCGCGGAGGGATCCGGGTCTGGGGAGGAGAGCGAACGTAGTTGCGTTCTGCGGCTCACGTTCAGTCGCTGGGGTATCCCGCCGCAAAAAAAAAAAAAAAGCAAGGCGGGAGCGAGTGGGAGAGCATGCGCCCGGCCGTTTCCACGGCAATGGGTGGCGTTGGGGCGCGGGCCAGCGACGGAACGCAGTGGGCGCGAGGTTCGAATCCCGGCGATGCCAGCTCTTTGACTGGACCTTGGCGGGGCTTCCTTCTTGCCTGGCCTCGGATTCCTCCTTGGCGAAATGAGTACCTCCTGCAGGCTTCCCGGCCGCCGGCTGGACCTAATAGAGTGACAGATCTTCCACTTGACACCCGGTGCAAGTCATTTAACCTTGAGCTTGGGGTCCTTCACCTGTAATTACCACAAGCTTCCACATTTGGGCACTGACTTAACACGTTTTGCTGCTCAGCTCTCTTGAGAACTCTAATTTGTAGGTCATTTATTATGAGGAACAGAAGTTCAGAGAGGTCAACTTTACACAGTTTAAAAACGACAGAGCTGGGGCTTTAAAAATTAACTTCCTCCAACTTGGGCTAAAATCCAAACTCCTGCGTGCTCGCCTGACTTGTACCTCCATCTTCTTAGAATAGGGCTTGGCTCATGTAAGTGTTCACTATATACTTAGTGAATGAAAGAACGAACGCGCTAACTGATCACGCCTGCCCATCAGTCTGGCTTTTTTTGCTGGAGTCCAAGTGACCTTTTGGAGATGCCCCGCACAGCTGCCTCTCACCAGCTTTATCTTCCGAGCCTACCAGTTCATCTACTGAAACATCTGTAGTGTGTGTCCCCATGCTGAAGGAAGTAGCGTGTCCTACCTCTAACCCCCAGGGACACCTTTCCTGACTTTAGTTCAAATAACAGCTTTGCAAGGATCCCCTCTGCACGCCAGGCAGGGGTAAAGAGCAGTCCCAGTCGTAGTCCTGCCTCCACCTGCTGCGGTGCTAGATGTGGGAGAATGTGTCCTGGAGTGACAGAGTGGGCCCAGAGCCGAATATTGGGTCAGGAGACCCGAACTATATCAGGCGTGCTTTTTTTTAATTTAATTTTTTTAATTTTTTGGGACAGAGTCCCGCACTATCACTCAGGCCGGGGTGCAATGGTGCAATCTCGGGTCACTGCAACCTCTGCCTCCCGCCCTCAGGTAAACCTCCCGCCTCAGCCTGCCAAGTAGCTGTGACCACAGGTGCGCTGATTAGCTGTGGTGCCCAGCTGATTCAGGTGTGCTGTCTTAGGTTAGCCTAAAATGAGCACCGGAGAGACTTGCTCTCCAAATACAGGTTGAGCATCCCTAATCCAAAAATCCGAAATCGGAAATGCTCCAAAGTCTGAAACTTTGAGCACTGACATGAGGCCACAGTGGAAAATTTTCTATCTGACCTCGTGAAGGTTCTCAGCAGAAATGCAGTTCCATAGCCGGGCGCAGTAGCTCACGCCTGTAATCCCAGCACTCTGGGAGTCTGAGGCGGGAGGGTCCCTTGAGTCCAGGAGTTCAAGACCAGCCTGGGCAGTGTAGTGAAACCCCATCTCTATTTTTCTCAAAAAACAAAACAAAACAACAGTTGCACAACTGTAAAGACGATGCTGTTAACACTCAGAAAGAAATGCAGGCTGAACAGCAGACTTAAAGCCAGCCGTTGTTTATTGTTCTGTTGTTTAGCAGCTGATGCATGTGTTCTGGTGATGCTGCTGTGCCGCTTAGGTACCTTGAACACCTTGTTTTTCACTGTATTAATGGTGTGTCATATTTTTTACTGGTAAGGACTTATGTGTAAATAAATGTAAGAAAGTGATTGTCTTATTGGTAGCATAGAAATTCAGAGTCGGGAATGATGGCGATGCCAGACAACCACAGATTGCCCATATGTGTGGCTGAGATAGTGACACCTTTGCTTTCTGATGGTTCATTGTACACTTTGTTTCATGATCAAAATTAAAAATATTGTAAAATTACCTTCAGACTGTGTGTATAAGGTGCACATCAAACATAAATAAATTTCATGTTTAGACTTGGGTCCCATCCTCAGGTTATCTCACTATGTATATGCAAATATTCCAAAATCCAAAAACATCTGGAATTCTAAAACTTCTGGTCCCAAGCATTTTGGATATGGGATCCTGAAACTGTAGTTTATTTGGGAATAATAGGGGATTGCAATTTAGATACA
Organism: Homo sapiens; assembly: GCF_000001405.40. Taxonomy (NCBI): domain Eukaryota; kingdom Metazoa; phylum Chordata; class Mammalia; order Primates; family Hominidae; genus Homo; species Homo sapiens. The sequence continues at coordinate 134,710,514 of NC_000008.11, read as the reverse complement.
TGCGCTATGCTGGATCATAGGTACGTCCAAAGAAGTTGGGGCAAATGGAAACTTTTAAAGACCCAAAAGGGAAGTCCACCTAAGCGGTTTTGAAACAAAGACCATTGGTTTCAGAGGTTTATTGCAGGAGCTGGCATTAGTCCATTGGAGACAGGTGCACCAGGCAAGTGTCCTGTGCAAGTAACAGGCTCTAAGGAATTCCTGGCATAGTTCCTGTCATAGGCATACTTGCATGAGGGCCCTTCCTTCCTATCCTCTGGCTCCATTTTGTTAGAGTTTGACATGAGTGACTCCATTTTGATAAACGTGAAATATCTTTTCGATTGGTGCCTTCCTCCTCCCACGTTGTTGCTTATATAGAGAGAATGAGTTGCCCACTTCTCCACTTCTGGAATTTACCCAAGAGTTTTAAAAAAGAACCCTGGACATATGTTGAAGTTTCCTTCAATTTCCAGCTGTACCAAATGAGAAAAGATCATATTTTAAAATGTGTTACTGTCAACTCATGGTCAGCTAATTTCTGAAAAGAGTTTCCTGTTTTGGTTAATTTAGGAAAGGGAGTACAATGAATGATAAGGAGGTGGAGTTGCATGTGGTCTACAGGGCACAGCTGTAGGTGGCAAATGAGCTGAGATGGTCATTGTGTGAATTGGAGCCGTCTTACCGCAGTGCTCCCTTCTCAGTGGGCTTCTCATTTGCCTCCGGTGAAAGGATTCCTGTTTCTTTTCTCCCCATACCTTGCAATTTACATAACTTTTGCAAGATAGCTATTGTTAAGTAGAATTAAGCTCTTGCCTAGAGCAAGGGCAGTCAAGAATCAGATATATTAAAAAGTCTCCTTAATTGCATTTCCCTTTGTAGATAGTTTCAAGCATACAGCCTCTGAAAAACTCTGCACCAAGATGGGCTGATTTAATTACGTAAAAGAGATTTAGCCTAGAGTTAAGTTTTCCCTCTCTTCTCAGCTGTTTACCCTGTTAAAGTTTCACTGATTTGCAATTTCTCAAGGGCAGGCATCAACTTTAAGGGCTGGAACATTTAGGAGGGTAGAAAGAGCACGTGCTCTGGCTCCAGAGATCTGCCTCTCACCAGATTCCTGACCTAAGGGAAGTCACAGAACCCTTGGGACCCCAGTCCCTTCACCGGCAAAGGAGACACAGTCCTGCCACAGGTGGCTGCTGATGGCATTCAGGAAATGGGGTTTGTCTCTTCCCTTCCCAGAACCAGACTTCCCAGTGTACAGCTCAGTACATTGTCATCCACTCTCTTCTTGAAAGCATTTGTGGATGGAAAGGCAGAGACTCCCAGGCTCAGGCCACCCTCCCACATCAGCCTCCTGAATAGCTGGGACTACAGGGGTGCACCACCACACCTGGCTAATTTTTGTATTTTTTGTAGAGATGGGGTGTCACCAGGTTGACCAGGCTGGTATTGAACTCAGCCTAAGAGATCCACTGGCCTCGGCCTCCTGAAATGCTAGGATTATAGGCTTGAGTCACTGTGCCCAGCCGAGTAATTTTTTTTAAATAAGTCATTTTTAAAAATTAAATTAAATTAATTTATTGGCACGGAGTTTTGCTCTTTGCCCAGTCTGGAGCACAATGGTGTGATCTTGGCTCACTGCAACCTCTGCCTTCTGGGCTCAAGCGATTCTCCTGCCTCAGCCTCCCAAGTAGCTGGGATTATAAGCATGCGCCACCACGCCTCGCTAATTTTGTACTTTTAGTAGAGGTGGGGTTTCACCATGTTGGTCAGGCTGGTTTCCAACTCCTGACCTCAGGTGATCCGCCTGCCTCAGCCTCCCAAAGTGCCAGTATTACAGACGTGAGCCGCTGTGCCTGGCCGAGTAATTTTTTTTTAAAAGAGAAAAGAAAAAGCAGAGCAAAACAAAATAGACATTTTAAACATCTTACAGATTTAAAGTTGCCTCCTTTTTTTTCAAGGAACACAAAATATATAGATGATTGAGTTTACTTATAAAGATAATGCTTGGCATATTTATAGAAAAACACGGACTTAAAATTGGGTAACATAATCTTTTTTTAAATTAAAAAAACTGTAACGACATATTTGTTTCTTTACGGGGTATAATGTGATGTTATGATTTATGAGTATAATGTGGAATAATTAAATCAAGCTAATTAACATATCCATCAGCTCAAATAGTTATCATTTTGTGGTAAGTAAACATTTAAAATTTACTCTTAGCAAATTTGAAATGTACGTTATTACTGTATTCACCATGCTGTGCAATATGTCTCAAAGAAAAAAACGATTCCTCTTGTCTAATTGAGGCTTTGTAGCCTTTGATCATCATTTCTTCCTACACCTTCAGGCTCTGGTACCCACCATTCTACTCTCTGCTTCTTTGAGCTCCATTGTTTTAGAGTTCACATGTAAGAGAAAACATGCAGTGTTTGTCCTTCTGTGCTGGCATATTTTACTTAGGACAGTGTTCTCCAGTTTCATCCATGTTGTCACAAACGACAACATTTCTTTTTTACAGCTGAATAATATTCCGTTGTGTATATGTCCCACATTAAAAAAATCATTCATGTGTTGTTGGCCACTGAGGCCGATTCCATACTTGACTATTGTGAATAGCACAACAGTGAACATGGTTCAGTCATTCCTTTCAATATACTGGTTTCAAATCTTTTGAGTTATTTTAAATCATGTAATACATGGAGCTGCAAAAGGTGGAACTCTGGAATCGGATGCCTTTGTGTTCAACACAGTCTGATCAAGGCAGGATGGGTGGGGTAGGGACCTGGCCTTAGAGGATGCCAGTGGAAGCTGCGGGTTGTCTGAATAAGAAAGGGGCAGCATCCCATAGTGGGCAGTGGGGGAAAAGAGGACCAGCTCAGCCATGGGACCTGGAGCCAAGGACCAGGAGAGCTTGGGGTGTCCTGGCATTGCTGGAGGGCATTTTAATTCAGCCCCAAGACTTCTTGTAGGGCTCTAACTGGCTTCTTTCTTAGTGTTAGATATTCTCCTTGTGTCCCTGCTGGTGGGCCTCTTCTTCAGGAGTGGCTACCATTTCTCTGCCCCTTAGGGTTATTATTATTGCTTATTAATTTTTTTTTTACTATTAGGCTGGTCATCAGTTTACCTAGATGTTTATGCCAAACTTTGTGCTGTTTGCTAGGCATGCAAAGTCCAATATGACATGTTCTTTCCTCTTGAGGATTTCATGCAGTCCTGGCAGTGGAAAACGGATTCCTGTAGGAATGGGTCTAGGTGCTGTGATGGAAGTAAGCCTTGAGTATTGAGGGTTTCAGAGGGGGTGCATCTACCCCAGCCCCAGGGATTGTGGGAAGGCTTCCTGAAGGAGGAGATGTTTTGAGCTGGGTCTTGTAGGGTGAGCAGAGGTGCCCTGTAGAAAGGACAGCTGGTACAGTGACACAGGTGTGACCCACCCTTTGTGACCAGGTGAGCACTGAGTTTGGGGAGGGGCATGGGGTGCTGGAGGTCTGTGATGAAGGGCCTTTGAGTAGTGGGAAGCTGTCAGGACTTTATCTTGGAAATGTTGAGGGACAGGAAGATAACAAGGCTGGCTAATTAGCCTTTCAGAAAGAAAGATCTCTGGCAGCTGCCAGGAGACAGGTTTTTTCTTTCTTTCTTTTTTTTTTTTTTGGCGTACTATATACATGCTGAAATGCATAGACCTTAAGTGTAGAGTTTGACCACTCACATAACCCACACTCCTAACAATATACAGAACTTTTTCATCAGCCCAGAAAGTTTTCTCTTGCCCCTTACTATCCCATCCCTGCTCCTCACCCCAAGCAACCACTAGTCTTTTTTTGTTTGTTTGTTTTTGAGATGGAGTCTTGCTCTTGTTGCCCAGGATGGAGGGCAATGGCACGATCTCGGCTCACTGCAACCTCCTCCTCCCAGGTTCCAGCAATTCTCCTGCCTCAGCCTCCCGAGTAGCTGGGATTACAGGGGGATACCACCACACCTGGTTAATTTCTGTATTTTTAGTGGAGACGGGGTTTCACCATGTTGGCCAGGCTGGTCTGGAACTCCTGACCTCAAGTGATTTGCCCACCTCGGTCTCCCAAAGGGCTGGGGGTTACAGGCGTGAGCCACCACTCCCGGCCGCAACCACTAGTCTTGATGTCACCATAGATGAGTTTCTTCTTCTATAGAACATCATATAATTCTTTTGTGTCTGGTTTCCTTTATTCAACATAAAGCTTCTGAGATTCAGTAGTTTGTTTCTTTCTGTTGCGTGGATACAGCCATAGTCTATTTCCAGTTTTTCGTTATTGGGAATAAAGCTGCAGTGAATGTTCCCGTACAAGCCTTTTTGTGGATATTTATTTTCATTTCTTCTGGGTTAATAAGTACATAGGAGTGGAATTTCTGGGTTATAGAGTAGTTATGTTTATCTTTTTAAGAAACTTCCAAATAGCTTTCCAGAGTAGTTTGTATCATTTTACATTCCCATCAGCAACGTCAGAGAATTCTGCTTGCTCTCTGTCCTCACCAGCATTTGGTGTTGTCAGTCTTTCATTTTGCCTTCCCTAGAGGATATGCAGTGGTATCTCCCTTAATTTGCATTTCCCTGATGACCAATGATGTTGGGCATTTTTTCTTGTGCTTATTGGCCATTTGTGTCATCTTTAGAGATGTGTCTATTCAAGTCTTTGGGCTATTTTAATAAATTGGGGGCTGGGTGGTAGCTCACGACAGTAATCTCAGCACTTTGGGAGGCCAAGGCGGGTGGATCACCTGAGGTCAGGAGTTCAAGACCAGCTTGGCCAACATGGTGAAACCCTGTCTCTACTGAAACTTAGAAAAAAAAAAAAAATTAGCCAGGCTTGGTGGCTCATGCCTGTAGTCCCAGCTATTCAGGAGGCTGAGGCATGAGAATCGCTTGAACCTGGGAGTAGAGGTTGCAGTGAGCTGAAATTGCACCACTGAACTCTAGCCTGGGCAACAGAGTGAGACTTGGTCTCAAAAAAAATTAAAAATAAAAAATAAATTGGGGGCTGAGTGTGGTGGCTCATGCCTTCAATCTCAGCATTTTGGGAGTCTGAGGTGGGAGGACTGCTTGAGGACAGGAGTTCAAGATTATCCTTGGCAACATACAACATAGTGAGATCCCAGCTCTACAAAAAAAAAAAAACAAAAAAAAACCAGCTGGGCATGGTGGTGGATGCCTTTGGTCCCAGCTAATCAGGAGGCTGAGGTGGGAGGATCACTTGAGCCCAGGAATTCAAGGCTGCAGTGAGCTGTGAACATGCCATTGCACTCCAGCCTGGGCATCAGTGAAACAGTTTCTCTAAAAATAAATAAATAGGTAAGTAAATACATAAATAGGGTTTATTGTCTTTTTGTTGCTGGAATGTAAGAGTTCTTTATATATTCTGGATATTTGTCTTTTGTTGTATATATGTGTGTGTGTGTATGTTGTGAATATTTTCTCCCAATTTCTGCTTACCTATTTGTCTTTTATCTTTTGATGAACAGAAGTTTGTGATTTTATTGGAGTTTTATTTGCCATTATTTTTACATTTATCGGAAGTGCTTTTTGTATCTTCTCTTAAGAAATGTTTTCCTACTTTAAGGTCCAAAGAAAATCTCCTAAGTTTTTTTGTTTTTTTTTTTAAAGGTTTATATTTCTTGCTTTTGTTAGGTCTACTGTCTATCTCTAATAAGTTTGTGTATGGTATGAAGTAGGGATGGAGAATGTTTTTTTCTTGCACGTGGATATCCAGTTTTTCTAGCCTCATTTGTTAGAAGAACCTTTTCTTCCTCCATTGAGTTACTTTGGCTCTTTTCTTGAAAATTATGCATCAGTTCACTCCTGAACTGTCTGGTCTGTTCCATTGCTCTATTTGTTTATTCTTTATCAGTACCACACTGCCTTGATTACTACAGCTTTATAGTAATTTTTGAAGTATAAAGAATAAGCAAGAGAACACTTTTTGGAGGGACAAAAGTGCAGGCAGGAGAGTTTCATTAGGTGCTGTCCTAGTGCAGTCCAGGCTGTAGGGATGAGAAGGGACAGATTTAGAGAAATAGTTCAGAGAGGAAGCCCCTGGGACTGGTGAGGGCTTGGCTTTTACCTTAGGGACCTGCAGGCATTCCATCCATGTTTGTTTCTAGGGGAAGAGGAATGGTGAACATAACAGGCTCAGGGACATGAAAACTCTGCAGGTTTCCTACGTGCAGCCCTGGGTCTGTAATCTTCAATTTCCTCCTGTGGTGGTAGAGAGAAGCATCTTTTGAATTCTGCCTGTTTTTGTTTCTGAGTTGGTGCAAGGGGCTTGTTCAGGGCTAGCCAGGTTCCTGGAAGCATCTTGGGAAGACCCTTCCTCGGGGAGAGAGCCCCACAGGGAACCAGGCTCAGGTAATGCAGGGAAAAGGGGCCCTGGGGGGAAGCAGAACTGGGTGAAGTCCTGGTCCTGCTGTCTAACAGCCCTGGGACCTTGGCAAGTATCTTGAGTCACCATTGCCTCCTATATTATATATTACATGAAAATGGTCCCCACAGACCTATTTGGTAGCATGCTCGTAGAGTTTTCATAGAGGAGGATTGGGAACATACCTGGCATATGGCAGGGGACTTTACTCTTTTCCACCATCTGTTTTTTCCTTCTTTCCCTCTCCTCTCTTCCCCTTCCATTCTCCCTCTGTCAGTCTTCACCTTCTTTCCCTGAACATTTTATCACTTTTAATAGTATCTGGGAGAATTAAATGCATGAGGAGGGATTGGATCTAATCCCTCATGCAGTTGCAGGGGAATAAGATAGGGTCTGGTCATAACTATCATTTCTGTAGACCTGCTCAGTCAGGTGCTTCACACCCATTCTTTAGTTTATTCTTCACAAAAGCTCTGCAAGGTGGGCTTATTATCTCTGCTTTCCAAGTGAGGATACAGAAGCTCAGGCTGGTCCCTGTGGCTGTCCAGCCCCACTCAATCTCTCCCTAGTGCTACTGGCCATCTGTGCTTGCTGATGTGGCCATGAACATCTCTGAAGTGCCTGCTGTGTGTGAGGCCCTATCTGGGCTGCGTGCAATGGCCAAGGCATGAGCCGTTAGGTGGCCACACAGCACTACTCACATATCCTCTATGGGAATGGTACTCCCAGGAATTAGGCATTGAGGGGTCCTTGAGACCTGTTCTGAAGGAACTCGTAGTCTGTAAGGCAGACAAAACTAATTAAAATGAGCAAAAGGTTTGAAAGATACTTTAACAGAAGAATGTATAAAAATGGTCAATAAATGTATGAAAAGATGCTTAATATCACTAGTTCCTAGGAAAATGCAAATTAAAATCACAATGAGACACTACTACGTACCCACTAGAATGGTAAAAATTAAAAAGACAATCCCAAGTGCTGATAAGGATGTGAAGCAGCTGGAACTTTGATACATCATTAGTAGGAATGCAAAATGGTACAGCTACTTTGGAAAATAGTTTGCTGGCTTCTTACAATGTTGAAGGTACACTTATATATTAGTCTGCTTTCATGCTGCTGAGAAAGACATACCCGAGACTGGGTAATTTATAAAGAAAAAGAGGTTTAGGCTGGGTGCGGTGGCTCACGCCTATAATCCCAGCACTTTGGGAGGCCGAGGCCGGCAGATCACGAGGTCAGGAGATTGAGACCATCCTGGCTAACATGGTGAAACCCCGTCTCTACTAAAAATACAAGAAATTAGCTGGACGTGGTGGTGGGTGCCTGTAGTCCCAGCTACTCGGGAGGCTGAGGCAGGAGAATGGTGTGAACCCGGAAGGCGGAGCTTGCAGTGAGCCGAGATCGCGCCACTGTACTCCAGCCTGGGCGACAGCGTGAGACTCTGTCTCAAAAAAAAAAGAAAAAAAAAAAAAGAAATAGAGATTTGGTGGACTCACAGTTCCACATGGCTGTGGAGGCCTTACAATCATGGCAGAAGGCAAAAGGCACTTTTTACTTGGGGGTAGGCAACAGAGAATGAGAACCAAGTGAAAGGGGAAACCTCTTATGAAACTGTCAGGTCTCATGAGACTTATTAACTATCATCAGAACAGTATGGGGGAAACAGTCCCCAAGATTCAATTTATCTCCCATTGGGTTCCTCCTACAACGTGTGGGAATTATGGGGGCTACAATTTAAGATGAAATTTGGGTGGAAATGCAGCCAGACCATATCAACTTACCATAAAAGGTAGCAATCCTATTCCAAGAAAAATGAAACCTATGTCTATCTGAAGACAGGTATGCACATGTTCATAGCAGCTTTATTTGTAATAGCCCTGTCTTAGTCTGATTTCTGTTGCTTATAACAGAATACCTGAAGTTGGGTAATTTATAAGGAAAGGAATTTATTTCTTATAGTTCTGGAGGCTGAGAAGGCCAAGGTCAAGGGGCTGCATCTGGTGAGGGCCTTCTTGCTGGGTGGGTACTTTTTGAAGAGTCCCAAGGTGGCACAGGGTATCAATGGCAAGGGGCCGAGTTTGCTAATGTACTATGATCAGGACTCTTTTCCTCTTCTTATAAAGCCACCAGTTCTACTCCCATCATAACCCATTAATCCATTAACTCTTTAATTCATTCATGAGAGCAGAGCCATCATGGTCCAATCACATCTTAAAGGCCCCACCTCTCAGCAGTGCCACATTGGGGATTAAGTTTCAACATGTATTTCTGGAGGGAACATTGAAAGCATAGCAAGCCCCAAACTGGAACCAGCCCAAATGCTCATTAGCTGGTGAATAGCTAAACAAATTGTGGTATATCCATACAAAGGAATACTACTTGGCAATGAAAAAGGATGAAAAAGTGATGCAGGCAACAACCTGGACTAATCTCAAGGTCGTATTAAAGAAGCCAGACACAAAAGACAACATACTTTGAGGATGGGAGAAATTAGAACCTTTGTTCACTGTTTGTTGGAATGTAAAAACAGTGCAGCTGCTGTGGAAAACAGTATGGAAATCTCTCAAAAAATTACAGATAGAATTACCATGTGATTTAGCAACTTCGCTTCTTGGAATATATTTCCCAAAATTGAAAGCAGAGTCTCAAAGAGATATTTGTATACCCATGTTCATAACAGCATTATTCATAATAGCTAAAACTTGGGAACAAACTAAGGGATGAAAGGCTAAGCAAAATGTAATGTATACATAGAATAAAGTATTATTCAGCCTTAAAAAGGGTGGAAACCTGACACGGGCTACCACATGATGAACCTTGAGGCCATTGTGCACAGTGAAATAAGATAGTCACAAAAAGACAATTACCAAATGATTACCCTTACATGAGATTCCTAGAGTAGTTAAATTCAAAGAGACAGAATGTAGGATGGTGGTTGCCAGGAGCTGGGGGAGGAGGCATCCGGAGTTAGTGTTTAATGGACATAGAGTTTCGGTTTTGTAAGATGAAAAATTTCTGGTGATGGATGGTCGAGATGGTTGCACAACAATGTGAATGTATCTAATGCCACTGAACTGTATACCTACAAATAGTTAAGATGGTACATTTTATGTGTATTTACCATAAACACACATTTACATGGGGGTGGGGGGTGAGGGCACTGACTGAAGAGGCACCGGAAGCTTGGTGTGGGCACTTGGGACTGGTCTGTGTCTTGACTGTGGTGATGGCGACACAACCCTGTCTCTCGATTTGAACTTACTCACTTGTACAAGGGTCGCTTGGGCAGTGCCAGAAGCTTGTACAAGGTAGAGTAGGGGGATCAGTGACATGGTCACTGCCAGTCACTTCTGCCTGGGCTGGGCGAGGGGCTCAGGAAAGCCACAGGATGATGTTTGAGCAGAGTGACCAGGCCAAGGGGATACAGCAGGGGGCAAGGCAGGGAAGCATGAGGGAGCCCGACAAGGTACGCAGCCTCTGCCTCCCCCCGGACTGGCCAGAGCTCCTCTGAGGTGGGGTAATCACAGCCCGGAGTCCGACAGTGAACTTCCAGGTCCGTGTGCATTCTTTGTACAGGGGTCAGGCCTGAGCTGCCGAGCACTGGGGTGGAGGGAGGGGAGTGTGCTCAGCCGGCTGCTCTCCTGCTGGAGGTGCCAGCACTCTGGCTGAGCCATCCAGTAGCCTCTGGCTTGTGAGGCCCTGCCCATGTCCTGAGTCTCTACCTCCATTGGCAGGGTCAACTCCCCATCCATCTAGCCTGCCTTTCTCTCCTCTCCTTGGCCTTGCTTCTTGCTGAGTTGGGTGTTTGTGGGGTCCCCCACCTCAGAAATGTGGGCTCTGGGAAATAGCACTGGCTTTGGAGTCCCGGAGACCTAGCTTTGCATTTTAGACCAACAATGTGATAGTTCTTGTGACTTCTTTGAGCCTCAGTTTCCATTTCTACAAAACTGTAGCTAAACATGTCATCTGAGGATTTTATTCTCTGAAGAACCAAATCAGGTGAGGTACACACTGGACTGGCTGGTGCTCAGGAAGTGTTTTTGAGGTGATCTTGAGAGTTCTTGCTGAGCAAGCCCACGTTGAACTCAGTGCCTAAGACTCCATCAGAGGCAGCTTGCAGCTTTTCAAAGTCTGTCGGGGAGTATCACTGCCTGACAATGCACAGGACTTGCAGCTGTCCTTGGCCCCACTGCCTGTATGCCACTTAGCTCCCCACGGGTGCGTGCCAGCCTTCTGCCTGAGCCGAGGCTCCTGCCCCGGTGCCTTGTCCATCCCGACAGCATGAAGCTCTAGCACTCACGTTCTTAACCACCAGAGAGGTTATCTGCAATCATAGCTTCCACCGTGTCCCAGTGCTGTGTGAGGTGCTCTCCAGCCATCGTTCTCTGCCAGCGTAACTGCAGTTCTCTCATGTTGGGATATTATCTTTGATTTACAGACAAATAAACGGAGGGACAGAGAGGTTTGGTCACATGCTGGTAGGTGGTCCAGCCAGGATTTGAGCTTTGGGCTGTCCAATCCCAAACCAAACTGTGCTCTTTTCAGGCTACTGAGTGGACTCCATCACATTTCTTGAGCACCTGGGCCGTCAGCTCTTCCCACCCTACCTCATTTAATTTAATGAGGACCCAGGGAGGCAGATGCTGTTATTGCCATTATACAGATTAGGAAACGGGCTCAGCAGGGCAGAGTCATGGCACAGAGTCCACTCCTCACTAGGAGTGCAGCCAGACTCACCCAGGTCAGTGTGGTCCCAAAGCACAGGTCTTTATACCTGCAGGCTGTGGGTTAGCTCCTTTTATTTCCTCTATTGTCATTGCTTTCATGTCTCTGTTCCTTTCCCTCTTTGAGCCTTATTGTTCCTTAGAGATTGATAGAAGCATTTCATACTTTGGGGTTATTAACCCTTTCCTGCCAGAGTTTGCTGTTTGCCCTTGTGGTGGGTTTGACCTGCTCTCAGGTGTGGACCCTGGCTTTATCCTCAGTTCCCTACGCAATGCGGGGAGGGGGTGAGGGGCAATGATTAAGATCATTGGACTTTAGGGAAATGTGGGAATATAGAGATACAGTTGCAGAAATACAAGGTGCCCTGGAACACCAGGCTTTGATTCTGCCTTTTTAATGTTGATCTCACTCTCCTCTTCTTCTCTTTCTCCTGCTCTAAATTTTTAGAAGACAAAGTAATCAAGAAAAACATTCTGTACTTTTCCTTTTTAATCTCCTTTGGTCTTTGCTCTCTAATGGGAAGACTATGTAAGAAATGCCCACAGAAGGGCTTGAATTGGGAAAAGAGTTTTGGTGATGGGAACTGATGGCTAGACATCAGGTAGGCAGGAACATTGATGGGATTTGGTGACTGCTTCTTGGTGCCCTTCCAGGGGAGGAGTCAAAGGTGAGAGGGTGGCCAGGAGGGTGCTGTGCCCTGGATCCCTGGGGGTGTCCGGGAGGCTGGTTCTGTTGAGTGGGAGGAGAGTTCCTCTTTGGGACACAGTGGCTTTGACGATTCACCTGACCGTCTGACGCTTCTACCAGAATGTCCCAGGGAAGAGGGGGCATGAGCGATTTGTGTGGGGCATGGTGTTTGGAATTCTTGGATGCAAGGAACATAGATTTGATCAGGGCATTCTTTATTATTGGTCATATTATTTTAGTTCAGAATTCTTTAGCAAGACTACTGGAGTGTCTGAATAGTTGGCTGTCCGGCGCTGTCAGGTTCCCCCGCTGCCTCTTCTGGGCATGCTCTCTATCTCTTCTGCCTTCCCTTGCCTCCTTCTCCTTCTGCTATTATTTAGGTCATTCTTTTTTTTTTTTTTTGAGATGGAGTCTCGCTCCTTCACCCAGGCTGGAGTGAAGTGGCGTGATCTCAGCTCACTCAGCTCCACCTCCTGGGTTCAAGCAATTCTTCTGCCTCAGCCTCCAGAGTAGCTGGGACTACAGGCATCTGCCACCACGCACAGCTAATTTTTTTTGTATGTTTAATAGAGACGGGGTTTTGCCATGTTGGCCAGGCTGGTCTCGAACTCCTGACCTCAGGTAATCCACCCACCTCGGCCTCCCAAAGTGCTGGGATTACAGGCGTGAGCCACCGCACCTGGCCCCAGTTGGGTCCTCCTTCTGCGTGTTCCTGACCGGCCCTGGTGGCTCCCTTATCCCAGGGCTTTTGGAGTTTGCTGTGTGTGCAGTCTGAGCAGGTAGGAGGGACTATGTGACATAGGGGTCTGTTGCTCAGCACTGAGCATGTTAAATATTGTTGTACTGGCTGGGTGCGGTGGCTCACGCCTGTAATCCCAGCGCTTTGGGAGGCCGAGGCAGGCGGATCACTTGAGCCCAGGGATTTAAGATCAGCCTGGCCAACATGGTGAAACCCCTTCTTTTTCTTTTTTTTTTTTAGTTTTTAGTTTTTAGTTTTTTGAGATGGAGTCTCGCTCTGTCGCCCAGGCTGGAGTGCAGTGGCGCGATCTCGGCTCACTGCAAGCTCCGCCTTCCGGGTTCACGCCATTCTCCTGCCTCAGCCTCCTGAGTAGCTGGGACTACAGGCGCCCGCTACCACGCCCGGCTAATTTTTTGTATTTTTAGTAGAGACGGGGTTTCGCCGTGTTAGCCAGGATGGTCTGGATCTCCTGATTTCGTGATCCGCCCACCTCGGCCTCCCAAAGTGCTGGGATTATAGGCGTGAGCCACCGCGCCAGGCTGGTGAAACCCCTTCTCTACTAAAAATACAAAAAAAGGTGGGCGCGGTGGCTCACACCTGTAATCCCAGCACTTTGGGAGGCTGAGGCGGGCGGATCACAAGGTCAGGAGTTCAATACCAGCCTGGCCAAGATAGTGAAACCCTGTCTCTACTAAAAATACAAAAATTAGCTGGGCATGGTGGCGGGTGCCCGTAATCCCAGGTACTCAGGAGGCTGAGGCGGATAATTGCTTGAACCAGGGAGGCGGAGGTTGCAGTAAGCCGAGATCGTGCCACTGCACTCCAGCCTGGGTGACAGAGCGAGACCAACGGAGTGAGACTCCATCTCAAAACCAAACCAAACCAAAAACAAACCAAAACAATTAGCCAGATGTGGCGGTGGGCACCTGTAATCCCAGCTACTCTGGAGGCTAAGGTGGGAGGATCGCTTGAACCTGGTGGGCGGAGGTTGCAGTGAGCCGAAATGGCGCCACTGCACTCCAGCCTGGGCGACACAGCGAGACTCGTCTCCAAAAAAAAAAAAAAATTGTTGGATTAGTTTCCTGACTGATGGCAGCTCAGAACCTTTAATATGCCTGAGAGAGATACGTAGAGTCCAAGTTTTTCTAGACGCTGGGCGCTTCTCGCCTGCAGCCTCCTGGGACTGGAGCGGGCTCCCAGAGACCTAGGAGGGACCCCTGCTGGGTGGGGGCGGCTACCAGCCTCAGGCCACACCCCCTCGGAGTGCTGGTTGGTCTGTGGATGGTGTCATGTGCTCATTCTGGGCCAATCAGAGCCTCTGTGGCGGCAGGATGCCCTGTCCCACCTGGGCAGGGCTGTGGCTGTATTGGAGAGAAGCGCGGGTGGGTGGTGCCAGCCAGGGATAACTAGGATGGTAGGGCTTCCTGGGAGAGTGCAGGAGTCTGAGAAGAAAGGGTGTAGATGGAGAGGCGGTGGCCTCACCTCTGCATGCTCCGTGGGAAGCGGCGGAGGCGCCCAGCATCCCTCCTACTCTGCCCTTGGTGGAGGTTTACGAGGTAATTCTCCCGATGCGAGTTTCCACTCTGAACTTTCCTGTTGATTCCTGGGTGGTTTCAGAGGTGTCTCGGCTGTTCTCCACTCCTGGTCGCCTATAGCAACTCCTGGCAGGAACGCTGTACTGCTTTGCAGGGTGGCCTGGGACTCAGGGGCTGCCTTGGTTGGCTAGAGATGCGGCCTGGGTCTGGGGAGCCTCCTTGCTTAGAGATGGTCCGCGCCTGGCGGTGGCACCTCCTTGGTTAGAGATGGGGCCAGGGCCTGGGGGTGGCACCTCCTTGGTTAGAGATGGGGCCAGGGCCTTAGGGTGGTGCCTGTTTGGTTAGAAATGCGGGCAGGGCTTGGGGGCAGCTCCTCCTTAGTTAGAGACGCAGGCAGGGCCTGGGGATGGTGCCTCCTTGGTTAAAGACCTGGGTGTCTAGAGGGTGGCACCTTATTCGTTAGAGATGGGACTTGGGCCTGCGGATGGGCTCCTCCTTGGTTAGAGATGCGGGTAGGGCCTGGGGGCAGCGCCTCCTTGGTTAGAGATGCCGCCTGGGCCTGGGGGTGGTGGTACCTCCTTGTTTAGAGAGGCAGGCAGGGCCTGGGGGTGGCGCCTCCTTGATTAGAGACGCAGTCAGGGCCTGGGGGGCGGTGCTGCCTTTGTTAGAGATGGCCGAGGCCTAGGGGGTGGTGCCACCTTGGTTAGAGATGCGGGCAAGGCCTGGGGGCAGCGCCTCCTTGGTTAGAGATGCTGCCTGGGCCTGGGGGGGCGGTGCCACCTTTGTTAGAGATGACCCAGGCTTGGGGAGTGGCGCCACCTTGGTTAGAGATGCGGGCAGGGCCTGAGGGCAGCGCCTTCCTGGTTAGAGATGCCGCCTGGGCCTGGGGGTGGTGGTGCTTCCTTGGTTAGAGATGCAGGCAGGGCCTGGGGGTGGGGGCGGTGCCGCCTTTGTTAGAGATGGCCCAGGCCTGGGGGCTGGCGCCATCTTGGTTAAGATGGCCGGGCCTGGAGGGTGTCGCCTCCTTGGTTGGAGATGGCCGGGCCTGGGGGCGGCGCATCCTTAGTTACGGACGGAGGGCCTGGGCCTGGCAGCCGGGGAGTGGCTCTTGCCTTTCAGAGACAAAGATGGAGAGAGCAAGGGGTGTGGGATTTGCTCAAGAGCATGGCCAGGGGCCCTACTGGGAGCAGAGCCGAGGCTTCTCACTTCTCAGAGCGTCTGCGAGGGCCTTCCTGGCCGGGGTGCCTCCCGGGGAGGATGTGGACGCAACCCCCTTGCCCTGGGTCTGGAGTGAGCTCCTCCACTGCAGCCTGGGCCATGGTTAGTTCGTCCTCCTCTGGCCGCTGCCTTCTTCTGGGTTCTCCCTGCCTGGCTCCCTCCCCTGAAGCCCTGAGGCCCATCAGTTTGCGGTGCGACCATCCTGCTGTGGGCATGAGAATCCTCCCTTTCCCAGGTGACTTCATTTTCGTGTTTTTTTTCCAATGTGGAGATGTCTTTTGAGAACTAATTTTCCAACTTTAAAAAATGAAGACCTTAGATATATAATGAGGCAACATTTAGGGAGTTGTAGTTATAGTGATAACTACGGTAATGGATTTGATTGCTTTTTCTATTTAATACTCCGAATGTCTTCTAGGGAGAAAGGCTTTGGTTACATGGACACCTTTTATTCTTTGAGCCAACTTGATTTGAGGATTCCAATGGGGAGGGGGCACAGGAACACACGAGAGCTGAAGTTTCTGCAAGTAAAAGACCATGGATCTGGAGCTTCTGGAGCCTTTAGAGAGGCAGGGAAGATCCAGCGATGGGGAGGAGAGGCAAATGAACTAGGAGGATGGCTAAATGGAGCCTGTTGTGTGTTGACCTCTCCTTGAGATGCTCAAATACCGAAGGCATGTTGGATGTAGGGTTTGTTCTCATTTAACCTGTTATTATGACATAATTTATACTTACAGAAAAATGGAGAGAGTAGTACAAAAACTTTTCATATGCCCTTCACTCAGTCTCCTGAGTGTTAGTATTTTACTACATTGCTTTGTCCTCTGTCTCAGCCATTTGGGATAAAGTTGCAGAGCTGATGCCCCTTTGCCTATTCCTAAGTATCTTCGGTGTTTATTTCCTAAACACAAGGACATTCTCCCACATAACCACATTTCAGTTATCAAAGTGAGAAACAGCATCAGTGTAGCGCTCCTCTTGAGATGTCACTGATTGTCCCAGCGACACCCTTTATGGCGGAAGGACACCTCAGCCACGTGCCTCATTCCAGCGTCTTTTTTATGGCGGAAGGACACCTCAGCTGCGCCCCGCGTTCCAGCGTCATGTCTCTTCACTCTGAATGTGGAGCGCTGCCTCTGGCCTTGTGTTCCAGGACATTGATATTTTTGTGGAGTATGGGCCAGTTATTTTGTAGACTCTACCTCCCTTTGGCTGTGTGTAATGCTTCCTGGTGAGTGGATTTAAATTCTGCATTTCTGGGCAGGAATTGCGCAGAAATAATGCTGCGTTCTCAGCACACCATAGCAGGAGACACGTGATCATGATTTGTCCCATTGCTGGTGATGCTACATATTTGAGAAGGTCAGGTTTCTTCACTGTAAAGTTACTGTATTTCCCCTTTGTAATGAAATGCCTTGTGGTGAGCTATTTGAGACAGTGTGTTTATCCTGCTACTCCTCACTCCAAGGACTTTCTTCATTCAGTAGTTTCAGCACCCATTGATGATTCTTGCCAGACTTGGTTAGCATCAGGATGGCTGCTACGTGATGGGTGTCTAATTCCGTCATTTCTTCCGCATTTACTAGTTGTCTTCTCCCACCCCCCGCGCCCCGTTTTATTGAGGTATAATTAACAAAAATTGTATGTAAGTAAGGTATACAATGTGATGCTTTGATACAGGCATGCATTGTGAAATGATTATTACAGTCAGCTAATTCACATAGCCGCACCTCACATTGTTACTATTTTGTTTTACTAGTTGTCTGTGTAAGGAAGAACGTTCTCTTTTCCTTTATTTATATTTGTGTAGACTCAGGAATGCTTATTTTAGTCAGTGGTCTGTAATCTTTTCTCATTGTTTAATTTGGTGCTCAGATTGCCCCATATTTGGCCAGTTGTGTTAAAGTGGGCCTTTGTATTCCTTCAGCGTGCCCCCGCTTTTGTGAGGACTTCCTTACTTCTGGTACAAGAGATTCTGGGCTCATTTTCTGCTTTCCCTGTTCCAGCTCTGGAATCAACTATTTCTACAAGGAGACCTGGTTTCTTTTAGTGGAGAGTGGCATTTAGAAACGGAGATCTGGGAACTAGGTGAGCTGGGTGTCATTGCCTCTCCACCCTCTCAGAAACACAGCTAGGAAACAGAAGTATGTATGTACATATACGAGACATACATGTATCTAAATTCAAGACACACCTACACAATCTGTATTTCCCTCTTAAAAATCATTGAGTTCACATGGATTTTTCCAGTTGCAATTCAACAGCACAGTGTATTCTATCCTCTCTCCTTTCCATATTGATAACTCCCTTCTCTGACAAAGAAAAATCTGGATCTCACTATCCATAATATAGTTACTTATTTGCTCAGTCCTGGACTATACTAAAAATAGTTTCAGAATCAGGAAACCATGTCTTTGTGAAAAAGAAGCCTGCTACCTAGAGTTCAGTATTTAATTAGAGCTCTTCTTCTCTTTAGCCCGAGGCATCTGGTGTAAACAGCAGCTTCCAAAGTTACTTGGGTTGATCGTCTCCTATTTCAGTGCAATT
This sequence comes from Homo sapiens, assembly GCF_000001405.40. Lineage (NCBI taxonomy): Eukaryota > Metazoa > Chordata > Mammalia > Primates > Hominidae > Homo > Homo sapiens. The sequence continues at coordinate 134,692,686 of NC_000008.11, read as the reverse complement.
ATGGTTATTCATTTAAAGTATGGTTTTGTTCATTTGTTTGTTTGTATTTTGTTTTAAGATTTCCTCCCATACTTGTTTATTGTATTTACTTTCATCCTTTGACTAGGTGAATTTTGGAGGTGAGCGTATTTCAGTGAAAGGACTGAGTTTCGCTTCTTTTTGTTTGTGGGGCATGAACAGAGAATGGCAGAGGCCTGAGGGTGTAAGTTTCCAGGAAGGAGTAGAAGTCCTGGGCGGCCATGGCCCTGAAGGGACTTGCCCCATTGAGGTAGGGCTGGGGCGCACCTGCTGACACCTGGATTCTGAAACCCTTCAGCGAGAGTCTTTCTTCCAGTGCTTTGTCTTGGTTCTGGTTTCTCTTCCTTCAAATCACCATTCTGATTTGCATTTATTCCCATTTTATAGATGAAGAGTCAGAGAGTCAGAGAAGTTGTGTTTTCTCCTCTGCTGGGGATTGGACTGGGGGCTTTCCCACCCTGAGCCTGATCTTTCTTCCTTGGCACACCATCTTCCTTTTCTAGAAAATGAGCGTTAAGAATGACTTAGTTCAGGCCGGGCACGGTGGCTTACGTCTGTAATCTCAGCACTTTGGGAGGCTGAGGTGGGAGTTCGAGACCAGCCTGACCAACATGGAGAAACCCTGTCTCTACTAAAATACAAAATTAGCCAGGTGTGGTGGTGCATGCCTGTAATCCCAGCTACTTGGGAGGCTGAGGCAGGAGAATTGCTTGAACCCAGGAGGGTTCAGTTAGTTCAGATTATTCTCAGGGTTTCTTAAGTGAACACTCTGGAAATGTTCTGGTCTTCATGATAAAGGAAATGCAGGTAAATATCTTTTATAGCTTTAACATGGATCTTTTAAAGCACTTTACTATATTTTGAATTAAATGATATTGATGATTTTGGAGCTTACAATCTATTGAGGGAGACAGGTTAAACCAATAAGCACAGCATTAAATACATGATTACAAATCGTGGTCATATTACAAGGCAAATAAGCAGGAGGGAGTACCAGAGACCTCATTAATATTGAAGGGGATTTACGAAAAGTCTCTCTGAGAAAGCTAGGATGGAGCTGAGACTTGAAGAATGAAGTTCCTGAATTAATAAAGTCTGAAAACCAGCGAGCAGGTGCTTGCTTACCCGTCCTCCTCACCTTGCAAAATTGCAAGCCTGCAGGCCAGAACAAGCTGCCCTGTGGCCAGAGTTCTCGTTTGTCTTTTATCGCCCCCTAGGGGACATGTGTGTGAATGGACCTGCTACAGGTGGCTTGGGAGACACTGTGTCCGTGGAGGCGCCCGCTGCAGCGGAGACTGGCCTCCTGGCCACCACCTGAGCCCCGCCTGAGCATGGGGCTGAAGGGCCAGGATGCCAGGCCTGCAGGAGAGAAGACCCAGGGCCACTGGATAGCTTGTTCAGATGCTTACAGCACTTGGCTATGGGAGGGACTGGCCTTGCCAGGGTCACCCTGAGGCTGTACTAGCCTAGCATGGTGAGGGAAAAGGGGGGCAGCCTTTCTGTGGCTCCCAGTGATGTAAACACAGGTGGCAGCTGACCACAGTGATGCCTCTGCATCGAGGGGAGGGCCAGGTAGGACTTTCTGACCTTGTTTGGATACAGGCTGGGAAGCTGGACTTGGACACTCTGTCCTTTCCAACAGCAAGAGTCTACAAAACTAGATTATAAATAACACCACAGTCATGTAAAATTATTCTCATGAACAAAATGGAATTGCTTATTTATGTTCCTGGTGGGGAGAGTCTGTGTCTTCCTCATTTCTGATTGCACCTAGCATGGTGAGTGACAGATGTCAGGCATTCATTTAGTGTTGAATTATGAGGCCAATGCACATAAATTCAAAGAATTCTGCTTTTTTCTCCTAATAAAAACTGAACAGCCCAGATATTTGGAGAATACATTAAATATTTATTTTGTATTTTGGTTACCAGGAAAAATGGGCCAGATCATTTTGGTAGGCTGGGGATGGGTTGAGGGGATGGTTTGGAGAATTCTTCTTTTCCCAGTGTCTCTCCTTCCTTAAATTTAAAGCTCTACTCTGGAATTTGGAAAGACCCTAGACACATGTAAATACTAGGGGGAAGTTCATTCTTCAGGATTTAATTTGAAAATCAGAACATTTTATATAACTGAGCCCAATATAACTGAGGCCAATCTCAGACTTTCATAAAGCGGACATTTGGAATTGAAGTTGTATGTTTTCCACATCTGCCTCCAGTTCCTGCCCAGCCTGTTATTTTATCTCCTTGATCAAGACCTCAGGATCCCTGAGCACACAGTCAGCTTTTAAACCTGTGACAATAATAAATGAAAATATTCGTCCGTCATCTGCCTCTCCTGTAACAGTGCGGACAGGGACTTGGTCTGCAGGTTCTAAGTCTGCTAATTCTTTGTCTCGATTTTCCTAACTCTTGAATCTCAAAGAGTTTGGGGGTGGTGGAAGCCTTCTCCTACCCCGCTGGAGGTCAGGGAGTAGAACCTGTGTATTACATTTCTCTCGTCTGCAGGGAAAAGTTGCCTGGTATTCTGGAAATAATGTGAATACTGGGTTCATGCCTAGTCCAAACTTTGATGTGCTGTAGGTGAAAAATAACACACTGGCTGTTGAAGACTTAGTACACAAAATTTAAAATTTCTCATTGATCTTTGAAAATAGATTGTAAGTGAAATGATTCTATTTTGGATATACTGGGTTAAAGAAAACATCATTAAAATTATTTTTTCTTGATTATTTTATTTTAATATGGCTACTGGAAAATTTTAAATGACATCAGTGGCCATGCTGTGTATCTGTTGGACAGCAGTGGCCTGGACAAAGCATCCAGCCTCTTGCCCCGTGCTTTCACAGGCCTGGGCTGGAGTGTGTGTCCTTGTGCAGAGTCACGCATCTGTCCGTGTCCTCCAGTCTAGGAGGCGTCCCTGGTGGGGGCCATCTCCAGGAATAGTGCCTAGTACCTTTTAAGAAAAAAGTAGCTGTTGACTGAATTCGGCCTTCTATATTGTTTTCAAGCCTGTTTCACCTGGTAGATTGAATACCTTGACTGCTGGAAATGCTACTTGTTTTTCTCTTTCATGGCTCCCTCTGCTCTCTATCGTAGTATGCGAATCACATCTTTGTTGAATTAAAACATCCCTGAATTAGGGGAAGGAGGCTGGGTAGAGTCAGCATTTCTAAGGACTTGGGTTTTGTCTGGCAGGAATTCTCACCCACCATGGTGTTGATGCAGGGCAGGTTCTTGGCTTCGCTCAGGAGGGAATTCAAGAATGAGCTGCCGGTGGTAGTAGAAAACAGCTTTATTGAGGCAGTGACAGTGTTACCGCTCCTGTGGAGCAGGGCTACCCCGTAGGCAGAGCGCCAAGAGTAGCAGTGCTTTGCGGCCAAATTTATACCCACTTTCAATGACGTGCTAATTAAGGGGCAGATTATTCAGAAATAGCTAGAAAGTGGGTGGTAACTTCCGGCATTGCCATGGCAAGGCAGTAACTTTTGGGTGTTGCCATTGCAGTGGTAAACTGTTACGCTCTGGTGGGCGTGTATTATGGTGATGGGCAGTGAGGGGTGCTTTAGGCCCCTCTTCCCAGTTCTGGCCAGTCTTCAGTCAGGTCTGGAGTTGAATCCTGCCTGCCTTCTACCTCAGTGTGATGTTAGTAAACTGCAGAAACAGGGAAAAGGGCAGGCAGCACCTTCATCTGCTGTGTGCCAGGCACTGTGCTTGGTGCTTCACTGGAATAAACTCCTGCATTTTGAAAACCCCAGGAAGCAGAGTGGGGAAACCATGGCTGGACACGTCTCATGAACAAATGGGTTGAATCCCACCTCCTGCAGCTCTCGGTTCCCTGAGGCTGCAGCAAGCTCTTATTTGGTCTCTTCCTTCTCTTGATGGGTTGAGGATGCGATGGGATAGAAAATGCGGGTAGAATTTGAGGCCCCTGAGGGAGAGGGTGGAAGTCGAAGGTGGCATGTGTGGGACCCTGAACGAGTGTTGTCTTTCCAGAGCTGGAACTGGGTGACAATTCCCTGCTCCCTCCCAGGGCTCCTGACAGCTCCTCCAAGCACCTGCTGTGGCTCAAACTCTGGAAACCCAAGTCCTGGCTCCTTTTCTTCCTTTTGTTTCCTCCACCTTCCTTCTCCCCTTTCTCGTGGCTCTTTCTTTTCTCAGTTCTTGGGATTTGGATCCCTGATTTCCACTTTCTGTCATTATTGTTGCTGTGTTGTTTATATTGTCTCTCAAAAAGCTTCTGAATTGCCTGTGTCTTTGGTTTCCCTGAAGAAAGTGTATGTTTGTGTGCGCATGTGTGCTGTATGTGCATTTGTGTATGTACACACGTTTTGCGGGTGCATGTGTGCGCATGTATATGTTTTATGTGTGTGTATGTGTATTTGTATAGATGTGTGTTAAAGGACAGCAGAAGCAACTAGGGACCCAGTAGGTAGCTTTAGCTGTCTGGCTGAACGTTTCTGGATTTAAAAAATTCTCTGTTCTCTTCAGCATCGACACCATCTTTAGCAGTCTACAAAGCCCTTTTTTCCCAGTATTCCCCTACATAACACCCCCACCACAAGATCCCCCCCACCGCCCATCAATCTTACCAGGGCAGCTGTGGTTATCTCCATTTTTGAGCTGAGTCCCTACAGATTCAGGAAGGGAAAGGTGGCTCCAGTCACACTGAAGTGGCTGATGCCATGGGGTTTGAACCAGGGCTTCTGAGCCGAGCTCAGCGCTGAGGCTGGCTTTCAGGCAGCCCTTTACTTCAGAAACAAGACGAGAGGCAGGCCTGCCCCACGGAGGAACAGAAATACACTAAAGCAACGCAGACCAACAGCTGTCAACCCGGATGTGCGGTGGTGATGGGCATTGCTATTTCTCCCCAGTACTCTAGAAAATGGGAGAGGATTTTGCTCCTTTTACTTTTGATGTGGAAATGACCACAGAGACTTGGTTACTTAGAGGCATCACTTGAGAGCTGTGGGTAGGCGGCTCTTCAGGGCCACCTCGTCAGTTTGCAAATGGGGAGCTGTCGTGTCCAGGGTCTGCAGCGGGACAGGGGGTGTTCCTGTACCCTCAGCGCTTCCCACACATCTGCTCTCGGGGTGGGGGGCTGTTCCTGTTTATGTAAAATGATTTGTGGTGCTTTCCTGAGGGCCACATTTTAAAGCTATGATTATTGTGTTAAATGTGAATGTATTCCATTGCCCAGGGGCTCTCATTTTGAGAGTGCTTAAAAATAACTTAAAAGAATTTATGCCAAGTTTCAACATGGAAGAGATGTGTATGCATAAAATTATAATGCAACTGTTGGCCCAGCCCTAATTATAGCTGATGCTGAGTATTTCTCATTTTATTTTGTTAATCCAGCTTCAGCAAAGAAACACCCACGGGATTTCTCTCTTGCCTTTAATAAACACGTTAACTGTGTGAGCTATGGGAGTTGGCATGTTCATCAGCATTTTATGAGATGCATGATAATCATTTCACAAATTAGTGGTGTGCATTTATTGGAGCTTCAGCCCACTGAGCATCAGAGCTGGAAGGGAGGCACCTTGGAGATGATTTATGGGCAGGGGAGCAGCAGGAGGCAGGAGGGTTGGTTCATATTGTGTCCCTGCAGGGTGGAGGGGAGGTGGGTGCTGGTGGGTCTGCCCCACACCCTTGCTTTGGTTGAAGATGCTGTCTCTGTCTCTCTGCACGTTAGCCTCTGCATAGGGCTTGAAGACTAGGTTCCACTTTCAAACACTCCAAGGCCACTATTAATTTGGGCTGCTCTTCTTTCAGAAGAGACAATGAGGGATAAAGAAATTCAGAGACGTATGCAGAATCCATCCATTGGAAGTGTGAGAGCCACTTAGGAGCTGGGAGGCCTGGGCTTCTGACAAGGTGGGTACCCCTCATGATGCTTCATGTAGAATGGTGCCTCTGAGGGGCCAGGCACTAAGCTAGGCACATCGTCTTCGTGATGTCCTGCCGTCCTCTCTGCAGCCCTGTGCAGAAGGAAACTGAAGCTCAGAGAGGCCAAGTGTGTGTGCGCAGGGTCACACAGCTACGAGGGCCAAAATAGTGTTCCGATCTATGTTGTTTTAAATGAGAGGTTCACTTGTGAATCAGAATATCGTTTTTTTTCCCTATATCTTTTCCTTTAAAATTTGCTGTTCACATTTTCTTAGATTAACGTGTAACATACATGTAGAGAAATATGCATAGGATAAACAGCTTAGTGAATGTTCGCAAACTGAACTCACTGCATAACCAGTGAGTAACCAGTATCACATCTGGAAGCAGAACTCCCCTGCACCCCAGAAGTCTCTGGTCCCAGCCCCCAACCCAGGATAACCAGGACTCAGGGCAGGGTGGTTGTGCCTTCCTTGTAGCCATGTCAGTGGAAGCATGCCACCTGGACCCTGGGTTAGGCTTATTCCTCTCCGTGTCATTTCTGTCACATAGAAATGTGGGCATACACGGGAAAGCCCCATAAGAGTTGAAAATAACTTACTCAGGTTGAGAATTGGCCAGGTGGCGGCCAATCTGTGGTCAGAGTTGGTCTGAGTTACCTGCTGGGGCTGGCCAGGGCACCTGAGCTGTCAGGGCAGCTGCACCCCCTCTGGGGACCAGCAGCAGCAGTGACTCCACCTAGGAAGGGCAGCGGGGTCTGGTCCTGGGCCAAGGATGTGTGTTTGGGTTGTAGCCCTGCTGTGTGCCCACCTGCTGTATCACCTTGTAATCCCCTACCTGGCCCACTTAACTCGTCTTAAGATGGGAACAGCAGCCCCTCACTTACTGGGTTAATGTGAAGGTTAAGTGGGGTGACGGGGAAGGCACCAGCCAAGAGTTAGGCAATCAGTAAATACTAGCCATGTTTTTTAAAATTATGGCCTAGTCAGATGTAGTGCCCTGGTGGGCCACTGGAGGGTGATGTTAGCACGTATATGTCGCCCTCCCGTTGATGAAGGTCTGTGCTTTCTGCTTGACAGTAACTCCCGGTGTTGTTTTGCTAAAAGACTGTCTGCCTCTTACCTGGTGGTCTGCTGTTCCCTGGTTCTGGACCTGCTGCCAACCTGTGCAGTGGGCATGCTCATTAAGTATGTGGTTTGGGGTGGGTTGGTATCACTTATATCTGGCATACTGTTATTTTCCAGCTGTTGCTCCCCGAAATGAATTGCTGTAGTAAATTATAACAAACACAGCAGAGTCCCCTTCTCCACGTAGCTACTTTTCTTAGTTGTAATTAATCATTTGAAATGTCCCTCTAACCATGACGCTGGCTGTGGGCTGGGGAGACCAAGACTTGCATTCCTCACAGTATTGCTCACTGTGAGCATTACAGGAAATAACAAGCGATTTCCTGTAGCAGGGCTAGGTACCAGGTGGGTGGGCAGATGTGGTGGTCGACTTGGTGGGTCTTGGTTAAGTTCTGGCTTTTTAATTTATCTGACTGGGGGCTCTTTGGCAGCTCACTAACCTGAGCCCCAGGTTTCTCCTCTGTAAAAAGGGGATGGTGACGGTGGTGGTGGTGATGGGGATGACACCATGTACTGGGCTGTTTCACAGGACAGCAGGGAGGGTCCAGTGTGGTCACTAATAGGAACGTCTGTGTGACCAACAGGAGGCAGCGTAAACACCTCCTTGCAGCTAGTGGCTGGGGCAGGGGAGGGTGGGGGTGCCACTTTGTGCCATGAAGTCTTGATGTCTTCCTCTCCTTCCCATGGCTGACACGTGGAAACTCCTAGAACACCAGCTCTGGGAGCTCCTGTGCCTTTTCCTGGCTGGCCTCCTCTAATCCTGGTGGGCTGTCTGCTCACCTGGGCACTCCTCGCACCCAGCCCCCACATTTGCAGTTCTGGAATCTGGCACTTTGAGGTTAGGCTGCCCACACCTGCCACACTTACCAAGTTTCTCGTTGCAATGAATGAAACTTTTGTGCCAAGAATGCCTTTTCCCCACGTAATCTAAATCTATCTTGCTACTGGTTAAACTAGTTTCCTGTCTTCTTTTATTTTTTGGGTCATTTTATCAATCAAACATACCTTTATTACATAAAGGAAGGGAGAAGTGTAAGACATATCCCTACCCTGTCCAGTCAAACATCTAATCAACGTCAAGGAGAAATACCAGGAACCCAGCAGCTGTGTCTAGAGCTGGCGTGTCCCTATGGTGTGGGCAGCCCTGGCCTTGATCTCGGTCTTGAATGAGTGTTTGGTCCTGACCAAGACAAGTTGACGTGTCTGAGGCCCAAGCTGTCTGGGGATCAGTAAGTCTTCCTCCTGTAAGATGGAGATCTTATTATTTTGTCACTTGCTATCGCTTTATTTCTAACACCCATGTAAGTGTTTTTTTAAATTTAATTTTTCTTGGATTACACATGTAATTCCTGTTGTGTAAGATGTGAAAAACTCAGAGAAAATCTCCAAACTGGAAAAATCACACTAATTGTCATCCACTTACCCAAGCCAGGCACTGGTATGGGGTGTTAGGGAGCTGGGTGGATGGGCAGAAGGTGCTGGGTCGTCTCCTCTGTCCCTTTCAATGTCCCTGTACTCTCTCTTTCTCGTGGTCTGTGTGTCTCTGTTTTTTTCAGACCAGTTTCCTTGGCTTTTCCCCTGTAAGTTAACAGCTTTCCCCTAGTCACCCAAGTGGAAAGCTTTTTATCAGAAGTTGCAAATTGGCAACCCGTAGGCCAGACCTAACCTGCAGATTTGCTTAGTTTGGTCTGCAGGGGCTGCAGAGGTTTTTTTCTTTTCTTTTTTTTCTTTCCCAGAAAAATCTTATTTGATGGCCAGTGCTTAAAAATCAGGGGATTCCAACTACAAATTCAATATTTGGGCCTCCATTGACTAGACCTGGGAGGCAGCTACCCCATCAGACAGAGCAGGCTTTCTAAGTGCCCCACCCCCTGTCTCCAGACCTCCAGGATGGGCCTCCTGCTTGCGGGGCAGGAGCTTCTTGCATCCATTTCCTGTCCAGGTACCGGTCTGTGGCGGGGGGCTCTTGGTGGAGCCGCCACAGCTCTCAGTGTGCCTGCCCTGCCTTTAACCTGTCCTCTTTCCACACTCAAGGCTCTTCCAACAGGCAAGGCTCTTGGTTCTGCCCCCACTGGCTGTGTGGCTTCCACTCCCTTCTCCTTTCCTTCCTCCAGCTGTCTGGCCACCTCCTGGAGCAGTTCAACTTCCCCTTTTCTGACAAACCTCTTCCAGGTGCTCCAGCCACAGGGATCTCTGCCTTCTCCACACGTGCTTCTGTGGCCTGTGGTTAGTATGTTCATATGTAGATGCGCACACATACAACCTGCTTTCCTACCTAATTTTTAAGCTCCTTGCGATTCATCAAGTAGCTGTGGAACCATACAGGCCTGTATTTGATTCTTAGGCAAGTTATAGCTTTCTCATCTGTAACGTGGGATAATCATATCTTTGTGTCTGACACATTAGCAGAGCTACTGTGTACAGCTGTGCAGGTTACACACTGCACAAAGGAGCCACTTCTTCTTTTGTTTTTGTATCCTCCATGCCCCCAAGGGAGCCACTTCTAAGGGGGCTCATTTCACATAGTGAATTTGTATGTTTATTATGAGTTTTCTACAAATGGCTGCAAAGCGTATTATTCCAACAAACTCAATATGTTATGACCATTTTCTGACAGGGGGTGCTAGTGTCTTAAGGAAGGGTGCGTTTGTCCATTTCTCACAGAGGTGCCTTAAGGGCTAGCAGCAACCCAGCTTGTCCAGATCAAATGTGAGAGGGAGTACGAAAGCCTCTGGTACTCAGGAAATGTTTATCTCCTCTCCCTTGAAAGTAGGGTTGTTGTGCTGCCATAGAAGTGAGCTCAGAAGCCAGGCTTACAGCCTGAGTGTGTACGGTGTGCAGAGTGGGGAAAAAGGGCCTTACAGGGGAGGGAGCCGAGGTTGGGAGCCAGGCTCTCTCCCCAGCTAACATCCAGCCTGCCCAGTTATATGGAAATGTTTCTGAACTTCATTGATTCAAAGACTTTTTAATTTAATTTAATTTAATTTTATTTTATTTTTGAGATGGAGTTTCACTCTGTCACCCACAATGGAGTGCAATGGCACAATCTCTGCTCACTGCAACCTCCGCCTTCCAGGCTCAAGCGATCCTCTCACCTCAGCCTCCCCAGTAGCTGTGACCACAGGCAGGCGCCACCACACCCGGCTAATTTTTTGTATTTTTGATAGAGACAGGTTTCGCCATGTCCCTTAGGTGGTCTCGAACTCCTGAGCTCAAGCGATCTGCCTGCCTCAGCCTCCCAAAGTGCTGGGATTATAGGCATGAGCCACCGTGCCCGGCCAGACTTAGATTTTAGCATCTCTAAGATCAGGAGGCAGCTTACAGTTGGTGTGGTGAGAAGCTAGTGTCTCTGAGTTTATTTGGCAGCGTTTTTATCTTTTTTAGTGGTATGTAAAATATCCGTGCTCCCTAAAGTAGATGCTGTCTTAGATTTGAGGAAATACAATAATAAAACCTATTTCACAGGATTGTTGTGAGAATTAAATAAGCCTCGTATGAGCCTCTGCTGGTGCCAGCTCATGGTGAGGGTTTAATTTAACCTCCCTTCTCATCGGCTTCTTCCTCTTTCAATGCCATTGTTTTGGTTACAGCAAGTTTTCCCTAAGTATAATGACGGTAATGAAGTTGATGACATAGTTTATTCACAGCTGATTAAAAGTTCTGCAAGATGAGCTAAATGGAAGGAAAATGTTTGTTCTAACCTGAGTCTCTTCCTGAATATATAAAAAAGATATTTTAAACTGTACTCAGCTGCACATATGAGACTTTATTGATTCCGCTGGATGTGACAGCAATCTGGCTTTATGTTGTTAAAATATTTCCATTCCTATTGGGAAGCTACTGGCCCTTATTAAATTAATAACTTAAGGGCAAATGAAAAACAAGAAAACAAAAGTATAACTCAGAAAGAATTTGCCACCCTACTCCTCTCCTCATAAGATAGATAATTTAATAGGATCTTAGTTTTGGTGGTTGTACTCTCTCTAAAGTTAATAAATACAAGTAAAAGATAGTTACAAAGCAGGGAGGATGATTTATACTAATCAAGGAGAAGAAGTAAGAGATGTTTAATCTAGAGCTTTTAAACAGAGTAATGTACTAGTCTCATAATGTAGCATTTTGTCTTCTTGAGGGCATTGATAAATGGTTAATCATTTTGTAATAATCAGATCATCTAGCACTTATGGAGTGCCTACTGTGTCAGCAGCATCATCGCTAAGGGGAAGCTGGCATTGGGCTGGTGAGGCTGTCACTGCAGGTAATGAGTACAGGTGGTATGAAAGGCAGTGGGCAAAGGTGTGGCAGAAGCCAGCCCTTCAGACCCTGCCTCTCCCCACCAGCTGGTGTAGAGGGTACTGGGCAGAGGTGTGGGGTCCACAGCCAGCCCTTCAGACCCCAAACCTCCCCACCAGCTGGTATAGAAGGTACTGGGCAAAGGTGTGGGGTCCATAGCCAGCCTTTCAGATCCCAAACTTCCCTCCCAGCAGAGATGGGCACATTCACTGGGCTGCATTCTGTGTGTGCCTCTGGGAGCTGCCTCCTTCTACCTTTCTGAGCCTTACATATCTTCCAGGGTAGTTGGGACTGACTGGGCTCATGGATAAGCCACCTAGCAGTGTACATGATCTTCTCAAAATTATTGTTTGTTCCAGAAGATCCAGAGTCTTTTTGTTTGCCACAGTTATTTTTTTAAATGTGTATTTTGAAATAATTATAGATTCACAGGAAGTTGTAAAGATAATACAGAAGTCTCACATACCTTTTACCCAGTTTACCCAAAAGTGGTTTACATTTTTAAAATAAATATAAAATATACACAACACAACACAAAATTTACCATTTTAATCATTTTTCGGTAGATAGTTTAGTGGCATCAGGTACGTTAGTATTATGTAACCATCACCATCCTTGATCTCTAGAACTTTTTTTTTATTATCCCAACCTAATAGTTACATCTTATGTAACTAACTATCATACAATATTAAACCAAGAAATTGGTGCCGGTGCAGTGTGTTGTGTATAGTTTGAATCCATTTTTATTGGTGTACGTTTGTGTCATTACTCCTGCAGTCAAGATGCAGCACTGTTTGTTGCCATTTGATCTGTGTGAGTGAAGTGTAGAAAGCTTCCCACCATTTACATCCTTTTACCATCCCTCATTTTTTTTAAAAAAGGTACTCAAATATGTTAATTTTATTGTTTCTCAATACACACATTTATTTGTACTGAAAATTGTAAAAGTAGCACAAAGTTTCTTTTTATTACAATCCAAATTTTTGAAAGCCAGAAAATCCAATTATTATGCTCTAGCCAAACTATCATCCAGTGCTTTCTTTACATTCTTTCCCCACAAGTGACTTTGCTTCAAATTCTTTTTTTTTTTTTTTTTTTTGAGGGGGAGTCTGGCTCTGTCACCCAGGCTGGAGTACAGTGGTGCGATCATGGCTCACTGCAATCTCTGCCTCCAGGGTTCAAGCGATTCTCCTGCCTCAGCCTCCCAAGTAGCTGGGACTGTAGGCATGCAACACCTTGCCTGGCTAATTTTTTCTGTTTTTTTTTTTAATTATACTTTAAGTTCAGGGGTACATGTACAGAACATGCAGGTTTGTTACATAGGTATACATGTACCATGGTGGTTTGCTGCACCCATCAACCTGTCATCTGCATTAGGTATTTCTCCTAATGCTATCCCTCCCCCTCCCCAACCCCCAACCCCCCACAGGCCCCAGTGTGTAATGTTCCCTTCCCTGTGTCCATGTGTTCTCATTGTTCAACTCCCGTTTATGAGTGAGAACATGCAGTGTTTGGTTTTCTGTTCTTGTGTTAGTTTGCTGAGAATGATGGTTTCCAGCTTCATCCGTGTCCCTGCAAAGGACATGAACTCATCCTTTTTTTATGGCTGCATAGTATTCCATGGTGTATATGTGCCACATTTTCTTTATCCAGTCTATCACTGATGGGCATTTGGGTTGGTTCCAAGTCTTTGCTATTGTGAACAGTGCTGTAATAAACATATGTGTGAATGTGTCTTTATAGTAGAATGTTTTATAATCCTTTGGATATATACCCAGTAATGGGATTGCTGGGTCAAATGGTATTTCTAGTTCTAGATCCCTGAGGAATCGCCACACCGTCTTCCGCAATGGTTGAACTAATTTACTCCCACCAACAGTGTAAAAGCGTTAGTATTTCTCCACATCCTCTCCACTATCTGTTGTTTCCTGAGTTTTTAATGATCGCCATTCTAACTGGTGCGAGATGGTATCTCATTGTGGTTTTGATTTGCATTTCTCTAACAACCAGTGATGATGAGCATTTTTTCATATGTTTGTTGGCTGCATGAATGTCTTCTTTTGAGAAGTGTCTATTCATATCCTTCACTCACTTTCTGATGGGGTTGTTTGTTTTTTTCTTGTAAACTTGTTTAAGTTCTTTGTAGATTCTGGATATTAGCGCTTTTTCGGATGGATAGATTGAAAAAATTTTCTCCTATTCGGTAGGTTGCCTGTTGACTCTGATGATAGTTTCTTTTGCTGTGCAGAAGGTCTTTAGTTTAATTAGATCCTATTTGTCAGTTTCAGCTTTTGTTGCCATTGCTTTTGGTGTTTTAGTCATGAAGTCTTTGCTATGCCTATGTCCTGAATGGTATTGCCTAGGTTTTCTTCTAGGGTTTTTATGGTTTTAGGTCTTATATTTAAGTCTTTAATTTATCTTGAGTTAATTTTTGTATAAGGTGTAAGGAAGGGATCCAGTTTCAGCTTTCTGCATATGGCTAGCCAGTTTTCCCAGCACCATTTATTAAATAGGGAATCCTTTCCTCATTGCTTGTTTTTGTCAGGTTTGTCAAAGATCAGATATCTGTAGATGTGTGGTGTTATTTCTGAGGCCTCTGTTCTGTTCCATTGGTCTATATATCTGTTTTGGTACCAGTAACATGCTGTTTTGGTTGCTGTAGCCTTGTAGTATAGTTTGAAATCAGGTAGTGATTTCAAAGCCTCCAGCTTTGTTCTTTTTGCTTAGGATTGTCTTGGCTATGTGGTTTCTTTATTTGGTTCCATATGAAATTTAAAGTAGTTTTTTACAATTCTGTGAAGAGTCAATGGTAGTTTGATGGGGATAGCATTAAATCTATAAATTACTTTGGGCAGTATGGCCATTTTCACAATATTGATTCTTCCTATCCATGAGCATTTTTCCATTTGTTTGTGTCCTCTCTTATTTCCTTGAGCAGTGGCTTATAATTCTCCTTGAAGAGGTCCTTCACATCCCTTGTAAGTTGTATTCCTAGGTATTTTATTCTCTTTGTAGCAATTGTGAATGGGAGTTCACTCATGATTTGGCTCTCTGTTTGTTACTGGTGTATAGGAATGCTTGTGATTTTTGCACGTTGATTTTATATCCTGAGACTTTGCTGAAGTTGCTTATCAGCTTAAGGAGATTTTGGGCTGAGACAATGGGGTTATAAATATACAATCATGTCTTCTGCAAACAGAGACAATTTGACTTCCTCTTTTCCTAATCGAATACCCTTTATTTCTTTCTCTTGCCTGATTGCCCTGGCCAGAGCTTCCAGTACTGTGTTGAATAGGAGTGGTGAGAGAGGGCATCCTTGTCTTGTGCCAGTTTTCAAAGGGAATGCTTCCAGTTTTTGCCCATTCAATACGATATTGGCTGTGGGTTTGTCATAAATAGCTGTTATTATTTTGAGATACGTTCCATCAATACCTAGTTTATTGAGAGTTTTTAGCATGAAGGGCTGTTGAATTTTGTCGAAGGCCTTTTCAGCGTCTATTGAGATAATCGTGGTTTTTGTCATTGGTTCTGTTTACGTGATAGATGATGTTTATTTATTTACGTATGTTGAACTAGCCTTGCATCCCAGGGATGAGGCCAACTTAATCGTGGTGGACAAGCTTTTTGATGTGCTGCTGGATTCGGTTTGCCAGTATTTTATTGAGAATTTTCGTATTGATGTTCATCAGGATATTGGCCTAAATTTTTATTTTTTTATTTTTTATTTTGTCTCTGCTAGGTTTTGGTATCAGGATGATGCTGGCCTCATAAAATGAGTTAGGGAGGATTCCCTCTTTTTCTGTTGTTTGGAATAGTTTCAGAAGGAATGGTACCAGCTCCTTTTCATACCTCTGGTAGAATTTGGCTGTAAATCCATCTGGTCCTGGACTTTTTTTGGTTGGTAGGCTATTCATTACTGCCTCAATTTCAGAACTTGTTATTGGTGTATTCAGGGATTCAACTTCTTCCTGATTTAGTCTTGGGAGATGTATGTGTCCAGGAATTAGTCCATTTCTTCTAGATTTTCTAGTTTATTTGCATAGAGGTGTTTATAGTATTCTCTGATGGTAGTTTGTATTTCTGTGGGATTGGTAGTGATGGCCCCTTTATCATTTTTTATTGCGTCTATTTGTTTCTTCTCTCTTTTCTTCTTTATTAGTCTGGCTAGAAGTCTATCTATTTTGTTGATCTTTTCAAAAAACCAGCTACTGGATTCATTGATTTTTTTGAAGGGTTTTTCGTATCTCTATCTCCTTTAGTTCTGCTCTGATCTTAGTTATTTCTTGTCTTCTGCTAGCTTTCGAATTTGTTTGCTCTTCTCTAGTTCTTTTAATTGTGATGTTAGGGTGTCAATTTTAGATCTCTCCTACTTTTTCTTGTGGTCATTTAGTGCTATAAATTTCCCTCTACACACTGCTTTAAATGTGTCCCAGAGATTCTGGTATGTTGTGTCTTTGTTCTCATTGGTTTCAAAGAACATCTTTATTTCTGCCTTCATTTTGTGATGTACCCAGTAGTCATTCAGGAGCAGGTTGTTCAGTTCCCATGTAATTGAGCGGTTTTGAGTGAGTTTCTTAATCCTGAGTTCTAATTTGATTGCACTGTGGTCTGAGAGACTGTTTGTTATGATTTCCGTTCTTTTGCATTTGCTGAGGAGTGTTTTACTTCCAATTATGTGGTCAATTTTAGAATAAGTGTAATGTGGTGCTGAGAAGAATGTTTATTCTGTTGATTTGGGGTGGAGAGTTCTGTAGATATCTATTAGGTCAGCTTGGCCCAGAGCTGAGTTCAAGTCCTGGATATCCTTGTTAATTTTCCATCTCATTGATCTGTCTAATATTGACAGTGAGGTGTTAAAGTTTCCCACTATTACTGTGTGGGAGTCTAAGTCTCTTTGTAGGTCTTTAAGAAGTTGTTTTATGAATCTGGGTGCACCTGTATCGGGTGCGTATATATTTAGGATAGTTAGCTCTTCTTGTTGCATGGATCCCTTTACCATTATGTAATGCACTTCTTTGTATCTTTTGATCTTTGTTGGTTTAAAGTCTGTTTTATCAGAGACTAGGATTGCAACCCCTGGGATTTTTTTTTTTTTTTTTTTTTTTGCTTTCCATTTGCTTGGTAGATCTTCCTCCATCCCTTTATTTTGTGCCTTTGTGTGTTTGCACATGAAATGGGTCTCCTGAATACAGCACACTCTTTATCTAATTTGCCAGTCTGTATCTTTTAATTGGGGCATTTAGACCATTTATATTTAAGGTTGATATTGTTATGTGTGAATTTGATCCTGTCATTATGATGCTGGCTGGTTATTTTGCCCATTAGTTGATGCAGTTTCTTCATAGCATTGATGGTCTTTACAACTTGGTATGTTTTTGCAGTGGCTGGTGCTGGTTGTTCCTTTCTATGTTTAGTGCTTCCTTCAGGAGGTCTTGTAGGGCAGGCCTGGTGGTGACAAAAATCTCTCAGTGTTTGCTTGTCTGTAAAGGATTTTATTTCTCCTTCACTTATGAAGCTTAGTTTGGCCGGATATGAAATTCTGGGTTGAAATTTCTTTTCTTCAAGAATGTTGAATATTGGCTCCTACTCTCTTCTGGCTTGTAGGGTTTCTGCCGAGAGATCCGCTGTTAGTCAGATGGGCTTCCCTTTGTGGCTAACCCGACCTTTCTCTCTGGCTGTTGCCTTCATTTCAACCTTGGTGAATTTGATGATTATGTGTCTTGGGGTTGCTCTTCTCGAGGAATATTCTTAGGGTGTTCTCTGCATTTCTTGAATTTGAATGTTGGCCGGCCTTGCTAGGTTGGGGAAGTTCTCCTGGATAATATCCTGCAGAGTGTTTTCCAACTTGGTTCCATTCTCTCTATCACTTTCAGGTATACCAATCAAACGTAGATTTGATCTTTTCACGTAGTCCCATATTTCTTGGAGGCTTTGTTTGCTTCTTTTCACCCTTTTTTCTCTAATCTTGTCTTCTCACTTTATTTCATTGAGTTGATCTTCAATTTCTGATATCCTTTCTTCTACTTGATCGATTTGGCTATTGATACTTGTATATGCTTCATGAAATTTTCGTGCTGTGTTTTTCAGCTCCATCAGGTCATTTATTTTCTTCTCTAAGCTGGTTGTTCTAGTTAGGAATGTGTCTAACCTTTTTTCCAGGTTTTTAGCTTCCTTGCATTGGGTTAGAACATGCTCCTTTAGCTTGGAGGAATTTATTACCCACCTTCTGAAGCCTACTTCTGTCAATTTGTCAAACTCATTCTCCGTCCAGCTTTGTCCCCTCGCTGGCGAGGAGTTGTGATCCTTTGGAGGAGAAGAGGCTTTCTGGTTTTTGGAATTTTCAGCCTTTTTGCGCTGGTTTCTCCACATCTTCGTTGATTTACCTACCTTTGGTCTTTGATGTTGGTGATGCTGATACTATTCCATTCTGTTTGTCAGTTTTCCTTCTAACAGTCAGGCCCCTCTGCTGCAGGTCTGCTGGAGTTTGCTGGAGGTCCGCTCCATACCCTGTTTGCCTGGGTATCACCAGTGGAGGCTGCAGAACAACAAAGATTGCTGCCTGTTCCTGCCTCTGGAAGCTTCGTCCCAGAGGGGCACCTGCCAGATGCCAGCCAGAGCTCTCCTGTATGAGGTGTCTGTTGGCCCCTACTGGGAGGTGTCTCCCAGTCTGGATACACGGGGTGGGGAGGTCAGGGACCCATTTGAGGAGGCAGTCTGTCCCTTATCAGAGTTCAAACGCCATTCTGGGAGAACCGCTGCTCTCTTCAGAGCTGTCAGGCAGGGATGTTTAAGACTGCTGAGGCTCCACCCACAGCTGCCCCTTCCCACAGGTGCTCCGTCCCAGGGAGCTGTGGTGGGCTCCATGCAGTTCGAACTTCCTGGCAGCTTTTGTTACACTGTGAGGGTAAAACCGCCTACTCAGGCCTCAGCAATGATGGATGCCCCTTCCCCCACCAAGCTCCAGCATCCCAGGTTGGCCTCAGACTGCTGTGCTAGCAGTGAGAATTTCGAGCCAGTGGATCTTAGCTTGCTAGGCTCTAGGGGTGGGACCTGCCGAGCCAGGCACCAGAGAAAATCTCCTGGTCTACCGATTGTGAAGACCATAGGAAAAGCGCAGTACCTGGGCTGGAATGCACCATTCCTCCCGGTACAGCCTCTCACGGCTTCCCTTGGCTAGGAAAGGGAAAATCTCCCGACCCCTTGTGCTTCCCAGGTGAGGCAATGCCCCACCTTGCTTTGGCTTGCCCTCTGGGGTACACCCACTGTCCAACCAGACTGAATATGATGAACTGGCTACCTCAGCTGGAAATGCAGGAATTACCCACCTTCTGCTTCGCTCTCACTGGGAGCTGCAGACCAAAGCTGTTCCTATTCGGCCATCTTGCCAGCTACCTCAGTTTTTTCTATTTTTAGTAGAGACGGGATTTCACCATTAGGCCAGGCTGGTCTCGAACTCTTGACCTCAGGTGATCTGCCCACCTCGGCCTCTCAAAGTGCTGGGATTATAGGCGTGAGCCACTGTGCCTGGCCTGCTTCAAATTCTTGATGTTGGGTTTCCTGTCACTGACTTTAGGCTTCTAAAATACATGGGAATACTTATGTCCTTTTGGTGCTTTTTTAGATCAAATCAGTAAGTAGAGCTAAAATATACTGAGGTTATTCAAATACATTCAAACTACACAGATCACTTATAAATAACTGGTATCATGGTAGGAAGGAAAAGATACAAGCAGACAGAACACATCATAGAATTCATTATCAAAATTATTCGTATATAGTTTATTCTAGCTATATATCCTGCTATGTAAAATTACCAGCAAGAAAGAAAAGTACAAGAATAAGGTTTATGGCTGAAGTGACTTGGTGTCATAATCCCCAATTCTAGCATTCTCAGAAGGATCCTATCTGTTAAATATGCAGAAACTGCAGCAACATTGGAATGGTTTACTTCTTCATTCATTCTGAAGTCCTTTAAGTTGAGTGTTTGTTAGTTCTCTTTCAAGCCTAGGAACTGTGCTGAGTAATGGGTATCTCAATTTTGCCATTCTTTCTTTCTGCACAGATAGCAGTGTTTTTACTCCTCTACTCTTGTAAAGCAAGTCATCTCTGATTTACTTGAGGATCATTGCTCTTGTATGCTATTGTTGGAGTGACTATTGTTGGGGTGAACCTGTGGTAGAAGGGAAGGGAATTCAGTACAAGGGTTGAGAGTCAAGTTATGAAGGTTATCAACATCTCAGAGCAGAAGTTTGAGAGGACTCCCTCCCTCATTCATGGTATAATTGTTGTATTTCTTCTACATACATTGAGAACCACTTCCCACAGAGATAGGCTTTTTGTTTCAACCGTCAAACGTAATTTAGAAGACTTAAGAGGAAAATCTGGTGTATTTACCCATATTTTTATACTTTCCCTTCTTCTTTCTTTTTGATGTTCTAAGATTTATTGTTTTTATATTTTCTTCCTGTTTAGGGAACTTCCTTTATCCATTCTATTAGGTTATATCTACTGGTGACAAATTATGCCAGTTTTTCTTCCTTTGAAAATATCTTGATTTCCCCTCCATTCCTGAAGGATATTTTCACTGGACATGGAATTTTAGGTGGACAGTTCTTTTCTTTCAACATTTGAAAAATGTTGTGCCATTTCCGTCTGAGTTCCATTGTATATGATGATAAATCTGCTGTCATTCACATAATTTTCCTCTACAGACTTTTTTTCATTACTTTTACATTTTTTCTTTGTCTTTAGTTTTCAGAGATTTGATTATGATGTGTCTTGGCATGGATTTCTTTTTTTTTATTATTATACTTTAAGTTCTAGGGTACATGTGCACAACGTGCAGGTTTGTTACATATGTATACATGTGCCATGTTGGTATGCTGCACCCATTAACTTGTCATTTACATTAGGTATATCTCCTAATGCTATCCTTCCACCCTGCCCCCACCCTACAACAGGCCCCGGTGTGTGATGTTCCCTTTCCTGTGTCCAAGTGTTCTCATTGTTCAGTTCCACCTCCAGCTTTATGCCTCCAGCTTTGTTCTTTTGGCTTAGGATTGTCTTGGCAATGTGGGCTCTTTTTTGGTTCCATATGAACTTTAAAGTAGTTTTTTCCAATTCTGTGAAGAAAGTCATTGGTAGCTTGATGGGGATGGCATTGAATCTATAAATTACCTTGGGCAGTATGGCCATTTTCACAATATTGATTCTTCCTATCCATGAACATGGAATGTTCTTCCATTTGTTTGTATCCTCTTTTATTTCCTTGAGCAGTGGTTTGTAGTTCTCCTTGAAGAGGTCCTTCACATCCCTTGTAAGTTGTATTCCTAGGTATTTTATTCTCTTTGAAGCAATTGTGAATGGGAGTTCACTCATGATTTGGCTCTCTGTTTGTCCGTTATTGGTGTATAAGAATGCTTGTGATCTTTGCACATTGATTTTGTATCCTGAGACTTTGCTGAAGTTGCTTATCAGCTTAAGGAGATTTTGGGCTGAGACAATGGGGTTTTCTAAATATACAATCATGTCATCTGCAAACAGGGACAATTTGACTTCCTCTTTTCCTAATTGAATACACTTTATTTCTTTGTCCTGCCTGATTGCCCTGGCCAGAACTTCCAACACTGGGTTGAATAGCAGTGGTGAGAGAGGGCATCCCTGTCTTGTGCCAGTTTTTAAAGGGAATGCTTCCAGTTTTTGCCCATTCAGTATGATATTGGCTGTGGGTTAGTCATAAATAGCTCTTATTATTTTGAGATACGTCCCATCAATACCTAATTTATTGAGAGTTTTTAACATGAAGGGCTGTTGAATTTTGTTGAAGGCCTTTTCTGCATCTATTGAGATAATCATGTGGTTTTTGTCTTTGTTTCTGTTTATATGCTGGATTACATTTATTGATTTGTGTATGTTGAACCAGCCTTGCATCCCAGGGATGAAGCCCACTTGATCATGGTGGATAAGCTTTTTGATGTGCTGCCGGATTCGGTTTGCCAGTATTTTATTGAGGATTTTTGCATCGATGTTCATCAGGGATATTGGTCTAAAATTCTCTTTTTTTGTTGTGTCTCTGCCAGGCTTTGGTATCAGGACGATGCTGGCCTCATAAAATGAGTTAGGGAGGATTCCCTCTTTTTCTATTGATTGGAACAGTTTCAGAATGAATGGTACCAGCTCCTCCTTGTACCTCTGGTAGAATCTGGCTGTGAATCCATCTGGTCCTGGACTTTTTTTGGTTGGTATGCTATTAATTATTGCCTCAATTTCAGAGCCTGTTATTGGTCTATTCAGAGATTGAACTTCTTCCTGGTTTACTCTTGGGAGGGTGTATGTGTCCAGGAATTTATCCATTTCTTCTAGATTTTCTAGTTTATTTACATAGAGGTGTTTATAGTATTCTCTGATGGTAGTTTGTATTTCTGTGGGATCGGTGGTGATATCCCCTTTATCATTTTTTATTGTGTCTATTTGATTCTTCTCTGTTTTCTTCTTTATTAGTGTGGCTAGTAGTCTATCAATTTTGTTGATCTTTTCAAAAAACCAGCTCCTGGATTCATTGAGTTTTTGAAGGTTTTTTTGTGTTTCTATCTCCTTCAGTTCTTCTCTGATCTTAGTTATTTCTTGCCTTCTGCTGGCTTTTGAATGTGTTTGCTCTTGCTTCTTTAGTTCTTTTAATTGTGACGTTAGGGTGTCAATTTTAGTTCTTCCCTGCTTTCTCTTGTGGGCATTTAGTGCTATAAATTTCCCTGTACACACTGCTTTAAATGTGTCCCAGAGATTCTGGTATGTTGTGTCTTTGTTCTCATTGGTTTCAAAGAACATCTTTATTTCTGCTTTCATTTAGTTATGTACTCAGTAGTCATTCAGGAGCAGGTTGTTCAGTTTCCATGTAGTTGAGCGATTTTGATTGAGTTTCTTAATCCTGAGTTCTAGTTTGATTGCACTGTGGTCTGAGAGACAGTTTGTTATAATTTCTGTTCTTTTACATTTGCTGAGGAGTGCTTTACTTCCAACTATGTGGTCAATTTTGGATTAAGTGTGATGTGGTGCTGAGAAGAATGTATATTCTGTTGATTTGGGGTGGAGAGTTCTGTAGATGTCTACTAGGTCCACTTGGTGCAGAGCTGAGTTCAATTCCCGGATATCCTTGTTAACTTTCTGTCTCGTTGATCTGTCTAATGTTGACAGTGGGGTGTTACAGTCTCCCATTATTATTGTGTGGGAGTCTAAGTCTCTTTGTAGATCTCTAAGGACTTGCTTTATGAATCTGGGTACTCCTGTATTGGGTGCATATATATTTAGGATAGTTAGCTCTTCTTGTTGAATTGGTCCCTTTACCATTATGTACTGGCCTTCTTTGTCTCTTTTGATCTTTGTTGGTTTAAAGTCTGTTTTATCAGAGACTAGGATTGCAACCTCTGCCTTTTTTGTTGTCCATTTGCTTGGTAGATCTTTCTCCATCCCTTTATTTTGAGCCTATGTGTGTCTCTGCACGTGAGATGGGTCTCCTGAATACAGCACACTGATGGGTCTTGACTCTTTATCCAGTTTGCCAGTTTGTGTCTTTTAATTGGAGCATTTAGCCCATTTATATTTAAGGTTAATATTGTTATGTGTGAATTTGATCCTGTCATAATGATGTTAGCTGGTTATTTTGCTCGTTAGTTGATGCAGTTTCTTCCTAGCAGCGATGGTCTTTACAATTTGTCATGTTTTTGCAGTGGCTGGTACCGGTTGTTCCTTTCTATGTTTAGTGCTTCCTTCAGGAGGTCTTGTAGGGCAGGCCTAGTGGTGACAAAATCTCTCAGCATTTGCTTGTCTGTAAAGGATTTTATTTCTCCTTCACTTATGAAGCTTAGTTTGGCAGGATTTGAAATTCTGGGTTGAAATTTCTTTTCTTCAAGAATGTTGAATATTGGCTTCCACTCTCTTCTGGCTTGTGGAGTTTCCGCCGAGAGATCCGTTGTTAGTCAGATGGGCTTCCCTTTGTGGGTAACCCGACTTTTCTGTCTGGGTGCCCTTAACATTTTTTCCTTCATTTCAACTTTGGTGAATCTGACAATTGTTTGTCTTGGAGCTGCTCTTCTTGAGGAGTATCTTTGTGGCATTCTCTGTATTTCCTGAATTTGAATGTTGGCCTACCTTGTTAGGCTGGGGAAGTTCTCCTGGATAATATCCTGCAGAGTGTTTTCCACCTTGGTTCCATTCTCCCCGTCACTTTCAGGTACAGCGATCAGACGTAGATTTGGTCTTTTCACATAGTCCCATATTTCTTGGAGGCTTTGTTCATTTCTTTTTCCTCTTTTTTCTCTAAATTTCTCTTCTCACTTCATTTCATTCATTTGATCTTCAATCACTGATACTCTTTCTTCCAGTTGATCGAATCGGCTACTGAAACTTGTGCATTTGTCATGTAGTTCTCCTGCCATGGTTTTCACCTCCATCAGGTATTTAAGGACTTCTCTACACTCATTATTCTAGTTAGGCATTCGTCTAATCTTTTTTCAAGGTTTTTAGCTTCTTTGTGATGGGTTTGAACTTCCTCCTTTAGCTTGGAGAAGTTCAATCGTCTGAAGCCTCCTTCTCTCAACTCGTCAAAGTCATTCTCCGTCCAGCTTTGTTCCCTTGCTAGTGAGGAGCTGTGTTCCTTTGAAGGGGGAGAAGTGCTCTGATTTTTAGAATTTTCAGCTTTTCTGCTCTGTTTTTTCCCCATCTTTGTGGTTTTATCTACCTTTGGTCTTTGATGATGGTGACGTACAGATGGGGTTTTGGTGTGGATGTCCTTTCTGTTTGTTAGTTTTCCTTCTAGCAGTCAGGACCCTCAGCTGCAGGTCTGTTGGAGTTTGCTGGAGGTCCACTCCAGACCCTGTTTGCCTGGGTATTAGCAGCGGAAGCTGCAGAACAGCGGATATTGGTGAATGGCAAATGTTGCTGCCTGATCATTCCTCTGGAAGTTTTGTCTCAGAGGAGTACCCAGCTATGTGAGGTGTCAGTCTGCCCCTACTTGGGGGTGCCTCCCAGTTAGGCTACTCAGGGGTCAGGGACCCACTTGAGGGTCTGTCCGTTCTCAGATCTCAAACTCCATGCTGAGAGAACCACTACTGTCTTCAAAGCTGTCAGACAGGGACATTTTTAAGTCTGCAGAGGTTTCTGCTGCTTTTGTTCGGCTATGTCCTGCCCCCAGAGGTGGAGTCTGCAGAGGCAGGCAGGCCTCCTTGAGCTGTGGTGGGCTCCACCCAGTTCGAGTTTCCTGGCTGCTATGTTTACCTACTCAAGCCTCAGCAATGGCGGGCACCCCTTCCCCAGCCTCAGTGCCGCCTTGCAGTTCGATCTCAGACTGCCGTGCTAGCAATGAGTGAGGCTCTGTGGGCATGGGACCCACGGAGCCATGCGCGGGATATAATCTCCTGGTGTGCTGTTTGCTAAGACTGTTGGAAAAGTGCAGTATTAGGGTGGGAGTGACCCGATTTTCCAGGTGCTGTCTGTCACCCCTTCCCTTGGCTAGGAAAGTGAATTCCCTGACCCCTTACTTCCCGGGTGAGGTGATGCCTCGCCCTGCTTCGGCTCACACTCAGTGGGCTGCACCTACTGTCCTGTCTCCACTATCCGACGAGCCCCAGTGACATGAACCCGGTACCTCAGTTGGAAATCCATAAATCAGTCGTCTTCTGTGTCGCTCATGCTGGGAGCTGTAGACTGGAGCTGTTCCTATTCAGCTATCTTGGAGCTGCCCCCCTCTTTTTTTTTTTATTTTACTTTTAAGTTCTTGGATACATGTGTAGAACATGAAGGTTTGTTACATATGTGCCCTGGTGGTTTGCTGCACCTATCAACCTGTCATCTATGTTTTTTTTTTTTTTTTTTTTGAGACTTAGTCTCACTCTGTCGCCCAGGCTGGAGTGCAGTGGTGCGATCCCAGCTCACTGCAACCTCCACCTCCCGGGTTCATGCCATTCTCCTGCCTCAGCCTCCCAAGTAGCTGGGACTACAGGTGCCTGCCACCACGCCCGGCTAATTTTTCTGCATTTTTAGTAGAGACAGAGTTTCACTGTGTTAGCCAGGGTGGTCTGGATCTCCTGACCTCTGATCCGCCCATCTCGGCCTCCCAAAGTGCTGGGATTACAGGTGTGAGCCACTGCACCCAGCCACCTGTCATCTATGTTTTAAACCCTGCGTGCATTACCTTTTTGTCCTAATGCTCTCCTTTCCCTTTCCTCCCAGCCCCTGACAGGCCCCAGTGTGTGATGTTCCCCTCCCTATGTCCATGAGTTCTCATTGTTCAACTCCCACTTATGAGTGAGAACGTGGTATTTGGTTTTCTGTTCCTGTGTTAGTTTGCTGAGAATGATGGTTTCCACCTTCATCCATGTCCCTTCAAAGGACATGAACTCACTCTTTTTTATGGCCGCACTTGGCGTGGATTTCTTTGGGTTTATCCTGTCGGGTTTGCTCAGCTTCTTGAATTAGTGGATTTATATCTTTTGTCAAATTTTGAAAGTTTTCAGCTATAATTTCTTTGAATACTTTCCCACTTCTACTCTCTTTTTCTTTTTTTGGGACTCATATCACAAATGTTAATCTTTTGTTACAGTCCCACAGGTCCTTGGGGGCACTGTTCTTTTCTTTTTCAATCTCTTTTTCATGTTATTTTTCTCTCCTTTTCATTCTGCTTTGAGCCCATCCTTTGAAGGTTTTGTTCTTGCTGTATTTTTCTGTTGTAAAATTTTTATTTGGGTTTTCTCTTATATCTCTGATTTCTTTGCTGAGACACAATGTTTTTTCGCTTGTTGTAGACAGGCTTATCCTTAATCATGAAGTCATTTTTGTGATGGTTACTTTAAGCCCTTGCCATCTAATTCTGACATCTGTGCCACCTAGTATTGGTGTCTGTTAATTGTCTTTTCTCATTACAGTTGATATTTTCCTGGTTCTTGGAAAATCACGAGGAATGATTTTTAATTGAATCTTGGGCATTTTCAGTATTATGTTATGAGAGTCTGGATCTCATTTAAATCTTCGGTTTTAGCAGGCTCCATCTGACACTGTTGTGGTGTGGACAAGGGGGTACTGCCTTGTTACTGCCAATGGGGGGTAGAAGTTTAGGTTCCCCACTCAGTCTCTTTGATGCCTGGAGAAAAGTGCACCTCATTACTGGTGGATGGGGGTGGGAGTTCAGGCTCCCAACTGGGCCTCTGCTGCTGATACCAGTCCTAGCTAGGAGGGGCAAGGGTGCCTTAGTACTACCCTCCATGGGGCCTCCAGTGACACTTCAGTGGACAGTGATAGCTTCATTACTGCTGGATGCTGGTGAAAGTCTTGGCTCTGTACTAGGCCTTCTCTGACACTAGCCCAGCTGGGAATGGGAAGGGGTGCTCTGTCACCTGTTAGGTAGTGTATTTTGAGTTTTTACTTGAGGCCTCTGAGACCCTCCATGTCAACAATACCAGCTCCCTCCTCTGCCGTCCTTCTGTGTCAAGCCCAGCCTGCAGGACCTCAGGGGAGGCAGAGGGGTATGGAGGGGCACAGGGCTCTGGAGACCCCAGTGGGGAAGGGTTTTTACAAGGTTTTGCTGCTGTGAAGGTGATATTCATCCCCCTTCTCCTGTCCATCTCTCTCTCTCTGTGATGCACAGCAAAAGGTCTGGAAGGATACAGACACCACACTGTGCTCAGTGATGCTGACTCTCAGAGGGAATGCTCGGGGGCTGTCTGTATTCTATAGACTGCTGTTTTGTTTACTGTTACCATGAGCATGTACTTCTATGTACGTTTTGTAATAAACAATAATGGAAATATTAAAAGCCAGTGTAAGGGCTGGGGGACCCCATAAAGCCTGAACCCTGTCTTGTTCCACTCATCCTGCCCTTGAGACTCCCACCAGGTGGGCGTACAGAGGACAGCAGCAGCAGGAGGAGGACACTCTGCCTCATGTGCGGGGTAACAGAGCATTCTGTGAGCTGGCTGGATGTGAGCTGGCTGTGAGCATCTGTGACTCCAGCTCAAGGCCCAACTGACCCTCATCACCCCTTCCCTTGAGGGCCTGAAAGTTGGGGAGGGGTCCCTCAGAGTAGGCCAACTCCATCTGATCATGTCTGCAGCCCATGGCCAGAGAAGTGGCCACCTTCTGCTGCATCCTGGAACCCTCCCTAAGTGCAAGGGACTCAGTCTCCCCCTCAGGGCCTATGAATTCATATTCCAGTTCATAGCTGCCTTCTGGAAGGAGTTGGGTCAAAACACCTTGCTTGTCCCAAGGTCCCAGAGCAGGCAGGGAGGTCAGAGGTTGCAGACAGGACCTGGCTGTTCTTGGCTGGGAATGTTTACAAATCAGAGATCAGAAATGAGGACTTATTAGTACAGTTATTTTAGGATTTTCCATTTTAATACTACAGAGTAGCTGGCTAAAGCCTGGCAAACAGTTACTAGGAATTGAATGCTCAAACCCCAAACTTTCGTGATTTTCTTTGTGCTGAATATGTCATTTTCCCTTTGAATTCTTTTGATAAGGATGAGTGCACAGTAATTGGACCTAAAAATGCATCCAAATTATAGCATCTTCATCAGGATTAGCTGACAACATAATTATGAGAATATTTCAGGGTGCAAGATATATTTTTTTCATATTAGTCCACTATAGAAAACAAAAGTGGCTCCTTTGTTGTTATTTTGGCGGATTAACAATTCTTAATATTTGGGGGATGCAGCCTGACCCGGCGCCCTCTCTGTGTGCTTTGGCATTTTGCCGTTTATACGCTGCTTTATGAACGTACCCAGTGATTGCAGCTGCCCTCCCCGTGGGAGGCCTGGGAGGCACTCATAGGTTCTGTTGAAAAGGGAGCACCATGCTCTCTGCTCTGGGCTTTTGGAACAGGCTGCTTTTAAATATGAGATTGCAATGGTAGGAGCAGCATAGAGCGCCCCTGGGGAGTCTGACTGTCAGGGCCAGCCCTGTGTCCAAGACCCCTGCTCCCTTGGGGAGTTTTGTGGTCTCGTGGGCTCTGTGTGGCTGTATGTTCTTTACTGGCGCTGACCCTGGACAGGCCATGTGGCACTGTGGAGCCCTGGGCCTGGGTCAGGGAGATCCGGGTTCTGCTTGCCCCTGCACTTCCCTGGCTGAGGGGAGGTCAGCCTCTCTGACCCTCCGTCCTGTACTGTAGAGTGGGGATCATGGGCTGGCCAGCAGAGAGGTGGGGGATTGAATGAGGGAGTGTTCATAGGGGTGGAGTGGGGGGTAGAGCCCATGCCTGATGCATTCTGGAGTCTGGGAGCCCCTTCCATGACCTCCTGTGCAGGTCTGGCTGCCTTTCAAGATCCTTTCAAGTGCCTCCTCCCGTAACTTCCCAGGCACTTCAGCCAAGGCTTTCCCCTTTCCTCTGCTCACGGTCTTCATGATTTGCAGCGTGCGACTCAGCTTCCTCATTAGTTGAACACCTATCATGTGCCAGGCTGGGGACATGGACTTGAATAAGACACCATTCTTGCCTGAGCAGCTTAGAGTGGATCCTGCTGAACCATGTTGGGTCTGCTGTGTTATCCTTTACCGTGCCTAGCAGTGTTTCCGATTTTTAAATGTTATTTAGACTCATTGTAGAAAATACAGATGTTATGATTTTTATCACTATTTTAAGACAGAGTCTTGCTCTGTCACCGAGGCTAGAGTACAGTGGCACGATCTCAGCTCACTGTATCCTCCACCTCCCAGGTTCAAGCAATTCTCCTTCCTCAGCCTCTCGAGTAGCTGGGATTGTAGGTGTATGCCCCCACCCCCGGCTAATTTTTTGTATTTTTAGTGGAGACGGGGTTTCACCATGTTGGCCAGGCTGGTTTCACACTCCTGACCTCGTGATCCACCCACCTTGCCCTCCCGAAGTGCTGGGATTACAGGCAGAAGTTATTTTTTAAAAAAGTTTCACAGTGAAAATTTTGGTATATTTTCTTTAATCCTGGCCAGCTCTCCTTCCTTCCATCTATTCATAAATAATATCTATCCATTAATAACAAAATTGTATTCATACCAAATAGCTGAGTATTCCATTCTTTAAAACTTAGTGTTCATTAGGAGCGTTTCCCTGTGCCATTCAGTGTTCTTTGAAATATGATTTTCAGTGGCTGTATCATAATTTGTTTTGTAAGTGTCAGGATTTGTCCACTGCTGAGCACTTCGGTTGCTTCTGGGAACTTGCTTGTGTGTTGAATATCTTAGTGCACAATCCCAGTTCTAGTTTTGGACGATCACGAAGGCAGGATCTCAAGGAGGAAAACCACTGGTCAGAAGTTATGAGCGAGTGTCTTTGGCGCTCTTGGCCCCTTTGCCATGGCAGTATTCGTTCATGAGAGCAGCAGACTCCACCACCCTTGTGCGTGTCTGTGCGTGCATGTCTGCGCTGCAGAGCAACTTTGTAGGGAGAAGTGGTCTTGGGCATAGGGCTGGTCCCGAAAACCAGACTCCCTGGAAACCTCTGAGCCGTCCTCTGTGGGCGGATGACCCAGAAGAGGCTGCCTTGCAGGCTAGAGAGATGTGGAGGCTCAGGACACACTGGGCTGCCTCCCCTCTGGCCTTTTTACATGCTGTCTGCACAGTCTTTCTGTACGCTTGCCTCCCTGCTGACCAGACCTCTTATTATTTTGTAATTTTAATATAGATGCTGGCCTTTTACTCAAAGGCTTGAAAGTCTTGGAAAGCTGGTAAAAGTCATTTGTCCAGTGTAGCCAGTGCTTGGCGGTGGCCATTGTCACCCAGCCGGCCAAAGGATGCTTCCTTTTATTAGAGCAAACCTTCCCCAGGCCTGATGAGGGTGCCTGCTTTCTGAATATCCCTGCCTTGATCTCAGCCACCTTGTGCGACTCTGTGGCCATGTTAGGGAAATCTCACTTTTTGAGGTTACCAGTGTCTTCCTCATGGCTGGATCCAGTGCCTGCCCTCCCCATTCTTGCTGCATTTTTCAGGAGCAACCCCTCTTCTCTTCCACCTTCTCCCTAAGGGCCTTCTCTGTCACTAAGGACTGGGTCTTCTGTTTCTTGCTTGCTATGAGCTGAATGTTTGTTTCCTCCTAAAATTCATAGATCAAAACCTACCCCCTAATGTGATGGCCTAGCAGGTGGGACCTTTGGGAGGTGGTCAGGTCGTGAGGGTGGGGCCTTCATGAATGGAATTATTGCTGTTATAAAAGAAACCCCAAAGAGCTACCTTGCCCCTTCCACCATGTGAGGACACAGCAAGAAGGCACCAGCTATGAACCAGGAAGCAGCCCTCACCAAGCATTGATTCTGCCAATGCCTCTATCTCAGACTTCCCAGCCTCCAGAACTGTCAGAAATAAAGTTCTGTTAATAAGCCACCCAGTTGTGGCATTTTGTGATAGCTACTCAGATGGACTGGGACAGGGCCTTTGGAAGGATTTGGCTTCTTGACACTTTCCATCTTTAGGCTTGATGTTCCTCCTTGCGTGCTGACCCCATTTCTCTGCCCTACTGTAGCTGAACCCCACCCCGTCTTGCGCTGCCTGCTCCTAGTAGGCATCTGCATCCTGATGTCCTGCCCACAACCACCTGATCCTGCCCATCAGACCTGTCCTTGCTCCCTTGGGGGCACATCTGCCTCCCCTGTCTCTGTTGTTGGCCATGTCTAGTCAGTGATGGTGTCATGCCTGCTTGGCCTGACTCCTCTGCAGATCTGTGTCTCAGGCCATCATCTCTGCTCTCATCCCTGGACAGGCTCTTTGGTGTCAGTCCCACCCGTCTTGGGCCAATGTACTCCTTCCTTCTCCCTCCCTCATTCCGCCATGGCCACTTGCTGTCCTCCAGGTGCACTGAGGTGTCCAAGGCTAGCCAGATGCTGTTTCCAATGACCTCACATTCTAGGGGGAGCCATGTGATGGGGCCATTGCAGAATCCAGGGTGTGGACACGCAGGGGAGCTGGCACAGCTCAGGCACGTGGGGCCTCTCCTTCAGGGCCAGCCCCTTCAGACAGTTTCTCCTTGCCTTTGCTCTGCTGGTGGACTGCTGGCTCTCTCAGGAGCTGCCAGTGCCTGCCCAGTGACTGTGCTGGGGATCTCTGTCCCTGTGGGCGCAGGTCCCTGTGTTGTCAGCAGATCCACTCATTTCCCTCCCTCCTGCCTCCACGACACTCTGTGTGTTTCCTCCCTGAGCCTGCATGTCTCCTGCCCACGCGCCCTTCCTGGAGTTTCACTGCCCTGCAGCACTGAGCTCTGGTTGTCTCTCGGCTGAGAAGCCTCTCCTGTCCATGGCAGCCTGTCCAGATCGGTATCCACCCCACTCTCATGGCCCACGTCACGTGGCGGAGCCTTCTGTGATGTGAGAATCGTTCCAGGTTCCTGTGTTTGTCTCTGCCTCCACCTCGGGAGCTCCAGGTCCAGTTTCCCTGCCTGAGAGAGCTGAGTACACAGACACATGTGTTAATGCAAATTCATAACAGATGGCCAAGGCCAGGTGCCACCCAGGGTCCTCAGGCCTTCAGGTGGTGTGGAATAGCTGAGCAGTAGTTTATTTCCAGTAGTCTCCAACACTTTGTCATATACAAATGCAAAATAGTTTTATTTATGTAATCTCTGGGCAGTGCTTTGTGTACCTTTGAACTAGGAGACCCATTGTAATAGCCCTGTGGTCCCCAGAAGTTCAGCTCTGTTACATGTCACAGAATTCCCATTTTCCTGAGAGCATCCTAGGAACCAAGAATACTTACAGGTATTGGGAAATAATTTCAGTAAAAACATTACATGAGATTGTTCTGTGACATGTCTATAAAATAATTTCAGTAAAAACCATTACATGGGATTGTTCTGTGACATGTCTATCTGTTCAGTGATGTGGTGGCCTCCTCTTGTGGCAGGGCCTGGACCTCATGCCTGATTCATCTCTGTCTCCAGTGTCTGGGGTGGGGCCCACCTGTGGTTACTGCTCAATGGACACTGAAATGAACACAGTTGAAGTTGATATGTGCTTTGGGGATTACGCTCTTTGCTGTAATGAGTTTTATTTCAGATGCTGCTGGGTGTAGAGTCTTAAGTATTTTAGCTATAACTTGGAGGAACTCAGCTCATGGGCTGTAGCCAAACATAACTCCTGTCAAATGCAGGTAGGAGAGAATCTGGTCCCTGCCTCTTGCCCATAATGACTTGAGCAAGTTGCTTTTCCTCTCTCGGCCTCAGTTTCCTACCTTTGGACTGGGGATTACAAACCCTTTCTGCCTAAATCATTGGATTATTGTAGGATTAGCAAGAAGCACATTGGAAACAACTTGGCCTCCTATAAAGAAAAATGTATTACTCTAATCTCTTCTTGTTCGGGAAGCATTTTGGGTTCCTTAGGAATAGAACGTTTCCTGGAAAAAAATAATATCGATTGGCAGTATCTGTGAGAGATTTTCATTGGCGAAGCAATGTTCTGCTTTGTTAAATTTTGATTTCATGTGTTGTTGGTAGGAAAGAATTCTCTCAGGTCGTTACCTCCCTGCTAATTCACGGAGAAAGTCTTTCTGTGAACCCAGGGAGGGGCTTGCTCCTGGGACTCCAGTGCCTTCCAAGAGCTCCACCTTCATGCCAGCAAGGCTGGGTTGGCCTATTGCCTTTCCTCATTTCCTCTTTCTGGTAGGAGAGTTTTACTGTAAAGAGGAGAGAAATGGGTTGGGGGAGTGGGGATCAGGAGTTGTTTTCATTTTAAGATGGGAGAATAAGAGTATGCTTATAGGCCAATGGAAAGATCTAGTACAGAGGGAAGAATTGATGACCTGGAGAACAATCATCAGAGAGGGTGAGTTCTGCACGCACAAGCCATCATGCACCCTTTGTCTAGTAGCCTTCTCACACAGGGATGTGGGAGCATCTTCCTGGGTGCAGGCAATCAGGCATGCGCTATCTTTAGAGAATTTGAAAGTAATGATCACACAAGTGAAGTGTTGGTCTGCTTTTAGTATCTCCATGAACCAGCAATTCCAGACAATATCAGAGATATGATAGCCCTGCTCTGGGGTGGGCCACTGCTCTCACCCGCACACCTTGTGTCCCCCTCACTATGCCCACCTTCAAACCAGCAGGAGCGAGGTGGGGAGACAGCTGAAGACGCAGGCGGGCTGGAAGGGGTGGCAGAGGCAGTTGTTTTCTGGCTGCTTGCAGTGAGATATGAAGCAAGGTCAGCTGTTGAGAGTGAGGAGCGAGGAGGATGAGATACTTGCTCACCATCACCAGAGAGCGCAGAGCTTGTATGATTGCCATGTATTTGTCCAGCATCACCAGGCAGTAAATGGCGTAGAAGTTGCATGTGACTTCCAGGCAGCGTTGAGCCTCCCCAGGAGGCTGGTGAGGGGGATGCCGAAGGGAGCCAGGTGTGGATTGCCAGCCGTCCAGCTGCTGGGCGAGGGCACACCATGGGTGCAGAGTTGCGCCGAGTCAGTGTTGTGCTTTCTGAGTGTCTGCTGGGTTCTTGCTGCTGAATAGGCAAGTTCCATCCCCAAAGTTCCTATGGATTCCAGCAACTGACAGATGACTGCTTCTCTGAGGTCCTCAGCTTTCCAGCATTTAGGGACGAGTTGGGAATTTAACCTGGGCCTTTTGGCTCCAAAGCCATTGTCCTTTTCAGTGGACAAAGCCACTTCCTTTCAGTCTGAATGTAAAAATAATAATACAAAGATCTGGCTTTTAATTGTTATTGAATCCTGAATTTAATATTTTGTATATACCTATAATTATTTTATCAGTCTAAAAAGTGAGTGTTTTATTTCCCTTATTATGTCTTCCTGCCTAGTATAATGAGATGAACATAATGAACTATTGGTAAATTTTTTGAACAATGAGAGTGCTTTAAATAGGAATTCAGTGGCTTTAAAAAGGCAACAAATTCCTGCCGTTTCATTGAAAGGTGCTGGGCTGTTGAGAAATGCTATTGTGGTCAACTTTTCCTTGTGCGTAATTTGAGAGAATCTAGCAAGACTGCTTAATTGCCATCAGTGTGCAGTTCAGTCATTTGAGGGGTAGGATTTAGTTTTTTAAGTTGCAAATTTTTTTTTTTTTGGAGACAGAATCTCGCTCTGTCGCCCAGGCTGGAGTGCAGTGGCGTGATCTCGGCTCACTGCAAGCTTCACCTCCCGGGTTCACGCCATCCTCCTGCCTCAGCCTCCCGAGTAGCTGGGCCTACAGGTGCACGCTGCCATGCCTGGCTAATTTTTTGTATTTTTAGTAGAGACGAGATTTCACCATGTTAGCCAGGATGGTCTCGATCTCCTGACCTTGTGCTCCGCCCGCCTCGGCCTCCCAAAGTGCTGGGATTACAGGCGTGCGCCACCGCGCCCGGCCGCATATTTATTTTTTACTTGGCTGTACTTATCCCAGAATCTGGGCTGATGAGTAGATTTGGGTAACAAGAAGGTTTGTATTAGACACTATCCAGAAGGACTGAGGGTTGAGATACTGAATAAAGAACTTTCTGGCCCCTGGATCTCCCTGAAGATGAAAGTGAGTGGCCTGCCATGGAGGTGACTGCCAGAGAGACACAATCTGGTAGAGGCTGGTGATGGCTCAGAAGGGCAGCTTTCGGTATTGTCTTTGGCAATTGGAAGTAATAATTGTTTATGTGGAGATGAAATAACATATTTTCCTTTTTTTTCCTTACAGAAAACACGGCCATCTTTATGTGTAAATGTTGTAACCTCTTCTCACCAAATCAGTCGGAACTCCTCTCCCACGTTTCAGAGAAGCACATGGAAGAAGGGGTTAATGTTGATGAGATTATTATTCCCCTTAGGCCTCTGAGTACACCTGAACCCCCCAACTCAAGCAAAACCGGAGATGGTAAGGGGGCTGGGGGGTGGGGCAGGATACCTTCTGACACACCTGTTGATGTTGATTTGCTCCGTGGGCATAGCAGAAGCCTAGAAAATCCACATTTCCAAATCAGAAGTCACAATAAGTCTCCAATTGTAGATATGCTCAAATAAGATTGTGCCTTTGAAATCCCATACCTAGCCCCCTGTAGGTTGGCAAATGAATGAATGAAAGAATGAATGGAAGTGGCAGTATTCAATAGTGTGAAAAACATGAGCTTGTTGTCAGACAAGTGTGGGTTTAACCCAGCCCTAGTACCTACTGGCTGCATTACCTGAAGCCAATGATGTTACTTCTCCAAGCCTCACTTTGCTTATCTGGACAAATGATGAGAAATATGCTGGTTACAAGGGGGTCTGTGAGGATGAAGTTAAAGAATATGCCTACAGGACCTAAGATGATGCCTGGCACACAGAACATGATAAAAGGAAGCTGTTGTTCTAACGTACATGATTAATAAATAAGTCTATATAATCTTACAGCATTTTCCAACTGTTCCTATAAACCTGGAACAAGGATTCACATTGCAAAGCTTTGATTTGCACAGAATCCTTTGGGTTCACAGTCAGCGTGCAAAGTGAGATGCATCTTGTCTGTAGTGTCTGGACATCTGTCACTGTGTGGTTATCCGATGCAGCAGGTGCACGGATCAGAGAAACCATCCAGGCACTGTAATTAGGTCCCCACAGACAGAGAAAACATATAGCACATGAGGAACCGCTGCAAAGATCCTCACAAAACACTAAGATAAAGGACAGCAGCTGGGCACCTGTGCAGAAGCCCAATGCATAGCAGTCAGTGTCCCATTGCAGAGTTCATCAGCCACACTAATAATCCACTGGCTCTTTCCTGGGAATATTCAGGCTGGCATTTCTAAATAGGCTGGCTATTCATCATCTGTCGGACACCATTAACAAGGAGAGATTCCAGACAAAAAATGTTTTGGTTAATAAGTCCCTCTGGTCATTCCCAGGGTTCTCAGAGAAACATGCCTGACAGAAGATTAAGTTTTTGGGAAGTTAGGAAGTTCTGAGAGTTACTGTTAGTGGCATAAAGTGAAAAATGAAAAAGATGCAGCACCCGAAGCTAGTGGTGGGTGAATAAGGAGCAGCAGTTAGTATTTCTTACTTCTGTCATCACCGTCAGCTAATAGGGTGTGTGTCCATGGCGTGCTCAGCCCCTCACAGGCCTTGTGAGCAGACCTGTCCTCTCCCCATTTAGAGGAAGCAGGAGTGAGGAGGAAAGTTATGTGTAATTGCGTCTCAACCAGTAGCGCACACTTGAGACCCTTTGCTTTGGGGTAGAGGAGGAAAGTTTGCATGGGACAGTGAGAGTCAGAACCTCCTTGGTGCCAGGGGCCTTGCAGTTCAGCGCCCTCCCTCTGCCCACCCAGCCTGTGTGAGTCCTGACCCCTGGCCAGAAGCTTTGTGACACCCACACTCTCCATGGCCCACTTCCCTGCTGAGCAGTCAGTGACTTGCTTTCTGAAGAGTATAGCTTCACAGAGAGGGCTTTAGTCAAGAACTGTGTTTAGTCACCTCCGCCTTTTGGGCTCAAGCATTCCTCTCACCTCAGCCACCTGAGCAGCTGTGACTACAGGTGCCCGCCACCACACCCAGCTAAGTTTTGTATTTTTTGTAGAGACAGGGTTTCATCTGGGTACCTGCCTCTGGGGTTGAATGTATATGGACTCAGAAAAATGGATAATGTCTCTTGTCCAATTCATATGGCAGATCGAAGCCATGTGGATCAAGGTGGAAAGAACTTCTAGACTGGCTCTTGCAAAGCTTTTAGTTCTTTGCTTATTAAGATTCTCTTCTTTCTAAATGAGTTGTAGATAAGAGAGAAATTTTAATTTTTATTTTTTTCATTTTCTTTTTGAGACTGAGTCTCACTCTGTTGCCCAGGCTCGAATGCAGTGGCGTGATCTTGGCTCACTGCCACCTCCACCTTTTGGGCTCAAGCGTTCCTCTCACCTCAGCCACCTGAGTAGCTGTGACTACAGGCACCCGCCACCACACCCACCTAATTTTTGTATTTTTTGTATAGACAGGGTTTCACTATGTTGCTCAGGCTGGTCTCAAACTCCTAGACTCAAGCAATCCACCCACCTAGGCCTCCCAGAATGCTGGGATTACAGGTGTGAGCCACCGTACCCCGCCTTTCATTTCTTTTATAAATAGGAAATGAATAAATGCTAAAAAAGCAGAATTCACATAGAATTATGAGTGTCAGTGTTGTAAGGTGCATTTTCCGACTTCCACCCTTCCACGCCTAACCAGCATTAGTGAGAGACAGTGCCATTCATGTAGGAGCTGGCCCTGAGCTCCTGCCCCTTCCCGGAGATTCACCTCCCTCTCAACCGTCCCCCATGCCCCTCTCCTCCCTCTCATCACTGATCTACAGCCACGGTTCCCCGACTGCTGGCGGAGGAGCAACTGAATGCAAAGGCCACCCCTGCCTGGGAAGCCCCTTGCAGGTGTTCTTGCTGGTTCACTCCTGTATGTGGCTGGGACTCACTCAGCTTGGGGTCACCCTGAGGAACACTTTTTGGTCCCAAGTGGGGCTGCAGGACCTTTCTCTGGGCTCCCAGAACCCCACAACTAGACTTGTTTCAGTTCTGTCTCACCTGGGTGTGCTTTCATTTGTCTCTATGTTTCTCTTGCTTGTCAGGAAATGTCCCAAAGAAGGGATTTGGGCTGTTCAGCTCTTAGCCTCAGGTCCTGGCATGGGGCCTGACACAGGGTACAGCCCCTTCCGTGTGTGTCCAGTGAATGAATTACATTTTGTTGTCCTTGCTTTCTTGCCTTGGGCCTTGCTGCCCTCCCTCCGTCCCAGCTGTCACCCTTTGCTCAAGAAACTTCAGTGGCTTTTGCCACCCAAAGCAGGGCTCCTCAAACTCATCTGACCTGGGGATCCTTCTGACGAGTATAAGACCCCTGACTTCTGTGGAGTGCCCTTGGCAGCATGGATTCACTGGTGGGGCCCTTCTCTTGGTACTGTAGGCTCCTTCTATAGCCGAACAGCTGGAGGTCCTCTAGGCCCCTGGCTCCTTTTTCCCTCCGTGGTGTTGCAGGTGAACCCACACTTGTAAAACTTCCCTTATCTCCTCCAGACTGACTTTGGTGCTTCTACTGGGCGAATATACTATGTGGGTAAACCCATCAAAGCAATTACACTTTTACTTTGTACTTTTTTTTCCAATTATAAGAGTAATTTTTTTTTTTGACTTTGACAAGTTTGCTCTTGTCACCTAGCTAGCTGGAGTGCAATGGCGTGATCTTGGCTCACTGCAACGTCCGTCTCCCGGGTTCAAGTGATTCTCCTGCCTCAGCCTCCCAAGTAGCTGGGATTACAGGTGTCCATCACCACACCCAGCTAATTTTTGTATTTTTAGTAGAGATGGATTTGCCATGTTGGCCAGGCTGGTCTTGAACTTCTGACTTCAGGTGATCCACTTGCCTCAGCCTCCCAAAGTACTGAGATTACAGGCATGAGCCCCCGTGCCTGGCCCTGAAATCTTGCTGTAAAAGAAAATTAAAGCAATATAATATGGGGAAAGCACGTTTTTCTAACTGCTCTCCAAGTTCTAGAAATAATGGTGCTAACAAGTGTTCTTCCAGACTTTTTGTCTGCATATGTAAACATAAATACACTGTTAGTTGCTTTGTTATTTAATAAGAAACAAAAATGGGATCATAATATGTGTTCTGCAGCCTTAAAAAAATGTCAGCAGTATGTACTGGATATTTCTTCATTTCAGTACCGACATGTCTCCTAATTTCTTTTTTTAGTTTTATTGAGGTATAATTGACAAAAATTGTATGTATTTACGGTGTATATGTGATATTTTGATATACATATACATTGTGAAGTCACAGCCAAGCTAACTCATTTATCTATCACCCCATGTAGTTAACTTTTATGTGTGTGTGTGTATTGTGAGAAGATCTGTTCTTTTTCGGCTGTGTGTGATGGCTTATGCCTGTAATCCTAGCATTTTGAGAAGTTGAGGGAGGAGGATCACTTGAGCCCAGGAGTTTGAGACCAGCCTGTGCAACATAATGGGACTCTGTCTCTAAAAAAAAAAAAAAAAAAAAAAAAAAAACAGATAAAACGGCTTGTGCCTGTAGTCCCAGGTACTCAGGAGGCTGAGCCAGGATGTTGAGGCTACAGTGAGCTGTGATTGCACCACTGCACTCCA
The DNA here is from genome assembly GCF_000001405.40 of Homo sapiens. Taxonomy (NCBI): domain Eukaryota; kingdom Metazoa; phylum Chordata; class Mammalia; order Primates; family Hominidae; genus Homo; species Homo sapiens. The sequence continues at coordinate 134,653,323 of NC_000008.11, read as the reverse complement.
GCCTGGGTGATAGAGTGAGACCCTGTTTTTTGTTTTTTTTTTTTTTTTTTTTTAAAAAAGACATTTGGGTTGGTTCCAAGTCTTTGCTATTTGTAGCAAACCTGCACGTTGTGCACATGTACCCTAAAACTTAAAGTATTATAATAATAATAATAATGAAAAAAAAAACCCCACCAAAAACCCGACCTTCTCTTTTAGCAAATGTTAAGTACACAATACTGTATTATTTGTATGTCCTAATTTTTTTTAGTGTCTGTATGGTATTTACTTCTATGGATAATGCATAATTTACTCAACCTTTTTTTGATGACATATGTTTTCTCTCTAATTTTGTGCTATTATAAATAATGTTACAATAAATGTTGTCATGAATATCATTGTACATTGTGCATTCACGTTGGCTATATTCCTAGGAGAATTGCTGTGTAGAGGGTATGCTTATTGAAAAGTTTGCTAGGTTTTATCAGAATGCTCTCTGGAAAGGTTTTATCCATTTATATTCTCACTAGGATCTAAGATCTTCTGTTTTTCCATATCCACATCAACCCAAGGATATTATCTTATTTTAAAGAGTTTTTGCCAATTTGATAGACAAAAAATGGTGTATCATTTTAATTTGCATTTTGCTGGTCACTAGTGAGGTTGACCATGTTTACTGTTTAATGGCTATTTACACATCTGTGAATTACTGTTCATATCAGTTGTCTATGTTTTTGTTTGCTCTTTATTGATTTGTAGGAGCTCTTTGTATAGAAAATATTAACACTTGTCTTTAGAGAATCTGTGTGTACTCATTTTAAACCTCACAATGCATGATAATGATTATTTTATACAGTAAGTGTTCATTTAGATTTAGCTACATATTTATGACTTTCCGGCTCTTCAGTCCTTGGATCTGCATCCATTCCATCTCCATCCATGGATGAGTTTTTTTCTGCTATAGAATACACTTTAGATTTCTTTGTAAAGAAATCTGAATGGAGCTGCTCATCATGAACTCTCCTGGTTATTGTTTATCTGATGTGGTCCTAATTATTGCCTTTATTATTATTATTTTGAGACAGAGTCTCGCTCATTTGCCCAGGCTGGAGTGCAGTGGCACGATCTGGGCTCACTGCTACCTCCACCTCCTGGGTTCAAGCCATTTCTGGCTAATTTTTATATTTTTACTAGGGATGGGGTTTTGCCATTTTGGCCAGGCTGGTCTTGAACTCCTGACATCACGTGATCTGCCTGCCTCAGGCTCCCGAAGTGCTGGGATTAGAGGCGTGAGCCACCATGCCCAGCCTATTGTCTTTATTTTTAATATATATTTTTCTTGGGGATAGGATTGTAGGTTGGCTTTTTTTTTTCATTTCAGCACATTGAAAATATTATTTCATTGAATCCTGGCTTTTATTGTTGTTAGGATGCCAGCTGTCAATCTGACTTTAAGTGCTTTAATTCCCTAGTCTCTTTGTTTTTGGTTTTCTAAAGTTTTACTGTGATGCATCCAGGTAGGATTAAGTACATTTTTACATCGATGTTAGTTGGTCTTCTTAAACCTATAGATTTATGATTTTTATAAATTTTAGAAGAATATAAACTGTTCTGCCTTTTGGTATTGCCTCTGCTTCATTATCTTTCTGTGACTTAAATATTTGCTAGTCCTTCTCTATACCTTTACCCTAACTTTTATGTTTTCTTTGCTTTTATCTTGTGCTGCATTCTGCGTATTTACTTCTGATCCATTTTCCAGTTCACTATTTTTTACCTGTTATTTTTAGATAAAATTCATATGAGATAAAATTAGCCATTTTAAGAATTTTAAAATACAAAATTCAATGGTGTTAGTGTGTTTACAAGATTGTACAACTTCTACAACTACCTAATTCCAGAACATTTTCATTACTCCAAAAATAGCTCTGTACCCATTAAGCAGTCATTCAAGATTCATCCATATTGTAGCATGTATCAGTGCTTCATTCCTTTTTTATGGCTGAGTGATATTTCATTGTATGCATATGCTACATATTGTGTATCCATTCCTCTTTTGATAGACATTTGAGTTGTTTTCACTTTTAGGCTACTGAATAATGCTTCTATCAGCATTTGTTTACAAGTTTTCACATGAATATTTGTTTTCATTTCTCTTGGATATATACCAAGGAGTGGGATTGCTGGGTCATATGTCAATTCTATATTTAAGTTTTTCAAGGACTGTCAAACTTTTTTCAATGGGAGGTGCACCATTTAAAAACATTTCAGTCAACAGCATATAAAGGATCCAATTTCTCCACATCGTTGCCAACACTTGTTAATTTTCACATTTTGGTTTGTACCCATCCCAGTGAATGTGAACTGGTATTTCATTGTGGTTTTGGTTTGCATTTTTGATGATTAATGATGTTAAGCATTTAAGTCTTTGATCCATTTTAAGTTAATTTTTGCATATGATGTGAGGTAGGGTTCCAAATTTGTTCTTTTACATGTGGTTATTCAGTTGTCCCAACATCATTTGTTGACAAGACTGTTCTTTTCCCATTGAGAGGTTTTGGCACCCTTGTCAAAAATCAATTGAGTACAAATGTATGAGTTTAATTCTGGACTCTTAATTCTATTTCATTGATCAATACGTCTCTTCTAATGTCAGTAGTATGCTGTTTAGATGGCTGTAACTGTAGTAAGTTTTGAAATGGGGAAGTTTGAATCTTCCAACTTTGTTCTTCTTTATCAAGATTGTTTTGACTTTTCAGGGTCCTTTGCAGTTCCATATGAATTTTAGGATCAGCTTGTCTATTTCTTCAAAAAAGACAGTTGGATTTTTGATAAAGATTGCATTAGATCTGTATTAGTCCATTCTCAAACTGCTGTGAAGAAATACCTGAGACTGGGTAATTTATAAAGAAAAGAGGTTTAGGCCGGGCGCAGTGGCTCACGACTGTAATCCCAGCACTTTGGGAAGCTGAGGTGGGCGGATCATGAGGTCAGGAGTTCGAGACCAGCCTGGCCATTATGGTGACACCCCGTCTCTACTAAAAATACAAAAATTAGCTGGGTGTGGTGGCACGTGGGCCTGTAGTCCCAGCTTCTCGGGAGGCTGAGGCAGCAGAAGAATCACTTGAACCCAGGAGGCAGAGGTTGCAGTGAGCCAAGATGGCACCACTACACTCCAGCCTGGGTGACAGAGCGAGACTCTGTCTCAAAAAAAAAAAAAGAAAAAAAATAAAAAAGAAAAGAGGTTTAATTGACTCATAGTTCCTCATTGCTGAGGAGGCCTCAGGAAACTTACAGTCATGGTAGAAGGCAAAGGAGAAGCAGGAACCTTCTTCACAGGGCAGCAGGACAGAGTGAGTGCAAACAAGGGGAAATGCCAGACGATTATAAACCCATCAGATCTTATGAGAACTCACTTATCACGAGAACGGCATGGGGGAAACTGCCCCAGTGATCCATTACATCCACCTGGTCCCACCCTTGACATGTTGAGATTATGGGGGTTATAATTCGAGGTGAGATTTGGGTGGGGACACAGAGCCAAGCTGTATCAAGATCCATTTAGAGACTACTGCCATCTTAACAATTTTAAACCTTCCAATCCATGAACATGGAATATCTTTCCATTTAAATTTAGGTCTTGTTTAATGTCTTTCAACAATGTGTTGTATTTTTCAATGTTCAAGTCTTACTCCTCCTTGATTACTTTAATTCCTAAGTATTCTATTCTTTTCGATGCTACTGTAAATGGAACTATTTTCATAATTTATTTTCAGATTGCTCATTGCTAGTTTATAAATACAACTGTTATTTGTATATAGATATTTTATCCTGCAATTTTGCTGGACTTGTTTATTAGATCTTGTGAACTTGTTTATTAGTTTTTTAAAAAAACTTCTAAAAACTTGTTTATTAGTTTTCTAGTGTATTCCTCAGGAGTCTTTACATATAATCTTGTCATCTGTGACTAGAGATAATTTTACTTTTTCCTTTCTAATCTGGATTCTTTGTATTTTATTTTCTTGCCCAATTTCCCTGGCAAGAAACTCCAGTACAGGGTTGAGTGGAAATGATGAGTGGACATTCTTGTTCTGATACTATCTTAGGAAGAAAGTATCCAGTCTTTTACCATTAAGTATGATGGGGTGTGTGTGTGTGTGTGTGTGTGTGTGTGTGTGTGTGAGAGATAGATGTTCTTCATTAGGTTAAGGAAGCTCTTTTTATTCTTGGTTTGTTGAGTGTTGTTTATTTTTTAAATCATAAAATGGTGTTGGATTTTGTCAGATGTTTTTTCTGAGTTTGTTGAGATGACCATGTGGTTTTTTTTCTTATTTGTTGTATTAATATGGTATATTACACTGATGTTTTTACATGCCAGGATGCATCACCCTTGTAACTTTTGGATAGATCTCATTTGGTCATGTTGCATAATCCTTTTGCTGTGCTGCTGGATTCAGTTTCCTAGTATTTTGTTAAACATATTTGCATTTATATTCATAAGAGATATTGGTCTAGAGTCTTTGATGTCTTTGGTTTTGGTTTCAGGGTAATAGTGGCCTCATAGCATGACTTGAGAAGTGTTCCCTCCTCTTCTATTTTTTGGAAAAATTTTTAAGTATTGGTGTTAATTCTTCTTTAAACATTTGGTAGAATTCACCAGTGAGACTATTTGGTCCTGGGCTTTTTATTTTTTCACTGATTCAATCTCTTGTTATAGGTGTATGCATCTTTGCTATTTTTGAATTAGGTTCAGTAGTTTGTCTTTCTAGGGAATTTTCCATTTTGTCTAGATTGTCTAATTTGTTGACATATAATTGTTCTTAATATTCTCTAATAATTATTTTGATTTTTGTAAGATTAAATGGTAATGTTCTCCCTTTCATTATTGATTTTAACAAATTAGGTCTTGCTATTTTTTCTTGGTAAGTTTAGCTGAAGGTTTGGCATTTTCTTAATCTTTGAAAAACATTGGTTTTGTTGATTTTCTCTTTTCTTTTTCTATATTTTATATAATCTCTTTCCATTCTAGGCATTATTATTTCTGTCCTTCTGCTTGTATTGGATTTAGCTTGCTTCTGTTTTTTTTTCTTAGGTTGGAAAGGGTAGGCTATTGATTTGAGATAGTTCTTTTATCTTTCAGATCCTTCTCTCTCTTTCTTTCTCCAGCTTTATTAAGGTATACTTGACAAAATTGTGTAAGTTTACAGTGATGATTTGTTATACATATATATTGTGAAATGATACCACAATCAGGTTAGTTAACACATCTATTACCTCACATAGCTACCATTATTTTTGTATGTACGTGGTGAAAACATTTAAGATATGTCTTAGCAAATTTTAAGTATATAATACAGTGTTGTTAGTTATAGTCATCATGCTTTACCTTAGATTCCCAGGATGCATTGAATCTATAGGTTGCTTTTGTTAGTATGAACATTTTAACAATATTAATTCTTCTGATCCATAAATGTGGGATATCTTTCCATTTATTTGTGTCGTCTTCAATGTCTTTCATTGATATGGTTTTTAGTATACGGATCTTTCACCTTGATTATATTTATGCCTAAGTATTTTTTTCGACGCTATTATAAATGGGATCGTTTTCTTTTTCAGTTGTTTTTGTGTAGAAACACAACAGATCTTTGTATGTTGATTTTGTATCTTGTAACATTTGTAACTTTATACATTATCCAAAAGCTATTAGAAGTATAATCTTTAGGGCTTTCTATATCTAAGATTATGTCATCTACAAACAGAGACAGTTCTACTCCTTCCATTTTACTTTGCATGCTTTGTATTTTTGCTTACCTAACTACTCTGGCTAGGACTTCCAATGCCAGGAAGCATATAAGTGGTGAGAGTAGGCACCCTTGTCCTATTCCTGATCTTAGAGGAGAGCTTTCAGCTTTTCACGTTGATTATTATGTTAGCTCTGGGTCTGTCGTTTGTTGAAGCACATTCCTTTATTATGTTGTGGTACATTCCTTGTTATCTAGTTTTTTGAGAGTTTTTATCATGAAGGGTTGTTGAATTTTGTCAAACTTTTCCCCATACTTATTGAGATGATCATGTATGATTTTTGTCCTTAATTCTATAAATGTTATATATCACATTTATTTATACACATATGTTGAACCAGCCTTGCATCTTAGAGATAACACCCTCGTTATCATGGCGTGTAATTTTTTTAATGTGCTGTTGAATTTGGTTTGTTAGTATTTTTTGAGTATTTTTGTTTATCAGGAATATTGGCCTGTAATTTTCTTTTTTTGTAGTGTCTGTCTAGCTTTGGCCTTACAAAATGAGTTGGGAGGTATTCCCTCCTCTTTAATTTTTTTGAAGAGCTTGAGTAAAACTGGAATTAATTCCTTTTTAAATGTTTGGTAGAGTTCACCAGTGAAACCACCTGGTCCTGGGCTTTTCTTTGTTGGGAGATTTTGATTACTGATTCAGTCTCCTAACTTGTTATTGATCTATTCAGATTTTCTATTTCCTTATGATCCAGTCTTGGTAGATTGTGTGATTCTAGGAATTTATCAGTTTCTTCTAGGTTATCTAGTTGGTTGGCATATAATTGTTGATAGTAGTCTTTTATGATCACTTGTCTTTCTGTGGTGCCAGTTATAATGTGTCCTTTTTTATTCAAAATTTAATTCATTTGTGGCCTCTCTTTTTTTCTCGGTTAGTCTAGCTAAGGGTTTCTCAACTGTGTTTATCTTTTCAAACAACAAGCTCTTAGTTTGTTGATCTTTTTTATTCTTTTTCTATTTTGTTTATTTCTGCTCTATTCTATTATTTCCTTCCATCTGCTCACTTTGGGCTTATTTATTCTTCTTTGTCTAATTCCTTGAGTTGTAAAATTATGTTGTTTATTTGAGATTTTTCTTTTTTTCTAATGTAGGCAATAAACTTTCTTTTTAGAACTGCCTTTGCTACATCCTATAAGTTTTGGTATGTTGTGTTTTTGTTTTGTTCATCTCAAAGTATTTCTAATTTCCCTTATGATTTCCTTTTTGGCCCAATGGCTATTTAAGAGTACCATTTAATTTTCATAAATTTTTGAATTTCCCAAATTTCTTCCTTTTTATTTCTAATTTAATTCCACATACTTGAATGATTTCCATTCTTTTTTCTTTGAGATGGGGTTTCGCTCTTTCGCCCAGGCTGGAGTGCAGTGGCGTGATCTCGGCTCACTGCAACCTCCGCCTTCCAGTTTCAAGCGATTCTCCTGCCTCAGCCTCCTGAGTAGCTAGGACTACAGGCGCCCGCCACCACGCCCGGCTAATTTTTCTATTTTTTTTTTTAAGTAGAGACGGTGTTTCACTGTGTTGGCCAGGATGGTTCTCAAACTCCTGACCTTGTGATCCACCCGCCTCGGCCTCCCAAAGTGCTGGGATTACAGGCGTGAGCCACTGCGCCTGGCTCAGTTCTTTTAAATTTATAGAGACTTAACTTATGGCCTAAAATGTTGTCTGTTTTGGAGAATTTTTCATGTGGACTTGAGAATACTTTGTATTCTGCTGTTGCTGGGTGGCATGTTCGGTATATGTATTAGAATTTGTTGGTTTATAGGGTTATTCACATCTATTTCCTGGCTGATGCCCAGATTTTATAATTGAGGAATATGTGGCTTAGAGACTCAGAGGAGTTAAAACAGCATGTTCAAGATTACCTATATAGTAAGTGAGAGGGAGGGATTTAGGCCCAGCTGATTTGATGTTATTTGCATGTTATGGTGGTAGTCCAGGAATAATCAAATTCTTATCATTGAGCCTACTTTTATAAATTATTTTCTTTTATTAAATAATTTACTTTTGACAAATTCTTCTTCCGTATGTTTTCTTTTTTGTGTGTGTGTGTATACTAAACTACTTTTGTCTGTGTAGTTTAATTTTAAAAAGCATGAATTCCTTAGTTAAACTCAGCCTCTTAACATGACAAAAAATTTTAAAAAGTCTTTCATTATGAACTTCAAGTCTTTCTTTTTCTCTTTGTGAAAGTTCATAAAATTTGAGGCTTGTAGAGGCTTAGTTTCTCTCTAATGATTTTCATTCAGGTTTAACCTTCACAATTCATTTTAAATTGAGAGCTACTTGAAATGGTTTAATTAAACCTTTAACTGAGTAGTAATTGATTTATTATTTTGGTCTCTCGTTATAACGTGAAGCCACTGAAATCCTCTGGTTTATTTTATAGCCTTTTAATCTTTTTTGCTCATGTAGGAAGTGGTCTGCAGAAAGACCTTTCATTTTCCTTCTCTTTTCCTCATCAAACCTCTGGCTGTGATCCAAGAAGAAATTTCCTAATGGACCAAGCTCATTCTCGTGTGTGTGATCCCATGTGCGTGTGTGTGATCATATCTCTGTGTGTATGTGTATGGGTGTGTTTGTGAGTACACAGGTATGTGTGTATATGGGTGTGTTTGTGTGTGTGCATGTGATTGTGTATATAGGCACGTTTGAGTGTGCACGTTGTGTGATTGTGTATATAGATGGTGTGTGAGTGTGCACGTGTGTGATACTGTATATGTGCGCATGCGAGTGTGCATGTGTGTGATTGCATATCTGGGCACATTGTGAGTATACATGTGTGTGTGATTGTGAATATGGGCACGTTTGTGAGTGTGCTGTGTGTCGTGGGCATATGTGTAAGTGCACGTGTGTGTGGTTGTGGGCACATGTGTAAGTGCACGTTTGTGTGTGAGATTGTGTATACGGTACATTTGGGAGTGTGCACATGTGTATGTGGTTGTGTACATGGGTTGTGTATGTGGTTGTGTACGTGTGTGAGTGTGCATGTGTGTGTGGTTGTATAGGTGCTTGTGTATGTGTGTATGATTGTGTATATGGATATGTGTGTGCACGTGTATGATTTTGTATATGGGTGTGTATGAGCATGTGTGTGTGAGAGTGTGTGTGCACACGCATGCATTCATTTATCCTGATGGAGGCTGGGGCAATTGAGGAAGAATGTACATGGGTCTCCCGAGAGCCTCGTTTTGGCTCTCCCATTTTCTCTCTGATTTCAGACCCTCTGCAGGAATTCTTCCTTTCTTATCTTTCCTCTCCTCTCCCCTCCCCCTTTCCATCTCTTTAGTCATTAACTGTTTGTTGGGTGCCTGCTGTATGTCTGGGTGCTGTGCTAGGTGCTGGGGCTGCAGGAGGGGCCCACAGGCTGTTGACTCTGGCCCCCTAGCTGGTGAATGGCAAATAGGCAAAAAGGCAGTTTCAGTGCAGCAGGGCGAGTGCCTCTGCGCGGTTAAGTTCAGGCTGCTAAAGACGTCCTCTAATGTGAGGGTAAAAGGAGGCTTCCCAGGGGAAGTTGATGTCTATGTTTAAATCTGTATGTTGTCTCTTCTGGGCATTTACCACAAATCCAGTCATTCTGAGTGCATGTACGAATGTTGAGCACTCTGATCTGCCCTGGTCAGCAGCGCAGTGTAGTGGAAAGGGCACACGTCTTGGAATCAGACTTAGGCTCCATTCCTGGAGCTTTCATGTGATTGCTGGAGCCTTGGCTGGCACATAGGGACCTTTGTGCAGATTACAAAAGGCGCCCCCATTCTGAGGGGATGAGCTAGTAACAGGAGCTGTTTCTGGGTGAACAAACATAAAACGTGCTCAGGGCTGATGCAGCCAGTGCCGGAGCACACAGCTTGGCTAGTGGAATTTGGCCCTGGTAAGTCTTCAATCACCGCCTCACACAGGGTACAGCCTGCACCACAGCCTTGAGGCTCTGCTGGGGACTTAGACAAGTGGCATGGCTGTGACTTTTGTCACCTGTCAAAGAGAGATAAGATACTGACCTTTTTCATAGGTTCTGAGACAAGTGCATGTTCATACATGATGCCTTAGTCCATAGTGACTGCCTGTTAGACATTGTACCCTCCTGTACCTTACATCCGTGTACTTTCCAGCCCAGGGAGTGGGATCACACTGAAGCTTGTCACTGCATGAGACTATCGTCATTTTCCTGCAGAACTTAGTGAAGAGGTCAAAGTATATTATTTCTGTGCTTAGATATTAATTGAACTGTCCAAAGGACTTGCTATGACATGGGTATGAAGTTCACTGACTTTGAGGCAAACAGGTCTGTATTCAATTCCTGATTCTGCCATTTATTAATTCCCTGACCTTGGAGCAAATAAGTTAATCTTCTTAAGCCTCAGTGACCTCTACTATATGATGGGGATCATACTAATGCCTCCCTTGGGGATTAAATGAGGACGTGCATGTGAAGTGCTTAGCATGGTGCCTGAGATATATGTGCTTAATAATGATTAGTTATCACCATTATTTACGTGGCATTTCCACGATATGGCTGGTAAAAGTACAAGGAGCAAGCTTGGGATGCCTTCAGCCTCCCTGGTGCCTGGCATTGTGGAACAGGATGCAGTCTGTCCCTGCAAAGGGGATGTTGCATTCCTCATAAACCTAAGAGGCTTGTGTTCCCCTATTTATGATAAATAATTCATTGTCTCCCCTATTGCTTCCTGAGCTTTGGAAATAAACGTCAGGGAGATTGACTGTCAGGGCCTTAAAATGTTAGTCTTTCAGGATTTTCCAAAATTCTTGAGTTGGTGTGATTAGAGATTGAGCTGCCCTGTGCGAGTGCTGGGAAGCTGGCCGTATCCAGGGTTTTAGGCATAATAAAATTTGTGTGCCTTTAATTCTACATTGGATTTCCTGGTGTGAGAGCTATTTTAAAATGAAGAACTCAAGGAAAAAATGCGTATTGAGTCAGAATGAATGAGAATGCATGTACATCAAGAAATCACATTATCTAACTGTGGACCAGGTGGGAGGATAATAGTTTCTTAAAAGAGATATTCTAAGTCAGAATCTTAATGACTATGGCCATAATATTAAACAGTTGCCATTTATCAATCATCTCCTGAGTTCTGTGCCCAGCATTGTAATGGATTGCTTTTATCAGTAGTGACTCTATAAAATAGAGGCAGTTTTGTGTTTATTTTTCGCATTGGAAACGGAGGCTCAGGGGAGATTTGAACCCAGGTCGGTCCAGCTCCAAGCCAGCATTCTCTGCACAGCACAGATTGTCTCTATTAAAGTGTGTAGTGCTGACCTTTTCTTACCCATGCTTCAGGGGTATGTGATTCTGCAGATACATTTTTGACTGGGAATAAGGAAACCCAAATTCCAGTTCTGCGTGCTCAGCAGCTGGTTCTGGAAGATGCGCCAAGCCACTTGAACCGTTGTGTCCCTTGTTTCTTCTCCCATTGAGGACGTTGTGTTTGCTGCATCCATCTCTTAAGATTTTTATAAGGCTAAAATGAGATAATAGCTGGGAAAGTGCCTTGCAAACTTGAGTGATGCACAAATAAAGGGCTTACGTTATTAAATTGTTGATAATGTTGGGCTATTTTTTCATAGTGTTCACGTTGTGTTTTGATTGAGTTAGAAGTAATCCTTTGGCCGATTCTCTGCCCCTTGCCAGTTTTTGGCCTTGGATCTGCAAGGATGATTTTCTGACTAAGAGGAAGTTGTCCCCAAACTGTGGATTTAGAGCAGAGTTAAGAGGCACTGTGGCTCAGCCCTTTCTTCCTTTTGGAAACTGGGGACACAGGAAATGGCTTCTTTTCCAGATATTTCTTTTTCTATCATCAAACAGTGGATCAGTGTGTACTTATTAATTGTATCTACTCCACATCCAGCTCCGTTCGAGACCCTGTGGGACCCAGGAATTAAAAGGCCAGCTCAGACCTCAGGGTTTGTCATAAAAGGTGGGGAAAAATCGAAACAATCAGGGAGTGGTGTGGGCGCATACACACCCTACGTGTGTGTGGCTCACACTGTAATTCACATCAAGCTGTGGGGGTAGTCATCCTGCTCACTTAGCTGGGGACACCTCATGGAGGAGGCACTGAGGTCTTAACTGGACCGGACATGTTAGGATTTGAACTGGGGCTTGGTCTCTGATTGGTAGTGAAGGAGGTGGTCACAGCTTGGGAGAATAGTACAAGTAAGTGAAAAGAGACGGGGATTCTCTGTGTATATTTGGGGAGGTCTAGAAAATTGCCCTGAGCAGTTAAGGGGGAGGAAGAAGGAAGTGGGGTCACTGAATGTGTGTGTGTGTGCAGGTGTGTGTGTCTGTGTGTGCATATGTGCAGGGTTGGATCACGTGCTAAAGGACCTTGAAGGCCAGGCCTGAGAGTTGTGGGCAAAATCATCCAGAACAATGGAAGGTTCTAGAGTGAGGGAATGACAGATGAGGGATGGAGGCAGAGAAAGCCCAGAGCAGGAGGCTGGAATCTGGACACCGTGTGCAGGCATCTGGGTGGTGAGGTTGCTGTGTGAACAGAGAGGGGATTTACTGGAGAGACATCTTTAGGGCAAAGTCCATAGAGTTTAGTGACAGATTAAATAAAGGAATTCAGAGGGAGGAAGAGGAATTAAAGCTAACTCCATTGAAATGTTTTGATTTAGAGGTTACATGATTTTCCTTGCCCAGTCCCAAGATTCTCAGCTCTGCCATAAAATGCGAGTAGTTGACAGCAGCAACTCATTTTCAGAGCTTAAATTATTCAAGTTCATTCATGAATATTTCATTTTTAGCTAGCTAATTGGTCTTGAGGATCTGAATTATGGATGCAGCAAGCTGGAAGATTAGTTTTGTCACCATCGTGTTTGAGGTTTTCCAAAGCTTTCAGGCCGATTTTATTTTTTCCTTGCCTTGGAATTAATTGTGCATTGCTCATCAGTTTAATTCACCCAGATTTGCTGGCTGCCTGCTGCTCAGGGCACCAGGTTAGGTGCGAGGGGGATAAAAAGTAATCAGGACAGGGACTCTGCCTTCGAGGAGTCTCCAGTCTGGGGGAGTGGAGACTCACGATGTCTGCTGTACCACACGCTGTGCTGTGCTCCAGCAAGTGCAAACACTGTGGCTGTCTGTGCTCCATTGAGTCTGTGTGGAGAAAACACTGGCTACCCCGCAATAGTAAGTTTGCCAAACTCAAGCTTAAGGGCACAGTTCTCCGCAAGACGACCAAGTCTGCCCAAGACTCCTGATACCAGCCACAAGTTTGGAGGGTCTCCTGGACCACCTTTACTTCTTTCTTACTACTACAGATTTGGAAGGTCCCTGCGGCCTCTCTCAGCTTTGATAATTTGCTAGAATAACTCACACAACTCAGGAAAGCCCTGTCCTCATGATTATAATTTGATTATACTCAAAGGATGCAAATCAGAGAGCCAGTTAAAGGGAGAGAGGTGTGTGGGTAAAGTTGCAGACTGGGAAGGTTCTAGACGTGGAGCTTTTGGTCCACCCATGGAGTCCTGAGCAAAGTTACCTCTCTCCCAACTACAACATAGGACATCAGGAGGGACATCCGGGGGCCTAGAAATCACCTCCCTGTAGCCAAGGGCAAAGGCCAGACTTCTCTTTGGGTAAAGTTAATTCTTCACTCACAATCACATCCTCATAGAGTGTTTCAGGGGAGTGGCTTGTGTCTGCGGGATGGCAGAGTCTGTCACTGGGTTTAGACCTGGGCCGCAGGCTTCAGTAAACTCTTAGGCACCCTGTTTCTGGAACTCAGCTGACATGACACGAGGTGGGTGTTTTGTAGCCTCTCTGCTAATTCTGCTTCTCTGATATGAATTGCTGCTTCAGTAGATTGTGCAAGTACACGTTGTTGTGAAGAAGAATAAGGAGAAAAGTTTTAAAGACTCCAAGGGAAATGGTTTCTTACTCTGTACCTTGTATTTCTTTCCTCCCATCTCCCTTGCACACAGGCTGGTTCTCCTGTAAACACAGGCTTTTTTCTCCTTGTTTAAATCTAGGGAGGGCTCCCAGGGCCTTCTGTCCCTTGTTTTATCTGGTTTGCCTTCCTATCATTAAGTACCTTCTTCTTCTTTGTGCTCCCCTGCCCACCATGCCCCAGGGAGATAGAGTGAAGGCAGGAATCTCGCTGGTTGCCTTAGTGCAGGACTCTGGTTTGGATCTTTCAGCCAAGGCTGACCCACTCACCAGTGGCGTTGCAGTTTGGTTGAAGCTCTGTTCCAGCAAGGGCCCTCCTTTCCCAGGAAATCTCTTGCTTCATTCTGGTGCCAGGTTTCCCTGAGGTCTTGGGTACCCCGTACCAAGGCAGGCTTCTTTGTTCAGATTCCCTGTGGTCAGGCTGTTGTGTCCCTGCAGACTCTGCCCCAGACTGTTCTGCCCATCTCTGCTCCCCTTTGCCCCTGTGGCCTCCCTCTCTGATTTGTGAGCACAAGTGACTTACTTAACGGGTCCTCATGGTAATAGCAGTAGATAAAGTGGCTGGTGTCCTACTGTGCAGAGCAACAGCTTTAGAGAGAGCAGGAAGGGACCTGAGAGACATTCTACAGATGCACGTGTACCCAAGATGGTGCCAGAATCTAGTACTCCTTCCTCTACCCCAATGTTCAGGTTCAAAGAGGGTTGCTGAAGTGCCACTCCTCTGCCAGACAGATGACTGGCATTGGGGATGTCAGCCAGGCTGCTGGCGGCTCTCTGCTTGGTCTCGCTCAGGGACATCTCCTAAGTCTCATCGTTGAAGACCACACCCCTCCACCTTCACACAACTGGATGAGATGCTCTGCTCCCTGCCCTGCTCACCCATCTTTTTTTTTTTTTATTTGAGATGGAGTCTCGCTCTGTTGCCCAGGCTGGAGTGCAGTAGTGTGATCTCAGCTTACTACAAGCTCTGCCTCCCAGTTCACGCCATTCTCCTGCCTCAGCCTCCTGAGTAGCTGGGACTACAGGTGCCCGCCACCACGCCTGGTTAATGTTTTTTTTTTTTGTTTTGTTTTTTTTTTGTATTTTTAGTAGAGACAGAGTTTCACCATGTTAGCCAGGATAGTCTCGATCTCCTGACCTCGTGATCCGCCCACCTCGGCCTCCCAAAGTGCTGGGATTACAGGCGTGAGCCACCGCGCCTGGCCCCCGCTCACCCCTCTTAATTCCCACCTTCATTCCGGAGATGAATGCCTTAAAAATTAACACTAATTGAGAAGAAACACAAGTTGTAAAATGATTTTAAACTTGCTCTAAAGCAGCTGTGATCATGCCATTGAAAATCACTAGGTCGCTAGGAAACTGGAAAAATATTGTTATTGTCTTTAGTGCTATAATTTGTGGCTTTAGATTGTAATTATTTTTTCTTTTTCTTGCCAGGACAATTTGACTCTAATAATTATGACTCCTTGAAATAATCTGAATAGTTTTGTAACTCATTAAGGGCATGACAAGCTCAGCAGCCTTTGAGAACGCTTTGCAAAGGAGTCCCTAAGCAGTTTCTGAGAACTGGATTTCAGTGGAAATGGTGCTTAACAAGGGGCAGGATTTGTGAACGGGGGGTTGACAGCCGCAACTTAAAATCCTGTCAGCATTGCTGGAGAAAGATGTACAGCGATGCTGATAAACTGATGGTCTTGAATCAGAACATTAGAAAATTGATTACCCATTAGTACACAGATGCAATGATATTAGCACCAACGATAATTGTTTGCAGCTGTTAATGTCTGGAATCACTTTAGACTTTTCATTTTTAATGAAACGTGAAACCTGAACATATCCTCACACTTGGAGGGTGATTGTGAACCCTGCACTGCCGTCTCACGTGATTCCATTGTGCCCTCTTGTTTCCTCTGTAGAGTTTTTGGTCATGAAGAGGAAGAGAGGCAGGCCTAAGGGGTCCACGAAGAAGTCCAGCACAGAAGAGGAGCTGGCAGAAAACATCGTGAGTCCGACTGAGGACAGCCCGCTGGCTCCGGAGGAAGGGAACAGCCTGCCTCCAAGCAGCTTGGAGTGTAGCAAGTGCTGTCGGAAGTTCTCCAACACGCGCCAGCTGCGGAAGCACATCTGCATTATCGTGCTGAATTTGGGTGAGGAGGAAGGAGAAGCAGGTAAATGCTGCCAAAGGGCTGAACATGTCAATTTCTTATGAAGAGGTGTATCTGCTAATATCAGGTTTCACTGGGTCAGTTTTTACTTGGAAATAGCACATATTTATTCAGCTCTCACCCATCTGGAAAAGTGCTTATTTTCCTAATGATGACTATTACCGTAAGTAGTCTTTGAAGTGAATGTGTCATCTGGGAGTTGATGCCCATGGCATGCAGGTCAGGGGACTGCTTTGCTAGATGCTTTGAGAGTTGCAGGGATGGTAAAACACAGCCTCTCTCTTTGCTGAGCTTATGTTCTGGGAAAGAAGACAAGGTTTTAAATGCATCATGTTAATCGATAACAAATTGTCAGCAGGAGAAAGCATTCTGATGGAAAGTCAGGAGTGAATCTGGTGTCACAGTTTGGGTGGCATTGAATTGAAGGAAGGACGTCTTAGTGGATGGATGGGGCCATGTGGGCCAAAGTGCAGAGATTAGGATCCTCAAGGCTCCTATGAGGGACCTCGATGGGCCAGCATTGGCTGAGGACTAGATTTCAGTGGGCATTCTTGAAGAAAATAAAGACTATCGGGTGCCTCCTTCAGATACATTCTTGACTAGGCTTCAGCTCTGAAGCAGCTTCTAAAAGAGGCTGAAAGGCGGATAGATGTGGTCAGGGAATGAAGTTGCTGTGGGGTAGTGTGTCTGCAGATGGCCTTCGTCGGAGGAATGAAATAGCAAGGCTACGCTGGAGCAGTTAGGGCCTCTGCTGTGGGTTCTGTTGTTGTTGAGTCCTTGCACCATTTTTGAAGCCTTCAAACTGTACCCCATGTTTAAGTTCTTTCTGTTTTGTATTGTGCTAACCATGTTATGTGGGAAGCAGTTCTCATTAAGAACATAGGCTCTGGGTTACGGCTGTCTGGGTTTGCATTCCAGCTTCAGCACTTATTAACTTAATTTTGCCTCAGTTTCCTCATCCGTAAAATTGGAATAAAAGCAGTCCTGTCTCCTATGGTTGCTTTGACAATTAAGTAAGATAGGACTTAGAAAGTGCTTCCAGTAGTACCTGCTATATCAAAAGCACCAAGTGAATGCCAGCTATTACAGTGAGCCGTTCATAACCACATGGATACAGTATTGTTGTCATCCTTCCTGCTTCCTGGATAAGGGCGTTTAGACTCTGAGAGATGAAGTAATTTGTTTAGGGTCCTTTAGTTAGTAAGGGGACCTGGCCTTTGAACCCAGGCCATCCTACTCTGACCCCTGTTCTTAAATTCCTCACCATAAATGCCTCCCTACAATAAGCAAGACTCTTGGTTTGCAAAACCCTATCATAGTTTGGGTGAATTATTGAGTAACTCATCAACTAATATTTATGGAGCATCTAGGTTGGTGGCCAAGGCTCATTGCCAACATCTGTACAAGTTGTAGAAAATACCAGACACTGTTCCCTCTCATAAAGAACTCTCAAGGCAATGATGTAAAACCTTGTGGGGCTGCACGGGCTCATGAAAATAACCCATGAGGATCAAAGGAGGTGGAGCTGTCCCTAAATGGAGCCTGAGTAATTGCCGTGTGAGAGCTGTAGGCCCGGAGTGCTGTCATTTCAGAAGAATCTGCATCGTGTTTCAGAACCTAAAGTCCTTTTGGGAAATAAAGATAATTTTAGAAATGAGATGGTTGAAAGAGGAAGGATTAGGATAGACCTCCCCTGAACCCGAAGCTCTGATTTCCAGTGATTTGTTAATCACTGGATTTGGGTTACAGAGTCTTTCCCCCACCCTCTTGTGCGTGCATGCACACTCTCTCTCTCCCTGTCTCTCTCTCTCTCTCCCTCTCTCCCTGACTCTCTCTCTCTCTCCCTGTCTCTCTTTCTGTCTCACATGCATACATATGCATGCCCCCTGCTCCGGCACAGCTAGGTAACGACGTTGCATTTTAATCAGTGCTAGCCATCGAGGCAGCTCTGCTGTCTGTAGTTTCTGCACTGCCTGAGCCCTTCAGAGAATCTAGTTCTCTCCGATCATTTTCTGCTGTCTTCTCGAGAATCCCTTTTGTTTGTACCTTCACAGGGTTTTTCCTGTCAGGTTCCTTCTGAGACACTCCTGGACTTTCTGCACAATTGTGGCTAGAAATCAGAGACTTTGCTCTTTGGCAACACTAAATTTTTCTGCTTTCCATTCTTCCAGACCTCAGGTCAAGCTCTGGGTTTGAGGCTCAAAGTCAACAGCACAGACCCTGGAGGCCCAGAAGTTCAGCTGGGTCTGTGGCCGTTCCCCAGTCTGCACTGCCCTTAGGGTCAACTCTCTAAAACAGGGGTCCCCAATCCCTGGGCCGCAGGTTTGTACGGGTCTGTGGCCTGTTAGGAACCAGGCTGCACAGCAGGTGAGTGGTTGGTGAGCGAGCATTACCACCTGAGCTCTGCCTCCTGACAGATCAGCTGCGACACTCGCTTCTCATAGGAACATGAGCCCTATTGTAAACTGCACATGCCAGGGATCTACGTTGCGTGCTCCTTATTGAGAATCTAATGCTTGAGATCTGAGGTGGAACAGTTTCATCCCCAAACCACCCCACCCCGCCATCTGTGGAAAAATTATCTTCCATGAAACCAGTCCCTGGTGCCAAAAAAGTTGGGGACTGCTGCTCTAAAACAGAGTGCCTTAGTGTCTCCCCATCACAGCAGAGTACAGAGTCTTTCTCCCTGCATGTTCAAGACCCTCACCAAAACCATCTTTCCGTGTGGCTCTGTGGCATCATTTGTCAGTGACATAAAGTATTCTGTTTTTTGTACCAACCAGGGTACACTTGATGAAAACTTAGGTTTTTATCAATTTTTCACTGTTGTAAATACTGCTTTAATAACTATTCCTAAATGTGTGTGTGTGTGTGTCAATATGTATACATATTTGTAGACTTGTGTTATGATTTTTGTAGGATAAATTCCTAGAACCAGATTGCTGGGTTGGAAAGTGTGTTAATATTGCGCCCAGAAAGCTCACATCAACTTATATTCCAGAAGTGTCTGAGAATGCCTATTGGATATTATTACTTTTGTTTGTTTTAGTTTTTAATACCTGTAATGAAACAGAAAATACTAAGAAAGTGAAAATATTCCAAAATTTCACTGCCTGGGGTCAATGACTGTTACACTGAAAAAGAGAAGGCCCTCCTCCATTCTTTGTACACCCATATGTATTTTTCAGAACTGAGATTATTCATAATATTCTGTGATCTTTTTTCACTCACTAATGTGGCAGATAAATTTTTCATGACAATATTTTTTATTTAACAAGCTGTTTTCTAGCGCTTTTTTATGCTACAGTTGCTGTTCTCAGTGTTTTACAACTAATAGTCATTTTAATTCTCATGGTAGCTTAAGAGATAGGCACTATTTTTGTTGTTGTTGTTTGTTTTGTTTTGTTTTGTTTTTTTGAGATGGAGTTTTGCTCTTGTTGCCTAGGCTGGAGTGCAGTGGCGCAATCTCAGCTCACTGCAACCTCTGCCTCCCAGGTTCAAGTGATTCTCCTGCCTCAGCCTCCCAAGTAGCTGCAATTACAGGCATCTGCCACCACGCCCGGCTAATTTTTTGTATTTTTAGTAGAGATGGAGTTTCACCATGTTGACCAGGCTGGTCTTGAACTCTTGACCTCAGGTGATCCACCTCACTTGGCCTCCCAAAGTGTTGGGATTATAGGTATGAGCCACTGTGCCTGGCCAAGGTATGCACTATTGTTATTCCCATTTTATAGAAGAGCAAACTAAGGCACAGATGTTTCAGCCGTTGGCTTTGGTCACACAGCCCATATGTGGTGGAGCTGGTTGTGAGCGAGGTGGGCTGGCTCCAGGGTCTGTGCTTTTGACTGCTTTGCTGTGTGTCCTTACCCAAAACAGTGTTACTTGTTGTCATTTTTAAAGGCTGTACAGCATTTCTTCATATGCATGGGCATACCTCATTTTGCTTCATTGGTCTCTAGTTGATGGGCATTTAGAATTGTTTTAAAATTTTCTCTCTGATCAAAAAGCACTACTCAGGTGAACAGTCCTGAGCATGCATTTCAGATTTATTATTATTATTTTTTGCACTTATGCCATTATCTTAAATGACTAATAATGAAATGCTTGTTAAGTTGTTATTTAACGAGCTGTTTTTTAGTGCTTTTTATTTTGCAGTTGCTGTTTCTCAGTGTTTTACAGCTAATAGCTCTTTTAATTCTCATAGCAGCTAAGAGGTAGGCACTATTGTTATTCCCATTTTATAGAAGAGGAAACAGAGACACAGATAGTTTCAGCAGTTCGCTTGGATAGATCACACAGTCTGTAAGTGTATCTTTTAGTTTCCTTTGTAGCATTGCTTTTTTTTTTCTTTTGCATTAGGAAAATGCAAATAGGGCATATTTTACATTTTGACGCGCATACGTATTGTCAAACTGCCCTGTAGAATGTGCGTATCAATTATTTTTCCGTCATGGGCCATGTCCTCAGATAGCCTTTATCCTTTTCATCCTGGGTTGTGTCAGCCTCTGTCCTTGCCAGTCTCTTTTGTGAACAGTTTGCTTTAATTGTTTTAATTTGTTGCCCCTTGGTCACTAGTGAGCTATCTCTGTTACAGTTTTTAGTTATTTGTGTTTTTTTGTGTGATTGGGGGCATTCTGTGTTCATGCACTTTACTTATACCTTTGAATGATCATATATGCTGAAAATATTTTCTGCAATTTGTCATTTGTCTTTTAATTTTCTTTGTAGCATTGCTTTTTTTCCTTTTGCATTTTGCTGGAGTTTTAAATTTCTGTATTGTCACCACTGTTTGTATCGTATTGTCAAATGTATCTTTTACATTTTTTGCCCTTTTATCATAGTTTACAAAATTTACCTCATATCCCCTCCAATTTAAAAAAAATGCTTCTGTTTCTCTGTTATCTGTATGGTTTTATGTATATCTTTGATTCATTTGGACATTGCATTTTTGTTTTCTGTAAGTTGTGAAGTAAGGCAGTTATATAGTTGACTTTTTAACAAGGTGGGGATTAAGGGCACCATCCCACTGTCAACAGTTATTTTCAAGTATAACTTTTGACTCTCCTCAAACTTAACTAGTAATAATCTACTGTTGGCCAGAAGCCTTACCAATAGTCAATTAACACATATTTGGTATGTTATATGTATTATATACTATTTCCTTATAATAAAGTAAGCTAGAGAAACAAAAATGTTACTAAGAAAGTCATAAGGAAGAGAGAATATGTTTACTGTTCATTAAGTGGAAGTGGATCATCATAAAGATCTTCATCTTCATTCTCCTCATGTTGAGTAGGCTGAGGAGAAAGAGGAGGGGTTGGTCTTTCTGGAGAGGTCAGAGAGATGGAAGAAATTTCAGTATAAGTTTCCCCTTGCAGTTCAAACCCATGTTGTTCAAGGGTCAACTGTATATATTTGACCAATAAATCTAGGGAAAGGAATTATCTTAATAAATATAATTCAGTAGATAAAATATTTGAAGTCATAGATAGGGTCCACGGAGAAAATACAGATCTGGCAGTTCAAAGTCTCAAAAACCCCTTAAAAAATAAAACTTTGTGTTTTGAAATAATTATGAATTCACAGGAAGCTACAAAGATAATACAGAAGAGTCCCATGTGTTCCTCATCTGGTCTCCCCCAGTGGCTACACCCTACACAACTCTAGCGCAGTATCAGAATCAGGACTTTGGCCTTTGAGTGCGCGTGGCTTGCTGCCAATTTGCCACTCACAAGTATGGCCTGTGCTCACCACCAGGAGGCAGAACTGCTCTGTTGTCACAGGGCCAGGCACCCTGTCCCTCAATTGTCACCCTCGCCTAGCAGCTGCCAGCCTGTTCTCCAACTGTGTGATTTTGTCATTTTGGGAACACTGTGTAAATGGACTCACACAGTATGTGACCTTTTGTGGTTGGCTTAAAGAACTCCCCTTTTAGACCTAAGTTCTAATTTTATGACTGAAGAATTTGAGATGCAGAAGCGATGATGATCAGGTCACATGACTCATTTGGGGCTGGTTGGGGCCCGTGTCTCCCGACTCCTGCCCCGTTACCAGTTTGCTCTATCACGTCTGTGCCTTAAGACCACTCTCATTTCTACCTCATGGATGGAGATTTTCTCCAGTTCAGCATGTCTCTGTCATATTTTTGTCTAACCTTATAAGCGATGGAAGTGGCACCCTGTGTGGATTCCTGATGCTTATTTTCTACTCTGTAATAATTAGGCAGTCTCTTCAGCAATGGCAGACAGACAGGGTCCTTTCTAATCAGATTATCGGCTTCCTCCAGGAATAGCAGTAGAGAAAATGGCCTCCTATTCCATTGATTTGAATGACCTAAATTGACTTTAATTTAACAAATACCAAATGGAAAGATAGACGCTCTGGGTGTTTTTTCCTTTCCAGCCACGGTTGAAGCTCTAAAATATGCAGAAATGACCTTATGCCCAGCTGCCTTGTGGCTGGCATCCATGTGATTGCACCGTGTTCTCTAGTTTGCCAAGCACAATATCACAATTTGGAAAATTCTCGAGTAATTGTTTTAATATGTGCTCTGTCAAGAGCAGTCTAGTGACATTTCAAACAACTGACCTTGGCTCTATAGCTTGTTAAAACAATTAGAAGAAAACAAAATAAACTTTTTCTTACCCTGAACCATGGCAAGTTAAAATAACTCTTTTGATATGTTTTCAACATTTATTTATTTTATTCTGCATTTGAATGGTAGCAGAAACCAGGAAAAGAGATTTTTTTTTCCTGTAGTTATGTAGAACAGCTGGTGTTTTGAAAATGTTTTGCAGCCTACAGAAATCAATATGTCAAATTTATAAAAGTGACTTCTGAACTTTTCTAAGCTTGTTATTTCTGGGGTCATCTTAGGCAAGGAGAGTTGTGAAAATTTCCTCTTATTCTCATTAAATTCTTCCTGTCAAAGACAAGGCATTCATTTTATGGTCTTAAGATCCACCTGTAATCTTCATGATGATTTTTTATTACAGTGTTTCAAGTCTCTGCCTTCTACTGTATTTGTGTTAGCAAAACAGATGGCTTGATAAATACCTGCCATGACTGAAAATGTTTTTGAGTGAGTCATGTTTGAAAATTTGCAGGTGAAAATGTGTTTCTGAACATCCCACATTTGTCTGTGGAAAGATGGATAGTGGTAATGTCTGTTTCTTTTTGCTGCCTGTAAACCCTCATTTTTTCCTCTGTACTAACTAGGTGAGTGGAAACCCAGTGGTCTCCAGCCGTGCTTGGTCTTGGGCGTACTTGTGAGTGTGGCTTCTGCATGGCCCAGTTCATGCCACTGCTCCTGCCTGCCTGCTCTGTGAGTGGCCCCTCTTCTGCCTATCATGTCACTGTCCCTGATTAAGGGGAGACCTGGTTACACCTGATAGCAGAGCTACCCTGAGTGACAGTGGCTCTATATTCCTGTGTTTGCTTTCTTGTCGGTGTTGCAGGTCCTCAGGGACTCTGCTTACTCAGGGACCCAGCTGGAGTGAGCAGCCACCATCTTGAAGGTAGCTGGTCATGGTACAGGAGGGAAGAGAGCCTGGGTGGTTTCACCTTGGCTCAGAAGAGCATCTGTCATTTCTTCTCTCCACAGTTCACTTGCCAGTGTATTAGTCCGTTTTCACACTGCTATAAAGAACTACCTGAGACTGGATAAGTTATGAAGAAAGGTTTAATTGATTCACAGTTCCACAGGCTTAACAGGAAGCATGACTGGGAGGCCTCAGGAAACTTACAATCATTGCAGAAGTTGAAGGGGAAGCAAGGACCGTCTTTATATGGTGGCAGGAGAGAGAGTGAATGAAGGGGGAAGTGCCTCACACTTTTAAACCATCATATCTCATGAGAACATCAGATCTCACTATTATGAGAACAGTAAGGAGGAAATCCACCCCCATGATCCAATCACCTTCCACCAGGCCTCTCCTCCAATTCAACATGAGATTTGGGTGGAGACACAAATCCAAACTATATCAGCCAGCAGGGAATCACATGGCCCCACCTGAGTTCAAGGGCCCAAGAAGTGCAGTTCTGCCCTATTCTCGGGGTAGGGGAGCCCTGGAAATGCTTGGTGACCGTCACTAGTGACGGCCGCATGGTTCTTATCCATTTGCCTGATTTCACCACCAGCTGTGTTCTCATGTCTTGCAAATATCTTCCTTGCCCATGTTTCAGTTTGGGTGTCCCCCAGGCAGTTTAAGTTATGCAGTGTGTTCAATCCGAAACTCATCCAGCTCCCAACTGATGATCCTCCTCTATTTCATCCTGCTGACTGGCCCCCACCATTCAGCCAGAAACATCCCCGTCACATCCCGACACTTACCGTGGTCGATTGACTACCTGCTGAATATCACTTCAATCCTTCCCCTATCCCTGCTGTTGTCCTCGTGGGTCCATCATCTTTTCTGTGGACTCTGTGACAGCTCCAGTCTGCCTATTTACCCCAATTCATGCTCTGTGTACACCAGTGGTTTGCAGATATTTTGGGGGATTTATCCCCATTAAATATTTATTTAGTAATAAGCTGCATTTTTAAAATTCAATAAGCATCTGTAGAGTTCTTACTATGGGCCTGCCTCTCTTCTGAGTGTCTTACAAATATTAATTCATTTCCTCTTCATAAAAGCCCTATGAGGTAGTTACTGTTTTTATTCCCATTTCATGGATGAGGAAACTGGGGCAAGCATCCTATCCAGTGTCACCCTGTAGTAAGCAATGGACCAGGGATGTAGACTCAGGCCTTTTGGCTCAGATACATAGACTGCTGTATTAATATGCTATAGGTGTTATAATACACACATGGTATTATAATGGTAAGTTTCAAAAGGATGAGTTAAGAAAGGTAAAGAAGAATTCTTTTTTATTCCCGAATTTCAGTGGATTTTCCTAGGCATCCCCTGGCTGTATGCCTTTCACCTTCCACCTTGTCTCCCTAGCGTTAAGCATCTTTATGACATATGAACCCATCTTATCCTTACTCTGAACGCACCCCTTTGTGACACCCACTGCTGTTCAGGGACAGCCTAAGCGCCTTAAGAACCTGCTATGTTACTTAGGACCTAGCCGCTGCCTGCTCTGCACCCTGACTTCTTACCCTCTCCCACTTTGCCCACCTCTAGATCTGCAGTGAACCTCTGAAAGCCTCCAGTGTCCTGTGCCCTCACCATCTCTTGTACATGTCATTCTTTTTGCTTGTGATGTCCGTTTGCCCTTTTACCTCTGAATATGCTTGACCTTCAATGATCCTGGCATATGCAGAAGCCCCCTGAGCCAGCGGGGCCCCATCCTGTCATCTGTCCCTTCTCTATGGAATGCCACAACCCTCTCCTGTGCCAGTGATTCCTGCTGGTCTTCAAGTCACAGCTTTATTTCCCCTTTCCAGGCCCAGCTCCAGAGTCCCCCTCCCTTGTGCTCAGCTTCCCAGCAGATCTGGGCTTCTCATTGTGCCGCGCACGTGCCTCGGTGTGTTGGAATTGCTGGTGTGTGTATTTGTCTCCAAACTGAGAAGGCAGGAATCCACACTTGCACCACGGCCTGGTTCCCTGTGGACAGAATAGGGACACATCTCTCTTTTCTTTACCAAAGTCCAGGGCCAGACTCTAGTCCTTGGTGGATTCGGCACAAACAGACCAAGTAACTTTTTCTGTGTGGGTGTATCACTTCCTGGCTCTGTCTGTAGCATTCAGAACAGTGCCGGGCACACAGCAAGTGCTCAGTGAATATCTTTTGAGTGAAAATATGGATTCTCATACAGCAGACACAAGAACTGTACAATATCTAATGGGTGGGAAACCCAAAGTTAATTATTTTATACCTTGCATTTGTATTTCTCTGTGGTGTGGCCCAGTGACTCAGATGAGGCCCTGGGTAGGTACATGTTGTGGCTGACTGGCTGCCATCTATACTTGCTCCCATGCATTTCTGAATCTGCAGATGCTTTAGTTCTTTTTCCTCCTGCTCTCCTGCTTTTCACATTTCGGCTTCAGCTATCAGTTTTTTCACTGGTACTTAAGGGTTATGTATGGAAGTTACCTCTTGTTTGCCGTCTAATGCAGCCATTTGAATTGGAAACCTTGGAGCCATCTCGAATTCCTCCTTTTGTCTCATCTGCAAATCTCTCAGTCCCCAGTCCTGCCAACATTTCTTCCTTCCTCTCATTGCCCCAGGTCCACTGTCATCACCTCTAATGCAGACAGTTTTGCAACAGTCTTCAGACTGGCCGCTCTCCTTCTGAGTCTGCTCCCTATAAGCCCGCACTCCCAGAATGGTGTAAAATACATGGGGTCAGGCTGCTTCCTGCCGGTGGGCCTCCCGTGGCTTTCCCTCCCCTGCTCTTGCTGGACATGGATGGATCTCACCCTGTCCTGAGACTGCTTTGTCTTAGGCCACTGTCTCTGTATGCCATTGGCCCCCACTGGTCTTATGGATTCTTTTGTGCAGGCAGAGCTTTCTTCCTGGGAAGCCCCCTGTACCCTCAAAGCTAGCTAATGAATTCTGTCTCATTCTTTATGGCATGCACAATCCCTCAATGTAGGCAGTCCCGGCAAACATCTGCCTGGTGAAAGTACCTGTGTATGACCTTTATTACTCCAGCAGCTTCTTATACTTTACATAGTTCAGATAAAAAGCTCAGATAAATGACAGTAAGCTACATTATCAGAGTTGTTTAGAGAAGGAAGAAAGTGTGGGCCCCAGAGCCTTGAGCCCATGGGGAGCTCCAGCATGCCCAGAGGTGGGCCTGGATGAGCAAACTGCAGTGTTAACCAGGCTGCTGAGTTTTACATACTTGTGTTTACACACTTCCAAACTTCCCTGAGCCATCCCCTCCAGAACTTCCCAGAGATCCGTGGAATCCCAGTTCTTGGCTCAGCAGGGATTGTGAAGCTCACCTGCCCCAGCTGGGCTCCCCAGTGACGCTGCCTCTTCTTCTGTGTGACCATCTGCCTCTGCTGCTGTGTGGGGCACTGTGTCTCTGCTCTGATTCGACCACTGGGGCAGGGCACCATTCTCTTTTTTAGATGAAGAAGCTGAGGCTCTGCTAGGTGAAGGAAGTTGCCTAAGCCCAGCTAGAGAGTACCTGTTGGAACAGGGATTCTGGTCTAGGACCCTTGGACTTTCCAGCTCAAGCTCTTGCCACGTGGATCCATCAGTCTTCAGGGATGCTGCTGCTGATTGGGTGGTCCTCCGATTCTCCACGCTCCCCTGCTTCAGAGTCGTGTGAATTCAAACCTCCAGTCCTGTTGGCAGTGATGTCTTCCTGAGAGACATGTCAGATAGAAACAGGGCTGACACTGCAGCCCCCCTCTCCCACTGCTGCTTATTGTGACTCTTAATGACCAAAGGGTACTCAGGGCCTTTTGCAGGGGCAGAATCCCACCCCAGCAGAACTGTGAAAGGAAGACTTTCTTCCTCAGCATCTTGGAGGTCACCCTGCGGCTGCTGGCTCTCAGGGACTATGTGGTAGGCTGGTGTCTGGAGGCAAAGGGAGTGGCCTCATCCTACAGTTGCTCTCTGAAGTGCAGCGATTTTCAGTGTGGAGGGTCCACGATTGATCCAGTGTGATGTAGCCCATGGCACAGGGGGCCTTTGCTCTAATTAACGGTCTCACGGTGACCATGCCTGAGACCGGAGAAGTACTGAACACGTGGCTCACGGCTCGTGCCCAGCAGCCTGTACATCTGGACATACTGCTGGGGCTGAGGCTTCCCATCACAGGGAGATTGGCTAAAGTCAAGGGCTGAGTGAGACTCCTGCAGCAGGCAGAATCTCTTCTCTTTTTTTCTCCCACTTCCTGAACTTGTGCTATTGTTGGGCACCAAGTCAGACTTTGGGGATCAAAGTTGAGTAAGACAAGTCTATTCCCTTGAGCAGCTGAGTGCCTGGGGAGGAGGACAGTGATGTAAATAGACAACCAAATGTGGTGAGGTGAACCACCTGCAGAGGGAGCAGGGCAGGACCACTTGCTGGAGCGTTTCCTGGAAGGCTTCTTGAAGGAGGAGGTAGCCCTGAACTCCATCTCTGAGGATGACTTGGGACTGGGGGAGAAGGTGGAGAAGGAGATGGAATAGGCATTTCTCTCGTGATGGTTCATACAAAAGCCTGCAGATAGGGGAATGCAGGCACATTTGAGGTCTGGGACAATCACTGCAGTTAGTATGTAAGGCCGCCATGGGTGACCTGTGAGACAATGGCCTCGTGCCCTTCACAGGTTTATTTTCCTGGCAGTTTCTCTTTATTGGGAAGAGCACATGCTGGAAGCAGGTGCCTGCCTGTTCTTCCCCTGTAGTAAGAGATATAGGAGGATGCGAGAAAGCCTAAGGGAAGAGGGCGAGGAAGAGCACATTCAGCAGGTTCGAATCAGTGTGGGTGTAATCAATAATTAAAACTGCTTTATTAGCAGTGTGGAGTGAATTGGTGGCAGAGTCCCAGAATATAATCCCTTATCAGTCTGCTGTTCTGACAACTGTTGTGGGCTTTTTATTAATGTGGCTGATAACACTTTACTCTCTGGGGCATTCTGAGATTTAATTAGTTCTTGGGCAATTTAGAATAGGTACTTTAGAATATTAGTGCAGTGTTAATTATAAATGAATGCATATGAACTAATTTCTACAAATGTGTGATTGCATTTACATTAAACTCTTTAGTTGCCTGCTTCCAATTCAACATACTTTGAATTACGAGTTACATGTGAGATACTCTGTTCTGTGGGGAATTCAAGGGTAAGAAATTCGGACGCAAATCCTGCACTAAGAGTGTAGGGCTGGAAAACAAAGCAGGACCCCTCCTATTTTTTTGAGACAGAGTTTTGCTCTTGTTGCCCAAACTGGAATGCAATGGTGCGACCTCGGCTCATTGCAACCTCCACCTCCTGGGTTCAAGCGATTCTCCTGCCTCAGCTTCCCGAGTAGCTGGGAATATAGGTGTGCGCCCCCATGCCCGGCTAATTTTTTGTATTTTTGGTAGAAGCAGGGTTTCACCATGTTAGCCACGCTGGTCTCAAACTCCTGACCTCAGGTGATCTGCTCGCCTTGGCCTCCCAAAGTGCTGGGATTACAGGTGTGAACCACCATGCCCGGCCACAGGACCCCTCCTAAAGAAGCACTTCTAGAAGAGGTGGGATGGTAAACAAAGAACAGGAAGATTTTGAGGTAAAAGGAACTTACTTGAGAGATTTTGTATCAAATGGGCTTTGTTTTTCTTAGTAAGGTGTGGGAAGCTCATCAGAGTTAAGGGTGTGTGTGTGTGTGTGTGTGTGTGTGTGTGTGTGTGTGCATGTGCACATGTGCCTGCACGTTAGGGGCTGAGAAGAATGGGAACTTTTTGAGCCCTCCTGTGGGTCATTCATGAGTGCATCAGAGGCACCGAGCGCCTACTCTTTGTGTACCAGGCATGGAGTGGTTGCTGACTACAGGATGTCGCATGAATGGAGGTCTGTATAGTAGTTTCTTAGAGTGTAGTGGGCTGGGCAGAAATGACTCTGACACTCTGAGATAAGTGTGGGGAACAGCTGGTGGGTGCTCCACAAGGTATTGGGAGAGCTTGTGGAAGGGGCTTCTCTAGCAGCCTGGAGAGCAGGTGAGGTGGGTGCTCTCTGGTGGCTCGCTGGGGCAGAGAGTTGAAGGCTACAGAGACGTCGAGCACTGAAGAGTGGGGCTGGGGGTAGAGGAGGGCAGGGAGAAGAGGGGAGGAGAGGAGGGGAGTACTACCCTTGCAAGAGGAAATAGCATTTGCTCAGACACAGAGGAGGCTGATGCAGTGATCCTGGGAAGTGTTCTGTGGCATCTGAATCCAGCAGTGGGAGTTGAAATAAGGGGACATATTGTGGAGATGTCAAGGAAGTGCAGTTCACAGGACCTGGCAGAGTTCGCAGAGGGGAGCTGCCTTGGTTTTGGCTGGGGACCAGGGTGAATGGTGGCATCCCTGCCAACCTTGAGAGCCCAGAGGAGATGCAGATTTGGAGGAAAAAGGGTGAGTTAGTTGTGGCCACACATTGATCTGGGGACTGCAGGATATCCAAGAGGGCATGCCGCCCCACGTGGAGTCTAGCATGAGGTCCTCAGTGGAGGAGGGGCATGAGTAGAGACTGGGTGGAAGCAGAAGGATAAACCACCAAGGGCAGCCTCCTGAGGCCCCCACAGGGGAGTGTCCAGGGATGGAGAGCAGGGAAGGCTACCTTGAAGGAGGAAGCGGATGGGTTGAGGATGATGAGTGATGCAGGGAGTTCAGTGAGAGGAAGCTGGGGTGAAGACTCCATTGATTGGGGGTGTGCCTCGTTGCTGACTTGAGCCGGAGCAGTATCAGTGGAAGGAGGTCAGTGGGAGATGCTTGTAGTGGGAGGGAATGAAAATGGGAATGGAGCGAGGAGTCATCCAGAGATGACTAAGAGGATGGCCTGGGGGAGCCATCAGGGTACCAACAGGAGGCAGGTGGCATGCTCAAATGTGTGACTAGAGAAGCTAAGGAAGAGACCCTTTGTAAAAGTATGTTCTGGTCTAGGTACAGCATCAAGTCATGGTGTACCTGTGGGACCGAGGGCAGCTGGGAAAAGCAGGGTAAACACACAAGAGGGGAGAGAAGTCACCAGAACACCGAGGGAGAGAGCTGTGGCCTTTGGTAGAGGATGAGGTCAGCCTGTGATAACCTGGCAGGGAGGGAGCCTGGAGAATAAATACTGCTCCCCATCCCCGACTTTCCCCATTTCCTTTCATCTCCTGCTGGTGCCTCCACTGGTCAAACCCAGTTGGAAGCCAGAGAGCAGTAGGGCCCATTGTGTGGTCCTTACTGGTCAGCCTTGGGAGCTGGGTGGAGAGGGGGGAGGGGCGACGTGGAAGGGCAAGCAGGACCTCACCAGAACTTCAGGGGACTCTGGATGCTTGCTTATTATCTGCCCTTAAAAGGGACACGCTCGGGTCTCTGTTCCTTAAGTAATGGTCCCCTCCAGTTTGCATCAGAACATCTCACTCCCTGCAGGGGCACTAGACCCTGTCGTCATAGAAAGGGCTTCAGCCCCGCGGGGCATGCACACCATTTGCCAACATCTGCTTCCCTCTTTAAGGTTTGCATTCCACGTTGTGCGATGTCATCACTTTTTCAAATGCTGTCTTTTCCAAAGGAAATGAAATATAAAGAAGTATGCTAATGTGCTAGGGTTGAAGAGCAGTGCTGCACAGTGAAAGTTACAGTTCTTGGAGCATCAGCACCTGGGGAAAACGCACAAAGCTAGGTGGTAGGGGGAGAAAGGGGCTCTGTCGCAGCTCATGATTAATACAAACCGAAAGAAACCAGAAAGAAGTCATCATCCCAACCTCAGGCCTGAGTAGGACTTTCATGTATATAATTGGGCGTGAAGTCGACAGACTGGCATGCAGCCAGTGTTTCCTGAAAGCCTACTGTGTGTGCTCACCATGTGAGAAGGTTCTGCATCTGTTCCCTCATGTGAACCTTACAGTGACTCATTCTGCAGATGCAGATAAGTTTAGAGTGTTCCAAATTCATCCAGCTGAAAGGCAGAGCCTGGATCTTAGCTGAGATGCCTTTAACTCCAAATCTTGTGTTTTTCATCATGCGTTCTCAAAACAGTGACTTTTTGTTAAAGCCGTATTTCACGTAGTACACTGTACCTCTTAATTCAGTAGTTTTAATGCTGTTTCCAGGGCTCTTCAGAGTTGCTTAGTGGCTGGGACTAGAAGAATACTGAGGACAGGTGTGGGAGGCTGGCAGGGAGCTCATTCACTTTAATCTGAGAGATTGTACTTTTTTTAGATTATTTATATTGAGATTGCCTAAAAAGCAGGAAAAAGCTCCTGCCAGTTAAAAAAATTTGAAAATTACCATCCCAGTATGCTGACAATGACAGCTGAATTCAGACAGTGGTGCTGCATGATGTAAAACTTGATGGACAAGGGGACTTCAGCTAAGGGCCTTGTTTTCTGGAAGAGCACATTTATAAGAGCCTTGGAAAAAAAGTGAACCCTTAAAAGACTGGTTAAAAACACATGCCATGTACATAATAGTAGAGATACAGGTGCTAGTTAATGCTCAAGACAGTGCTTTGTAAACTGTCATGTGCCACTCAGAAGATAAGGTATTGTTATTATAATAGTATTAATAGTATAGTTGATCTCCCTTCTGTGATATTGACTAAAGGGAAAATACTAGACAGGCATAGACTACTGTTAGAAATTTCCATTTACACCCACTGTTGCTGATGGAATTAATGCTGGCCTCCCTTCCTGTGATCTGGCTTACCCAGGGTAGGGCCATAAAGAGCTCACTGGGGTTTGATGTCATCTAGTGTGCTCTTCCTCTTAAGCATCTCAGACAGATTTCAGCTATTGATCTCACTAAAATTACATTCTGTTTTCTCTTGGCTAAAGAGTCTTTTCTAGAGCTCAGTGAAGATATTTTTAAACATTCAATACAATGAAAACAAAATACTACCTTAGAATTAACTGTGTAATTAGCACATGTACATGAAGAAGCAGGATATTTGAAGAGGGTTCATTTTGAAAATGGCATCTAGAGGACTTGGAGTTTGACCTGGGTCACCCCAGCAAGCCCAGAAACCCCTGGGGCTCCCTTCGGTGTCCTTATTTTCCACATTAGGATGTGTTTGTTAAAAGACATCTGCTTGTCAGCTGTTCTTTGTCAAGCACCCTGCCTAGGCCCAGGGACTCAACCGGGTTTTCTCTGAAACAAGTGTTAGTAAATTATCCAAAATTCCCCGTCAGCATCAGCTAGGGGGCTTGGATTTCAGCTGGGGGTCTTTGGCCCTGCGCTGTATCCTACCATCTCGGAAGAGTGACTTTTAGCAGCCGTGCTTATTACCAGAAGGTTCATTGTATCTCAGTGCAAGGGAGATAGGCATTTATTTGTTGAACAGAACTCTGGCTTTCTTCAATCCCCAAGAATTGCCTCTTCATAGCACAGAGAATCACTGCAGAGCTGGAAGAGCTGGGCACACCATTGACAAGCCAATAGGGGACTTTAAATGCCTGGGCCTGGATGCCAGGCCAGAGCAGCAGCCTGTTGCACCCGGGAGCCAACTGTGCAGTTGACTGTGCAGCGTGCCTTCTCGGGCTGGAGTGGGGCCGTTCATCTGCATGGAGTGATTAGGAGCAAATGGCCTCTTGCTGTGTATGGGCGCTTGGCTGAGGATGCACAGAGCAAATGCCAGCCTTACTTCGTCTACCTCAGCCTTTAGCACAGCTGGGCCCAAGCCCCTGCTCAGAGAGAGGTGGGTGAGAAGGAAAGGAGCAGTGTTTGCATGCTGTGGTGCCTGAGCTTCCTGTAAGCCTTTCACACCTCTGCCTGTGGTGAAAGCAAAAATGCCTTTTATTGAAACCACTTATAGTCCACTAGCCAGGCCCCTCTGTTCTCTCCAGCACCTTAACACAGTATTACACTTTGCCATTTGACTATCACCTCATCTCATTGTGGAGCCAGCTGTTCGGCTGGTTCCTCTCTGCACTCTTTCTAAACTTCTGCTCCTGCAGAGCATCAGAGGCAGGAGGGGTTGTGGGAAGCGCTCACCTTGCAGGCTGCTGGACTTCAATGTGATGCTGGGTGTACCACTCATGGAGACAGTGTCCA
This sequence comes from Homo sapiens, assembly GCF_000001405.40. NCBI lineage: Eukaryota > Metazoa > Chordata > Mammalia > Primates > Hominidae > Homo > Homo sapiens. Next base: position 134,619,859 of record NC_000008.11, on the reverse strand, counting down.
GGCTCAGTCACCTCTTCTCCTCACCGAGCTTCGGACTCCTTATCTTTATAAGGGGCTTGGGAGCAGTCCTGCCTCACCAGGATGGTGGAGACTGAGGGAGACCGTGGCATGTGCAGCGTCCTGAGTGGCTGCAAGAGGCCTTCCCTTGCTATTTGTTTAATGACTGGATGACTTTCCCACTGTGTGAGGTTGGAGGCCCTTCCTGTCTTTCCCCACTTTACTATCTATGATGTTTTGGGCACGGTGGAAGACTTCCAGTGAAATAGGCTAAATCCTGCCAGGCCTTACTGAACTTACATCCATCTAGGGGAGACAAACAAGAAATAAGTAAACAAATAGACAGGCAAGCCACTCACAATAACTGTCCTTATCAGTAGGGACTGTTTGTGTGAGATGTGTTTGTGAGATGTGTTTGTTAGATCAGACAGAGCTTAGGGCACTAGACCACAGTTGCTGGTGGTCCGCAACTGCAATGGGTGGACTTACGGTTTTTCAACTTTACTATGGTGTGAAAGTGACATGCATTTAGTAGAAACTGTACTTCGAATTAGAAATTTTGATCTTTTATTTTTGTTTCTATTTTTTATTACTATAAAATTTATATTATTATTATTATAAAATAGGCTTTGTGTGAAATGGTTTTGCCCAACTCTAGGCTAATGTAAGTGTTCTGAGCACATTTAAGATAGGATAGGCTAAGCTATGATATTTGGCAGGTTAGGTGTTTTAAGTGCATTTTTGACAATGATATTTTTGACTTAGGATGGGTTTATTGGAATGTAACTCATCATAAGTTGAGGAGCATCTGTATTTAACAACACAAACTTTTCCTACTTCCCAAAGGCCTGCACTCTACCAGACTCAGGTAAAATGATTACCTTCTAACGTGCTGTGTGGTTTAGTTATTTATTATGTTTTAAACTGATTGTCTCTTTCCTCACTAGCATGTAAACTCCAGAGGGCAGGGCTCTCTCTCTGTTTTGTACACTAAGGTATTACAAATGCTAGAACAGTGCTGACTACTCCATAAGTATCTGCTGAACAGACTGTGGCTAGTAAAGAGAAAATAAATGCTATAGTGTGTACATAATTTCCAAGTAATTATTTATTTCTTTTGTGCAGAAATGATATTTTGTTTGAATATGGACACTTAAGAAAATTTGAAAATAGGAAAGTGAGAAAGGAAAATCATCTCATAAAGAGAATATTTTATTTAGTAGTAGGGGATAATTGTTAAACTTTGTATTGGAGACAGAAATTCTGTTTTCAGAGGAGACACGCTTGGTATGAATATTTAACCAAATTGAGGAGGGGGTAACCAGCAAGCAGGCACAGAAACTGAAGAGGCAGACTTGAAATCAGACCCAACGTTGACCTGGCCCTCCCTAGTCACAAGCAGCCACTCTTTTTCAAATAAAAATGCACAGAGACTGGAAACCAGGGGTGTGACTCCCCGCCTCATTCTGCAGCAAACACCACACATACCAGGACAGCCTGGGGTAGGAAGCTGGCAGACACTCAGACAACCCCAGTGCTGCACCTCTCTTCTGTTGCCACGATTGCACAAGATGACGAATGGCTCTGGAGCAGGAGTATGGGTGTCGCAAAGTGTCCTTCTCTGTTCGTGTTTCCTGAAAACTCATAGCAATGAATTTGCTCATAGTAACTGTATTAGTCTGTTTTCACACTGCTGATAAAGACATTTTTCTTCCCGAGACTGGGAAGAAAAAGAGGTTCAATTGGACTTATAGTTCCACTTGGCTGGGGAGGCCTCAGAATCATGGCGGGAGGTGAAAGGCACTTCTTACATGGTGGTGGCAAGAGAAAAATGAGGAAGAAGCAAAAGCGGAAACCCCTGATGAACCCATCAGATCTCATGAGACTTATTCACTATCATGAGAATAGCACAAGAAAGGCCAGGCCCCATGATTCAGTTACCTCCCCCTGGGCCCCTCCCACAATTCGTGGGAATTCTGGGAGATACAATTCAAGTTGAGATTTGGATGGGGACACAGCCAAACTATGTCAGTAATCACGGTCGAGACTATCTGCAATTTAGTGAATCAAGCCTGTGGTTTACGGCAGCTCAGAGGGCTTTTGTGCATGTGCAAGGTGGGTTGGGCAGCGCAGCTTATTTCTAAGCAGGTCACCATACAAACTGTCTGTTTTGTAGTGGTGAAGTCTCTGTTCCCAGAGTGGTTCACAGGTAGTGTAGACAGCATTCCTTTGAGATGGTCGCGTGATAACTGCCTGATGATTGGAAATTGTGCAGAATGACCTTCTACCATCCCATCTGCCCCTAAAGGCTTGGGGTCCCTGAGTCTACATTAGAACCCAGACTTTCTGTCGTGGTTCTTAGTGTGTTGTCATATCATTGTCCAAGAAATATCTAATCTTAATTGTTGTTATTAATACTAGCTGGGACATTATGTTGTATATTTATTTAATTTGCATGGTAGAGGTGATAAAAGTCTTAAAAACAAAGCTGAATCTAAAACAAGATATTTTGGATTGAACAAACTGAAGCATTTCCAACATAGGAGGAGGGCTTTGTTCATTGGGAGAATGTGGAGGTAGGGGTTTTCTTGAGTGACTGTGCAGAGCCATAGTCCCTGCTCCAGGTGTGTGGGTGCATGGGACGCTCTCATGGCTGTCTAGAACCACCAGATGCTGAGAGCAGAGGTGGGAAGCTCTCCTCAAGATTGCCTCTGACGACTAACTTAATTTCATCTGGTTCTTAGGATTTCTAAATTTGGTGCCCATCAGGGTGGCTGCCAAGACAGGGGAATGAGAGTAGCTGTGGTGTGTGGTTGAGAGAGTCTTTGGGGTGGTGTCCCAGATATGTTTTCAAAAGGCAGAGAAGGCGAACATTGATGAGATATTTAATATGTGTCTGGGGTTTTCCCCGTAATTGTGTTCTTCCACCTTACAGCCATCTTTTGAGGTCCTTATTTATATTTTATTTTTTATGAGTGATTTTAGGGAGATTCATCAATTGTCCAGAGTTCCTTTGCAAGTGGTTAAGTTGTGTCCTAACCCAGCCTCTCTGACTCCGGAGTGCTGCATGCCCACTACCTCTCTGCAGTGGTTCCATTAACCAGCCCCTGTGCTGCTCAGGCCAGCTGGTTTGTAGCAAGCTCACGGCATGACTGAATGCAGCAGCCATGCGCAAGAGGGAGAAGCAAAACCCATCGACAGCTATGGAATTTTTAAAAGGAAGAAAGGAAGCTGGAGGGGAGCATAGACAGGAAAGAGTAGAAAAGTTGAAAAAGTCAGCAATTCAGAGGAAGCAGGAGACTATTGAAAAACACCTATTGAAAGGCCATGATACATGTGAACTGAAGATGGGACATGCCAAGCCCTCAGAAAAGCATCATCAGCATGACTTCTAGGTCGGGTCCTCGAGGCATTTCAGGGGACAAAACGCAACTTTGAAAAGTACAAAGGTGGGTCAAGTGAGGATATAGGGAAATTGGTGAGCAACCAGGTCAAATGGGAACGAGGACTTTGGTGTCCAAAAGGGAGTGGGCAGAAAATTACTAACAAGGCTGTTGTTAAAGTGTCTTTCTCTTTTACCCTGTACCCTCCTTGCTTTCCACGAAGAAGTATTGAGCATCTACGACACACCAGACCTAATGCTGGGGATGAGAAACACACAGTCATGTGGCTGTTGAGAGAGCTGGGTTCAGGGCTGTGAGGAGCATGGCTTGTACAGGAGTGCGGTGGAGAACCTGATATTTCTCTCCATGAAACACCTGCTTTTGTAGGCCAGAGTCTCTGGGTGGCGTCTGGGTCTCCATGCCAGTTCTTCTCCTGCCTCACCTCCCACCCCCCACATACTGGGTGTTTTACCTGGAGTTATTTGATACTCCCTAAATGCACCTGGCATTTGCCTCTGAGCGAGCATGCGTGTTCTTTTTTGTGGGAGCCTTGTTCTTTTCACAGTGCTCCAGGGCTCAAGGGATCAGTTAAGATCATCTCCAAGAACCATTTTCAAGGCTGTTCAGTGCGGTGCCTGGCACCATGGTGCCTGAATCGGTTGGAAAGTTTAGTGTTGAAGCTTCTGAAGCTTTCAAGAATAGAATGTAATGTCCGTGGACTGTGGATCCACGTTGCATGAGGCCACAGAGAATTGATGAAGGATGTGGGGGCTTGGAGGTGTGTATTTGGGGCAGTCTTGAGTGGGCAGAGTCTTAGCTTAGGTTCCCCACTGGAAGCAGCTTTGGCTGCAGGTAGTTTACCTGAGTGGTATTCCCAGGAAGCAGGAGTGGGGAGTGAGAAGAGTGAGACAGGGAAGGAGCAATGCCAAGGGCTTGTTAGTGGGGTCCCTGCTCTAGGTAGTGGGGATTTGACTCTCAAGATGTTGCCATGGGCCAGGCACAGTAGCTCACGCATGTAATCTTAGCACTTTGGGAGGCCGAGGTGCATGGATCACTTGCGGTCAGGAGTTTGAGACCAGTCTGGCTAACATGGCGAAACCCCGTCTCTACTAAAAAAATACAAAAATCAGCTGGATGGGATGGTGCGCACCTGTAATCCTAGCTACTTGGGAGGCTGAGGCACGAGAATCACTTGAACTCCGGAGGTGGAGGTTGCAGTCAGCCAAGATCGCACCACTCCAGCCATGGTGACTCCCAGAATTGTCTGCCTGGACAGTGTCCAGAGCACTGGTTCCACCTTAGCCGCTGCCAGAGTCACGTTTGGGCCATGGGATACAAGGAGAACCCCACTGTCCCTGGCTGAGGGGAGGACCAGAGCCTGCACTCAGCGCAGATTTGAGGCTGGTGTGGTCCAGTGGGTTGAAGGTGCGTGGTGTTCTGTCCCCTGCTCTTTTGTCTCTTCCAGGTTTTTCTTTTACTATCTCTCATATTTTTCACTCTTTCTCCTTCTTTTCTCCCTGCAACTTCCTTTCTCCTACCTTCTTCCTTATGTAATAGTTCCACCTATTTGTATGTGAGGGCCTTAGAATTTAGAGATTTAGACGTTGTTTGGTCTGACTTCCCATGTGGTTCAGAGTCTTTTCCATAGCATTTCCAATGGTATCTGTGACTTCCTGGAAAACCCTCCTCATAAACGTGTCTGAAAAACACCCTTTCCTTGGACAGCTCTAACTGTTGCAAGTTCCTTTCTCTGCTCTGAGATCTATTGCAGGAGACTCTACCCATTGGTCCTAGCTTCATCTTTTTGAACACAACAGAGCAGGTCTTCTTCATTGTCTGGCTCTAGCCCTCTGGAGGCCTACGTTAGGCTTCATAAAATCCCAAGAAGTCATGGACCCAACCTCCAAGAGGTCACAATATGGATAAGGCATGTCAACAGATAATTGTAAGCAGTGTGGGAAAGTCCAACCGTTGGTTCGGTGCTCTGTGTGTGTGTAAGGAGAATGGAGGAGGTAAGAAGGTGAAGGGTACAGAGTATCACAGAGGAGGGGAAATCTGAGCTGCCTTTTGGCTTGTCACTCAGACAAGCAGAGGTGTGTGGATCAGGACGTTGTGCAATGCATGTCTGTGTGCCAAGGTCCAGGGGCTGTAAACAGGACCGGGTGTCAGTCAACTTGTGGTTCAGCATTGTTGGAGCCCAAAGGGGTAGGAGATAAGTACATGAGGGTGTGTGCTTGCAAGTCATGGCCTTGATGGTACAGGGATAGTGGGAGAGGATTTATGGCAATTCTTGGAGGACTTTACCTAGCACTTTCTCCTAATGGAGATGGGAAGGAAGCCTGATGAAGGGTTTTAAGCAGGCAAGTGACAGGATTAGATTTGGATTTTTAAAACAGTTCCTCTAGGGTCTAGGTGGAGGAGGATGGTTCGGAGAGTGTGTTAGTCAAGATACTGTTAGCAGAGACACTGGTTAAAAACGAGTTTAACAATGAGAATGTTCTCTCGTGTAACAAGAAGTCCAGGCACAATGGTTCAAGGGCTGGTTCAGAGGCATATCTATGCCGTGGAAACCCCAGGATCCACCTCTCTCTTTGTGATGCCCAAGGCATTATCATGGTCTTTCACTTGGCCTCTCCTAGCTGCTGGGTGGATGCCTCAGTTCTGGCAGTGGACATAGCAATACCCAGCTGAGGAAGAGAGGCGGTACTTTTCTCATGAGGAAGGAAAACCACTTCTGGAAGTCCCTGGACCCTTCTCCTCAGAGCCCATTGGCCAGGCTTGGGTCCTGTAGCCCTAGCTGTTCAGACGGAGCAGCTTTCCAAGTTCCTGGAGTGGGAGGTGGCATCACACTCCAGGAGGGACGGGTATTGGGAACGGGTAGGGTGGATACCAACAATGCACACCCCAAAGCAGCCGTGGGGAAGGAAACTCAAATTGGAGCTGTAGGAATGGTGAGGGGAGAGATGAGATTCTTGTGCAGTCTTCTCTTCTCCACCAACGCCAGCTCAGGTCTCCATTGGCTTTTAAAACGGCATGGCGCCAGACCTTCACCCACGTCCAGCCCCCCGGTTCTGCAGTGTGTTCCTAACATACAATGCCTAAAGCAGAGTCCGGACGCGGTTTATCCAGACACAGTTTATCCGTTGCAGAGCGTGGTGATCTCTTCAGCTGCTTCTTATTAGTGTAGGTGAATGTCGTTTGGTTTTTGTTGATTCATGCTGTTAACCTGGGTTGAGCTTCTGGCAAGTTCTAATTCTCAGGTCTTTTTTTTAAATGTGAACAAATCTGTTCCTGGCATATCACCCACATATTGAATTGTATCCCATGGTGAATTCCGGTATAAAGCAAGGCATCATTTTAAAAGCAAAAAATTCTGTAAAATGTTGTTTCTACCTTTTTATAGCATCCAATATATTCTGCTATAGTTATTTATGCGTGTGTATCACCCAGTATGTAGGCCACAAAAAGAACTTCTGTGACTCAGACAATTTGTAGACCTTTTGAAATGTTTTTATTATAGGCACTAAAAAGTAAAATAAAATGAAAACTGCTGTTAGGCATGATGCAAATCAAGCCTACAAAATGTAGGCACTGCCAGTGACTTTGAGATCACTTGTTTTCCTCATTCTCCGGCTTTATAGGAGTCATCATGCTCTTCAAAGGAGGGACACGTCTGATGGTCTTGACTTTTTCCGTTTAGCCTTGGAGAGTGATGCAGTTCTGTCTGATTCATGATCTCATCTATTCGTTCTTTTTAGCTCAATGTTACCATATTTAGTGCTGATACTAGTTATATGATTAAGGACCTTTTCCAGTGAATGAAAGAACTTCTATAAAACTGTTTCACTAGGTCTAAAAATGGTCCAAGCACCTGGATTGTGGGACGAACACCAAAAAAACTTTATAGAACATAGAAAATTAGAATGTTTGTTTTGATCAATCTGCCATTAGCCGAGTTTTTTTCTTGCCTCTTGAGTGAGCTTTCCTCGAACCAGCCTGCCTCCCTAAGAAAGAATACTCCTCCATTTTATCTTTTCCCTTCAGGCATTCCTTGGTACAATTACTTGGGGTACTGGCTTTAGGCAGAGTTGAATCACTGGAAACAGACGGACCAAATGGACTCTGGCTATCTCCCTTTGGTTTCTCCTGTTCCTGCCATATTACTGCATGGTTCCGATCTCACCTCCCTATGACCCGACCTTGCAGCACTTTCTGGACCCCCACCTTGCGCTTGCGCACCCTGCTTCCCTTCATCCGTTTCCACACTCATGGCTGAGAAAGGCTTATGTGGAATTGTTCCCTGTGCATTTGTCATATGTTCTGAGGAAGTGAATTTTGGGCAGGTTATTTGAGGTTTTGTGGCTCTATTTCTAAGAAAGAGAAAACTCCTTTTCCTCCCTTCCCTATATTTCCTCCTCACTTAGGGATCTCAAATACTGTACATTCAAGAGATGGCTCTCAAATAGTGTGCATTCAAGAGGTGGCTCCTTTGTTCTTCACTTGGATATCGAAGCTTTTCTTACCCCTCAGGCTAATGCCAAGGGTAGCCATGTGGAATTAGCTGTTCTTTCTGTGGCTGACACGTTCCCTCTTCAGTGTATTTCAACATTTTTTGAACCCGTTGACTTTGCTGTCTGCAGCAGCGGCACAAATATAATCCAGCCCTTCCCGGCTTAGACACCTGTGGCTCTCCATGGCCTTCCAGAGGCAGCAGGCAGGCCCCAGGCATTGTTTCCCTTTGCTCTTCCATTGTTTTAAGAAATTTTAGACTAGAGTCAGCCTTGAAAAATCAGAAGATTTCATGTAAATCTCGATTTCCAGTCTCTCTGTGAGCCATCAGAAGACCCAGCAGGCTGGTCCTCTGTGGGAACTTGAGCCTCCTTTCCTTCCAGCTTCTCCCCCTCCCCAGGCCTGACTGGTCTCCATGTACATTGATGTTTCACCCCCGATTCCCCAAAGGAAGGTTCCAGTCTTCTCATGGCCATTCAGGGCCCTCTAGGGCCCAGCTCTGACGCCCTCCCCTGGTTTTATTTCTGTCTCCCTGCTTCCTATGGAGTTGTCACCACACGGGATACTTGGGCACTGGTTTATACTTAGGCTCTGCCATCTGTCCCTAGATTGGAACACCATTGTTTCCACCACACCCACTCCTCCTTTGCCCTATACCCCTTGCCTGTATTTCCTGACCATTGCTTCGCACATGCTTGCTTTTTATGTGAACCAAGGGTTTACCTCCCCACGAAGTGGAGAATCTACCATCCTTTCCTGTAACCATCTCAGACCCTTGCTCATTTCATTCGGTGTGCAGCAGACTGCCCTGGACTGCCTGTGCTGTTTGCATGTCTGCCTCTCCCCCTGCACGGTGGGGCCCTCAAGAGCAGGGTCTGTACCTTATCACTCCTTTTGTCCACCATGCCTGGCACCAGACAGTAGCTGATAAGTGTAAGTTGAATAAGTGAATGATTTATTTCTTAGAATATAAATCTTGGAGACCTTATCTTCTGTGCAGTGTTGTTTATTAATGATTCTGAAGTCTGCTAGGCCTCATGAAGACAAGACAAGACAAGAAACTATGTCTGCTTCACCCAACAGTGTACGCCCAGGGCCTAGGTGATGGCCTGTGGCGGGGAGCAGTGAACATGTACTGAATCGAGTGAAGCAGTGAAGAGCCACCGTGGTACCTACAGTGATTCCGTGGTCTGCGTGGCACTGCAGACCAAAGAGCTGTGTTTCCTTTACTGTCCCGTGAAAGAGTAGTGTTTACCCTCCAACTCTGCCACTGATATAAAAGGATACCTTATGCATCTTGGTATTTGCTCCTTAGGTAACGAGTCTGACCTTGAACTAGAAAAGAAGTGTAAGGAAGATGATCGGGAAAAAGCCTCGAAAAGACCACGGTCACAGAAAACAGAGAAAGTCCAGAAGATCTCAGGAAAGGAGGCCAGACAGCTTTCTGGGGCGAAGAAACCCATCATAAGTGTGGTTTTAACTGCACACGAAGCAATTCCAGGTGACTGCACCAAGCGGGAAAGGAAAAGGCAAGACCCTTGGCAAGTCTGTGCCAAGGGCAGCCTGATGTCACAGTCTGAGTCAGAACACAGAGCTGGTGCATTGGTGGGGCTCTCCATTTAATCACCCACTAATTTGAGAGGATGAGACTTACTTACTGCCCAGGTGTTGTGGTTAATGGATGGAGGAGAAGCTGTGAGGGCTGCTGTGAGGGCCGCTGCTCTTGCTGTAGTCCCACAGCTCCGCCGTGCTGCTCCTGCTGGAGTAGTGGTTCCGGGAGCAGTTAGTTTTCTTCGTCCCCTCACCCAGCTCTTCTCCTGGGTGTGTGCCTTCCCCTCCTGCTCTCAGCCATGCTGTCCTGCATGTGAGGCCAGCCCATTCAGCCAGACGCATGCAGGCTGCTGCTCCAAAACCCATGCTAACTCTGCCCACCATCTGTTTTGTATTTTTTTCCTCTCTGCACATAGAAAAGATGTAAACTGACATAGATACCCACTGTTTCCATCTCTCAAAGGTTAGAGTTCTATTCTCATTTTTCTTTTCTTTTAAGATCAAGACAGTGGGAAATGTCCTAAGGTGGTATCCTGGGGTGCCTCTGATCTTTTTTTGTATTTTTAGAAGGGTTCACCAAATATAATACTAGAAATTTCCATCTCTGTATTCTTTTACATGAAATAGCTGGTGGATATGTGACACTATATTTTTAAAAAAGATCTCTAGGATAGGACCCTTAATTTAAAAAGCAGTTTATAATAGTGTTTCAAAGTATAATATTTTTTCTCTATGCGCTTGAGGTGATTGCTGTCAAATAAAATTTAAAAATTAAGTTTAGGATTTTAAGGACAGCTACAGCCTTTTAAGTACCTATTTTCAATGCTAAGAGTAACTCATTATTTAAAATGAAAAATCTGAATAAATTCTCCTTCTGTACGTCACTGCAGACCAAGGTGATCGGTAGAGAACAGACCATATAAAATTGTGTGGCTAGAAGAACTTTCTGGAAAGTCACTTTGTCTGCCCTACTCACTTCAGAATAGTATTATTCTGGAAAATAAGAAGCCCAGAAGAGAATTTCCTATTTTCAATTGTTGCTAGAGAAAGTTTCTATGATTTTTCTAAAAATTAGTGGTAGTATTTTGATATTTCTTTAAGCAAGGGTGAAAAGTATAAATAATTCCTTTGCAATTCCAGAAACAAGGGGTAAATTGGATCTTTTTCTTTAATGCAGTTTGACACGGGTGATCCTATATAAAACCTTGCAAGTAACATATATATGTATATGTATATACATATATATGTATATGTGTGTGTGTGTATATGTGTACTTTTTAATATAAGTAGATCAAGTGAAAATATATCTCAAGAGGACATTTAGACAGATTATTGAAAAACTTGTCCTTTCTCAAACACATGCACACACTCACACACACTCACCCAAAAAATGTAAATGTGCGAGCTGAGTGAAAACTATCTTGCGTGGGTATCAGACAGTATAGAAATAGACTTCCCAGCACCATCCCCTCTGCTGCGATGGGGTCAGTGCCCACTTTCGATGCCTCTCAATAAGCAATGCCTTTTGCATCAATCTCAGGTGCTACCAAGATTGTGCCAGTGGAGGCTGGGCCCCCTGAAACAGGAGCTACAAATTCTGAGACCACTTCAGCAGACCTGGTGCCTCGGAGAGGCTACCAGGAATACGCCATTCAGCAGACACCTTATGAGCAACCAATGAAGTCAAGCAGGTAAAGTGTTTTGTTCTGTGTAACTTCAGCCAGAGGTTGCATGTGAGTGAACTCCACAGAGTGCAGGAAGGATCAGCATGCTTGTTCGTTTGGATTCTGCTTATAAACTTGTTTATAAGAGATACTGACTCCTTGATTCAGCAGTAGAATTACCCCTCCATGGCAGCCCTCGGTGTGCTCGCTGAGCCTCCAGTGTGTTGCAGAGTAGCATGTTTTTAGAACTGAGCACCAACTGGCTTAATGAAGCCAGAGCATTTTATTTAAAGAAAAACTATTTTTTACCTTAATAAAAAGAAATAGAAACATAGCTTAAGTAAAGTTTTAGACATTTATAGCTTCACTTACTACCGTTTAGAAAAATATTTATTTCCTTCCCACTTTCAAAAGTAACACAAGTGTGTTGCAGAAGGCTCACATGTCCCATATGATGTGGCATTAAAGTAACCTAGAGTTACTGTTTCTGGAGGTAGTTTAGTTCATGTGCTTCTACAAGTTTTTTGAAATATACTAACATATATTGGTTTAATTTTGTTGTTTTTTGCAAATACTAAATACCAAAAGTACTGTTTTCAACTTTTTTTTAAAAGCTTACTACACCTTGAAAGTCTTTCATTTTTAGTACACAGTTTAAAAAGCTGTGTTTGCTATTATGTGGATGTATTTTAGTTTATATAGCCAGTTTTTACTATTACGGACAATGCAGTGATTAATGTTTTGGTGTATACATCTTTCCATACTTCAAGACCTCCTGTGGAATCCATTGCTAGAGTTGAAATTGCTACAGCAAAGGATATGAGTGCCTAGTGCTTAACTGACATTAAAAACTGTCCTCCAGATACACTGGATCAGTTGACCACCCATAGCAAACCAGTGTGTTTCTCTACAGTCTCCCCAAATTGTCTGTCTTTAGCCTGTACCTGCTGAAGTCAGTTAACAAACTCTGATCCCCAGAGGTCTGAAAACATTTCTCCCAGCTAGAAGGAAAGACAAAGAAAATGCCAGTTGCCAGTGGTTTTCCTCTGTTTCTGGAAGAAGAGAAATGGGGTGTTTTTGAGTAGAACATAAGCTTCAGAATGAAATAGACCTAGGTTGGCTCTAGACTACTCTGTATGAGTTCAGCTCAACAAATTGAACACCTCTTATGTGCTGGGCACTGGTGATATGACAAAGAATCAGACAGTTGCAGCCCCTGCCCTGATGAAGCTTACACTCCATTGTAACTTGACACACGTTACTTTGCATCTAACATTTGTTGCACAATTTTAAGACTGTCTAATAGAATTTTAGTTTAGTAGTGAGAATAAGAGATAAAATATGCAAAGTGCCTGGCACATGTAGTGCTCTCATTAAATTATATTATTATATCATGTGGTATGCTTCATTAATTTGTAGCTTCAATCCTCTATTCTTGTAAATGTGAACAATTGAATTTATTGATGAAGTTGTAAAAATACTCATTCCTTTGGTGAATTCATAATAGAATTAAGTCTCTAAAATCATTCTGTGTTTCAAGTCAGGTTGATTTGTAGACCTTAATTAATTATCTTCACAATATTTCAAGGTCTGTTGGCGGGGAGGTTCAGCTAAATGTTAATCTAGTTACAGGTAAATACACTGAATATTTAATCAACAGATCTAGGCTATATTTTTGTTGTCATGCATTCTATTAATATTTTATTGTGCAAATTATAAGATAACTATAAAAGAGATGTTTTTGCGTAAGGATTTTACTTTGTAAAATACAGATAAAAACTTTTAGGTTATATAATTCTTCTCTCATAACAAATGATACAGAGTTATTATATAAAAAATTTTGGAAGTCCAGAAAACTGAGGGAAAAAAAGTCATTTATGATCTTATTGCCCAAAGATAACCACTTATTATTTTAAATGTGTTTTCTCCCAGCCTTTTTTTCAGCATGTGTATTTTATAAAATTGAGTTTATATTTTATAGCGATTTTGTATCTCACTTTTTAAAACTTTTTTTTTTTTTTTTTTTCTGAGACAGAGTCTCACTCTGTTACCCAGGCTGGAGTGCAGTGGCACAATCTTGGCTCACTGCAGCCTCTGCCTCCCAGGTTCAAGCTATTCTCTTGCCTATTCTCTTGCCTCAGCCTCCTGAGTAGCTGGGAATACAGGTGTGCACCACCACGGCCAGCTTTTTTTTTGGATTTTCAGTAGAGTTGGGGTTTCACTATGTTGGCCAGGCTGTTCTTGAACTCTTGACCTCAAGTTATCCACCAGCCTTGGCCTCCCAAAATGCTGGAATTACAGGCGTGAGCCACTGTGCCCGGCTGTCACTTTTTAAAACTTAATCACATTACATTTATATGCCTTTGTACTCAAATGAATCACAAACATTTTGCTTTATAGCAACAAGGCATAACTTCATGAGGATATAGTGTTATCAACTCAACTCTTGACATTGGAGCCAACAAGATCTTTTAAAAATGCTCATCTGATTGTTACCCTTTTAGGCTTTGTCTTGCTCTTAGGGGTGCAGGGGGCTTCCAAGACTAGCCCTGCCACCTCTGAGGCTTGTCCACCTGCTGTGGTTCCCCAGTACTCTTGCTGCTGCCATCTGTTCCAGCCATCTGGGCCTCTTTTCACTTCCTTAGTCTCTTATTGCAGGCACCGCTTCCTTTTCCTGGATGCCTTTCCTCCCTCTTGCTTAGTTAATGCTTATCTGTCCTTCAGCTTTCTGCTCAAATGTCTTGTCCTCAGGGAGGCCTTCCCTGTCCCTAGACCAAGTCAATCTACCCTGACTGGACTCTCAGAGTGTCCGGCCGTTATCCTTCTCACAGGGAGCCTGATGGTCCTTGTCTGCTTACTTTTATATTTAGTACGTAGGCTGGCCTATGGCACTTTCTGGAAGGTGAGCTCCAGAGGGCAGGGCTGTGCTTGTTTTCATTCCCTTTTGTATCCTGAGTACCTGGAACACTTTTTTAAGGGAATGAATAAGTGAAGAAAGATAAACGTGCAAACAAACTAGTTCCCTATGTTGGTACCTTCGAACAGCTTCCCATTCTTAACTATTGTGGAAAATGAGCCATGAGCACCATCATCTGAATTTTGTATTCTTTCTTTTGGATAAATTCCCATAAGTGGAATAACTGGATTAAGGAGTAGGACCTCTTAAAGTTCTGCTGGATTTCTTTCTTTTTTTTTTTTTTTTGAGATGGGGTCTGGCTCTGTGGCTCTGTCTCCCGGGCTGGAGTGCAGTGGCGCGATCTGGGCTCACTGCAAGCTCCACCCCCTGGGTTCACGCCATTCTCCCGCCTCAGCCTCCCGAGTAGCTGGGACTGCAGGCGCCCACCACCACACCCAGCTAATTTTTTGTATTTTTAGTAGAGACGGGGTTTCACCGTGTTAGCCAGGATGGTCTCGATCTCCTGACCTTGTGATCCGCCCTCCTCAGCCTCCCAAAGTGCTGGGATTACAGGCGTGAGCCACTGCGCCTGGCCGGATTCCTTTGTAAAAGCAGTGGTGAGAGTACCTCTCTGAGGAGGCAGCATTTGGAATAAAGTGACTTCATAGAACTCGCATGGACATCGAAGCTCTGGCATCAGTTCACTGTCACAGTCAATGACTTGGACTTAAGGGTCAGATGGAGGCTGTGTAGCATCCTCATCAGACTCACTATCCTCGAGGGGAACCTGGGCACTAAGGGCTTTACCAGGTATTTGCCTAATAATACAAAAAGTCAGAGCAAAAGATTCTCCTAAGACCATTTAGATCTTGCAGTAGAGGAGAAAATATGCAAAGTCTTGATTTATTTATTTAATTAATGTTATGAATCCAGGGTTTCTTTCTTTGGCATTCTTTGTGCCAATAATATGTATCACCTTCTGGATATCTTTGTCATTTGAGAAAGATCCAAATTACTTTCCTTAAATTAGCCTTGGGCTTAGCATGCAGGCATACTAGTAACTTCCAAATTTAAATATTGTAATTACATCATGTGGATTGTACCCTCTGGTATTTATGGACTGCAATCCATTTAAATATTTTAAATTTAAAGACAAGGCCACCTGTGTTGTGGATAGTTTTATAACTATAGACTTTACAGTGAGAGTGGGTACAGTTGAATGGTATCTGGTTAATAGCACAACCTGATTATTAGTATGTTTGAGGTCCTTTTTGGATAACCTGGACACATTGTCCAGAGAAAGCAGTTACGGCTGGAGAAGAAGCCTCATTTGCCTCCTTAGACTCATCTGTCAGTGCCTGTCCCTGGTGCCTATTGTGGTACTTTGGTGACTGTCATTTGCTGGTTTCAGAAACAAGGCTTGGCCATTCCAACAGCAATGGAAACCCCACACAGGGAGACTTCTTTGCAGTACAGTCACTCTGGGGCAGGGTCGCTGCGTGTCAGTGATTTCAGGTGGTAGAGAGGATAAGCATGCACGTGTAGGCTCTAGAGTCAGAGAGTCTTCCTAGATTCAAGTCCTGACTTCACCACTTACTAACTGTACAACATGGGGCAAATACTCAGTTTTCTCATCTGTAAAATGAGTATAACAATACAGTTGGGATTAAATACTTAGCATAGAGCTTATCATACTACACATACTCAATAATTATTAGCTGTTATTATTACCATCTCATTCAGCACACACATTAGTGAAAGAGACAGAATTCATGAGGCAGGCAGACCATGCTTTTGTTCTTCACCACATACGTAAAATCTAACGTGGTGTCTGAAACACATTGGCAGGTGTTAACAAATGGTGGCCATTTATGAATAAATGGAATACAAAGTTAATAAACAGCAACCCTATTTTCCCCATCTGTGTTCTAAACCAACCATGATAGAGGAGGAGGAAGATGGAGAGCCACATGCCAGCTCTATTACTGACAGAGCTGTGGAGGAGAACAGTGTGGTACAAGTCAGCAGTAGCCTCCTGTTACTGCCTGCAGAGTGAGACAGACTTTCTCTCCCACCCGCAGTCCTGGATTGCTCCAGCCAGGCTCACAGAGGCCCAGTTGGCTAAGTGCCCGCTGTATCCCATGCTCACCCCAGGCAGGCACATCCTCAACAGAAATAGGCAGAGCTCAGCTCGTGACTTAGGTCCTGCTCTGAAGTCACCAATCAAACACATTGGTTCTCTTTTCTTGGGAAGAAGTAAGGATGTGAAGAAAGGCCAGGGGTCATTCCCTAGTGGTTGGCCCTCACATGGAAACTTGCAGAAAGGAAAAGAGTCACCCCCAACAGTTGGTTGAATGAATAGGAAGTCTGGCTTAACCAAGCTATTGAAAAGATGGTTGCATCCAGTCTTATGCAGCAGACTGAATTCATTCCATTAAGACTAGTCCTGTTAAAATATCACAGAATCCACCTAGATCAGCTTGGAACACAGCTCATTATTATTGTGCGAGTTGTGGATGGCACACCTGTCCTTCCTCTTCCTTCTTCCTTCTCTTGCCTCCCTCTTTCCTTTTCTTGAAGCCCAGTCCAGACAGACATCTCTTCCTCAAGTTTTCTCAGCTATCCTAATCCAGGTTAGAGGTCTCTTTCCTTTTTTGTGGTGTGCATATTCCTATCAATACATACCACGCTGTCATGCAAATATTTGCCAACCTGTCCTCCCTCCCCCAAGACTGTGAGCTCCTGAAGGACCATGGCACACACGAGCCCTCTGATCCTGTTTGTTGAGTGAGTGACTGCACCCATCCAGCGTCTGTCCAGTTTTGTTCACTTTTCAGCCTTTAGTGTTTGGTTCATGAAAAGGATGTAGAGTTCATGAGGAACATTCAAGGTCTCCAGATGTAACCATGCTGTCATCTGTTTCTAGGCTAGGTCCCACTCAGCTCAAAATCTTCACTTGTGAATACTGCAACAAGGTCTTCAAGTTCAAGCACTCGCTGCAGGCCCACCTGAGGATCCACACCAATGAAAAGCCATACAAGTGCCCCCAGTGCAGCTATGCCAGTGCCATCAAGGCCAACCTCAATGTGCACCTGCGCAAGCACACTGGAGAGAAGTTCGCCTGCGACTATTGCTCGTTCACCTGCCTGAGCAAGGGCCACCTCAAGGTGCACATCGAGCGAGTGCACAAGAAGATCAAGCAGCACTGCCGCTTCTGCAAGAAGAAGTACTCTGACGTCAAGAACCTCATCAAGCACATCCGAGACGCGCATGACCCACAGGACAAGAAGGTCAAAGAGGCCTTGGACGAGCTCTGCCTGATGACGAGGGAGGGCAAGCGGCAGCTGCTCTATGACTGCCACATCTGTGAGCGCAAGTTCAAGAACGAGCTGGACCGTGACCGCCATATGCTGGTCCACGGAGACAAGTGGCCTTTTGCCTGTGAGCTCTGTGGCCATGGGGCCACCAAGTACCAGGCGCTGGAACTGCATGTCAGGAAGCACCCCTTCGTGTACGTCTGTGCCGTCTGCCGCAAGAAGTTCGTCAGCTCCATCAGGCTGCGCACCCACATCAAAGAGGTGCACGGGGCTGCCCAGGAGGCCTTGGTCTTCACCAGTTCCATCAACCAGAGCTTCTGCCTCCTGGAACCTGGTGGGGACATCCAGCAAGAAGCTCTGGGGGACCAGCTACAGCTGGTGGAAGAGGAGTTTGCCCTCCAGGGCGTGAATGCACTCAAGGAAGAGGCCTGTCCTGGGGACACTCAGCTGGAGGAGGGCCGGAAGGAGCCGGAGGCCCCTGGGGAAATGCCTGCCCCAGCTGTGCACCTGGCCTCCCCGCAGGCCGAAAGCACAGCCCTGCCACCCTGTGAGCTGGAAACCACCGTGGTCTCCTCCTCAGACCTGCATTCTCAAGAGGTGGTTTCAGATGATTTTTTGTTGAAAAATGATACCTCCTCCGCAGAGGCTCATGCTGCTCCTGAGAAGCCCCCAGACATGCAGCACAGAAGCTCAGTCCAGACGCAAGGTGAAGTGATCACACTACTGCTGTCCAAGGCCCAGAGTGCTGGGTCAGATCAGGAAAGCCATGGCGCCCAGAGCCCCCTAGGGGAAGGGCAGAACATGGCTGTGCTTTCAGCTGGTGACCCAGATCCCAGCAGGTGTCTCAGGTCAAACCCAGCTGAGGCCTCAGACCTCCTCCCTCCAGTAGCTGGTGGTGGGGACACCATCACACATCAGCCTGACTCTTGCAAAGCTGCCCCTGAGCACCGGTCAGGCATCACCGCTTTCATGAAGGTCCTGAACAGTTTACAGAAGAAGCAAATGAACACCAGCTTGTGTGAGCGGATCCGGAAGGTTTATGGAGACCTGGAGTGTGAATACTGTGGTAAGGAAAGGCAGCGCCGGTGCGTGGCCCTGTCCACAACCATCATGCTGTGGTCACCTCGCATTTGATTTGAGCTCATGTCTGTTTGCAAAGAATACCTTCTAAGTGAGCCATCCTCCTCCATTGTAGATAGGAACGGTGACCCTGTGTGGCCGTTAGCGCTTGGAGTCTTGTGGAGGTGGCCGGGATGGCTGCACAGTTGACTGTGTTGGCCTGGTCAGGTGTGTGTGCTGAGGGTTACCCATGACCTCTACCAGAACTCTAACCAAGAAGAATCTTTCTTCTGGCACATGACAAGTTTAAAGTTGAGCTTTAAATTGTGGCCAACTACTATATCAGCCAAGAGAGGTTATGAAAGTGGCTGCAGCTCTCTGTAGGGAGGTCCCAAATAGCACCCTGCAACTCACAATGAAAGCATGGCTCCTGGAACTCCTGGGGAGCTGGTGGTCAGGATATAGAAAATCCAGCTCCAGACCTGCTGTCCCAGGAGGGCCGGTAGAACTTAGAGATTTGTAGATTTATGCATGTGCATCATGGTATTTGGAGCCATAACTGGTTCTCAGTAAACACTGGCTTCCTCCTCTCTGGGCCCTAACATCATGCAAAAAATAGTAGCACCCTTAATATTTGCAACCTCCCACCTTTGAAGAGTAATTTTCAGACAGAAATGTGGTGAAAAGTATGAAGGGTGACCCGGACAAGCGCAAGAGGGAGATAGATATTGTAGATAAAAAATAATAATAATTTAAAAAATTCAAAATCAGTCAAAATGAAACTTCCTTGTTCTCATGTGAAAATATTTTTTTAGGCAAACTTTTTTGGTACCAAGTGCATTTTGATATGCATGTCCGCACCCACACCCGGGAACATCTGTATTATTGCTCTCAGTGTCATTATTCTTCCATCACCAAAAACTGCCTTAAACGCCACGTAATTCAGAAACACAGTAACATCTTGCTGAAGTGTCCCACCGATGGCTGTGACTACTCAACTCCAGATAAATATAAGCTACAGGCACATCTTAAAGTTCACACAGCACTGGTAAGTAGCAAGCCCAAGCGGCAGCCCCGTCTCCCCTGGGTGCTCATTGCTTTCTCAAGTTTATGCTTATATGTAGGTGTCTCTGCTGCAGGTCAGCCCTGAAAACATAGAGAGATCCTTCTCCTTACACAGCTGTGCACGTGGCAGAGGCTTCCCAGGTTCCTTTCACAGCAAGAGTCTCTAATACGTTGAAAAAAGAGATTAGATGGAATAAATTGTTTCCTGTGCAAATTTTTTTAGCATCAGATAAAGTCTACAGAAGAGATATCTATAGAGTAGAAGTAAAGTCAGAATTTCTCAAATGACATTTTAAAGAATAATTAATAGCAGAGATAACAGTAATAGCTCCTACTGAACGTGGTTGAGAGGTTGAATTAGATAATGCTGTACAGTGATGAGAACAGTATTTGGTTCAGAGTAAGAGCATAGTAGATGTTGATGACCACTGTTGTCACAGTTTTGTGTTATTTATTTTAGTCTCTGGGAGAGAATGTCTTTGAAGCACGTTTATTTTAAAAAAGTGAAATGTTAATTCAATATGCTGTTAATATTCACAAAGGTAAATTTCTTTAGGTCTTTGGTGGAGGATCTTGTAACACAATGAATGAATGCTTATTTTTGCAAATTCTAATCTAACTCAAGAGGCTGACACCTGAGAGTGATTTGAGACTTCTTCAAGTTATAAAGGAAGCACATCTGGCCCCAGGTGTGGTTCTGTTTTAATTGAATGCCTTTTTATGCTACAGACAGCAAAAAGTGAAGCTTCAGACATTTGATGTGCTACCATGGTTTCCTGGCATAAAAATCATAACAGTTTGTCACTAAGGGTAAAGTCAGGTGTTTGGGTGTGGTGAGTAGGTCAGAGCATGGGCTTTGGGGTTGGATACCTGGATTCAAACACTGTCTCCAACACTCTCACAGGCCCTGTGGCCTTGGGCAAGTCACTTGTCTTCCCTGAGACCTGTATGAAATAGCCTTCTGTATAAGATACATATTTTTAAAAAATCTATTTTATATACATCCACACACATATGCATATACACACATATACAGATGTGTATATACATGTATTTATACACGTGCTTATACACACCTACACACATACACTTATATGCATGCGCGCGCACACACACACACATATGTACAGTACTCTAAAGAACTTGGCACAGTCCTTGTCATGTAATTGACTGTGTACCGGCTATCGCATGTCATTTGGCACTTCTCATTACACATTCTCTGTCCTTCCTTTTCTTTCTGTCTCTCTCTCTTTGAGTAGCATGTGAAGGCATGTTGTTTGTAATTCTTCATGGAACCGCTGTTACATAGATACTGATTCCAGTACGCTATTATGGCCGGGAAAAGTGAGGTGGCAGAATTCATTAAAGTGATTTTGCTGGAAACTCATATGAAGTCGGGAGGGAGTGAAGCCAATATGAGAACAAGTTCTTGGGAGAAGCCTTTGAATATGGCAATAAAAACTAGGAAGCAGACTGCTGGGTTTTCACCCTGGCTCCCTATTTACCACGTGTTTAGCCTTGGGAAAAGTCATGTGACCTATTTGCCTCAGTTTACCCATCCTTGGATGAGGATGAAGTGAGAGAATAGATGTAAATGTCTTAGAACAGTGCCTGGCATGGAGCAAGCACTGTGTGTCATGGACTATTATCATTATTGATTCTACTTCTCCTTTTGGAACTTGCTGCTCTGGATTTAGAGATTTTGAAACATAGGCTGAAAAAATGACAAGAAAAGGGAAGTTGTAATTGAGCTTTACCACCTGGGACTGTATGTATTTTTCCATGCCCAAATCTTGCCTGCCTGTTGTGAGGGACCCATGGTTCAGCCCAGTGATTTTCTTACCCCAGCTGCTGATGCTCGGCCTCCTGGCCACATCCTTGGGCCTCATGATCAGTGGGGGAGTGTCAGGAATGTGCACTGAGATCTTTGGCCCCAGTCACATCTGCCTTCATTCTTCTTAATAAACCAGCATCTAAAGAGGTTTCTCTTTTCAACTTTCTATGGTTATCTTCCTTCTGAGAGGCTTATCTCTTCAATGTGAACATGTAGGATGGCATCTGGGGAAATACATGTTGGGGGAAAGGGAAGGAACAGCTGCTGTCTTTATCCTGTGGGTCAGCTCCTTGTGCAGTCTTAATTCTCATATTACTTCTAGGAGTTGGAGTATTTCCTCCACTGGGCAGATTAGGGGCCTGGCATTACAGAGTCGTTTGGTAACTTGCTCATGGTTGTGCCATTGGTAAGGGACAGAGACAGAATTCAAGCCCACATTCTCACCACTGCCTGGGGTTGCCCATTTTGTTGTAGTTGGTCATTAACAGCAACCACATGGTTCTTGGTAGGTCTCTTGGACACTTGTCCGTCATCTGAAGGAATGTGGTTGAGGCAGATGTTGTGCCGTGAGGGCAGGGATTGTGCTGATTCTTTCTGTGCTGTTAAGTGGCAGTTGTGCTTTATGCTACGATAATAAAATTTCTGTGCAACTAACTGCAGGAGAAGAGCAGTGTGCTGAATAAGGGGGTGTGACTCAGTTGACCTTACAAAAGAGATATGCTAGCCTGCTTCTCATTAGCTCTCACGTTTTCTTAGAAGTTGTAAGTTTAACTTCAATCTTTTCCCTTACTGATATTTGCAGTTCTTCCAGCAGAAACGCTTTTAAAGGTGAATGTGTTGCCGCTGCTTCCAAAGCCAGCCAGCGCTGGCTGGAGGCCCCCTCCTCTACGTGTCGGGCATTGAGATTTTCAAGTAGGATCTGGTCCCTGCCTTCAGGGTGCTCTTGGTTTTGTGAAGGGGGAGCTAAACAATAAACAGTAATGGCAAAATGGCAACGTGAGAGGGACAGTGACGTCAATACAACAATGTACTCTCCGCCCAAAAAAAATTTTCCTG
Organism: Homo sapiens; assembly: GCF_000001405.40. Classification (NCBI taxonomy): domain Eukaryota; kingdom Metazoa; phylum Chordata; class Mammalia; order Primates; family Hominidae; genus Homo; species Homo sapiens. The sequence goes on along the minus strand of NC_000008.11, from coordinate 134,597,528 downwards.
GAAAGGGCCTGGGAGGAAGGGTTCTGAGGGCTGTCTGGAGGAAGGGGTTCTGAGGTTATGAGTAGATTTGGGCCAGGAAAGAGAGTGAGGAGGAAATTCCCAGCAGAGTCAACAGCACAAACCAAGGGGAAGCTATTTGTATTTACTCCAGGTTATTGAATTACTGAACATTTTCCATGAAGCAGGTGGACCATATTGCCAACATAGTAAGATAGCATGATTTATGAAAACAGGCTCCAGGATTTTTAGTTTAGACATTTGTCTTTTGAGCCTGCAAATTATTTTTGTAATGAAGCCAAGGGTACCAAGAAAATGTTGACGCAGTACAAAAAAAAAAAAGATCTGCTTTCCCTTAATGAAGACTCTTTTGATCTGATAATAAAGTTGCTATTGCAAAGTGTTTTAAATAGAATTCCGTATTTTCAAGGACAGTTAACGTGGATTTTTTTTGGTAACAGCTTTACTTTATCAAGATATATTTTACATAGCATACAATTTGCTCATTAAAGTGTGAAATCAAATTTTTTTTTTTTTTTAGTATATCCACGGAGTTGTGCAATTATCATCACCACAGCTAATTTCAGAGCTTTTTCATCATCCCATAAAGGAACCTGGTACCCATCAGCTGCCATCCCTCGTTCCCCTCCCTGAGCCCTAGGCAGCCACTAATCTACTCTCTATATCTGTGGATTTGCCTGTTCTTTCTTTCATATGAAATTTCTTTCATTTCATATGAAAGAAATCATAAAATGTGTATATTCAATACAGTCTTTTGTGACTCATTTCTGTCACTTAATTCATCCATGGTTTCCTTTTTACAGCTGAATAATATTCCATTGCATGGATACACTGCATTTCATCAGTTGATGGCATTTTTTTAGTGGTAATTTCACCAAGACAGTACCTCCCAACTACAGAGTGTTTTAAATCCACAGGATTCAATCTAATTCTTTGTGAAATCACCTAAGAAAGCATGGAGGTTAATTCTAGGAGGTTAAGTATTAACCTTTCCTTAAAGGGTTTTCAAAAATTATGAAGCATCTAAGAAAAATTCTGAAGCATCTAAGAAAAATTATTTTATTCACCACCCACCAGTATTTAGCTGTGTCATTGTCACTGTTTTGACACTTGTACCATTATTGCTGCCATGAAATGGATAAAACTGGGAATTTGAAGTTACAGGACAGGGTTCTGGCTCTACGTCTGTGGACTGTGCAGACTGCTTGGTCTTTATTTCCCTTTACCTGAAAGTGGAGTGAAAAATACTTCCCTGCTTTCTCTGGATGGTGGCAATGCTCCAGTGGGATAGCGTGATTGTGCTTTGTGATGTGAAAGTGCCTTATGGATGTCCATGTGGTTGATCTTAGGACTGTGATCATGGCAGGGTCTAGCTAGGTCAGGAGAATGGTGCTGTTCTGATCAGGAAAGGCATGGGACCTGGGGCGAGACCTTGCACCAGCGTGGGGCTTGGTTTCCTTACCTGTGACCCTGGAGATGGAAGCAGGTATTATAATTCTGGCTGCCTGGCCTTCTGCATTAGTTTCAGTGTTTACTGCTTTCAGCACAGATTCCCATGAAGAGCAGAAACAAAGGAGATTAAAAGTAGCCATCTCTCCCACCTGCCCTTCAAATGGGCCCATATCCAAGTTCTTTCCAGTTGCATCAGGACTGTAGGATAATCTGGCTGAGTGCCTGTTTCTGTGACTCTTAGAGCCATTTATTAGCCAAGGATAAACCTAATGATTGGAAAGAATGTGTACCTTTAACAAAGTTTCTTCCCACTACCTCCTTCTTCCAATTAGTAACTAAATAATGTCAACTTACAGTCAGAGATGTCTTGGCATTGAGGAAATATGGGGACCTAGTCAAGAGAGTTAGTCAGTGACATTTCTGGAGCAAATCCACTTTTAACAGCATTGTGCAAACTTTATAAAGGGGGCACTTGAGACGATTTTAGTAGGATGAGAGGAGGCTTTAGGTTCTGATGTGCCTGAGTTCAGCCCCGTATCTGTCTCTGTGATCTGGGGCAAATCCTTAGCCTCCTTGAGCCTCAGTTTTCTCATCTATAAAAACGGAGATAAAAAGTACTTTCCTCTGCCTCTTTGGGCTGTGAGGACTGCATTAGAAAATATGTACTGTACAGAACACCCAAGTCAGCATTCTCTCTCTGTCTCTCAAAAAAAAAAGATCCATTAGAAGGTCGTGAAATCAGTTTAGTGATTCACAGCTAGGATATCTTATTAATGAAACAGAATAAAATAAAATAGAACTTGTCAGCATTATTCACCTCTACCAAGGGTAAGTATTATTTTCAGAGACCTTTGTTTCAGCGTTTAAATGTTTATCTGTCAGTGTGTGTGCATGAATGTGCTGGGTGTTGCTGTCAGATGGGTGACCCCTGTGGGTCTCCTTAAATACATATTTAGTGGCCTAAATCACATAATTCATGACCTCCTCAGTCAGAGTCTCATGGGGATAATTGTTATGAATGACATTCCTGGGCTCCTGCCTCCACCATAATTTGAGGTGGGATCTGAGAATCTGTTATTTAAAGTTCCTTCTGACACAAAAGTGTGAGGCAGCAGGAAGTGCAGCATCTGGCAGATGTTTATGATATGCCAGTTTATTCCGTTTATTTCTGGCCTTTGTTGCTTCTCAGAAAACCTCAAAGATACCTGATGCTAAGGGTCTTGTAGCAGTTACAGTCTGAGCTTGGGAGTTGGTAAGTTTGATGTTACTTTCTGACTCTGGGACTTAGAAGTGGTGTGGCTCCGTAACCTAACAAATCCCCTGGAAATGAAGACAACAGGACCCACCTCCATGGGAATTTAGCGAGATGATGTTCGTAAGGGACACGGCATATAGGGAGGGGCCTGTCCAGAGTAATTCATCCTTCTAATCCTCCTTTTTAGTAGGAGGAGGAGAATGAAGAAGAGGAATAGTAATAGTGATTGGCGGTGGTGCATCTATTGAGTCTGATGGTCTCTCAACAAATGTTTAGAATACTTAACCTTTGTCATTGAGAAGTGCATAGTCTTTCTTTGGCTATCAAGGTACACATATTCAAAAGAAATCTTACATGTACTTTCTGGAGATAAGCTAAAATAATATATTGCCAACAAAGCACTGAGAAGGTAGACGAAGCTACTTTCAATCCTCTTCTGGAAATAAATGGGTACACCCGGTCAGTATGTGTACTTTTAAAGTAGAGGAAATGTTATTTAATTAAAATGATTGCACATAATGTTTTCCCTTCCCAAGAGCTATAAGAAAATGGTCTTTTCTTACTTGATCACAAAACAAGTTTGTTTCTGTGTTGCTCCATTTAGGTGTTTTATCCACTGTCCAGGAAACCTCAGGCTACCAGAGCAAGTTGTGTATAGAACAGCTTCATTTCAGCAAAAACTGAGATTCTAAATTGAAAGGGCATCACATGGCAAAACAGAACTATTTCCAGTGGAAAGGAAAACCCTTGAGTTGAAATCCCAAATCGAGCACGTTTCTGGCTCTCTTCTAACTTGTTCAAATCAGTTGCAATTTCAGCATCACTTTTCCTGTGCTTTGCTGCACTTTCTGCAGACATCCTCACTGATGGTTGGGTTCCACGTGTTGACACATCTCTTTCTTGATGAGCATTCGAGCGCCTGAGAGTCTCACACCTCTTCCTCATTGCAGCGCCTGACACATAACAGGGGCCCTGTAGCAGTTGAGGAATGAATGAGTGAGTCCATGGAGGAAAGCACATGCCATAACTGTGGCCTTTATTCCTGAGAAATGGTTGAGTAGAAACCCCCACCTTTGTTTTTTAAAGCACTTGCCGCTAAGGCATAGACCAGATGAGGTTTGCCCGGAGCAGAGAGCTGGGCTGTGAGCCTCAGGCTTGGGGCTGACCCTGCACCCCAGGCCATGCTGCAGCTTCGTGCAGCATCTCCCTTCTTTCAAAGGGTCCTGATTGCTTTGAAGGCCATTTCCGTCAGAGCAAACAGACTCCAAAAGCTGGGCTCTCCTACCGTCATTAAGGCATGGGTCTCTCAGACTCTCCATCTCTGCTGGGAGCTCTTTTAACCACCACTCTTTTTAAGTTTGCTGTGTCAGTCTGAATTTTCATCTCTGGTATGGAACTGAGGTTTTGAAAAAGAAGTAAATGAGTCCTAAGAGTTCCCCCCACCACCCCCGCCCAGTACCCTTTACCACCATCTGTGTCCTTCTGACAGTCTTCAAAGGCATCAAAAAATAAGGGCCCCTGATAAGCTCTGAGATAAATTGCTTTCTGACTATCAGAGATTAAAAGAAAAAAAATCAAATAGCAGAGGCTCAGGGGAGATCACCGTAAACTCCTGCAAAGCCCTTCTGAATGCCTCCATCAACTCTGATGATGCGGGCACCGAGAGGCAGCCAGGGGTGGTGGAGGTCTCCTCCAGGATGCCCGCCTGACCCGGGGCATCTCGCCCAAGGCCAAGGGCAGAGGAGGACAGTGACAGGAGTGCTCTGAGGAGCCCTGAGCCTGTGGTGTAGCCTGTGTGGGGATCTGTGGCATTGCCTGGCCAGAAAACTCAGGACAGTTTCTTAAGTGGTGCCTGGATCCCTTGGACATGTGTGGTTGGCTGTCGTTGCTTGGTATTCAGATGTTTGGTGGGAAATGCATCGAAACCATTTGGTTGTTCAGAAGGACTTTTGGTTGGTTTGGTTTGGTTTTGGTTTTTAATGTAAAGTACACTTTTTCTAAGTGTACGCTGGGGAACACCAAAGGAGGTGGAGGGTGCTCCTTCAGATCCCGCTCTCGGAGACTCCCAGGGAATATTAGCCCATGAGAAGGGCTGCTGTCTCAGGCTGAGTTGCATGATAGCAATGTGGAAACCACAGCAGCAAAGTCTTTCAGATTTATTGAGCACTCACTATAGGAGAGGCTCAATTCTAAACACTCTATGTCTTTTTCATCTCCCTTATCCTTCCTGTGACCCTGTGAAGGAGGCATTGTTTTTTATTTCCATTTTACAGATGATGAAACGGAGGCACTGAGAGGTTAAATCATTTGCGCAAAGTTCCACAGCTAACAAGGGGCAAAACCAAGATTTGAACCCAGGGGCTCTGAGCCCTGAACCTGTTCTGCTAGTCAGGGTCTCATAAGAGCAAGAGCTCTGGAGTCCAGCTCTGCCCTCGGTGTAGTGTGAACCTTGGGCAAGTTTCTAAAGGCCTCATAGGATATGGTAATGTAAAGCACTTTGCATCCAGTGAGTTCTTAAGAAGTGATAGCTCTTGTGCTTTTTATTATTTAGAGTAGGAGTAGACTGCCCGGTGGGGAGCACAGTGAGGAGAGCATTCATCACACAAGGCGTGGAACACACTTGGTGCCTTGGGGAGCTCACAGTAGGGGCTCCACAAGTAGAGGGAATTAGTCCTTCTGTAAATCCAAGTGAGCGTGGAGTGGATTAACTTCCCCCAAAACACACACAGCCCAAAACATTTCCTTGCAGTGGTAGTTCTGAATTTTTTGTTTTTACTTTTTATTCACCTATCTGCGCAGAGTCCTCCCTACCAGGGTTTGGCTCTCTGTAAGCTGTGGGCTTGGTAAGCTTGGCAATCAAAGTGCCACATGCTGGTGGTATAAACAGCAGATATTTACTGTCACACTGTCCTGGAGAGCAGAAGGCAGAGGTCAAGGTGTTGGCAGGGCCGCTTCCTCCTGAGGGCTGTGGGGGAGGATGTGGTCCATGCCTCTCTGAGCTTCAGGTGATTTGCTCTCTGTCTTTGGCATTTCTTGGCTGGCAGTTGCATTGCTCTGGTCTCTGCCTCCATCTGCACATGGTGTTCTCCCTGCATGCAGCTCTGTGTTCAAATTTCCTCTTTTTATAAGGACACCAGTCACATTGGATGAGGGCCCACCCTAGTGACCTCATTTTAACTGGATTACCTCTGTAAAGACCCTATCTCCAAATAAGGTCACATTCTGAGGTATTGGAGGTTAGGACTCCAACATATGATTTTTTAGGGGATAGAATTCAACCAATAACACCCACTCTAGGGGAAAAGAGTGATATGAAATCGCCCTCAAGTGAGCGCTGAGAGCAAAGGGAGGTGAGCAAAAGCCATAGCTTGGTAATTCACAAAAGCTTCTTCCTAATTGAGAATGTTACACCATGGTGGCCCTGGCTGTGAAGCTGCAGCAATGCAGGATGAACAACCTATCTGCGCCCCAGTGGGACACCGAGGGGCAGGAGGCATCCTGGGTGGGCGTCCGCACACTCTACTTCCAACACTGGCTCCTCTTCTCAGACTTTGGGCTTATCTCCTGGGCCTTGTTTTCTTAATCTGTAACATGAGCATGAACTGTGCCTATCTTTTGTGAGTGGTTGTGAGTCTCAATAAAATCACTTGCCATGCAATCCCTGCGTTGAGTGCTGGCGGATGTAATATGCTCTTGGGTTGTAGAGTAGCACTGGTGTGTGTGGTAGACCCGCAGCCTTGAGGTTGAGTACCACCTGCCTCCACAGAACTCTCCCCTCTAAGCCCCATCCCTTCCTTCTGAAATGGAGCTGATGCCATTCCCCCATTCCCCTACTCTCGAGCTCCCCAGGCTGTGCAGCGCCAGGTAGAGGGTGTATGTATGTGCTTGGAAGGATGTACTTTGTCTGGTTTTGATGAAGCTGATGATAATGATGGTGCTGATGAGAATGCTAGTGTTGATGATGGTGAGGGGGGTCGTGGTGATGTTGATGGTGGTGGTGGTGGTGGTGATGGTGGCAGTGCTGGTTGTGGTGGTGGTGATGACTGTTGATAGTGCTGGTGGTGGTGGTGTTGGTGGTGGTGGTAATGGTGATGGTGGTCGTGGTGTTGTTGTTGGTGGTGGTGGTGTTGGTTGTGGTGGTGTTGGTGGTGGTGGTGGTGATGACTATTGATAGTGCTGGTGGTGATGACTATTGATAGTGCTGGTGGTGGTGATGATGATGGTGATGATGGTGGTAGTAGTGATGGTGGTGATGACTGTTGATAGTGCTAGTGGTGGTGATGATGGTATTGATGATGGTGATGTGATGGTGGTGGTGGTGATGACTGTTGATAGCGTGAGTGGTAGTGGTGGTGGTGGTGGGTGATGATGGTGATGATGATGGTTATTTTTTACAGACCACAGATTTAAATGAGAAAGTCAACTGATTATGTTCTCTTTCTATTAAGGACAAAAGGAGTTATTCTTGTCCTGTTTGTGAAAAGTCTTTTTCAGAGGATCGATTGATAAAGTCACATATCAAGACCAACCATCCTGGTAAGGTTGTGCATTTTGGAGTGGAAGATTAATGTTAAAAATGCTTATGTTTATTTTAAAACAATGTTTTACATTAACTGCACTATATAGAAATAAAAAGGGATGAAGCTGTGAATATATTCATGGGAAACAAACATCTTTATTCGACGCTGGGAAGTTGATGTAATTATTTATTTCCTTTTGTTCTTTTATCTGGTCTTCAGATGCATCAACCCTCACCCCTGCAATTTCAGTGATACCCTCTGCCCCTTTTAATGGGAACTTTGCATGCCTTTCGATGGGTCGCATATGAGGCAGGGCTGTTGTCATAAGCTTGTGTTACCCAGAGTGGTGGTTTGTAAGGGGTGTTGGCTCCTGCCCAGGCTGAAGAGCATCCTTGAGTTGGAGAGACCATTACCACGGGTATTCTCATATTCCACACTGCTCAGGTGCATGAGGCACCAGCTACCTGGGTGTTCATACCTTGTCATTTCTGTTCGTGCCACCTGGAACATTTTCCCTTCTGCCCTACCTGGTTAATTCCTGTTCATTCTTTGCATTCTTCCTCAGAGCCCTGCCTCTGGGGAGGCTTTTGTAGCTTCCAGCCTGGCCGAGGGTCCACCCCGCACCCCTGCTAACGTCACACAGGGCGCACTGACCGCTGTGCTCAAGTCACTGTGACTCTCCAGCAACTCCCATGGGCTCCCTGAGTCGGGGCTTATCCCGCCTCATCTCCAGTGCCTCTACAGGCAGGCCCAGGAAAGCAGACAAGTGTATTGTGTGTTTTATGAGGGAGTAACAGGTACTTCTTCTAAATGTGCCTCTCCCTTCGTACATGTCTCTTTTTTCCTGTTCTTTATTTTGTATTTGCTCTTGGTATAAGGGAACTGACTCACTGATTATAAATGGAGGAAGATAAAGAAATAATAGAAGGGCACTAACACTCATGTTTCAGCTGGGAATGGACAGAGTTGTGAGGCCTTCGTCTGTGTGGGCTATGTGCTTCTCTGAAGGCCCAGCTCTGTCCTTCTCATGTTAACTCATGTCCTAAGTGACATGGGATCCAATGTGAGCCAAAGTTATTCTTAAAACAGCTAACCTTTGCTGATGAACAGATGTAAGACATTATTTTGTTATTATTTTAAGCTTTTTATTCCAGAAAATCCCAAAATACAAGAGCACACAGAACAATGCCAGGAACCTCCTGTATCTGTCACTTAGCTTCCACAGTTATCCACATTTTGTCAAACTCTTTTTCATGTATCTACCACACACACTTTTCTTCTTCTAGGATATTTTAAAGTATATTCCAGACAGCATGTAATTCCTCCATAAAAACGTTTAAAATGCATCTCCAAATAATAAGGATTGCTTTCAACATAACCACCATGTTACCGGTAAAGCAAATAGGATCAACTGTCATTCATTATTGCCACCTATTATCAGTCTGTTTAAAATTTCCCCAATTTCCCCAAGATTTTTCTTTTTAACTGTTGGTTCGCTTGAACCAGCATCCATGCATTTGCATCTAGTGGTTTAGTTCATTATGTTTCTGTTTCTTGTTTTCTCTAGTGTCCTGCTGTGCTTTTTTCCATGACATTGACTTATGGGGGAAACTGAGTCACTTTTCCTTTAGACAGTTTCACTTTCTGCATTTGTGTGGTAATTGCCTTGTGATGTTGCTTCTCCATTCCTCATACATGATGTTAACAGATACTGAGATCTGAGACTCGATTTGGTTCTGGTTTTACTTTTTAGGTGAAAATCCTGTCTCTGGACACCATGAGGCACACCTTGATTCCTCCTGTGGGTGCTGCTTAGCAATGAGGTTTATTTATGTCTAACTTCCCCTGAGGTGCTCTGACTCCTTTTGACATCCTGCTTTTCTTCTAGAGGTCTCCATGAGCACCATTTCTGAGGTTCTCGGGAGGAGGGTTCAGCTGAAAGGGCTAATTGGAAAGAGAGCCATGAAATGCCCATATTGTGACTTTTATTTCATGAAGAATGGCTCAGACCTTCAGCGTCATATTTGGGCTCATGAAGGTGAGTATTCATCTTTCCAAATTGGGCACCTTTCTAATTTTGTGCTTCCATCCTTCATTTTGGGAGTACATTAAGAGGAAGCCGTATCTTCACATCCCTGCTGTTAGAATTTCCTTAGCACACTGAGAGATGTGTCCATCAACCAGCTACAAACAGTAATTTAAACCATTACTTAATTAGTTGCAATTGCAATGAATAGAGGTGTGCACTCCTTCATAGGTCTCATTGCAATTGTAGTGAAATAAATCACCATGACTCCTCTGCTGGAAAGTAGGTACCTTGAGAACAGGAACACCGGAGACTTATTCATGGCAGGAACTCCAGTGCCCACCCTGTGCCCTGTGCATAGCAGGTTTTCCAGAAATGTTGGTATTATGAATGAAGGAAGGAGGGCAGCAAGTAGTTCTCCCATTCCAGCAGTTTGGAGTGTTACCATTCAGGCTATGGAGAAGGAATTCAGAAGGTGGAAGGGCAGAATGGAGATGAGGGAATGGAGAGAAGAAGGTAGGCTGTGCTTTTGGGTTGCTTGCCTGTGAAGGGAAGTGTGGGGCCACTCTCAGGGCTTTGGGAAGTTGGAAGTGAAGATTCTACTAGGGCAACAGACCGTCAACTTTGTTTTCTCCCCCTGGATAAGGACATGGCCCTCCTGGGGATTAGGGTAGGAGACAAGGGGCCAGGGAAAGCCCTTCCAGACACCTGCATCAGGTCCCTGCCTGTTAGTTAGGAACCTGGAATGCTGCAGATAGGAAAACAAGAGTAGAGGGGGATGAAGGATGAAGTATTTTCTATAATATGGGATAAAATGACCTATTTATAGGTCCCAGGGAAGGAACTATTAGGGAGAGAGAGACCAGTGGTTCAGTAATGAGAATCGTAACTGACAGATTGGGAACCCGGAGAAGGCAGAAGGAGTTGAGATAAATTCCAAGGTTGGAAGCTACTTTTTTGTTTACCAGCATATAATGAACACTCTATCTCCAGAGGGCCATTCCGAGAAGGCAGAATCCTTTGTAGAAGGCAGTCACAGTGTTGGGGTGCCTATGGACTGGGTGCTTTGTGTCAAATGTTCACTCCTGGTACAAACAACCCAGGTGTGGAGAGGAGAGTGATGGTCACATTGTAGGTACTATTGCCCCTTCTGAAAGCCAAGTGATGGGAACAGGTTTATGATGCATGTGGACACCAAAGTGCAAATGCTAATGGCAGTCCTATGCCCTGAGCACTCTAAGAGTGACCTAAACAGATGCCAGTGCTCAGTGTTTGACTCACGTTATTGGAGTCAGTATTCTCAACAACCTTAAAGGCAGATGCTGTTACCATCCCCATTTTACCAATGAGGAAAATGAGGCTTAGAGAGGTGAAGTAATTTGCCCCAGGTCACACAGCTAACAAGTGGTGGAACTGGGATTTGAACCAATGCCATCTGATTCCAAAACCCTTGCTCTTCTCTTCTGAACTGACTTGTTTCAGAAGGAGGAGGCACCTCCTACACTGAGACAGGAGTGAAGGGGGTGAGGGTGGTAGCAGGTATGTGTATATACACGTGTTGTTTCTTTGTTATGAAGTTGAAGGCATTCGTAGCCGATGGTCACAGTTGGCTCAGCAAAGAATGCCAAGAAGGCAGGCTTGGAATGGCATTCATGGGAATCAGCAGGGAGCTGACCCTGATGGAAGCACAGAGGGCCCAGCAGAGGCTGGAGACCATGGGCTTATAAAGGCATCAAACTGTAATTGTACTCACATGAGAAGAAGTGAGAGAACTGGGTTCAAATCCCACCCTCACCATGTATGATGGACAAATAATTCCATCTCTCGAAACTCAGTTTGTTTATCTGTAATGTGTCTGCTTTGGGATTTGTTAGAAGGATCAACGAGATAATTTATGTAAAGCCCTCAGTAGAAGGCTTAGCACATATTGGGTACTTAATACATGGCTGATGCTGTTGTGTTAAGTAAAGACTTGTGATGATGCAGTAATGTTGCATATTTGCCATTTGAAAGTAATCTAATATTTTTAGCGACTTCAGAATTGATAAAGATTCAGAAAGCGAAAGGCTGCTGTATCCTGGCATCTTTTTTTTCCTCTCTAATTTATAACTTTCTCTGTAATGAAGGAATCACAAAGGAAACAGGATATCAGTACACACACCATACATTGGGGTTCTTTGGAATTGATCCCCTGTACCATAAAATATCCCTTGTCTCCGTTTACTCTCAAAACATAGGACAAGAAAAACAAATTTAAAAACCCAAAAAATTAAATTGAAAAAAGAAAGAAAAACAGAAAACACAGGTATTGATTGTAGTCACAGAAATTAACCATTTGTGTAGAATTTTGTGCATACCTGTGACATTAGTTGCTTAGAGGACCTGCAACTTTGTTCAAGGTTTCCTAATAGTCAAGCAATGGACCTGGGACCCATCCACTACAGCAGTTCTAAACACTGGCTCTTAGGGGAGAATTTAGAGTAGACAGTGTCTTGGTATATCGCCTTGGGGTGAATGCCATGTTGTGGATGATCTGGAGATCCACAGCTAGTTAACCTGCACCATCTCATTTTCCACGACCGTATGTCACAGAGTCCACGGAAGTGCAGAGCTGTTTAGGTGACTCCCCAGGGTTCCACAGCCGGCCCGTGGGTGGGCAAAGATGTTAATGGAAATATGTATACTTCAGTCTCTGTGTTGCTTTGCTTGGTTCTTCTCCTTCCAGTCATAATGAGGAACAGATATTAGGAATTTGGCTTCTCCAGGACTGGGAGACAGTGCATGTCTTCATTTTTGAGTTCTTTGAATGTTTTAGAAAAACACCAGGTCAAATAGTGCCTGAGTATATTCAACTGTTCACACATTTATAAAGGATCTAAAGACAGCAGGGATGCACCATGTTCCCTCTTTGTATGGTTTGTGTGGGCTTCTCCTCTGTGGTTGTGGTAGTTCTGAGCCATCTGTAGCTTTGACTCGGGGTTGAAATGCCTGCTGAGGGTAATGCGAGATACAGAAAGATGCTGCTTGACCCAGGCTATCACCACAGCTGTGGCCCTGCTCTTGTGAGAGTGTGTTGTAAATGACCAACCCAGAACGAGGGATCTGGTGCTCTGAAGACTTCGTGGGAAGTGATTCCTGGTCCTGTCATTTTACAGAGATGAGAACTATGACCCAAACATAAGTTCAAGGGCACACAGCCTGTTGACACTTATGGTTAGATTATTACTTCATCTCTAGAAACCCAGACCAGAGCTGGGCTTTGCGTGGGCCCTAAGGCACATCAGACCCCAATGTGCAACTCAGCTCTGCGCCCCTGGACATTGCCCTCAGCCTCTTTAAGCGTTGGTTTCCTCAACTGCAAAGTCATAGGTAGTGTAGATAATGGGTGAAAACGTTTGGCTTACTACTAAAAATTGTCTGCTTCATTACTATGTGCAGGTTTGTTCCCCGCCCTCTTTCCCCTTCCCCCGGCCCCAGCCCCTGTCCCTATAGCACATCACACAATATTGTAACGGCCTGTTTACCTGTCTGCATCTCCCACCGGACAGTGAAGGCTGGGATTCACTCTTCTCTATGAAATTTCCTACTATGAAAATAGGTCCTCAGTAGACACTTAGTGAATGAAGGAGTGGTGAATGCCAAGATGCCCCTACAGTCAGAGTCAACAGCCCATCAACCACCAGTTGGTAAAGTTCGATTTGTTTTACAAAGTAAATGTGCTTCCACATTTGGTCCTGGTGCCTGATCCCATTGAGTTTTTGCAAAGGGCCTTGGTGCCTTTGTGTTTAGTCTAACTCAGTTCAATTGAATTTAGTGACTGTCTGCTCTGCAGGTTGCTCAGGATCTCTGTCCTCAAGGAGTTCCCAGACTGTGGGGAGAGGGCAGATATGAAGGACTCACTGTAATGTGCAGTGAACGTTTCAGCTAGTAGAGAGTTACAGGAGTTGGGAACATTGATAGGGAGGCAGGGAAATCTACCAGGGAAGGTCAGAGAAAGCTGCAGGGTGGAGGCACCTGGTATACCAGGAGGCAAGGGCATCCCAGGACGAAGGCATAGCCTGGGGAAGAACCTGGCGTGGAAAGTGTGTGGTGTGTTAGGGCCAAGCAAGTATACTGCTGTGTTCAAAACGGATGTTTTATATATACATATCTATAAGTGTATTTAGATATGGATATATATATTCCTTCAGATTCACACATATGCATAAACGTATGTAAATATATAGAGATATATACATTTTTCCCTTGGCAGGTGTGAAGCCCTTCAAGTGTTCTTTGTGTGAGTATGCAACTCGTAGCAAGAGTAACCTCAAGGCTCATATGAATCGTCACAGCACTGAGAAAACCCACCTATGTGACATGTGTGGCAAGAAATTCAAATCAAAAGGGACACTGAAAAGTCACAAACTCCTTCACACTGCAGATGGTGAGTAAATGGCCCAAGGTGAACTTTCCCCTCTAAATGTGTGGTTTGAAGCTGATGTTCCAGTTTGTCAGAAACTTGCTGTACCAGAGGCAGGAAAGAGCACTTGCCCGTTAGAAGGAGCTTCTGGAAGAGCGGTGAAGACCAGGCCTGACTTCCTCCCATTCCTGTGCTCAGTGCCTCACTTCCAGCAGGTGCAGGATAAACACTTACTGGGTGTGTCGGTGCCAGTGGTGGAGGTATGCAGGGAGGGAAGCTGCTTCAGGAAAGGAGGTGTCTTCAGAAAGCCTTGATCCATGGTTCCGAAGTTTCCATCCTTTTTAGCCCTCCATCACCACCTGGAGCTCAAGGATCTTGAGGGGCAACCTTGATCACACCTGGCCTGATTTTTCAAGTGAGTCTCTTATCATCCAAGCTACCTCAGTGGTGGAACCAAGTCTAAAGTAAAACCAACATTTGGGCAGATTTGACCTAGATAAAGTATACTTAAGTGGATTTCTAATTTCATTCATTCATTAAGAACCATTGATTGAGTTCTTATATGTGCTAGACAGGGAGGTAGGTTCTAGGGATACCAGGTCAAGTAGAGACAAGTTCCTGCGTTCAAGGAGTTCGTAATCTAGAAGGCAGGGCAGAAGAGCAGGCAGGCCACGGTAAAGGTAAGTGCAGTGATGGAGGGGAGCTCGGGAGCCCTGGGAGCAGGGCATGGGTCGAGGTGGGTGGTGAGCTCGGTGGGCAGTGGGCACAGTCTCCCTGGCACAGGCTGGATAGAGGGAAAGAAGATTTGTTCTAGGAAGACAGGCAGCTAAACTGTAAGAGACTTTTAACATTTTTGATTTTACTTAGACAGGTTGTGTGAGGGACTTGTAAATACTTCATGTAACAAGATTAATAAACTTTATAAATGTATTGTTATTTACCAAAATTATATATAAAAATTGGAGTTTACTATAGAAATCAAAATTATTTCAACAGTGATTTTTAATTTCAAAATTTAGTGGATGATATAGCTCTTAAGTTCTATCTTTATTTTAAGATTGTTCTGAAAATCAATCCTGTTGTGTGTGTGGGGGTTGGGCCCTTGGCAAGTATTCAGGTGAGCTCGAGGGACTCAGTGCAAAGGCTGAATACTTGGCTGGGATTCATCAGAATTAAAGATCAAGGGCTTGCCTAAGGCTGAAAAAGAGCCAGAGCCATAAGTATTAAAACTTAAGCAGTACTCTCTCTAAAAAAAATCCATAATCAAAATTAAAAATACAATGACAGTAAAGCAGTCATACTTGAATAATGAAAGCATTAAAGTCATGTAGTTTTTTATGATTCTACGCCTCCACAAACAATAAGCCTTACTGACCGCTCAGCTGCCTGAACGTTTAGGCAAGAATTACATTTCTTAAGATGATGATAGCACATAACTACTGCAGTCCTTCAGTAATGAAGAGCAGCTGTCCCCAGAGGCAGGGAAGCCTGGAGTATCCAGTAGGCCACGGTGACAGGGTCAAGAAGGCATTCACAGGCACTGAACAGGGTTCTGTCGTCTCATGCCTGGTTCTGCAGTCTGGGCTTAGCCTTTGAGCAGATAGAAGCCATTTAATTTGTCAGGCCCTGGACCAACTGATATAGAGGGATGGGGTCGGTGTGAGTAGTTGGTGGTATCACGGGTCCACAGCAGCACACTCTGCCTATCCTCTCTGTCATGATTCTCTGAGTTCTTCGGCAGGAAAGGGAGTTCAGATGGACAAAGATGTCTTGTTGTCAAAGCAGGAATGCAACTCCTGAAAAGGAATGGTATTCAAACATTATGAAGTATTTTCTAACAAAACATTGGGAATTTGTATTGTTTCTCTTTCTTTCTTTCTGCTGACATTTTTGGGAGGGTGAGGTATTTGTAAAGTCATGTCTTTGTTTTCAGCACTTTTCAGTTCTCTGGTAAGAAGGGCATCCAGGTCGGGCACAGTGGCTCATGCCTATAATCCCAGCACTTTGGGAGGCCAAGGGAGGTGAGTGGGTTGCCTGAGCGAAGGAGTTTGAGACCAGCCTGGGAAACATGGTGAAACCCTGCCTCTACCAAAAATACAAAAAATTAACGGGGCATGGTGGCTCACACCTGTGGTCCCAGCTACTTGGTAGGCTGAGGTGGGAGGATTGCTTGAGACTGGAGGCGGAAGTTGCAGTGAGCCAAGATCGCACCACTGCACTCCAGGCAGGGTGACAGAGTGAGACCCATTCCCTACACCCCCCCTGCCAAAAAAAAGAAAGGCATCAGTCATCAGGTGCAATGAGAGGACCACTGGAACAGGTAGCTTGCCTCAGTGCCAACTTTTTCCACTACTTGGGTCTCAGTTTTGTCACGTCGCAAAATAAAGAAATGATACCTTCACGTTTCTTGGGTTTCTTTCAGCCTCAATTCTCTGATTCTAGGAAGAAAGGGGTAAAGTAGAGCAAAAGGGATGGAAATAGGAGGGGCCGGTACAGCTTTATTTCTAAATTCCAGATGATTGCTTTCCCACAGGGCTGCTGTACTTCATTATTTGTGTTTCTCTTTTGACGCTTACCAGTCTCATGTTTTGCCTGGGACTGGCTTGGTAAACAGGGTGCTGAGTCATAGACCCCTTGTTCTAGCTCCATTGCTGATCTAGGATGTAGCTTTAATTAAGCTATAGGTGAGTCATTTCCTTTTTAATTTTCTCCCATAACATGTCTATTATAGAAACTTTGAAAAAAGTTTATTTACATCTCTTGCTTATTTCTGTAGTGCTCATATTTTATCTTGTTGATGTCTTACAGCTCTTTGTATCTTAATACTTTGTCATCATTTGCCTCTATGTTTTGTTTATGGTATCTTTTTATATACAAAGTTAAATAACTTTGTTCATTTATTTTCCTTTATGTTTTCATCTTCCATGATTCTTTCTGTCAAAAGAAACCTTCCTCAGTTTGGGGCAAAATTCTTTTACTTTTTCTTTGAGTTTTATTTTATGATTACATAACATTTATGAAATTTAATATTCTTGCAATTTATTTTAGCGTATGGTATGTGGTTGGAATCTTTGTTTCCAAACAGTTATCATTGACTCAGTATATTTATAGAGAAATCAGTCCTTTCAATTTTATTTTGCAGTGCCAGAATTTCCCAAGATATTGGGTCTAATTCTGAGATTTTGGTCTGTGTCAGTGATTTTTGTACTAGTACCTTATTTTTCAAGCTGTTCTAGTAATTAACTTTATTTTTATCCAATAAAGTTAATTTTTTTATGAAGCTTACATAGTTTTTCTCATTTAGTTATTATTCCTTTGGATAAACTTCAGAATTGTTCATCAAGTTAGGACTATCCCTGGGGATGACCTTGTGAGCTCTTTGAGGATGTCTGTAACATGCTTTGAATCCATTGGTCACCTGTGCTTGTGCAGGTGCCTTGGTTGTCTTGATGAGGCTCTCAGCCTTTAACCATAGAATTAGCTTTTTACTTAGAAGCCAAGATTGCCTTACAGCCTGCCTGGAATTATTTGGTTTTAGTTGTATTTGTGGTATGAGTAATAACTGAATAGGTTGCTCTGTAGAGAAGCTGTGTAGAGTAGGTAGAGCTAGAGAGGCTTGGGTGTGGATCTGTTTGCCCCTTCCTAGTAGGGTGATTTTGGTCAGATTACTTCTCTGAACCTCACTTTCCTCATCAGTAAACTGGGATAGGTATACCCTCTTGTTGAGTGGGTCTGAGGATCAAAAGACAGGAAGTGCACCCCATGTTTGCCTGGCGGCCTCCTGCTCTCCTGGCTGCCCTGCCTCGGCATCCTGTCCTGGTTCTGCCTTAGCTTTCTGATTACCTCTCGGAGGCCACAGGGTTCAGCCTGTGGGCATTGTTCTTTTTTTTTTTTTTTTTGTTCCCTGTGTCAGAGTCTCACTTTGTCAGCTAGGCTGGAGTGCAGTGGTGCAATCCCAGCTCACTGAACCCCACCTCCTGGGTTCAAGTGATTCTTGTGCCTCAGCCTCCCACCATAGCTGGGATTACAGGCATGTGCCACCATACCCAGCTAATTTTTGTGTTTTTGGTAGAGATGGGGTTTCGCCATGTTGGCCAGGCTGGTCTTGAACTCCTGACCTCAAGCGATCTGTCTGCCGTGGCCTCCCAAAGTGCTGGGGTTACAGGCATGAGCCACCATGTGTTCTTTTTTTCTTGACACCTTAGGTGATCCCCGCAGTCTTATGGCTTTAAACACCATTTAGATAGAAGATGTATGGTTTGGCTGTGTCTCCGCCCAAATCTCATCTTGAATTGTAGCTCCCATAATTCTCATGTGATGTGGGAGGGACCCAGTGGGAGATAATTGAATCATGGGGGCAGTTTCCCCCATACTGTTCTCGTGCTAGGGGTAAGTCTCACGAGATCTGATGGTTTTATAAGGGGTTTCCCCTTTCTCTTGGCTCTCCATTTTCTCTTGCCTGCCACCATATAAGATGTGCCTTTCACCACGATTGTGAGGCCTCCCCAGCTACATGGAACTGTGAATCGTTAAACTTCTTTTTCTTTATAAATTACCTAGACTCAGGTATGTCTTTATCAGCAGTTTGAAAACGGACTAATACAGAAGGCTTCCAAACTTGTATTTCCAGCCCTCTTGTTCCTCCCAGCCTTGGCACTGCCATGTCTGAAACTGCCCACTCAACATCTGCATTTGGATGCCCACCTGGCCCCCCAAGCTTAGCGTGCTCAACATTAAGCTCCCAATCTTCGTCCCTAGACCCGGTCTCTTATGGCCCAGGGGTTGCCAAAGTTTGTAAAGAGATTGTAAGTATTTTTGGCTTTGAGTGCCACATCCAGTTTTCTCTTTTTTGTAGTTTTTATTTTTACGAACTTTGAAAAGTGTAAAAGCCAGACTTCGGTACAAAAGCAGGAAGTAGGCTAAATTTGGTGCTTGGGCATAGGCTGCCAACCCCTGCTGTACCCCATCTTGGGAAATGGCTACTCCTTTTCCTTTGCTCAAGTCAAAAGCATTGGGTCAGTCTTGACTGTCTCATTCATACCCCACACATGATCCATTAGCAAATCCTGTGCGTTCTGTCTTTAACATGATCTGGAGTTCTCCCGCTTCTCAACACCCTCATGCCATCCTTTTTGTACTGGCCACTGTCATCTCCTGCCTCCATTCTTGCAGTAGCCTCCTAACTGCTTTCCCTAGAACCTCTCCTGGTCCCCACAAGTCCATTCTCAACAGAACAGCCAGTGATCCTGTGGAAACAAAGGCCAGGTCGTGCCATTCCTCTGTTCAGAACCCTCCTGTCTATCTGCTGTCACTCTGAGTGGAAGCCCAATTCCTCACCATGACCTGCTTGATCCCCCCATCTCTCTGATGTCTTCTCCTACTCTCCCCCAGCTAGCATCTCTCCACACATATTGTATTCATTCCTTTTTTTTTTTTTTTTTTTTGAGACAGAGTTTCGCTCTTGTCGCCCAGGCTGGAGTGCAGTGGTGCCATCTCGGCTCACTGCAACCTCTGCCTCCCAGGTTCAAGCGATTCTCCTGCCTCAGCCTCCCGAGTAGCTGGGATTACAGGCACCCACCACCACACCCAACTAATTTGTATCTTTAGTAGAGATGGGGTTTCACCATGCTGGGCAGTCTGGTCTCGAACTGCTGACCTCAGGTGATCTGCCCGCCTCAGCCTCCCAGAGTGCTGTGATTACATGTGAGCCGCCATGCCCAGCCTATCTTCATTCTTGTTCCTCACACCTGCCAGGTATGTGCTCATCTCAAGGGTTTTGCTTTGGCCCTTCCCTCCTCCTGGAGTGTTCTTTCCCCCTGTCTGAATGGATACCTCCTTCATGTCCTGGAGGTCTTTATTGACGAGTCACTCTGAATGAGTCTTCCCTAGGTGCTCACGTATGGAAGGTCTCCATACCCCACCAAGTAATCCAGACGCCCGTGGCTTCCTGTGCTGCTCTCCTTGGCTTATCTTTCTCTAGTGCATTATATAGTTTCCTTATTTACTACTTTTTTGTCTCTGTTACTGGAACTGTCCCACTAATTACTTCATACTCTCTTTCATGTTTTTTACTTTCTCTTTAAACCAACCCTTCTCCAGTGTACTGTATAATTTCCTTATTTATGATGTTTTGTGTCTTCCACTAGATTGTAAGCTTCACAAGCAGAGATTTTCGACTTACTACATTTATTTTGTATCCTCAGCACTTAGAACAGGGCTTGGCTTATCATAGGCACTCAATAAATTTGTGTTTATTGAATGAGTGGAAAATGTAAAGTGCCTTGCATGAAGTGGTTGCGATATAGTAGTACTCACAAAGTGTCAGTGATTTTCTCCATTTCATCTTAGATCATTCTGTTAAATCAAATGCTTGTGAATTAGGTATTTTAAAATATGGTCAAGGAACTCACCATTAAATGAATCTTCTTGGGCATTTTTTAATGAAGTAAAAAGGAATTGAATAATTACAATTACCCTTTCTTCTAACTACTTGTGAATCCAATTTTTCACATTTGCTGGCTTAAAGTGATAGATCCCTATCTGTGGCATTCCTGTTTCCCAAAGGAACTCATTACTGTACCTTAGAAAAGATAGCTCATTCTGGGTGAAGGTTTCAGTTAAAAAAGTTTGCCAGTCAATATGTACAAAGAGAGAAATTGATCTATAAAGGGCTCGATTAAACCCTTTGTGTGTATGCCAACAGGATGTAAGAATTTAATGCAAAGATCATGCTGTAATGTAGTTTCCCACTTTTGACTTTAAAAAGCCCTAGACATGATGTGCTGTCTGGAGGTTTATACACGATTCTGCCCACCCATAGCAGATGGGGAAGGTTAAGCTGTACAGTGCCTTTATGTTATGTAATCAAACAGGAATCCTTAAATCATGAAATAATAAAAGTCTTTGGAGTTTATTTCTAATTCCTTTGGGTCTCTCCCCTCCCCCTGATCCAAACTGCCCCTGTACATTTTAATTAAGAAGTTTTTGGGTAAAATTTGAAAAGAATTATCCAGGCTTCAAGCACTCTTGTAATAGACAAGTGGAGAGTTGAGTATGGAAATTAGGTTTGAGTGGAGTAAGTACCCTTTTTTTCTGTCCCTTCTTCAATTTATGATAAGAGATCTCATGGCTGCAAATTAAAATATTCTAGGAGATCTAAGTATGGAGTTTTGTTTTGTTTTCCTCCACTGTCCTCTAAAAAGCAAAGCCACTCTAGGATAAAGTAGCTCCATGGCCTTTTGCTTCTAAAAACAGAACCAGGAAGTAAATAGAAAATGGTCCCTGAGCACCTAGCTGGATTGATCTTACAAGGTTAACTTGCGAGACTTCAGTGAGACTGGTCTTTCCACTGCATCCTTTTCCCTTTTGTTCCTCCTCCTACTTGCCCTTGGAGAAAAGGTGAAGAGGCAGGTGTGGAAGTGTGGCTACTGGATGAACATGGTAGATTTCTGTTGCTTATCACTGGGCTGGAGTCTGGGTGGTGGGCAGGAGAAGGCAGGGCTAATTTCAGGGCCCACAAATACTGTTTAATAGGTTCACCCTGTTGGTGTTCATATGTAGCTCTTTTTCTCAGGTTTTTATAAACCACAAGATCCACTGGGAATAAGTGGGCCCATACTATAAAATGAACTACGCAGCTTACTGAGCAATTAGCTTAGATTGATATACAGATTTAACTTTTTAATGAGGCTTGGCCACCTAAAACCTCACCAGGTAGAGGGTCTCAGCTGCAAATGTCTGGCACAGTGTCTGTAACTTTCATCTAGCCCTGGTGCTGTGCTCTGTCCTTTATGTGGCTTTGTGCTGCCTTCGGTTTCTTTCCACCTCTGTCTTATGCTGATCCATCCCTCCTTATATCAAAACTGATGTACTAATTACAGAGAATCATCAGGCCCTAAGTCTGCAGTTGCTTGAAGTTCAGCCTTTAAAGTACAGAGACTTCTTTAACTGTATTTTTATTGCTGTAGCTATTTCTGTTCGATTTGCCACTGCATAAATCACCACAGATGCTAGAACTGTGAAGATGTGTGCTTTGCAAAACACTTGCTGCAAAATGCCTGTTATGCTTCCTGCAGGACGCTTTTCTTACATGAAGCAGCAAACCTCTGTGTGCTGGGCTACATGGAGAAGCGAGGAGGTAGAGTAGGGAAAACCTTGTGCTCCAGAGGCAGGCCCAGGCTGGAATCACTTCTTGCCTGAACAGTCTTGAACAGTGATCCCCATTTGTAACATGGAAGTTACATGTTTCCCCGTGACTCCTGTAACAAATTACCACAAAGTTAGCGACCTAGATCAACACAGATGTATTATGTTGCAGCTCTGGAGGTCAGCGATCTAAAATCAAGGTGTCAGCCTGGCTGCATTCCTTCTGGGAACTCTGGAGGGGAACCTGTCTCTGCATCCTGTGGCTTATGGACCTTTTCCTTCACATTCAAAGCCAGCAGTCCAGCATCTTCCCATCTCTTCTGTCCCTGCTTCCATCACCACACTCCTTCTCTGACTTTAAGCCTCCTGCCTTCCTTTTATAAGGACCCTTGTGATTTCACTAGGACTACCTGGATAGGCCAGGCTAGTCCCCAGCTCAAGATCTTTAGCTTAATCACATCTGCAAACTCCTTTTTATTTTTTTTCCATATATGATAGCATGTATAGGTTCTGGGGATTAGAACCTGGATATCTTTGGGAGGGCCATTATCAACCCACAGCATGGGGTTGCAGGAAGATTAATTGGGTTCATACTATGGATGTCAGCTCATGTACCCATTCCTCTGGTGCATGAACCAGTAGCTCTTAATGACACAGTATAAGAATGGATATCTGTAGCAGTTAATTTACATCATTAGGAAAGATTAAGTCACTTTTTTTTTTCAAATATTCTCCTATTAGGAAGGCACAGTGCAATAGTTAATATTTAAAGAGTATCACTGTTGGAAAGGGTAAAAGTCAGTTTTCTGAAAAAAAGGTAAAGTCAATTTTCTAAAAACTCTTGAAAATTTACTTATGTAAAATACCACCTTTTTCAGTAAGACTGGATAAACAGTCATAAGGAGGCATTTTTACTTTTATGCCTCTAGAATAGTATTACTAATAACAGTTGAGATTTATAGAAATTCTTTCCTCTAAGTACTTTAGAGCTCTTTCAGGTTTGAGGTGCACATAAAATTTGATTTGGCAAGGATGATTTAATTTAGCAGATACTTCAAACAAGTTGCCTTAAATCCCAAGGAATTTTTCATTGCCGTCTCTCTCTGTGTTCTGATGGAATCCAAATGCCAAAAGCTGAAGGTGACGTTTTAAGTTTTTTTCTTTCCTACCATTCCATTCCTTCTTAGTTTTACATAGAACTCTATCTAAAGTAAGCAAGCAGCTGGAGTCATCCTCAGGGAAAGTCACCAAGCAGATGAGGCTGTAGTAAGAAACAAAGGGAACAACAGGTGCCGCACATACTGTTAGTGCCAAGTCGCCAGGCTGGGGCTTCATAGATCCCACGGTGGCCTGCCCACAGCTGCCGGGAGGCCAGGAGCGATTGCCTTTCTTTTCAGGAGCAGAGAATGGGAGCTCAGAGTGTGGCTCCCTTGCAGCTGAGCTTCAGAGGTCTAGGGCGACATGGGTGCCTTTGTGCTTCCATATCCAGCTGGGAATAACTTCCTGCTTGAGCCCAGGGGCTTCAGCAAGGCAGGTACCCTGCTGGCTCCCCCACCTACCACATTGACATCCCCCTCTCCTTCCTTCAACGTGGAGAGTCAACGGGAAGCGAAGTTCGAACTCTCGTAGGTTTGGTCGGTCACATCTCTCTAACCTGAGCTAGGATAACAAGTATTCCTGTTTCTTCTTTCCTTCTCCTATTTTCAAGTCCCCTCTTCCCTTTCTAACAGGACAACGTGGGTAATGTTTTACCTGGGTAAGGCTGGAGTAAAGAGCAGAGCTCAGATTCTCTGACTCCAGACCCTGTGCTGGTTTTCACTGTCTGGTGATCTTTGAATTCAGCCAGCATCCAGTTGCCAGGCCCAGGCAGCGCTGCAAAGGACAGAGGTCAGCTTTGCTTCATCAGTCATGGACATGCAGTCCCAGCACTCATGCTTAGGCAAAGAAAGAGGCTCCTTCCAAAAGAACACTTGAAAGTGGAGAGAGATTTTGCAAAGATATGCCTCACCTTTGGAGAGATGAACAGAAACAATGGAAATGACATTTTCGTGCCTGCATCCCCATCTTTGAAGGAGAGTTCAACCAGATCACACATTTTTTAAGGGAAATGGAGCTGCTAGTGAAACACTGTATTTCCAGAAAGAGCTGCGGTGTCTGCAGTGGAAACCTCCAGCAAGCCTGGCACTCAGAAAGATGTCTAACTGAAAACTACAGGGCCAGGAACACTGATGGGATCCCTTTCCCTCCACCAGCAACATCAGCCTGCATAAGTCTACAAACTGCCATACAGTCTTCAAAGTTTATCTTTGAACTACACGACACATCTTTCCTTTCTTAAACGAATTTGTTGCCGATTCTCAAGAACCTTCCAAGGAAGGTTCTTGTTTTGTTGTGTTATTTTTATTTTTACGTTTTTTAAATTAAAGTAACACGTACACACACACACGGCACACACACACATGCACACATACACGCACACATGCACAGTTCAGGAGTGTACAGCTCAATGGATTGTTACAAAGGAGGCACACCTGTGTAACTGCAGCTTAGGAGAAGAAACAGCACACTGCCAGCCTCTTGGCAATTTCTTCCTCCTGCAACATTATTGCCTGTCTCTCCTCCCCAGAGGTAACTACTTACTGCCCTGACTTCTAGCAGCATAACTTGCTTTTCTCTGTCTTTGAACTTCATAGAGTTGATTCATACAATATGTGTTCTTTTATGTCTGGCTTCTTCCTTTTCACATTGTGCTTGTGAGATTCATCTAGGTTGTTATGATTTTGAGTTTTACCATTTTACCATCTGGGCCTGTGGGTCAAATAAAGAATTTCATAAGGAAATGAGATTCTAAATTCTGCAATTTCTGACCAGGAAGTCTTTGTTCCCACAGTCAGCTTTTTTTTTTTTCCCCACCGTGGCAATATTCTTGCAGTCAGCTTGGAGCATGTGTTCTGCAAGAGTGTTTCTCCAAAAAGTGGTATGACTCAGCTTTGCTTTGTCCTTATTTACAAGGTGTGGCTCAGAATGACATTTGACTGCTTACAGAAATTAAATCCTGCCCAAGAGGAAAAGAAGCGACTACTCCTGAGATTATTCGCACAATTAGGCCACTGGCTCTTTTTTGTGAAGAAGAGGGAGAAAGATGCTTGGTCAGAAAGAGCACCCGTAAGTCAGTGCGTAGCCAGTCAAGGCTGGGGGGCTGTTTTTTAAAAGACAGTGAACTTTCAGGTTCAGAAGCCATTGGTATCATTTTATGGCTCTGCGTTGAAAGATCTGTCTTCTGGTTTGTGTGCAGTAGCGGATGAAACATCTCAGCCTTTCAGAGATGGGTGCTAATTATCTGAAATGCTTTTCTGTTAGAGCACAGACAGCACGAAAACAATGTTCATAAAAATCCAACTGCTTCCTACAAGTATGCCCACAATTCTATCACCTAACAAATAAATGATTCTTTAAAAATCTTTATTCATGCTCATATGGAATGGCTGTATAGTTGTAATGAAAGGATATCATTCTTACAGCCTTGAAATTAATATTATAATAATTCTTCGTTGCTGTACAGTTCATTAATAACAAGTTTAAGAGTTGTATGATGCACTAAGGTGATCCATGAGTTGTGTAACCATTCCCTTATTTTCGGACAATGTGTTATTTTCATTTTTCCTCCCATTATTTTAACTTATGTGGCAGGGGCTTCTTTCTTGCATGTAAACTTTGTCTTCTTTTGAATTAACTCCTTAGGACACATTTCCAGGAGCGGGATGGCTATTTTGTTTTGGTGGTTTTAATTGTGCATTGCACTGCCAACTTCCTTTCCAAAAAATTGTACCAGAAATAAGAAAGTGTCCCAGCTTAACTCTTCCATTTTTAACACTGTGTTACTAAAAATGTCTAGTTTCTTAGTTTAATGGGTATCAAATCTTACCATGTTATACTTTTTATTTATATGATAGCTCATAAAGTCAAACAGGTATTGTGACAGTTAAATGAGTTAATGGTCATAAAGCATTTGTAGCTTTGGTTCATAGTGCTGTGTAGGAGAGTGTGCTGTAATTGGACTTTTTTCAGTTAATTAAGTCTCATTCTGTCCTCTCTAGAGAACGCTGTTTGGTCAAGACCTATTTTTGCCTGGTTTCTGGGGTCTTGGTGTTTCATAGTCATACATTCACTGGTTCATTCAACAGCTATACTTCTTGGACTCTTGGTTGCAGCTGACAGAAACTCATATTGGTTGCAGTTGACAGAAACTCATTTGAGGTCACAGAAGTCGCCACGGGGCATTTATGGTAAAGTTACCTGGGATCTTACAGAGACTCAGAGCCTTTGTGTTTGAGTTCCTTCTTCCCAGTGCTGTGTTCACCTCTTCCTCATGCGGCTGGTCCTCCTCATCCTTCCATCTTAGTATAACGTCACTTCCTCACAGAGGCCTTCCCTGACAGCCTGGCCACATGGCCACACCTCTTCCACACTCCCTCATGCTCCACCATGGCTCCTTGCCTTTGTCCTTCGTGGCGTGTTGCAGTTGGTAATTATTTGTTGGACTACTTGCTGGTTGTCCATTTAGGTGATGAGTGCCAGAGGCAGGGCCTTTGCTGTCTTGTCCACTCTCATCTCCTGGGATCAGGCATGGTCCTGGCACCCAGCAGCCCCTCCGTGAATGCTCGCTGAGTGAATGGACACAGCCAGCCAGGAGATTGTCTTCATCCTCCACCTTTGGTCCTCTCTGCTTCCTTACTTCATTCTGATGTCCTGTCTCTGTCTGTCTTCGCTGTGCTCTCCTCTCACCCCCAGCAGATTGGCTTGCTTACTTGTTTCACCCACAGAGTGAAAACACAACTCCCATCCACTGCTGAGTTGCAAGCTTCATATCTGGACAGTTCTGATTCCTGGCTCAGCTAGAGTCTCTTGTCCACTGTAGTCCAATCTCCTATGACTTTGGGTGGGGAGATGGTGGGTATGACGACATATCACTGGCCCTTGTGATGCCCTGTGTGACCATGTTGATTATGAGGAGGGGAGAAAGGGTGGCTGAACAGACTTCTGAATGGGGTGCTCCTGTAAATTAACTGCTAGCCTTACCTCCAGGATGCTCTCACCTCCAAGCACTGAGGACATGGCATGAAAATTGCAGTCTTGTCTCAAAGTACCCACAACCTGCAAGGGTGCCAGATGGACCAACCAAAGGTGAATCAGTGCACTGCTTCGGTGATTGCAACCAAAGCCCAAACCCAAAATCTCCACTGTCATGAGGCGAAAATTCTCGTGAGTGAGATGGATAACAAACACTATAAATCAGCAAAGTGTGTGGTATATTACAATGGAAATATGAGTACATCTAAAATATTAAGAAAATTGAGAGATGAAAATAAAAATACAAATATGAAATGATTCCATTTCAGTATGAAAATATAGGCTGAGAAATGCTAAAAATGAATCAGTAAAGGGGCACAGGGACTGATTTTAAACAGAATGGTCTGAAAGGACTCAGTGTGAAGGTGACATTTGAACAGAGACTTGAGGGAGATGAGGCAGCAGAGCACAGCATATCTGGGATGGACACCCCGGGCTCTGGGAACAGCAGGTGCAGAGGCCCGGAGGTAGGTGCGTGGACTGTGTCTATGGAGTGGAGAGAGGTGAAGGCAGTACATGAGCTCTGAGAGGTGACAGGGAGTCATACACCCCTGTGCCCTGCAGCCACTGTGAAGCTCTTGGCTTTTGCTCTGGGTGGAGGTGAGGCCAGATAGGGTGCTGGGAAGAGGAGCAGGAGGTTTTCTGTAAACTCTGCTGTTATAACTGCTTACTTACACTTTGATATAGTTGTACAAACCTTTTCCTTTGCTCTGCTTTTATGCTTTTTGTTTTAGGTATACTGATTTAGGCTGGCTTAATTAGAACTGAATATTTGGATTGTCTCAGGGAGTGTCAGGGAGGTACAGGTCTGGAGGGCACTGCACTCAGCTGAAAGGTCCACTGTGGGGTCACCTGTATGCACCCGCAGCCTCATCCTTCAGGGGGCTGCTTTTCAGATGCTTGCAGGCCCAGTCCCTGAGCCCATCCTCACAGCAGATGGGGATTACCTCCCCATTTTTCTAATGGGGCCTCTGAGTAGCATAGAAGAAAGAACCCAGGGTCACTCAGGGTGAGCAGGACAGGGCCAGAAAGAGAACATAGTTCCCCTGCAACTGGCTCTTCTTGGGCAGTCTTTTCTGATGGGTAGTCACCTTCTGATGGGCAGTCACCTTATGTGTTAGTGGCACAGATATGCCATTGCTGGTATAAATTCCTCCTTCCATTTCGGAAATTGTATCACACCCTTATTAGCTGAAAAGATTCTTATGTGGCTGTGAATGGGGGTGTTGGGGTCAACAGACTGAGGGCCAAATCTGGGCTCTGCCACTTATTTGAAAATATAAGCTGTATTTTCAAATAAGCTTATATTTGAAGCTTATTTGAAGCTTCGTGATCTGGCAAGTACTCAGAGTCTTGATACCAGGTCCTCATCCATGAAAGGGTGACACTGCCCACCTCCTGGGTTTTTGGTGCATGGTAAGATTTTACACGTCATGCCCCAGTGCAACTCATGATGCCTAGTAGTCCAGTGAGTAGACCTAGCCAGGTATATTTTAGGGAAAAGGCATTACTTTTTATCAGTCAACCTCTTTTCTTTGTAATCATTCTTTTCTTCCCCTGGGATTCTGGGAGATTCGCATCCACGTACAGCCATTCGATGTGCATCTCCCAGCACTCTGAGGTCAATCTCACCTCGAGTAAATACTAGGTTTTGCAGTTGACTCTGCTTGTAAGTCTCAGAAGTCTCTTGATAGAAAGCCATCTGATGGTCTCAAAGTATTGCTCTTTTATGATTAGTCATGAATCTGCATCCCATTATTTTAATTAGGCAGCAAATAATTATGTCAGATGCCCTCCCAGGCCTGTTTGATAGGTGCTGGCAGTGGTTGCTGAAAACATTAGTAATATTTATTGCCAGGGCTCTGATGCTTCAGTAAGGGATGGCTTTTAGCTTCTGCCTTCTTTTCTTGTCTCTTGCAGAGCCTTGGAAGTACATCCATAAAAGGCTGACTCTTGATTTCAAATGAGGCAGTTCCATTTATTCATTTTAGGACTCTTTTTTAGCTCTTAATCTGTTACTCTTTGACCCAAGTGTTTGACAATGAATGACAGAATATTTATCAACTTAGAGAATGGTTCCATCAGCTCTGCTTCCCCCACTCTAGTGGTGAAGAACACAGCACAGTTTTGCCCAGGCTGCCCAGAATAATGATGCTGTATGCACATGAGCCATGTGTCAGTGGAGAAGTGTGTTTAACTGAGATTCAACTGGAACTGTGTAGAAATGTGTGGCCCTGTGTTTGAAAGAAGATGTTACTGTATTTTTTTTAAGTTCTAATTGCTCTCTAATTGTAACTTGTGTGACTTACAAGTGAAAAAGTTTCCTTACACTTTGGGCTTGCAGAATTAATAAAATTTAGAATTTTGGGTTCATTCACCTGGAATAATAGATACAACTGTGGTATTAATATTTGTTTCCTTTTGCTGCTGTTATTGAGGCTGATGTTCATATAAGATGTACAAAATTTTCACTCAGTTCAGTTTAATGAAATGCATGGAATATATTCAGTCTGTGTGTGCACTCATGTGCTGGGGTACCAAGATGAGTAAGATGTAGTCCCTGCCCATGGGCAGCTGAAGGCAGCCCTGCCTTGTACAAGGCGGTAGAGGTGGGGCATAGACTGAAGCAAGTGGACAGTGTGTAGGGGGCCTATGGAGGGCTGCCTCTTGGCCCAATTACCAGAGTGTTCAATTTGAGTTCTGAATTAACAGGAAGAATGACCAGATGCTGCGAGACAGTGCATTCCAGGCATGGAAAATGTTAGCAAAGGCTCAGGGGTCTGAGATTGCAAAGGCAAAGCAGAAAGTTTGGAGAACTCAAGGAGTTCAGTGTTATGAGCCTAAATACAGAAGGGGCAGGCACAAGAGAAAGTCAGAGAGAGGGGTGGGGTGGGTTGGGGAGAGTTGGTTCTGATTCTGGAGGGCCTTCTCTGCTGTGCTCTGGAACGTCAACTTTGCTCTGAAGTTGGGGCCATTGGTTGGTTCTGATGGCTAGACTGTGGGATGGTTTATGCTGTACATCATCTGGATAGAAGATGAGGCATCAGGATGCATGTGTGGATAGATGGGTGGATTATGGTTGATGGATGGATGGATGGATGGATGGATGGATGGATGGATGGATGGATGGTTGGTAGGGTTTTATGAAGGCAAGGAAACCAGCTTAGGGGCTTTTGCTGTTGTCTAAGAAAGAAATGAGGAGGACCTAAACCAGTGTGGAGGTATTAGAAATAGAAATAGACAGACATGAGAAATATTTAGGAGATGAAATCAGGTGCTGAAAAAATGAGGTGAGTGTAAGTTAGGGCCATAAAGATTTTGAGGAAGGCTACTGGGTATCTGATGTAGGTGATCAGATGGATGATAAACTGGGAAGGCTGGAGGTGGAAGCCATTTGGTGAAGAAGATGTGTCCAGCTTAGGACATTTGGGACAGCTAAGTGGCTGGTCTAGCAGGCAGTTGGATACTCAAGTCTCAGATTCAGAGAAGAGATCAGAGTAGAAGATGCTGATTTTGGCATCAAAGGTTTACAAAAGTCTGAAGGGGTCAGTTAGGGTCAGTTATATGCAAGGATGCTTGTAGACTTAGAGTAGGAGTGTGGGCTGGAACACTGTGGAACATCAGGGCCTAATGATAGCTGCCCTGGTGAGAGGGAATGCCTCAGGGGTACTCAGAATGAATAGAGAGGCCCAGAGAGGTGGTATTGTTGCAGAGTCAAAGGAACAGAAGATTTCCAAAGTGTGGACTATTAATGGAGTCACATGCAGTACAGTCATCCAGTAACATACAGACCAAAATCTGCCATTGGCTTGGCATCATAGTGGGAACAGGTTTCCAGGTGAGCTGGCAGTGAATAGAGGGGAGGGGGAATATCTAAGAGGGAAAGGTGCAAGAGTGCTCTGGGAGGAGCCAGCACTTCTGGGAACTCAGCCACAGTGGCTGTGGGTGTAATGCCCTGAGGAGGTTTACACCATTAGAAGCTACTTGTTGAATTCTTTACTGCTATACGAAGTAGGCCACATTTACATTTGGTTACACATGTTTGTGTTATTGCTTGTTGAGGTTTTATTTATGCTAATCAGAGGCAAAATGTAGGGTACCTCATATATCTATTAATTTGTTTTAACATATCCCATTATTGAATGTTTAAATATTGCTAAAACCTTAATCTTTTTTTTTTTTTTTTTGAGTTGGAGTCTTGCTCTGTCGCCCAGGCTGGGGTGCAGTAGCGCTATCTCGGCTCACTGCAAGCTCCACCTCCCGGGTTCACGCCATTCTCCTGCCTCAGCCTCCCGAGTAGCTGGGACTACAGGCACCCGCGACTGCGCCTGGCTAATTTTTTGTGTTTTTAGTAGAGACAGGGTTTCACTGTGTTGGCCTGGATGGTCTCGATCTCCTGACCTCGTGATCTGCCCATCTCGGCCTCCCAAAGTGCTGGGATTACAGGCATGAGCCACCGCGCCCGGCCTAAAACCTTAATCTTTTTAAGACCAGTGGTTTACTTTTCCCTAGTTTTCTTTCTAGCATTCTCCCCAAAATGCCTTTGGCACTCCAAACAGAGTTAGGAGTTCTGCAACGCAGATCCTGCACTTTGCTGGCCATCATCCTGCAGACTCACCTGACTTTCAGGGTTATGTCTGAGGTCCTTGTGAGATGGTCCAGACCCTTGATATTCTGGGCCAGCAACCTCTCTGGCTCAGCTCTTGAATTTCTGCAGACCTCACACTCCAGGAAGGAAGATGCAGCTGCTCCTCTCCAGGAAGGAAGATGCAGCTGCTCCGCTTTCCTGAGCACCCTGTGGTCCATTCCCCTGCAGTCTCATCTGTGTGTGCCCCTCTCCCTTGATGCCCTTCTCTCTGGGCAGCTGGACACACCCTTACTCTTTCTTTAGGAGCCTGATCGAATGTCATTGCTCATGGGGCCTCCCCAGGTGGAGCTGGCTGTGCCTCTCCCTCCCTGGGGAGTGCCTCTCCACTCCCACCTGTTGAAGACTGAGCATGCTGCATTGTGCCTGTGCACCTCGTCGCTGTTCCCTTCTGAGATTCTGATCCTCACATGGCAAGGAACACCTTTGTGTACCTGGCTCCATGCCTGGCACTTCATTCACAGTGGGAGCTGTTGGCCTGGCGACGCTCATCTTGTCCTCCGCTTCTTTCCAGGGAAGCAGTTTAAGTGCACGGTGTGTGACTACACAGCGGCCCAGAAGCCACAGCTGCTGCGGCACATGGAACAGCATGTCTCCTTCAAGGTAAGAGGGCTCTGGAGAAGAAGGCAGATGTTCAGACAAAAAAGGCGTTGCTTTTCAAAGTGAAGATGGAGAGAGCATTCTTTCATTGTTTGTTGGTTTTACCTTCGCTTTGGGGCCCCCTTAGCTGGTACACGTGGAGTCTGAGGCATAGTGCAGCTTATTTGTGCTCTCTCGTTCCAGAAGCGTAGCATTGCTCTGTAATTTGGAAACCAAGTCAAAGATGTGTAAGAGGATGCAGACAGAAGAAAAGGCACGATCTTTGCATAAAAGCACTGGAGTGATTTAGAGGAAGGCTTGCAGGCTTTAGGGACACGTATTTTTGCTTTCAGATCCTGGATTGCTGCAGGTGAGTCACCCGATAAAGCAGGTGTGATGAAGCCCACCCGGCAAGCAGTTGTAAAAACTGGAGATTGTGTTCGGGAGTGTCCACCACAGTGCCCAGCATGTTGCAGGGGCTCAGGAGATGGTGGCATTTCATATTCTTTTAATGCCTCTAATTTGTGTTTCTTCAGTGTAGGTGGTAATGCTTGCTTAGCCACTGCTTATGATGCAATTATTGACAACAATCACTAGGGTCCAGTAATGTGTTCAGTAAAAAGTTCTGCTCAGCACTTGGGGAAACTTGACCCTGAGAATTACTGCTGTTGCTGGCACAGCAACATGGCACACATGGCACACATGGAAAGGAATCATCAAGATTTGTAAACTTGTTGCTCTAAAATGGTTTTTGAAATTATGTCTACCATTACATCCCAGAGAATCATAGAACATGGGAGGGACTGCAGGGCATCTGTTTTGTCCCTCTGGACTTGCAGCTGGTATCACCCCAAAAGTGGTGGCAGTGGAGTTCCTACCAGGCAGTGCCCCAAACTGTCCTGATATAGGGCCTGTTGGGATTCCAAAGAAAGAAGCACTAAACACTGGGGTGATTTGTTTAAAGCAATTACTAAGTCCTTGCCACAGACAGCAAGGGGACAGGGCGTGGGGTGTTCTACTGGGATATGTCCACAGCAAGGTGGTCAGGGTATGGAGTTGTATGAGCCTTAATGGAATTTGGCTTAGGCAGGGCCAAGGCTAGTTTCTTTCAGTGGTGTCTTGGGCAACAATCTAGATACTCTTTTTTTTTTTTTTTTTTTTTTTGAGAAGGAGTCTCACTCCTCTTTTTTTGAGAAGGAGTCTCACTCCTCTGCTCCTCTGTTGCCCAGGCAGGAGTGCAGTGGCACGATCTTGGCTCACTGCAACCTCTGTCTCCTGGTTTCAAGCGATTCCCCTGCTTCAGCCTCCCAAGTGGCTGGGACTACAGGGTGTCTCAGGTAGCCCGCTGCCACGCTCAGCTAATTTTTGTATTTTTAGTAGAGACGGGGTTTCACTATGAGCAACCTAAATATTTTTATTGGTGCCTGAGAATGTTCGAGGCTTCAGTTCTGGTTCAAGCCTGCTGGGAAATCCTGCAGCTGGCTGGCTCACAGAACAGTCAAGGCACCCTGATTTTTGGTCAGGACACAGAAAGAAAGCACTGGGGAGCTGGGCGACCCTACACCAGCACACTGCTAGCTTGTGTTTATTGAACATCCATTGCGTGCAGGCACTGTACCAGGAACTGCATGTTCATCATCTAGAATCTCCTTCATGGTACATATTATCTTCCGTCTTTGAAATACGAAGATTCTAAACCTCAGAGAAGCTAACTGATCACCTGTCAGTCTTTTCTGCCATGGCTATATCCACTGACTTCAGTCACCATGATGATATTGACTCACCTGCATTCAGCACTTCTGAGGTGACGAGGACCTTCCCCACTGGCAAGTTTATTTTATGCTCAGAACAGCCTTGTGGGAGGTGAATTTTCATGGTTCCCCCTCTTGTAGTTGAAGACATTGAGTGTCAGAGGGAGGCTCGGAGGGATCTGCTGGTACGCCTTCAATATCCAGGAAGTGAAGAAGCTAAAACATGGACTTCATCCTTTCACTCCTAGTCTTGTGCTTTTCTCACTACATGTTCTCAGTTACTTGTTGGGGGCAGAAAGGGAGAAATTGGAGAAACTAAGGATGTTGAAAGGTGTTGCTTGTATAGCTGCTTTTTAAAACCACCCGTACTGACTGTGAGTTTCTTAGGTAGGACTCATATGTCACCTAGTGGGATTGTGGCAGTGTCTGAATCAAGAAGCGTCTTTAGCGTTATGCATATTTGTGTACGTATTTAAAATTAAGAGCTTTATTTCACATTTCACAGCATATAGGTGTACTTCTTTGGGGGACTAGTGCAATTATTGTGCTAGAGAATAGAGAGCTAAGGCAAATTTCACTTTAGAGGTGAGAAAATTAGACCCAGTGAGGTTAATTATTTTCCTGGCTTTTGCAGCATTGCTACTAGACTTTTCAATCATTCCTTGGTTTACACTGTGAAGCATTTTCCTTCCCTAAACAGACCTAGCTGAAACAGCCTTTTTGCCCTGAAATCCTTACTGGTTTTTATTGTTGTTGTTTTGTTTTGTTTTTAAGATTGTGGACTATCTGGTTTATGTGCAGAAGAAATGGATTTGGGGGTGGTTTCAGTTAAGGAATCACTCACATATGTATTATTAACTTCTGCCATTACATAGTTGGTGTCCGGTGCTGGGCCTCAGGACCTGCTGCACTGAGCTGGACCTGGGGTCATGGCTGGTTTCCCTTGGACTCCCTGTGGATTTTAGCTTCCTCCCTATTGAGTGGTACTATAGATGGGAATGAGATTCAGACCTGAGTGAGAAACAGTAAATCCAGCCTTAGTTTCTCTCATCCCACAACTTAGGGTATTCATCAAATGCATATCAATTTAGGTAGTGTTTCTCAATTAATTGGGACTGACAAACAAAATGAAATTGCTTCATGCCAACCCCTCATCCAAATAGTGATAATCACTCTCTCCCTGTCGTCTTCCCTTCCCACTCTCTGTGTTAATTTCCTATTGCTCCTGTAACAGATTACCACCAATTTAGTGGCTTAAAATAGTTCAGATTGATTATCTTACATTTCTGTAGTTTGGAAGTCTATCACACATCTCACTAAGATAAAATCAAGGTGTTGGCAGGGCTGCATTTTTTCTAGAGGTTCTGGGAAAAAAAATTCACTTCCTTGCATTTCTGGCTTCTACACGCGACCTGTATTCCTTGGCTCATGGCCACTCCCTTCATCTTCATGGCCAGAAATATGGCATCTCTCACCATGTCTCCTTCTCTGACTCTCCTCTTCTGCCTCCTCTTCTACCTTTAAGGACCCTGGTGGTTATACTGAACCCACTGAGATAACCCACAACAATGAATGTCCTTATCTTAATCTCAGATGATTAGTAACCTTAATACCGCCTGCAGTCTTAATTTATTTTTGCCATGCAAGGTAACATATTTACGGGTTCCGGGGATTAGGACATGGACTTTTTTAAGGGCCATTATTCTGCCAACCATACCCCCCCACTTTTCTTCCTTTTACGTCTACTCTGTGGTAGATCATTTTCAGCAAGATCAGAAAATATATGATATTCATACATATACCAATGGCAAACATTACTAAGAAATCAAGTCTCGCTTTTTTTACTAATCTTAGATTAGAGCTCAACATCCTCACACAGATGCTACTAATCAATTGTGATTGGCTTACAAGATGAAATCAATTTGCTTTTCTAGATGTAGATGTACAATTTACAATATATGATTTGTGTTAGGGAATATTATAATAAGGGCAAATTCCTGTATTGCCTTTTAAAAGTACATATTTCTTATTTGTATACTTATTTTAAAAATAAAATTAATGTGTTCACTAAGTAAGATTTGGAAAGTACTTGTTGATTCCTTTCCATATGGAATTTTTTTGATATTATTTAGACATGGTTGAGGTCATATTATAAATGCAGATTTTTTTTTCTTTTTGATGGAAATCGGTGCCTAGGTTTACCACTGATAAAGCTCTATTGGAGAATGTGGCTTAGATGACTGGCCTGATGGTTTGCTGCTAGGGTACTTTACCAGTGAAAGGCAGGGCCGGAGAGCTTATATGCAATTTTTAATATTGCCTTTTAAATCAGCATTTTGTAGGTGTTTTCCATTTTATGAAAATGTATTTATAAACTAGTTTTAATGGCTGCTTAAGGATGATTATCATAGTGTAACCATTCCTTTCACAATTGGATAGTTTGGTCATTCCCAGTTTCTGTTGTTATAAGTAACCCTGCAGTGGATATCTTTATGCCAAAAGCATTTCCATGTCATCCTGAAATCTAAATAGCTATAAAACGTTGGGTGAAGCCCATCAAACATCTGAGAATTCACAAATAGTAAAGATGTTATTTTCTCTTCTTGCAGATGCAATTAAAATGCATTCCCTAGGATGGAACTGATATTTTCAACCTTAAAAGAGGTGCCAGAGAAGATACTTAGACAAGATGAATGTTGCTGAACTAGGATTCTCTAAACAAAAATAGGCTTATTCCTTCCATCTAGCTATTCGACTCTTTGCTTTCTTCCAAATCCTTCCATCTAGCTATTCAACTCTTTGCTTTCTTCCAAACCCTTCCATCTAGCTATTCAACTCTTTGCTTTCTTCCAAATCCTTCCATCTAGCTATTCAACTCTTTGCTTTCTTCCAAATCCTTCCATCTAGCTATTCAACTCTTTGCTTTCTTCCAAATCCTTCCATCTAGCTATTCAACTCTTTGCTTTCTTCCAAATAGATAAGTCCACGTATCATTATGTAAGGCAGTGTAGTTAGGCAGGAATCACCTTGTGGAGTTCTTTCTCATTTGGCTCCTTTGGACCCCTAACTCTGTTGATAGAAATGTTCTCAATGACAGAGCCGATTCAGTGGCATTCTCCTTGCACATGAATCAAAAGTGAGTTTATTTTAAAATAAAATTTTATCTTTTCATTTAAAAGGGACACTCATTTTCATCTAAAGAGGATACCTCTTTGTGCTAACCTTATATATATATCATTCTATACTAAGTTTGAAAGTTGTTATATGTTGAGTTCATGGGATTCATACAACCTGTGAAAATGCTGTCGTGAGAGACATTGAGTTTGGGATGGGTGGTGTCAGTGATAGAGAGGGAGGGAAAGAGAGAGAGAGTGAGAGGAGAAAAACAGATGAACATGAGAGGAAAGTCTTGCTAGGGCTTACATCACAACCCCATACCAAAATGGTTTGTGAGATCTGCCATTTTAGCTGATCTTGAATCTCTCTGCCTCCCTCCCCAGATAGTTTGGTAGATTGATTGAATGGCCCATTCATTCTAGGAAACTATGCTAGATTTCTCTCAGCATATTTGTTAGATGTCAAAGCCTGAGAATGGATTTTAAGATAATACTTTCAAAATCCAAGAAAAAAATATTGACTGGACAGCTGGAATTATTTTTATTTTCATATGATATTAGCTCTTTAATATTTGTCTTATTTTTATGAATATCTCATATTAAAAATAAACTGCTACCAGTAACCCAGTTGAAAAATAGGCAAAGGATATATAAAAAGAACAGATCACAGAGAAGGGAATAACTTTGAGTGTATGATAAGTTGTCCAACCTCACTGATAATTAAAAAAAAATAGTAAAACTACATTAAGATACCATTTTTCACTTATCAGATTGGTAAACATTCAGAAGTTTGCAAGCATGCTCCATTGATGAGGCCATGAGGAACAGCCATTCTCACACATTGCTGGTGGGAGTGTTAGTGCCTTTGACCCTGTGGAGGTCAGTTTGGCAGAATCTGTCAAAATTGCAAATGCATGTGTTCTTCGACTCACCACTTGTAAGATTTTATCCTACAGATATACTTGCAGATGCATGAAATGCTTACTGTGCAGGGTTATCCATTAGCAACAACTGAAATGTCTGTGAATTAGGGTAAGGGTTAAATAGGCAATGGGGCACACAAACAACAGAATGATGCTTTGTGGCTACAGGAAAGAATATGGGATCTCTCTACTTCTATAGAAAGATATTTAAGATATATGAGGAAGGGCAAAAAGTAAGATTAAAAAAGGGCAAAACCATATTTGTATTTACTTATGTTTGCTTTCAAGCCTCTGCAAGAATACATGCAAAATAAACAAAGAAACATAACCTGTTGCAGGTGGGTGAGGGTTGGAACTGGGTAGACTGAGGGACAGGGCTGAGAGTGAGACTTTTCCCTATATATATATTTTAACCATGTCAATTAATTGCTTTACCTATTCAATAATTTAAGTAAAAAACAGCAACGTAGTAAATAAGAATATTATCCTAGAAACTATCTAAAGTCAAAGCAGAATGTAAACATGTTTCTTATCCATGATACCATCCTATGAAGATAGTGCAAATTGCCTTTGGAATTTCATTGAGATTCTGTTTGGCATTTGAAAATCTCTGAGAGTGATGAGGTCTCATAGCAAAGCACAGGATTTAGAACCAGGCAGATGAAGTTTCAATTTCTGGCTGCACCACTTATAGGCTGTGTTATTTAACAAATTTTATGATCTGTAAAATGCTGATAGTGATGTTTGTCTTCTGGTGTTGGAGATATTAAAAGCAATACCATTTTTTATGAGTAGTAAGTATGGTACATGGTACCAGGCAGGTGATCAAAAATTGTTGGCTCTTGTTTCCTCCCCTATCTCTTGAAAATGACTCTAGTTCTCGAAAGAACTACAGCAAGGAATATAACCCAGCCTGATCGTGGTTTATATACTTTTCGATGAGATTACATTATGTTTAAAAATAGCTCACTCTAAATATTTTTCTAGGTGTTATATTGTATTTTTTATAAATTTTTAGATATTGATGTTGTTTTACTTTTTTCTTGTTGTTCGGAATTGTTGGGTTAGGCAGATTGGGGCCAAAATGTTGATGCTGCTGCTTACTAATTAGTTAACCTTTGGGAATTCCTTTACCTTTTTGAGCCTCTGTCTTCTTATTTGAAAAATATGAACACTGATATAATTATTTCAGAGGCTTTGAAAGAGGAGTTGCTTTGAGGGAACAGACCAGAAGGAATGTCTCCACACAGCTTTGGGAAGGCTTGGCCCATCAGCCCTGCCAAGCCATTCCTGGGGAGGAAGTGCTGGGGTGCTGGGGAGGACCTCAGGTTTGCTCTTTCATGAAGAGAGTTAGGGGGCTTTCTTCTTACAAGGAGAAACTCTGGCCTCTTGCCACCCTTCCTGCAAGATTGACTTTTCTGTAACTTTAGTCAACATCAGAATTACCTTGGGATCTTGATAAATGTTCACATAATGCATTTCTAAACCCAGAAGATGCTTTCAGTAAGCCTAGAGCCCAACCGAGGATCCTTGACTTGAACACTTCCCTGTGAGGTTCTGATGCAGGGGCCCCACAGCCCATAATCTGCTAGACAGTGTACTGGGTTTTGAATTCTGCAAAGAAAGGCCCTATTCAAATATTTTTACTTAAAATGTTCTCCTGTAAACAGCACACAGCTAGTTCTTTTTTGTGTCTGTGTGTGTGCCTACATGTGTGTATGTGAATTATGTACCTGTGTGTAACAGGGTGACAATCACTGCCCTTTAATTGGAGTGCATAGTCCATTTACATATAGTGTAATTATCAACATCTTTTAACTTAAGAGTATGATCTTGGTGTCTGTTTTCTATGTGTTGTATAAGTTATTTGCTTCTCTTTCCTTCTTTTCTGTCTTCTTTTGAGTGAATCAAGTATTTTTTAGTATTCCATTTTATCTCTTGTATTGACTTTTTATTTTAGAACAGTTGTAGATTTATAGAAAAAAATGTGACTATAGTACAGAGAGTTTCTATATACCCCACACCCAGTTTCCCCTGTTGTTACCATCTAATATCAATACGGAACATTTGTTACAACTAGTGAATCAATATTAATACATTATCATTAGCTAAAGTCCATATTTTATTCAGATTTTCTTAGTTTGTACCTAATGGCATTTGCCTATTTCAGGATCCCATTAGGATACCACAGTACCTTAGTCCTCATGTCCTTTTTAGGATCTGTTTGGATTTAACAGCTTCTCAGACTTTCCCTGTTTTTGATGACCTTGGAAGTTTTGAGGGATACTGGTCAGTCATTTTATAGAATATCCCTCAGTTTGGATTTGCTGACCTTTTAACCATACTTTTTTGTGTTCGTCTTGTTTTAGTGGTTGCTGTAGACCTTAACTTATCTTTGTTACAACATATTCTAGTTTCAAATATTATATTATTTTATGAACAATGTAAGAAGCATAAAACACTGTAATTCATTTACTCTCCTCCTACACTTTGTGCTTTTGTTGTCACACATGTTCATGTTATGAACTCCTCAATATAGTGTTGTTATTTTTTGCTGTAATCAGTAAATATTTATAAAATATTTTAAAAATACAT
Source organism: Homo sapiens (assembly GCF_000001405.40). Classification (NCBI taxonomy): domain Eukaryota; kingdom Metazoa; phylum Chordata; class Mammalia; order Primates; family Hominidae; genus Homo; species Homo sapiens. The sequence continues at coordinate 134,556,971 of NC_000008.11, read as the reverse complement.
AATGAAACTAAAATTTTAAAAATATTTAAAATTAAAAAAGCATTTAATTAAAATATTAAAATATTTTTAAAAGGGTAAATATACATTTACCTGCATAATTCACCTTTCTGGTATTCTTCATTTTCTCCCCGCAGATCTGGGCTTCTATTTGATACATTTGTCTTTAGCTTGGAGAACTTCTTTTAGCATTTCTTGTGTGCTGGTATGCTAGAATTAAATTCTCTCGATTTTTGTCTGTTTGAGAATGTCTGTATGTGGTCTTCATTTCTGAAAAATATTTTGATAGCCATAGACTTCTAGGGGGACATCACTCTAAAAATGTTCCATCCCTTTTCATCCTTTCTTGTTTCTAACCCTTATCATTGTTTCTCTATGTGTAATGAGTCTTTTTCTTCTAGCCGGCTTTAAGATTTTCCTCTTTTTTTTTGGTTTTCATCATATTAACATCAGCAAGTCTAGGTGTGGTTTCCTTTATATTTACCTTACTTGGGGTTTGTTGAGCTTCTGTGGGTTGATATCCTTCATCAGTTTTGGACTGTTCTCAACCATTATCTCTTTCTTCCTTCTGCTTCATTTGTTCTCTCCTTTCCTTCTAGGACTACAATACCACATATATTAACACATATGTATTAATACATATATGTGAGGCACTAATAGCACCTCACATTCTGGTGATCTCTCTCTCTCTCCCTTTAATTCTTCTTTTTATGTTTCAGTTTGTATAGTTTGTATGATTTCTATTTGCCTTTCTTCAAGTGCACTTATCCTTTCTTAGGATATATTAAATCTGCTATTAAGACCACCAAATGTGATGTTTTAATAAAACTTCTAGGATCTTCATTTGGTTCTTTTCTTTTTCTTTTTCTTTTCCTTTTCTTTTTCCCTCCCTTCCTTCCCTTCCTTCCTTCCTTCCTTCCTTCCTTCCTTCCTTCCTTCCTTCTCTCCCTCCCTCCTTCCCTCCCACCTTCCCTCCCTCCCGCCTTCCCTCCTTCCCTCCCTCCCTCCTTCCCTCCTTCCTTCTTTTTGTATCTTGCTTGAGCTCCTGGGCTCAAATGATCCTCCTGCCTCAGCCTCCCATGTAGCACTTTCTTTTTGTAGTTTTTGTTTCTCTATTACATTTTATCATCTGTTCACACATGTTTTTTATTTTTTTTTTCCTAGAGCTTTTAACGTATTTGTTCTAGTTACTTCAGTGTTTTTGTTTAATAATTTTAACATCTGGGGCACCTGCACATCAGTTTCTATTGACTTTTTTTCTTTTCTTTTTTCTTTTTCTTTTTTTCCCTGCAGGGCTGCAGAGATGTTTTTCTTCTTGGTTTGAGGTCATCTTTTCTTGCTTCTTTGCATGCCTCATAATGTTTTAATTGAATGCCAGACATTATATGTGAAAAAACAGTAGACTGAGGTAAACAATAGTTGGCCTTGGGAAAGTATATGTTATTAGTGTGGTGGATTGTGTAGAAAAGAGTTAATATAGCAGGCTTGGCTGCTCTCCTTTGAAAGACCTGCTTACAAGCTTGGGCTGGCATCTGAGAACATGGACTTCCAAGACAGTTCATAGCACCTCACTGTTAAGAGGAGCTTACACTTTCTAAAGCATTTATACAAACAATGCGATTTATGCTGAATACCTGCCTTTATTTCTGGGAGTATGGAATTTTGGTACATGCTAGGCAGAGGGTACTTACATGATCAGCCATCACTAAAGTTTCTAGTCACTAAGTCTCTAACGAGCATCTCTGGTTGACAGCAGCATTTCATAAGTATTGTCACAGTTCCTTGCTGGGGAGATAAGCATGTGCTGTGTGGCTCCACTTGGAGAAGACCCTTGGCAGCTCGCACCTGGTTTCCCCTAGCCTTCACCCCGTGTGCCTCTTCCCTTTGCTGATTTTGCTTTGTATTCTTTTACTATAATAAATTGTAGCCATGAGTATGACTATATACTGAGTCTTGCAAGTCTTCTCAGTGAGTCATTGAACCTGAGGGTGGTCTTGGTAACCCCCAACTCAAGAATGAATAAATCTCATTTGTAGTTGAGCTGGGTCTGGGTCTGGGCTCTGAACAACTCTAGGGTTGGTTTTCACTATCTTCAAATATTCTGAGAAGAGGATCAAGGACTTTGCTTTCAGCAAGGTTGAGCATCTGAGCACCAGTGAGATTCCAGAAATCATGTTGTGTTTTACAGCCCAGCACTGGCCTTCTCAATCATACAGGCGCTCTACCAGCTTTGCAGGTCAGCTGCCAGCGTTTCAGGATGCTGCAGAGTTTCTGTCTCTCTCCAGCTCCACCCCGGGCTTTCTGTTTATTAGGCATCTCTCTCCTGCCTTGCTCTGCCTGGGGAACTCTTTGGAGAGTTGGCAGTGCACTTGGTGAAGGCCTTGTGTACTTTGTAAGGAGTGGCTTTCCTCTCCTCTTTCATCTCTGGCGCCAGCTTCAGCCCCCAACCCTCTTGCCCTTGGTGAAGTTCTCCATTTCACAGGGAAGAGGTTGATGGGTCACTATGCTGGAGATAAAAGTAGGACAAAAGGAACTGGTGGATACCTTGGTCTCTAGCATAGCGACCTATCCACCTCTTGTCTTTTTCTAGAATTAGTTCACTTAGGTTTCTTTGTATCCTTGGCAATCTGATAGATCCGTCAAGTTGTTAGTGTGAGATCAGTGGTCTCTTGTGGTTTTCTGCATCCTAGCTGGGAGCAGGAATACTCCACCCCTGTGATTCTGACAGTGCCTGTCAGTGTCTGCACAATGTGGGTGCCTGTCAGATGTACCTATTGCCCCTGCTCCAACATACACAGAACTTGAAGCTGGGAGTCAGGAGCAAGGAGGGTGACTGAGACAGCAGACTGTGGCTTATGTGAGTAATCTGGGTGGGTGCAGAGTCACGAGGAGAGAGTCCTCTGCCAGCTGTCATGCAAGGGTATTATCAATGCAGCATTCCCCGTGGGTAGTTCAGGAAAGACTTGGAGATTCATGGACCCTTGGGACTGTCCCCATGAGAGAAACAACAGTGTGCAGGTTTGATGGAAGGCCTGTATCCTACAGCACAAGACCTTCCTTTTTTGACATTAGAGATTGTGGCTCTACAGTCAGACTATCATAGAATCCTGGCTTCCCACTTACTGCCTGGGTGGCCTTGGGCAAGCACTCTCCCCTCTGCAGCTTACCTGTAGCACAGAGATAAAAGAAGTACCTCTTCTTGCCACTATACACATTGTGATTAGTCAGGAAGTAAATAAAGAGGGCTTGTCACGTTGTTCTCAAATGTTAGTTCTGTAGAGACTCCATCCTGGTTTCTTCCTTTTTTCATCACAGGACTGTCCTGACTCTACAATCTTCCTTTCTTTCATGACTTTGTTTAAGATTCTTGGTGCCTGTGGCATGTTCTGTTTGTTCACACAGTCATATTCACTTAATTCCACTAATGTGGCACATTCTTTCATGATGTACCTGACCACATAAATATGTCACTGAGACAGAGTCTCACTCTGTTGCCCAGGCTGTAGTGCAGTGGCGCGATCTCGGCTCGCTGAAACTTCTGCCACCCATGTTCAAGCGATTCTTCTGCCTCAGCCTCCTGAGTAGCTGGGATTACAGGTGCCTGCCACCGCGCCCGGCTAATTTTTGTGTTTTTAGTAGAGATGGGGTTTCACCATCTTGGCCAGGCTGGTCGTGAACTCCTAACTCTTGATCCACCTGCCTCGGCCTCCCAAAGTGTTGGGATTACAGGCATGAGTCACTGCACCGGCTGAGAAGCTTTTACCAGGTATGTCTCCCACCCAGAGTTCTTAATAAACAGCCTCCTTCTAACAGTGAATGTCTCTCTCCTCAGTGGCCCTGCCCTTCACTGCTGGACCTGCTGCGTATGCTTTCAAAAAGTGTGATTCTCCTGCAGAAGGGCCTTGCCCTGCCCTTGCCCCACCATTCTTTCCTCATCACTACCTCTCACCCATTTTTTGCATCGCACAGGACATGCCACAAGGCCCCAGCACTGGAGGAAGTTTGCCCTTTGGCTCATTCCTCTGTGAAGCTCCAAGTGCACCAAGAGCTTTTCCTGGTTTATGGAAAGCATGTCAAAATTTGGTGTGTGAATGTGCAAGTCCACAAAAAGGGAATTCAGGTCTGAAATCCACAGTTTTTGAAATCTGTGCATTTTGGAGATTCTTCAGTGTGACTTCATGCTGACCCTTCCTTCTTACTTTAGACGCTTTTGCTTCTGAAACAGAATAACCCTCTCTGCTGTTTGACAAATAGCTCAGATCACTCCTCTGTCCCTGACCTCCAGAAGGTGAGACTGGCCTTCTCTTCTGTAGCCATCAGCCTTTTGGTATAGATGAGTATGCTCTTTCACAAGGGAAACCATCCACGCCATCATCTTGAAAAGACACTATTTAAAGTTTATGTTTGATGTATCTCTAAATGCAATTGAATCTTCAAAAATGTGCACCATGAAGCTGGAGAAATCTATTGCCTGTTGTCAGCCTAAAATTTGCATAACTAAAAGTATTTTCATAAAACTAGTGAGAGGCAAGGGAGATCTCAATCACCGATTTCATTATCATTGAGAAACTTTTCCTGAGAATGCCATATAGAATACATGATACCACAATTTGACATTCAGAATTTTAAGAAAAAACATAAGTACAAATAAAGTGCTAACTATTCATTTGGTTTTTTGATGCAAAGCATATGAAATGTTTACTTATTTTTCAACACATTTTTTTTTTCTGAATACCAGGCACTTCTGTGTCAGGCACCATGACAGGGGCAGAGGATTTCAGGATGAAGGCAGGCCTCTGGTCTGCCAGGGTTACAAGTCTGGGGAGAACCAAATAGACATCAAAAGTAACAGCAAATATGTTAAGTGCTACAAAAAGTTATGTACAAGGTGCTGTGGGAACCCAGAAAACCAGCAAACTAATTATTCCAACTTTATCAGTTTTTAAAAATTATGTTTTAATTGGATTAATATATTATCCTGTTGTGTAAAACCTGTAACTTAAAAAACCCGTTGCAACCAGAAAGCTCTCTGATTGACTGATACCCACAAGTCAAAGGGAATTAGTGTAACCTCTTTTTGCATTCCTGATGATGAAATAAGTCCTGAAGGCCTTTATAATGTGTCGGTGTGAAAGGGAAATGGTTGTATGTACAAAATACACGAGGCATCTGAGCACCTAGAATGTATAAGGGGCTTGGGTACTCAGTTGAACAAAGGTGATGTTTGGATGAGGTCAGCCGAGGATGTGGCTGTGTAATTTGCTCCTAGTTTCCAATCTAAACTTTGTCAGCAAGGAAGTGAAAGCAATAAAATGATCTCAAATAAGCAGATTGTTTGGAAGCCACACATTTATAAATAGTTCAAAGTAATCGTCTCAGAGTCTCAGCACCCCCTCAGAATGCTGAGTCATCTGGCATTGCTTATGGCATTGCAGTTTTATTTATACTACAACTCCTCCTGTTACCTAGAAGACGTTTTCATCTTTCCACAAGAAAGTTCCACCACAAGGTTGAATGTTTAAATATCTAGCATTAGAATGAATAAGACGGGTGGACTGGTTTCTTTGTAATAGCCATGTGCTTGGCATTACGCAGGTGTTTTCTGTGTATTACCTTATTTTGCCCTGAAAAACTCTACCAGGTAGGTAATTAACATCCCCGTTTTACGGATTAGGACACTGAGGCCCACAGTCTATTTTAGTAATGTGCTCAGGAGTAACACAATTTCTATGAGCTAGAGTTGGGATTTTGATCCATGTCTCTGTAGTGAAAACTACTCTCTGCGCGTTAGTCCACGCTTTCTCATTTTCAAGTGAAGCAGAGGAACTTATTTACCCCTTTGTCCTTTTTCCCCTCACTGCTATGCCTATTTAAGCCTGCAGCTGTATGTTTAGCTATCAAGACTCGAGCAAAATCTTCAATCAAAATGCTGATGGAGTGTAAAGTTAGCAGCCAGAACATTTTCCAGGTTCAGTGGAAACTACTGAACCAAGGGGCAGAGGGAAAGAAGTAAAGCATAGAGTTTCTGTTGGTGGTGTTTGTCTTGCTTTTCAGTTCCAAATTTGCAAGAAAATGAGGAATCTGAGATTACACATGGTTTTCTTGTTAATTTTGAACGTGGCGGGTGGGGTTGGGAGCGGGATGCATGGCAGGGCCATGTGGTGGTGGTAACAGGGGCCATTTGTTAAATTGGTTTGAAATGCAAAGTCTCTGCTAAAAACCTCTTAGTGCCATCTTCAGCTTCATTCTATTTTAGATGTTTAAAGCACCTCTGGAAAAAAAAGGAAATTGGATTGTTTTATGTTAAATTAAAATCCTGTCTAAGAGTGTGCAATATATTCTCTGGAAATACTGCATTTTTGACACAAGCGATAACAAATCAATAATCAGAGAACGCTAAAGAGTCTTCTAAGCTTGCACAAAAGGCAATTAGTGTGGATTGATTTACTGTTATTTATTGTGATGAGATAATTGCCTCAACACAAGCCATTTTTGAACTTGTGGTATGCCACGGTTTTAAAACATTTATTCTCTTAAATTGTTTAATTTGTCTCTGGCCTTATTTTAAAACCAAGATAGGTTTGTGCTTCGTAAATGATATGAAGGCCTGGCATTTTCTCTCTGGATCTTTACCCTGTGCTGTTTTTTTTTTTTTTTTTTTTTTCCGTTGTGACCAACCCTGGATGGAATGTAAGTCCCAGCTTCATGTTCTCAGGTTTATAAATCCTGAAGCGATAAAGCAAAAAATATATTAAAAGATTTTTATCTCCCAGCATGGGTGGTGCCCGGTGGACTCGGCCTTGAGCCTCTCCACTTTCAGGAAGACTTGGATTATAGACCAGAGTGTGACCTACCAAATCTGCCTGAATTATACTTGGCCACTGGGAAAAGGAGAAGGGAATGATGTTCTCATTCACCTGATATCCCGTAAACATCAACATTACTTTGAAATCTTTAGTACAAACTTCTTTACATGCTAACACGAGCCCATGAAAATCTGCTTCCCCCTCACTCCCTGAGGTCCTTGAAGAGGTCCGAGGGCCTCTTCCTTTCGGGCGTTTGTCTCTTGATATCTCTTGGCTTCTGCCTCTGTGTTTCTTTCCCCTTGTTTGTCTCCTGTGACTGTCAGTGGGTCACGGGGGTCTGGTGTGTTTGTTTGGGTCAGGTGGAGTGCACCAGTTTCCCACATTGTCCTGTGTACATGTGGTTCACAATCCCACTGAGCTCAGGCTGGAGAAGAAGGTGAGCATTCTAGGTGCAAATGTTCTTTAGGAATTTTCCTTACGAGAACCACCATGTATCTTGTAATTTACAGTCTTGGTCCTTTGTTATGAATATGCATTTTTTTTTGAGTTGCCCACTGCCCAGTATAGGGGTGCAGATCTTTGGCCATGGGCCTAGTGATCAGTATTCTTCTTGCTGCGGGGTGGGGAGCATTCATGCAGCTCTGCTGCAGTGACTCTCAGGCACTGAGCAGCCTCTGGGGATGAACTCGTATTTCTTCTTCTTCTTCTTTTTTTTTTTTTTTTTTTCTGAGACGGAGTCTCGCTCTGTCGCCCAGGCTGGAATACAGTGGCGTGATCTCGGCTCACTGCAAGCTCCGCCTCCTAGGTTCACGCCATTCTCCTGCCTCAGCCTCCTGAATAGCTGGGAGTACAGGTGCCTGCCCCCACGCCTGGCTAATTTTTTGTATTTTTAGTAGAAACGGGGTTTCACCATGTTAGCCAGGATGGTCTCGATCTCTTGACCTCGTGATCCGCCTGCCTCGGCCTCCCAAAGTGCTGGGATTACAGATATGAGCCACTGCACCCGGTCTGAACTCGTATTTCTATGAAACATTTCCGTCTGTCAGCCTGTGTCATCATCCAGAACATTCTGGAAGAGTCACAAGCTTTACTGGGTGACCCTGGGTAGATAATGGGCCTTGGAGTTCAGAGATTCAATGTGATGGAATTCTTCCGAGTGGAAAAGAAGTTTCTCGTGGGCACAGTTAACGTGGAGTAGTGACGTGAGTCGGGCAGTCAGCCAATCAGGCTTTTGTTTTCGCGTGTTCCGTTCTGAGTCTCTAGTGCCCAGTGCTCCACTGGCTGTGGTGCAACCCAGCAGTAGCAGAAGACATGGCTTCTGTCCTCAGGAAGCTCAGCTTACCTAGGAGACAAGATAGACCCTCCCTGGAAGAGGCCATAAGTCAATGTTTTCCATGGTGTGCCCTCTAGAACATTAGTTCCCTGGGATGTCAGTAGGTGTTAGGTGGTAGGGACACAGTATGCAGTGATTTTCAATCTCATTTGGCTGGAGAAGTCCCTCTCCTCCTATTTTTCCCAAAGTGCCTGCCAGCACTTACATTTTGTGAAACAGACTTTGGGAAACACTGGTTATCAGAGAACCCAGAAGTAGAGAAAATAGTATAATGAACCCCATGTATATTTGTCACTTCAGTGGCTTCTGGTCACACTCAGAGTTAAAGCTGAAATCCTACAGGTGGCCACAAGCACCTGCTCTGCCTGGCCTCTGGTTCCCGTGCCGCCTCACCCTCCACCCTCCATTGCAGACGTGGCGTGTCCCACTCCATCTCCGTGCTTGGTTGCACCTGCTCTTCCCACTTCTCACTCTGCTTTTCTCCCAGGTAGCCACACGGGGCTTCTCTCACCTCCTTCAGGTCTTGGCTCAAATGCCTTATTTTTATGTGTTTAACAGCATCAATGGGTTATATATTTACTTGTTCATAATGCTAGAATGTAAATTCTTGAGGCTCTTTGTTTAGTTTTTGTCTTACTCCCAGCACCTATGCAGTGCTTAATAAATATTTGCTGAATGAACAAATGAGTAAATGAATAGGTTCTGTAGAAATTTACTGTGATAGATTTATCATGGCCAACTTCCAGGTGGAAGTAGGACTCTGAGCTCCTTCAAGGGCTTGGAGCCACAAGGGAACAGCGTTCAACAGATCCTCTGTTTCTGGGCCATGCCTGGTCCTTCACTCCATTCTGTGGCTTTGAGCTCTCAGTTCTTCCCTCCTCTCACAGTTGCCAGAGGCCTCTTTAGGTTAATACAAGATAAAACATGTGTAAGTGCTTTAGAAAGGAGGTGCTCAGCCCAGGATAACCAAGCATGGTCCCAAGGCTCATGGGATTCTTCACACTCACCAGATGCAGTGAGCCAGGCCCTGGAGGATGCTGAAGGATCACAGCAGAGGTTCACTGCAGCCCACCAGGAGCCCTCCTCTTAGCAAAGAGCAGGTTTACTATCTGTAAGTGTATTGTTTTCTTATGTTGAGCACAGCAAACCTAACTTCATTATTGTTATGTTCAAGAAGCCTCAGTGGAGATTCCTGTAAGAGGGAGTTCATGTAATCTGTTTCTGGTGTGTTCTTTGGAAATCTATGCAAATGCAGTTATAATAAATCTTCACTACTGCAGTGGTGTTAACTCTGACCTGCAGTGTTTGGTAGTTCTGTGGACAGTTCTGTGGGCAGTTCTGTACAGAGCCAGGTCCTGAGGAGGGAATAGAGAGGGAAGGGGAATAAATGGTGAGAAGGTTATGCTACTAGAACTTTGGGAGCTGGAATTGCTGCTGTGAAAACAGCACCATCTTGTTGATGCTGTGATTTGAAATGCAAAGTCATCTGCAAAACTGAAAATACAGTATAAAAGCAAAAGTTGCAGAAATCATCCATCTGATCCGTTAGCAGGAGAGATTATTGCTGAAGTGAAGCTTGTTTGTGGTGAGCTTTGGTGATCAGTGCTCCAGCGGCCAAGGAGACCGGGCCGTGAACATTAGGATCCAACAGACCTTAGCTAGAACACTAGTTTGGCTGGTGACTAACTGCATGAACTTCAGCAAGCCGCTTAACTTCGCAGGGCCTTGTCTGCAAGATGAGAATGTTAATATCTCCATCTTTACCCTGGGTGACTGAGGCATGTAGTAGAAACTCAGTGACAGCTCTCATTATCTGTTGTGAATTTGGGGTCCCCTCCTTGAGCTCATCTTCCTCTATTGCTGCAAATTTAAACAGGAAGTGCTCAAACTCCAAATGCACGTTAAAAGAAATACCGTTGGTTCTGTTCCTTTAACTGAGGCGTTTCCACTGTTCTTTGTGTAAACTGTCAATGATAATAATTTGATGAACATCTCCATGCAGACTGCTCTGTTTACATTAGCTCCAGTCCTTGCAATAAAAGGAGCAAACATTCTCAAAGTTGCAAAGCTGTTAGACAGTAGAGCTAGATTGAGGTCTGACTCCAGAAACCCCTGCCAATTAGGGGTTGTGAGAAGTGTCACAGGCCACAGACCTCTCCACTGTACATGGTGGGAAATATTTCTCAGAAGCATCTGTTCTGGTTGTCTTTTTCCCCCAGAAATAAAAGAGAGGTAAGACTGAAGAAGCTATCACTTCATCCTTTACGGGCTCTGATTAGATGAAATTGCTTTCTAAGTCTCAGAAGTAACTGAATTAAGTCTGAATTCAAAGTTCTCAAGAACTTGGGATCCCGCCCTCCCCCAGCCCAGCTACACACTTCTCAGGGTGACTTGGTGCTAGCTTGCATTTTAGGGGATTGATGGCCACTCCAGACATTAATGAAAAAAACTTCATCTTCCTGTCGCATTTCCTCAGCTGCAGAAGTGCTGTTGTAAATCTTATAGGTGTCCTACCACCAAAACCCCTCGGGAAGCACTTGCATGATCAAGACCATCTCTCCACCTGGGTAACTTGATTTAAGCTTGGCAATGCCAGATTTATAGTTAATATTTCCTCTAGGCCTGTCACTGGGTCTTTAGAGAGAAATTCCTACTATAGCCTCATTTTTGGAATATGTTATAGTATCAATGCAGTTTTTATCACACAGATGAAAGAAAATAAACCTAAAAATTACTTTGCATGTGCTGCAATAAGTGTTGTCGTCGTCAGTGTTATTAATGTTAGTAATAACTACCAGTTGCATGCTATGTATCATTCTAGGCATTTAATGTAAGTTCTCTATAGTCGTCATAAAAACCTTGTGAAGGGGGCCTCTGTTGCCTATTTACCCATTTGGTCATACATTTCTTTTTACTGTCTTTCTTTCTTTACTTTTCTTATTGTGAAATAGAATGTATGTCCAGAATAGTACATATGACATGAAGATGTGGTGTGATGAATAATTATGAAGTGAACACTTGCATAGCTGCTGCCCAGAAATAGACCATTGCCAGACACTGTCCTGTGGGGTCTTCCTGAGCCCACCCTTTCTCTGTCCCAAAAGTCACCACTGTCCCGACTTCAATGACAATTATTAGGTTGGTGCAAAAGTAATTGTGGTTTTTGCCAGTAAAACACACGCTAAAGCACCTTGTTTAGAGATGCATACATGGGTGGCCTTACTTTTAATGGCAAAAACTGTAATTACTTTTGATCAGCCTAATACTTTTTTATTTCATTATAGTTTTGCCAACCACGTATGCATCTCTAAACCATGTCTCATTTTTTTAATTTATTACTTTTTGTAGAGACAGAGTCGTGCTATGTTGCCCAGGCTGTTCTTGAACTCCTGGGCTCCAGGGATCCTCTCACCTTGGCTCCTGGACTAGCTGGGACTACCAGGAGGACGTGTGCCATCACATCTAGCTAATTAAAAAAAATTTTTTGGTAGAGACAGAGTCTCAGTATGTTGCCCAGGCTGGTCTCGGACTCCTGGGCTTAACCATTTCTCCACCTCAGCCTCCCAAAGTGCTGGGATTACAGGTGTGAGCCACTGCACCTGGCCTTGTGTATTTGTTTTGAAGTTTACTTCTTTACTCAGAGTTATATTGGTCAGACTGACCAGTTCTCACATGTAGCCCTAGTTCACCCGTTTCTTTGCAGTACATATACCATTGTGTGAAACATGAGTCCACCATGTGAACCTAGCATGATGTAATTATTCATTCAATTGCAGTGGATAATTGGGTTCCTTCTGTTTTGTTGCTTTTATGAGCTCAGTTGCTGTGGACTCATGACGTGTGTGTCCCCTGGTATGCTTGTGCACCAGTTTCTCCAAGATACATACACCCACAGAGGACTTGCAGGCTATGGGATGCACAGCTTCAGCTTTGCTAGGTGATGCTCAGCTGTTTTCCAAAGTGGTTGCACCAGTTTGCAGCCGCATGCATTAGCCTCTCTTGGTCCATATCTTGGTGTGAACATTCCGTGTTGCCAGTCTGGTGGCTGTGCAGTGACCTTCTATGTGGTTTTACTTTTATCTTCATGATTGTTAATGAGGTTGAGCCCCTTTTCATATGTTTTTTAGCTGTTTGGATTTCTTTACTTTCTTTTACTATCCTTCCCTCCCTCCTCCACCTTTTCTTCTAGTAAAGTATCTGTTCAACTATTTTTTCATTTTTCTGTTGGGTGATTTTGTTGTTATCTTGTCTTCAGGAATTCTTTATCTCTTTTAAGTGTGGGTCATTTTTGGTTATATGTTAGGAATACAGTTTCTCCTTATTTGGCTTTTCTTCACTTTCTTTATGATGTCTCTTAAAGTTCTTAAATTTAATTTTTTTAAAAAAAAATTTCAACCAGATTTTTAGTTTTTTTCTTTTGTTGTTGTTGTTAGGAGGGTTTGCTGGACTAACTACACGTGAATCATTAACAGAAAGAGGCAAGCAATCTTCCCTTTTTCTTTAAGCCACATAACTATATTTGAGCATCTGCCTGTGCTGGGCACTGCACTGGCTGCTGGGGGAGCATAGGTGAGCGGGTTCTGATGTGGACTCTACTCTCAAAGGATTTGCAGCCTGTGGAGGGCGGACCTGGAGAGGCAGGTGGCAGTTACACCATAGCGGGGTTAATGCTTTACCAGGTGTTGGGGGACAGATGAGAAGAAGAACTTACAACTTCCTGGGAGAGTTAGGGAAAATTTCAGGGTGAAGGTAGGGGGAGTAAAGAGCAAGATGAGGCTCGTGAAGAATGGATGGGAGCCTAGCTCATCAACATTCCCACTCTTAGTACCACAAGTCAATGGGTAGACATTTTTAATAACTTGAGGTTAAAGAAAACGTTGAACTCATCAAGTTTGGCTCAAATCTGTGAAGCATAATAATATTGTCTTCTTTCAAAGCATAAGAGGGGGCATTGTTTTAAGTGGGGAGGGTGGGTATTTATACAGTGTCATCCCACGATTTATGCTTTGGGGATCTAAGGCTTGATGCATTGCTTGGAATGAATGGGTCAGCATTGAATCCAACGTGATCAACTTGTTCCTTCAGACAAGTTTTGCTGACTTTCACAGTCAGTGGCATGTTTCACTAGATGACCATAGCCCCTTCTCACTTTGGTGTCATCTAGTATTAGAATCAATAGATTCTTTCTCAAGGATATTGAGGGGAAGATACACAGAGCCTGACCCAAGGAACTCAGTAGAATAGAGCAATATCAGAAGGACAGAAGTGGATGCCTGCATACAACAGTTGCAAGATCCGCTAAGGGGCAGGAACAGCCTCCTGTGTGCTGAAGTTGTCCTGAAAGTTAGTGAAGTAGAGAGAGCAGGTGGGGAGTGTTCTCAGTCAAAAAGGAATGGCTTGAAAACATGAGTGGCAGCTGCGGGAGTGAGATGGTTTGGAGCAAGCTCCTGCACATCTCCTGCATGTGCCTGGCTGACTATCACAGAGAGGTGTGGGCAGGTCATCTGGGTATTTGTACATGACCCCATCTCTTCTTCTGTGCAGTAACTGCATGTGCCCGGCTGACTATCACAGAGAGGTGTGGGCAGGTCATCTGGGGATTTGTACATGACCCCATGTCTTCTGTGCAGAAATTGCATGTGCCTGGCTGACTGTCACAGAGAGGTGTGGGCAGGTCATCTGGGGATTTGTATGTTACCCTATCTCTTCTGTGCAGTAACTGCATGTGTCTGGCTGACTATCACAGAGAGGTGTGGGCAGGTCATCTGGGGATTTGTACATGATCCCATCTCTTCTTCTGTGCAGTAACTGCATGTGCCTGACTCACTGTCACGAGAGGTGTGGGCAGGTCATCTGGGGATTTGTACATTACACCATCTCTTCTTCTGTGCAGTAACTGCATGTGCCTGGCTGACTATCACAGAGAGGTGTGAGCAGGTCATCTGGGGATTTGCACATTACCCCATCTCTTCTTCTGTGCAGTAACTGCATGTATCTGGCTGAGTGTCACAGAGAGGTGTGAGGAGGTTATTTGGGGCTTGGTACATGCTCTCCTTCCCCTGCCCCCCTGCCCTCACTTCTGTACAATACCTGCATGTACCTTGCTCACTATTACAAAGAGGTGTGGACAGGTCATCTGGGGCTCTCCACAGGCTCTGGCAGACTTTGAAGGCTCTGAGCAGGGGGCTGATAAAGACACTTGTGTGAGATCATATCCTATGCAGCAACATGGATCAAGCTGGAGGCCATTATCCTAAGTGAATTAGTGCAATAACACAAAACTGTGATACCACATATTGTCACTTATAAGTGGGTACTTACTGACTACACATGGACACAAAGAAGGGAACAGTACACACTGGGGCCTGCTTGAGGGTGGTGGGAGGAGGATGAGGATTGAAAAACTACCTGTTTGGTATTATGCTAATTACCCGGTAACAAAATTATCTGTACACCAAACCTCTGTGACATGCAATTTACCCATGTAACAAATCTGCACACATACCCTTTGAGCCTAAAATAAAAGTTGGAAAGAAAAGAAAGACACTTGTTGTAGAGAGAATGGCAGGATCAAGACTAGGGTAAGAAGGGCAGTTTGGAGACTTGACTTTGGTCCAGGACACAGCTGCCTGAGGGAAATCTGCTGATGGGGTGATGGGGTGTTCCGGATAGAGGGAGAGTTAGAATGCAAATGAGAAAGGAGCCAGTATGGTTCGAGTCCAGTGAACGAGGGTGACCATGGAGAGGAATGTGGTCAGAGAAGTGGGCAAGTCTGGATCAGGCAGGCCTTGTAGGGAAGAAAGTTACCAGCTGGCCTGGCCTTCAAGGTCCTGGCATCTGGGAGGGAGGAGGTAAGATGTAAACACTCAGGACCTCCAGTAGAAGGTGGTGAATGAGGTAAAAGGATTTAGTGGAATGCCTGTGAATGTGGCGCCAGCCACCTCCAGTTCCTGACATATTGCTTGGCATGTAGTAGATACTCAGCCGATACTTTATTTATGAGTAAAGATAAGAGATCTTTTTGGAAAGAAATGGCAGCATGATTTGGCATTTAATTTTTATGTGAGTTGATGACATATTTTGCCTATTTTTCTTATCTTTCAGTGGATCATGGTTGATTGATCCTGCGATTGTCATTCCTCAAACTCAGACACTGGTATTCTCCATTCTCTTCCCTTCCCCCTCTCTCCCTTTTCTTTCCTTTTTTCTTTCTTCCTTTCCTCCTTTCCTCGTCTCTTTACTTGTGGTAAATGACGATTAACTGATGATTGGCTTGTATTAGTCCATTTTCTGTTGCTTATAACGTAATACTTGAAACTGGGTAATTTATAAAGAAAAGGAACTTATTTCTCACAGTTCTGGAGGCTGTGAAGTTCAGGGTGAAGGGGCTGCATCTGTTTGAGAGCCTTCTTGCTGGTGGGGACTCTGCAGAGTCCCAAGGCAGTGCAGGATATCTCATGGTGAGGGGGCTGAGCGTGTTCGTGTACTAGTGCATGTCCCCTTCCTCGTCTTAATAAAGCTACCAATTCCTCTCCCATGACAACCCATTAATCCTTCAATCCTTGAATATGTAAATCCATTCATGAGGGCAGAGACCTCATAATTCAGTCACGTCTTAAATGCCCAAACTCTCAATACCCCTCAATACTCAGTAATACTACATTTCAGTATGAGTTCTGGAGGGAAAAATATTCAAACTATATGCATGGCTATCTCCAAATCTGAAGTCCAAGATTTCCCTTAAGGTCAAGTGAGGAAGCGCTGACAGAGCCTGCTGTCCTGGCCAGCACGTGGAACCCAGGGCCCGGAGTCCTGCTGGGCCTACGAGAACTGGCCCCTCTCCCCTCTGGTGCCAGTGGGCAGGGCCACTTGATCCACGGAACCCTGAGCACATTTTCATGAGCCTAAAAAATGACCCCAAACTACAGGAAAACTACAAAATCAAGATGAACAAATACCTACAGGCCAAAGTTTAACTAAATTGATGGTTAGATATAGTTCATAAAAATTTCATGACACTTGAAATCTATTTTTTAGGTTAGAGTTTTTTCACTTTTTCAGAATTTCCCAGTCCGCTAGATGGCGATTGAGGAATAAAGGCATATGAGAGTGATGGTTAGTGTTTCTAAGTGGCTTAACATGCAACATTTTAAAAGTCTTTTTACTTACATTTAGAGGAGTGAGTCCGGGGCAGTTGATGTATAAGTAGGTACAGTTTAATAGGGTCATGGTGGTGTAGGTGGGACTTTTCGTAGCCTTTGAAGGTGATGGAGGGACTCTGTGCCTGCATGCTGCAGGCAGGCAGCCTCCTACACAAGGTCCCGGGCTACATGAAGAGAAGAGCTTCTCTAGAAGGGAAGAGAATGTTCTTGTCATGGGAGAAATTGGGAGGACACCCACCAGGAGGTTTCTTGGAGCCTCAGATGACCACATTAGACAGGGGAATAAAAATATGTGAACATGTTAAAAGAGAACATTTAAGAGAGATAGAGAGGGTAAAACCAGCCAGTCCTGAGGGCTGAGATGATGTGTGAGAGGAAGGAGATCGAGTTCCAGACTCCACACTCCCCTGATCCTCCCACCTACTGTCTGTCCTCTCTTGTCCTTCTTCCGAGCCCATCTCCTTTTGGCTGCCTGCCCCTGCATTCCAGTGTGCTGTTCCAATCCTGCTTCTCTTTTCACTTTATACACTCTCTTTCTATGGCTGTGTTCAGTCTTAGGGCATCTACTAGTTGCCTGTGCTAATATGCTAATGAACTGATTAAAGACCACAGTAGTGAGACCTATGGGGTTTTATGATTCTCAAAGCACAGTCATACTCTTGTGTTTTTGGTGCCCCATCTAATCTCCGTCAGGTAGGCAGGGAAGGTTTGCTCTCCCATTTCACAGATATGGATTCAAAAGCAGTGGAGTTGTAATGACTTGGCCAGGGTAACTCCACTGTTAGTGGTGGGCCTAACACCTGACCCTCTTCTCCTGCGCCTGGTTCATTCATGCTCCCACACTCCGCTCTTCTACCCTTGCTTGACATAGAATGCAATCATGTCCTTGAGAAGGTCCTTCTGTGTTGTAAAGTTGTCCGCATTCTAAAAACACCACTTCTATCAGCAGTGTATAACTGGTCTTGTACCAACTAGTCCACTTCATGTAGGTCATAACCATTACATGGCCTTTTTCTGCATTTGAATCCAAATTTTCTGATACCAGACGGGTGGTTAGTCTCCTTCTGTATGTCTATCTCTGTCTGTATCTCTATTACTACATCAGCCAGGTTGTTAAACTGAGGTTGAAATAGTGATGTATGACCCCAGATTTCACACACTAGTGTCATCTGGCACTTTCTGTTTTGCCTTTATTCTTCTTCACCCTCTCCAAGGTAGGCTTATCAACAAAGGGGTGGATTCACATCTGATCTTTGAGCCTTTTGATGTATGTGCCACCTTAATACCATACTTGGTTGCACAAATTAGACTGCAAAAACATTACCTGATGACAGCCTTCTTGCTTGCTGCGAATAGGAGCCAACAGAGCAACTCCTCTTTTTGCCAAAAAGCCATCCTGTACATTGCAGTCAGTTGCCAATGTCATGACCTTGAACATTACCTCATCACCAGCTTCCCATCTGCTTTCAAACATTCCTCTAGGTCCCTTCCTTGGTGCTGATGGGAAATGTGATCACTTTAATGTAGTTAGAGGTTTTTAGATGTCTTCTAATCAGGTTTTTCGGAACCCAGTTTCACGGGTGAGATATATTCCCTGTCCTCTTCTACTCTCTTTCTTTCTGTTTAAAGAACCAAAACAGCAAAGTCTCAAACTATGAAAATGTGTATTTTACCTGCTTTTTATTTTTAAGAGACAGGGTCTCACTCTGTCACCCATACTCATACTATGGTGGTGACAACTTAACTGCTTTCTTGACATAAAAATAAGGACTTAAAGAATTTCAGCCTTAACACATTCAATCTCATTTTCTCTCAACTCAATTTGTAAATCTTCAATGTACGTCTTTTTAATCTTTATCTTTTTTTTTTTTTTTTTTGTGACAGGGTCTCACTTTGTCACCCAGGCTGGAATGCAGTGGCGCAATCTTGGCTCACTGTGACCTCTGTCTCCCAGGTTCAAGCAATTCTCGTGCCTCAACCCCACAAGTAGCTGGGACTACAGGCATGTACCACCATGCCCGGCTAATTTTTGTATTTTTAGTAGAGAAGGGGTTTCGCCATGTTACCCAGGCTGGTCTCGAACTCCTGACCTAAGTGATCTGCCCGCCTCAGCCTCCCAAAATACTGGGATTACAGGCGTGAGCCACTGCGCCTGGCCCAATATACCTTTTGAGAAAGATTTTTTTGATGCCACATTTTGGAAAAAGGAACATGACCCAAAGCCCAGCTTGTGCTCCTCGTCTTTTCTCCTCAACTTGCTGAAGCCTGGTTTTTGTGTTTCTCATGCTGCTGAACCTCTTCTTGGTAGGTCACCGGCGCCACCCCCTGGTTGCCAGGTCCAGTGGACACTGGGGAGGCCCCTTCCTGTTGGATTTAGAGCGCTCAGCTTCATTATCCTCTCCTACCTGGAGGACCTTATTCCTCAGATCCCGTGATTCCAGACTCCCCTGATCCCCACACCTGTTATCCTCTGTCATCCTTCTTCCAAGTCCACCTCCTTTTGCCTGCCTGCTCCTGTGTTCCAGGGAGCTGATCCAATCCTGCTTCTCTTCTCACTTGATATACTCTTTCCATGGCCACATTCAGTCTTAGGACCTCTGCTAGTTGCTTGTGCCCTGATCTGTGTTTGCAGCCTGGAGCTGTCCTCTGAGTTCTAGACCCACCCTGTGGGATGTTCAGAATTCTAGGAATACACCCTCTCCCTCCCATTATCCATATGACTTCCTTCTTGCTGGTGGCCTTCCTTGCCTTCTGCCATCCATACTGGAAGCTTGGGATTCATCCTAGAGGCTCCATCTCCTCCCTCTCACACATCATCCCAGCCATCAGGTCTGACTGGTTTTACCTTCTTCACCTCTCTTAAATGTTCTCTTCTTTTCCCATATTTTTATTCCCCTGCCTCATTTTAGACCTTTAGCATCTCTCGTCCATACCACTGCAGTTAACTGGATAATTGGTTCCCTGCCTCCAGTCTTGTTCCTTTCAAGTCCATTTTTCCATTTAACTTCCAGGTATCCAGAGTGATATTTCAAAATGGGAAGTTGGCCATTGTCCCACCTGACACCTACCAGGGGCTCCCATTTTCTGTCATTACTTTCCTGACCCAGCACACAGCACACTGGCTGGTATCGACCCTCGTCTTCTCCCCTGCCAAGTCCCTGCCTCCTAATGATAGCCCAGTAACTGCCCACATCTCTCCCGGTCCACTGTGCGATTCCTCGGTCTAGAGGTTGATACTTAGATCTGGGCCACCTTATGTCCAGGAGACCCAAGAATACCAACCTGTGCCCCTCTCAGTTGGGGTTTTAGGGAGATATATGCTAGGGAAAAAAATGGCCAGTGGAAAACCAAATCATCTCTTTACTGTTGGCTGGGCCTGGGGCCCCAAATCTGATGCAAACCAAGTAACCAGGCTGGGAGACTGTGAAACTATGGCAAGTCTCTAAACCATTCTGTGTCTCAGTTTCCTTACCTGTAAAAATGAGGATAATAATTGCACGTACCATATGAGCTTGATGTGAGACTTATAGGAATTAATCCATGCAAAACATTTAGAGCTATCTGGCATATAGTAGCTATCAGTAAAAATTAGAGAAATCAGTAATATTTATCATGTTAGATCTCATTACTTTGGTTAAGAACTTCTGTGCAACACTGAATAATAGCTATGCTAATGGGCTCCCTGTCTTGTTTTTTGGACCATGATAAGAACTTTGATGTTGCATTCCAAATGAGCTGTGGAGCCAGTTTATATCTTCCTCCCAACTCTAGGCTGGATTCTGTCCTGAAAGCTCTGATTAAATAACTTCCCTTTTGAGATCTAGTGTCATTTGTTGTTTGCGAGTTTCTGTCTATGATTTAGTTTGCCTAGATAACATTTAATCTTTGGAGTTGATATTTAAGTCCCAAAACCTGTATATATTTAGGGAATCACAAATCTGCCTCATTTGCCATGTATTCCTGGGGGTCAGAGGACAGTCAGAGGTCAGTAAATATATGCTTCATAAATGAAATCTTGAGACTTGCAGTTAGGGATGCTATTCCCTACCTCTGCCTGTGTCCTTCCCTGCATCAGCCCCAGGAGAATTCCCTGCTGGCCTGTGGCAGTGCCTCACAGGTCAGAACTTGTTTTGCTTGAAGAGCCTAGATGAGGCTCAGTTCCCACACTTTGGGAGAGAAGATCCCCAGCAGAAAATGGGTGGTAATTGACTTCATATAGAGGTTCTAATGGATGTGAAGGGTAGAAGCAAGACCAATGAAGGAAAGAGTCTGGGAGATTTATCTTCCTAACTCCCCCTGCACTGGTCAGCAGTGAAAAGGCTGCTGGGGGATGTTTTGAACCCCCTGCATCAAAGCAGAGGCTAAGTAGATAGCAGACTGCTAGAGAGGCTACAGAAGAAAGTCTTTCATGGAGGGAAGATTTCGCCAAGTCAAGTGTTTCTTTCAACTCTCAGAATTGAAAATTTTGATAGAAATTGCTAGCTCAAGAGACTGAATCCTCATTTGGGCTCACACACACATTTTTTGCCAATATGCTTACATTTTGGCAACTTTTCTTCTCGTTAGCAATTCTGCCAATGGATGGGCATGGGGAAGAAAGCGAGCTGAACTCACAGGAAGCTGTTTATCTGCTTTGCTGCAAGAAGGGTGAAATTGGCTCTCAAGTCTGAAGCTGGGTTTGCAGGACCATTTCTTATTTTCATCGCCCTTTTTCTTCCTGCCTTTTATGCCCACTGACTGCCCGATGCTGGCAATATAGCATTTTCACTTTTTCTTTTTGATTTGTATGTAAATGCTAACATTCCAAAAATAATATCTTCATGTTATTTGCTTATTTAGAGATGAAAGCATTTGAAAATGGTTTAGCTTTTATTTTAACTTTGCAGTAATCATATATTAGAATTCTAGACCTTTTGTTCTCTGCGCACTAGATAGATGAGAAAGCCCGACAAATTTTGCCTTTGTTCCAGGTCCTTTTGTTTAGTAAATGCTGTGGGCCAAACTCCAAGGATTCCTTACCCAGGGACTTAATGTAGAAACACAGCACATGCGGTGCGGCACAAAGCATCCGGTAACCAGAGTGTGGCCTTGGTGTAGGGCGAAGTCCCTGGGGAATGTTTTAGAGCAGGTTGACTGACCAGATTGAGAGAGGGAGGGAGAGGGAGGGAGAGGGAGGGGGAGGGGGAGGGGGAGGGGGAGAGGGAGCTCTGGAAAGGCTTCCCAGGAAGGCTGGACAAGACTCTGTGATCAGTTGAATAGTAAGAAAGAAGGAAAAATGAAAGATGGCTGTGGGTTTCTGTCTTTGATGACTAACTGATTTTGCAGAAAGATGTGAGTCCAAAGTTTAAGGTGCCTATAGAACATCCCTGTGGAGATACCTGGAAGGCAGTTGAAAATTCCTGTGTATGGTTCAGGAGAGAGGACCCAACAAAACATATAGATCCACCAATCAACAATGCAAAAATGATAATTGGGACCAGAACAGAAGAACAAATCCAGCCCAAGACCAGCACCTTAGAGAGATCCAGCATTTCACATTAAACCTGGATTGCAGATCTTGTAAATAAATCTAGGAGGTTGAGCCCTGGCAGAACCTGGTGACAGTGGCATGACAATGTCACAGCTGTCACAGTGGGATGGGGCAGCCAGCCTAAGGAGATAGGATGGAGGAGCATGAGGTCTGAGCAGGGGGCATCCCCAGGAGTTGTTTGCTAGGAGATGGCAGAAGCCTGAGAAAGAGAGGTGACAGCATGAAGGGAGAAGGGGGAACTGCTCTTGCAGCAGGCGGTGGGCAAGGGGCCTACGAGGAAGGAGTGTGACTTAGGCAGGGGGTGAGGTGGAAGATTTTCCTCTTCATTTTCTTCCTTTCCTCCCTCCTCTCTCTCTCTCTCTCTCTCTTTCTCCCTCTCTCCCTCTCCCCCTCTTCCTTTCCCTCTCTTTCTCTCTCTCCCTTCTGTCCCTCTCCCCGTCTCTTTCCTTGTCTCCCCTCTCTCTCCTCCTCTCTCTTCTTGTCTCCCTTTCTCCCTCTCTCCCTCTCTCCCCCTGTCCTCTCTCTCCCTCTCTTCCCTCTCTCCCTCTCTCCCTTCTCTCTCTCCCTCTTCCTCCTCCTCTCCTTCTCCCTCTCTCCCATCTGCCTCTATGGGGCTACTTCATCACAGTTTTATACTTGAAGGGAAGAAACCTTGAAAGAGGAGCTGATCTAAGCTTCAAAGATGAGAGGACATTTTCTCTCTGTTGGTGCACTTCACATTCAGACATTGCAGTTGCTGGTTTAGCTCTTCTGGGCAACAGTGGTGAAAAGATTGATGAATTGGACAGTGGAGGAGTAAAGGTAGTGTTTGAGGTCTTAATAGATGCAGTGGTACGTTAGCTTCCAGATGCACAGTAAGAATTGTGATAGAATTGTTGATAAAATCAATAAGAAACACTTTGCATGGCATTTTAGGTATCAGTTTATATGATACCATTTAATTCTCACAACAACCTTATGACATGGGCATGAGCCTCATTTCCCTGATGAAAAGATCCATGCTAAGAGAAGTTTCAGGACTTGCCTGAGGTTCCATCATAGGTCAAGGCCAGAGGTGTGGCTGGACTTGCTCCATCTGAGTCCCCTGCACCAGGCAGAGTGCTGCTTCCATTGTGGCTGCTCCATGCTCTTCTGCTCCTCCTGGGCTAGAAGGCTGCTGGGTCATCAAACAGGCCCTGAATGACCCTGGAGCACTGTCGGAATCATACAGCATGTGGATTACAGGGGCATGCTGGCAGCTCCTGACCAGGGGCTGTGGCATGGAATTTGACAGTGATGGAGATGCCCATCCGTCGACCAGCCAAAGGCCAGGTCTCACTGAGCTTCCCCAGGGGCCCAGCAGGTGCTTCTTTCCCCAGCCCCACTATTTATGCAGCCTCCGAAGCATTGTGCAAGAGGAAAGGCAGGACTGCATGACTCGTTTGTGGCCTCATCCCGAAAGTGTCTTGTCTTGACCAGGTGGGCATGAGAAATAGATTTTACCTGCTGGACTTCCCTGATGGTTGACACTTGTGTATGCCAGTGCTTGCAGGCAAATACTGCGGAGGAATTCATTTAGCTAAAGAAGCAAATACAGTGACGCATCACTGAATGGCAGGGATACGTTCTGAGAAATGTGTCCTTAAGCAAATTCTTAGTTGTAGAACATCATAGAATGTACTTACACAGCTGTAGAAGGTATAGCGTACTTGCACTTGCAGGCTGTGTGGTAGAACCTACTGCTGTGACCACTGTTGTGTTTGCAGTCTGTAGTTGAGTGAAATGTCATTATGTGACACCTGACTGTATATCAGGGAACCAATTGTAATGAGAGCTACTTTTAATGTCATTCACTTAAAAAAATGATAGATTAGTGTATTGCTTTTTTTGTCTTCTTCTTGAACAAAAACTAAATTCTGAGGTGGATGAAAAAAGAAAAGAAGTAACAAAAGCAAATTCACTTAGTAGAGACAGCTCCTCCTCTGGGGCACCTTGTCCCGGTCCCTTGGTTGGTCACTGCAGAGGCAGGTCTCAGCATTCCTGCCCTAGTGGTTTTCCCTAGAACATATCACAGGTGATGGGGCCTGCTCATCTCAGGCTTTCAGGGTGTCAGATGCTCACCAGGTGGGAGCAGCAGCGAAGGCAGACATCTGGGGCTCACCTTTCCTAACCCCTCCTCATTGTCCCCGCAGCCTTTCCGCTGTGCCCATTGCCATTACTCCTGCAACATATCTGGCTCTCTGAAGCGGCACTACAACAGGAAGCACCCTAATGAGGAGTATGCCAACGTGGGCACCGGGGAGCTGGCAGCGGAGGTGCTCATCCAGCAAGGTAGGCGAGGGGCCAGCGAGCTGGGGCCCTGCCCGCTTCCTTTTAGGCCAAGTCCCCCATTGGGAAGAGCTGCTGACATCCTGCAGTTCAGTTCTGCTACATAAATGTGCCAGTGATGTTCATTCTTCATCGTCCTAATTGTTGTCATCATCGTCCTTATCATTGTTTGTCAGCATTACTTCTTGCCTGGTTAATATGACAACAACCTTAGTGGAAGTCTAAAATAGCAGAAGTAAAAATTCACACACAAATTCTACTACCCTCCACAATGCTGATTTGTCAGCATTGCCTTCCATTCTTTGTCCGTGCGTAAAGTTCGCAGAGATGAAAGTTCGGTTGTCTTTCTTTACTTCACATTAGCAGGAACATGTTGTTTTTCTTTGATATACTGTCTTCCTAATTATGATTTCCAAGGGCTTTTTGTAATTCAATGTTAAATGGAAACACTAACAATTCTGTTATCGAACATTGTGGGATTTTTAGATTTTTCTTTTTTGCAGTTATAACTAATGCTATTGTAGGCATATTTATAGGTGAACTTTTTTGGAATATCTAAAAATATTTATTAAGTAAGCTTGTTACTTATTCATCCTGAAAAGAAAAAAAAGACATTCTAGAACATTTAAACTAATGAGAATTGATGAAAACCTCTCTTCATTTTAAATTATTAAAACTTTGTGGGGTTTTTTGTTGTTTTATTTCAATAAATAATCACATTCCCACTGGAGAGGGCTTAGCTTATGTGCTGTTACCATACAGTGAATTCTGTTGTATTTATATCTACACTTCAATACTTCAGCTAAAAAATGATTGCAGCACACAGTTAGCTGCTCTTCTTTCCTAAGTCCTGTGACTATTTGAAGCTGAAGACAGATTTAGAAATCTGCCCCCAGTAAACAGAGATGTGGAATTGTAGACTGCTGCAGCTGGGGATGCTTGGAGTTTTGTTTCAGCGTGAAGCTCCGCTCGCTGTAATAGCCATGAAATGCATCTTAATGTAAAACAAATGAATTGACTATACCCTTCAGCACTTTCAGTGACAGGGCTGATGCACGGAAATAGATGAGCAGCACAGAAAACTCAGGATAATTTTAAAGCCATCCATCTGGGGTAACGGCGAGCATGTGCCTTCGTTTTCTTAATGGCAGTTTTATGGAGCTGGGGAGCAGGATATGCAGTGGGAAGGTCTCTGGCTCCAATCTGCATTCTTCTTTCTTAGCTGTGCCATCTTGGGCATGTTACCCAAGCTCTCCCTCTTAGGCTCTTCACCTGTAGAATGGAGTTCACAGCAGCCATCTTCCACGATGGTGGAGAGGATTAAATGGAAAAACACGTGCATGCAGTACATGTTCAGTCCTTGCTTTTGTATATTTTTTTCGGAACATCTAGGAATTGTGGAGCCATCGCATTATTTTTTATGACCCACGCCAATGCCCCATGTCCAGGAATCACAGAGGGGAGAATAGATTGGCTTACAGCCCCAGTAAATAACTAGAGTTGCAGGTTAGGGATTCTTTTTCGCATCCTTCACACTCTTGGGTTGGATTGCCAGGAAATAGATGTTTACTGTGGCTGTTGGGACAGGTGTGAGGATCTGAGTGATGATACCATCATTGCCCTATGCTTCCAAACTTTCATCATTGCCTTGGAAAAAATGTGCTGAGGTTGAACTGTTTCATGCCCTAAGTTTCCAGTTAACTTCCTAAGACTCTCTGTAATCAGTCGGCATTCCCTGACAGGAGCGGGGTTTTATATTTTATCTTTGCAGGGTTGCTTTTGGTTCCTCTTTCAGAGATACACACACAGACACACACAGATATATATTCACAGTTGTTCCTAGGCATCCATGGGGGATTGGTTCCAGGACCCTCCGCAGATAACCACAATCCACAGATGGCTCAAGTCCATTATATAAAATGGCGTGGTGTTTGGATAAAGGCTACACACATCCTCCTATGTACTTTAAATCATCTCCAGATTACTTATAATAACTAATACAATGTAAATGCCATGTGAATAGTTATTATACTTTGGTTTTAATTTGTATTATTTTTTTATTTTTATATTGTTATTTTTTATTTATTTTTCCTGAATATTTTCAATCTGCAGTTGGTTGAACCCATGGATATGGAGGGCCATCTGTACATATATATATAGATGTAGCATTTGCATATGCATATGTACGTGTATGCATATGTATGTATATATGTTTATCCCCCCATTCCCTTCAAGGGACATGTTGAAGAAGGAGACAACCCAGCATCTCTTGACTCTTAAGAGGCCATGCGCCGTTGTGCTCTGGCAGGAGAACAGTCTCTGAAATCAGATGGATGGTGGAGTATGAACACAGTTTTGAAATCTCAGAAGCACAAAGTTCACATTGTTCTTATGTCTAGGAGAGAGGAGCAGAATGAAAGGAGAACATGAAACCAGATTAAATTACTGTTTGGAAATGTTGAATTGTTTGGAACCACTGGAATTTTTCATTTTCTTTTGATTAATTTCAAGTAACTCTCTCCATCCCTATTTGGTTTTATTTTCCTCTTCTACTCCCCCAAAAATATCTTCATGAGACTTTATAATTTCATGTTTTGATATAGAGGAAGATGTCTTAAAATAACATCATAAAAAACACAAATAACATGTATTTTTCTCAAAAGGATTTTACAGTCTCCTTTAAACCATGTGCAGGGATTCCTTGTGTATCAGCTGTGTTAAACAGTGTCACACTGTGACATGTGCAAAGCTATTGATTCCTAGGAAAGACCCTCCTGCCTGCTATGCCACAGGGATCCTGGGATTCCAGGGAGGGGTTCAGTGCACAGTGCTGCAGAGGAGGTCAGGAAAATGGCCTAAAAGGAGCTGAGGGTTCCCACATCAGATACTTCTGTTCTGTGTGGGTTTCTAAGGGAAGGTACTATGGCATTCTCCATGGAGTTTGGGTGGTTTACAGTGTGTTCCCAAAGCTTGCTGGGAAGAGTGGCTGCTAAGGCTCTTCCCAAGTAGGAGGGAGGGGAAACATGACTTGTAGAATTTGCCAATTTCTGTAGTGTAAATACTTCTACCATGGCCAAGTTTAAGCTGCTCACATGATGTCCCTCAACGTGGAGCGGGGACATGTGCACATTTGGCTTATGAGCTTGCGTATCTTGGTTCCCACGTACCTTTCACCCTGAGGGCACTGGGTGACATTGCCAGGTGTCTGCCACCAGGGCCTGTCTGGATGTACTGATCCCTCAGTACTCTGATACTTTGTAGTAATTAAGGTAGTACTGAGCACTATGTAAATATTATACTCCTGGCTTATATTTTATGTGCATCTGATGCTTTGAAGACAGATTCCTCTTAGCCATCACTTCTTCATTAATATGGATTTGAAGCATTCTCCCACACAAATGCACGTTTCATGCTGTTTAAGGAAGAAATACTTGTATTGCTTCAGTGGGCCTGCCCCTTTCCTCCCCTTAAAATACACCTGATTAAGCTAGCTCAAGAACTGGTTCAGTAAATCACAGGCTGTGAGAGGCATCAGATACTTTGGTGCTAAGCTTTATGAATCTTTTGCTCACTCCTAGAGCATGTAGCAGGGTGAGGATGGGGTTTAGTGGGCTTTCCAGTGGCTTCCAAGCCCTCCCTCAAGTCTCTCTAGGTTATTGGAATGACCACACGCTTGGGAGTCAGATGGACCTGGGCCGGGATTTTTGATCACTGTGGACCTTGGACCAGGTACTTAACCTCTCTGAATCTTGGTTTATATACCACCAAAGAGGAAGGCTCATAACCTACCTCCACAGCAGTTGCAAAGATTAGATATCATTCTCTAAGATTCCCAGAGAGTGCCGACAGTAAGTTCTTGATGAATGGCTCAAATCCACTATTACATTTATCTGCATATTTCTACTTTGAGCATGTATCTCTCAAGCGCCTACAGTGTGCCTGGAACCATGCTAGGCACTGGGACTTGGTGTCAAACAAGGCAGTCGTTGGTGGTATTATTGTTATTCCTGCCCAGGTTGCGGACCAGGGCTAGGCAGCTCCCGCCAAAGCTCTGTATTCTAATTACAGCAGAAGGAATACATCCCCTTCAGCTGTGCCCTGGAGCGGAGTTAGCTGCTTCTCCCAGAGGGCTGTGTCCCCCAGTTTTAGAGTCATTGAAGTGTAAGGGTGGGTAACTGGAGGAAGAGGAAGCAATAAGAGGAGAAGTGTCAAGGAGACGTCTTAGTATTTGGCGTCTGCTAGAATCTTTATGTTACTTTGAAGTGCTATATTAGAAAAATGTAAATATGTATGCATGTGTACCTTGGATGTATATTTGTGTATTAGTTTTTTACACCAGATTCAGGGAAAATAGCATAGCAGGAAATCCAGAAACTGTGAGGTAACCCACAGGTGATGTATTTGATTTTTAGACATCTTAATTTTAAAATTGTTTTTATTAGGGCCCAGATTCAATAAGTTCTTGGCACATGCTTCTAGTGATGTGATATAATGCTGTGTTATTGATTGTTATTTTATGTGTTAATTTATCTCTCACAATGGCCCTGTGAGCTTGGCATAATCGTTCCTATTGTGAAATAAAGAAATGAAGGGAGTGCTAATGACTGACCTCAGGTCACACCAAGCAAGCAAGTGGCCAAGCCAAACTCAGTCTCCTGATTCAACGTCTGTGCCTTTGCCACTCCCATGTTTGATGTCCCCTAAAGTTTGTAGATGTTTGCACTTATTAGAGAGGAGGAGGAGAAAGAGGAGGAGAAGGAAGAGGCGTGGTCATCTCTTAAGCAATTGGGCCACATTTGCTGGTAGTTGGTGGAAAAGTCACACACATGGATACTGTTTATTTTCTCTTATTTCTTCATCCCCGAGGCTAATTGCTAATCTGACCCAAGACTGACTCTGAAACCTATTTCTTTGCAAGTCCTTCCCTATGGTAATCCAGAGTGTCTCAGATCCCAAGATTTGGGGGCGTATGTGAGGGGAGGGGGCGGATGGGAAGACCTTGCTTATGCTCCTCTGCCAAGTGTTTCTTATTGGGTTTGGGATATCAGCTTGGCTGATAATAAAATGCACTTTGTTTCCTCTGCTGCATTTTCCCTTTTGCTCTTTTTCTTGAGGATCCTGTGGGAAGAGGGGCTGGGATTTAAATAGGATTCAGATAGTCCCAGGTAGGATCTAATATTGCATGCCATGTCACCAGGAACCCTCCACCTCAGTGCTTGCATGTGACTTCCGGTTAATTTCTACCCTTAAGCACTTCCTAGCTCTGAACTGGGGCCCTGGCTGGGCCTAGGACAGACACTGAGTTAAGAGACAGTAGGAAGTGCAAATGTCAGCAAAATTCTATTCCATATTCACTTGTTAATCTAATACAATTTTTCCATATCCACTTTCCTTGGATAATTTACCTGCTTTTGTTCCTTGTCCTTATCCGTATTCGTATCTGTCAGTGCCTGTGTTAGTTGCCTGTAGCTACTGTAACAAGTCACCACACACTTCGTGGTGGATTAAAACAACACAGTTTTATTATCTTAGTTCTGAAGGCCAGAAGTCCAAAATGAGTCTCACCAAGTTAACATCAAAGTGCTAACAAATATTCCTTCTGGAGACTCTAGGGGAGAATCCCTTTCCTGGCCTTTTCTAGCCTCTAGAGGCTACCTACATTCCTTGCCCTGTGACCCCCTTCTCCACCTTCAAAGCCAGAAATGGCCAGTGGAGCTTCTCTCAGATTGCATCTCTGTGCCCTCTCCTGCCTTCTTCTTATAATGACCCCTGTGATAGCATTAGGCCCACTCGGAGAAACCAGAATGACCTCCCCCTCTCAAGATCCTGAACTGAATCACATCGTTTTTGCCATGTAAGGTAACATGTTCACATGTTCTGGGGATTAGGATGTGGCTGTCTTCAGGGACTCATTATTCTGCCTACTGTACTCAGTGCCTTTTTTAAGAATAGGAACTTTATTGCAGTGGCTCATCTCAAAAAAAAATAAAAAATAAAAAAAAAGAATATGAACTTTAGCATCTTCACCTTCATAGAAGAGAAAACCAAGACCCAAGAGTTTCAGGAAGCTTTGGCTTACCTGAGCAAGTGCCAGATTCAGGTCTTGTGACTGCCCAACCCAGTGTTGTATGCCATTCTGGGAGTTATATTATTGAAAATGAAATTGAATTTTCAATAACGTCAAGCACCACAAAGGAGCAGAGATATTTTAATGCCTGAAACTGCTCCAGAATATATTGCATTCCAAAAAGAGCAAAGCGTACCATCATCAGTTTTTTTAAATTTCTCTTGAAATTCTATATTTTCACCTGATTAATCAGTCCGTGGGAGGAAATTGTGATTTGAGGACTCCTGGTTTTTATGGTGTGCACTTAATATCAGTGCCATGAGTAAATTCACCAAGTCTTCCGTTGACCTTTACTGTGCATTGCCTAAGAATTTAATGAATCCAAATAGAAATTAATTTCTCTCAGCTTTGATGTCAATTAACTGGCATAGTTATACATTCAGTCTAGATTACATATTTTCATTTGTTGTTCTTTAATTAAAGTCACTGTGGCAAAGGCTGAAGTTTTAATTAATGTGGGGGCATTATCATATTAAGTTTAATTTAAATATAATATAAGAATGTTTTCCTCTCTGAATTAGTTTCCACTAAAGAATATCCCAGAAGGAACCTTTAATTTCATTTTAAAGCCTAAGTTTAACCTTTAAAAGTTTGCCTTTGTTCATCATCACATATTAAGTCTTTATAGGAGAAGCAACATCAGCTTAACAACAACAACAACAACAAAAAGTGGAGGTCTTCATAACTTGGAGGTTTTTAAAAGGTGATTGAAGGAAAAGACATGATTTTAT
Organism: Homo sapiens; assembly: GCF_000001405.40. Lineage (NCBI taxonomy): Eukaryota > Metazoa > Chordata > Mammalia > Primates > Hominidae > Homo > Homo sapiens. The sequence continues at coordinate 134,525,978 of NC_000008.11, read as the reverse complement.
CTGATTTAAAAAAGCAATAACAAAGGAAGTTAAAAATGAAGTTTATCCTCTGGGCAAGAAAGAAGCTCATTTGTTTTTGCCTAAAAAACAGCACAGTATGTTTGACTTTCAGAAAATAAACATCCATCTGAGCTGTCTTTTCAGCAGAATATTCTAGAATTTAAGAATTTAGTGTTTGTTGCCAGTCTTTCTGCTGACAGCGGGCGCCTTCTGCCTCGGTGCCCTCCTCTGCCTCCACCAGGGTTGGGGCCAGGAAGCAGTGGGCGGAGGTGCTGGGGCTGCATGTGGCTGGCAGGTTGGCCTCTGTACTAGTGACTCTTTGGAAAATTACCCACAACCTCAGCTGATAGAACAGAAACCCCAATAATAGAACACTGCTCTGTCTTGATTCCACTGACACGGAATTGATTTGGAGATTGAGCGCATCAAAACTGCATCTGGGAGATGACTAAATGTGGGCCACATCCCCGTGAGGTTTATCTGGTATAATTTGTCCAGACAACCTTGATATCAGGACAGAATTCCTCCATTTCTTCCCGAGTACCCTAATGAGCAATACATAAACATAGCAGCCTGAGATACACTCAGTGGTCAGCTCAGCTCTTTCGTTGCCTAAGTATAAGCATCTTAGTGGTTTGTTCAGCTCACATGTATATTGGGGAGGTGGGATACTTTGGGACATCACTGGACCTGCATATCAGAGATATAGAGGGGACTGTTTGTGAGGCTTTAGGACTCCACACAGAGGATGAGAAGGCTGTACAGGGATTTGAGTTGGAGAGGTGCTTGGTAGAAGAACCAGGAGTGAGTGGTGTCACAGAAGCCCTGAAAAACTAGATCTTGACTGGAGAATGTGGTCAGCATCGCCATATAATGCAGAGAAGTCACAGTGGACAATAGCAAAGGCTGGGGTTAAGGATGTGTGTTAGACTTAGATTCAGTTCTTAACTTTGCCAGTGTGACCTCAGTAGGGTTACTTCACCATCCCAAGCCTCTGTATAAAACAAGCTAAGCATGCCTGTGTCATTGCGCTGTTGTGAAGAAACCATGACTTGATGTATGAGGTGCCTGATGCATGGTAACTGCCCAGTTAGTGGAAGACATATGTTGTTATTGCTATTAGTAGTGTTGGTGGTGGTACTAGTGGTAAGATAAAGAGTGAAGAGTATTCATTGGATTAACCAATGAGGATGTTAGCTGATCCTGACATGTGCAATACCAGGAGAGGACTGAGTGCAGGAAGCAGCATGCTATGGTGTGAGGCAGGGCTTCTCAACCTCAGTACTGCTTACAATCGGGGCCAGGCCAGTGTTTGTTTTGGGGGCTGTCCTGTGTGTTGTAGGGTATGTAGCAGCATCCCTGGCCTCTACCCACTGGATGCCCTGGGCACCCCCCAGTTGTGCCAACCAAAAGTTCCTCCATACATTGCCTGTCTGGGAGGAAAATTGTCCATAGTTTAGAACCACTGGCCTAAGTAATGAAGAGAGACAGGGAAGTGAAGAATTCATATTATTTTTCTAGTTTAAATTTATAATCTTAATTTCAGTAATTATTTTGAATAGGGCAGTTACTCTCCCATGGAATAAAATTTGAAAGATGGAGGAGATGTGAATGCTGGCCTCCTCCACTTGCATCCCAGCCTGTTGTCCACCCCAGAGCATCACTAACAGCACCTCTTTCTAGTGAGTTCTTGGAAGTGGAGACTCCACAGAATCCTGGCTGTGAAGGAAAGGGGAAGATAGACCGGCACCAAGGCAGGCCCTCGGATAACACTGAACACACTTATTTGGTGAGGGGACAGATGTGTACAGAGGGGAGGTGCAGAAGTCCAAGGAGAGCAGGGGGATGGTTGGAGAAGGAGCTCAAGAAAGAAGAGGACTTGCCAAGACCCAGAGTCAGTGACGCAAGACAGAGTGATTGAGGAGAAGCTAGATGCCGGGTGCTGGGACTTGAACAGAGAATAAGTGGATGATGCCCCTGAAGTTCCCGCTCTAGGAAGGTGCCACTTTAGAAGGGAGAAAGGACAATGAAGATGTGTAGGAAAGATAATAATACAATGTCAGACTGAAAGTAGGGAAATCCATTAGAGAGTTTTGATGGCTCTATGTGTTTGGTGGGGCTGCTTTCTCTAGGAGTCCCAGGAAGGCCTTTCTGAAGAGGTGGTGCTTAAAGATGAGGAGAAGGTCAAATGGAGATCTTGGGGAAGAGTTTGTGAACCAGGAGGCACAGCAGTTATCCCAGGAAGGGAATGAACTTGGTCAGTGCAAAAGACAGAGAAGGGAGAGAATGAAGGCGAGAGGGAGGGAGGCGGGACTTGCCAGCCACAGGGAGGAGTCAGGATTTTATTGTAGGTGAGACAGAAGACCATTGGAAGGGTTTATACCTCTGAGACTGTGATCTAGTCTGTGTTTTCGAAAGACCATGTTGTGTGCTGGGTGGGAAGTGGACCAACAGTGGAGGATAGACAATAGCTGCTGAGAGAGCACTTAGGAGCTGGTTGCTCCCATCTATGCAGAAGACTGCAGTGGCCTGGCCAGGAGGCGTGGGAGACACTGGGATGCACAGTCCTGTCTACCTGTGGGGAGGCATCCCAGGCTGGAGTTTGGGGCAGGAGTCTGGGCTGGAGCTACAAATAGGAAAGTCATTAGTTTGTGGATAATATATGTCCTGGGCAGGAGGAAGAGCCTGAAGAATGTCTGGATACCGAGCCTAGGCGACACGGGACAGAGTAGGAGGGCCCAGCCACCCAGCCGTGGGACAGGGAAAGCATAAAGGTGTGGAGGCTGGAGGAACAGAGTGTTCAGTGGAGTGGTACTTGCACCCATGCAGGGTTTCAAAACTTGAGGGGCTTTTAAAAAACTTCAGGATGATGGAGGAATCTTAAACTGCTTGTTGTAGAAAGGGGCATTGAGTCTAACAGGGCTGAGGATCAGTGCTCTAGAAAGAGGAGAAAGGGGTCTTGGAAGGCGGAGGGGAACTCTCACCCACAACTGGTGTCAGGCCAGGCATAGGCAGGAGCAGAGGGACAGAATTGTATAGTACAGGAAGGTCTGGAAAGTTCTTACCTGATATTCTCATTGTGAAGCAGGAGACAAGAACTGAGGCTGAGATTGAAAGAGGAAGTCGACAATAGTATAGGGGACTTAATGAGATGGATGGAGAATTGCAGTTCTTCTTCTGGATAATTGGACAGAGTTGACTAGGGAAATACTTGAGGTTGGAAGTGTGGCCATAAGAATAAATAATGGCTTTGTGATTTGTCTCAGCATCCCAGGGTCAGAGCAAGGAGGGCTGGGGCTTGGATTGATGCTGGGCTGTGGATTTGCCAGGCAGGTTTGAGAGAAAGAGAAGTAGCTGAGGACGTGGAGGGCTTTGCCAATAAAAGTTGTAAGTTTTGGGCTCTGGAGTGTGCTCTTTGGAGAGGGGAGCATAGTTAGGGGTAGGCTGAGAGAAAATGGGAGGGGATGCAAACTGAAGATTCTCCAGAAATTGAAGAATAATGATAGTGAAAGTAAGAGATGGCCCGAGGGCCGATAGTCGTCAGAGTGGGATGCTTGGATTTAGCCCCATGGGTGGTGCTGAATAATCATATGGGTGACTGAATGAAACTCCACAGATTGTGAAATGGTGGGGAAGGTTATTGGCCTTAAAGTCAATGGATGTTACAGTATTTAAGTGGAGAGGGCCAGGTGCCAAATTGTCTGATGGATCTGGCACTGTGGGTAGCAGGGACAGGATGGGGAAATGCTCCTGCTCTACCGTGGAGGTGGCATTGCTGCCCTGCCCGGGCCTGGCATCCTCCTTACCTGGGGCTCAAGAGCATGAGCAGCCTCCACTTGGGAGGACTTAGCGGAGAGTGTGGTCAAAGAAAGACAGGGAAAGAACACGCTCTCTGGCAAGGTGAATGTTGGGGATTTTGTTGGCCAGAAGGTCTGAGATTCCAGGATGCTGCGGAAGCACTGGCATAGAGGAGAGACCATGTGGACCACAGAGAAGACATGGCAGAGAAGGATGGGAAGCCAGAGTTTGCGACTAGGGAATGACCTGCTGGAATCGGGTAGCTCACAGTTCCAGACAGCTGTGGTGTTGGGGATGTTGGTGAGAGGGCTCATTCCCCTGGCCCAGCTCAGGGTGGCGGCCCGGTGGTGCCAGCATCAGCCTGGCTCAGGCCAGTAGACTAGAGGCCTGGCACCAGCACTACCCTTAGTCTCCTGAGACTGGAGTTTGCTTCTGAAGGCACAATCTGTTCAAAGAGACTTTTGTACAGGCTGCAGTTTAGTTGCTGCTTCTGTATAATTGTAGAAAGATATTCTTTTGTGTGACTCTCCAGTTTTTGTTTTTTTTTTTAAACCTAGAGTTGTACATTCTCTTAATTAAAGCATCTAAACACTTCCTGGAACGTGTGCAAAATTTAATCAGTTCAATAAATAATGACGTTTCAGGATGTGACCAGCTTTTAAATTTGTTCTTTACTGGGTAATTTGCATGGGAATTTATGCTAATGACTTAGCTTCTGACGTGAAGGAGACTGAGAATCAGGCTCCTGGTCTTAGTGTTTTGGGACAAAGGAGATTAAGAAAAGCAGACACTCCCTTTCCATTGTTCTCGTTTTCTAAATTATTTGTTACTTACAAGTGAAAAATGAAAGAATGATTTAAGCCACTTACCCACTGGCCAAGGGAATTATGTTACTTATCTTAGTTCTCTCTGCCATTTAAACTGTTGGGCACATATTGGGCTGTCTACAAAAGCTTATTCAACAAATAAAAAAAGTACATGAAGTTTTAAAATCTCTGCCTTGAAAAAACATATACTGTTGCTATTGTGTTCCAATACTAAGGTAAGCTTGAATTGAATACAAGTGCTGGAGACAAAATAATACTTACTAGATTTGAAGCATTTGAACAGGAGGAGGAACTGTTGCATTTTTCTGTATTACGAACACATTTTTTTTTTAACCTCTGTCTGTGCTTTCAGGTGGTTTGAAGTGTCCTGTTTGCAGCTTTGTATATGGCACCAAATGGGAGTTCAATAGGCACTTGAAGAACAAACATGGCTTGAAGGTGGTGGAAATTGATGGAGACCCCAAGTGGGAGGTAATTTTTTTAAGTATGGTATTAATCTTGACATTTCAAAACACAGATGACAAACCAGGCAAACCCAAATACTGGGCACGGACAATCATTCCTCAGAACATTAGATTTTCTGTTTGGGGAACTTCTGAAACGTTTTCAAATGATGTCTCGCGTCTGAGGGGTATAACTGGGTTAAGATCTGGGCCAAGCCTGTGAATTCTTATTCTGGGTTGAATTTAGACTCTCTTGTGAAAGTTTGTGTTGACCTCCTTGACACTTTTACTTATGTTATTCACAAATCCAGAGTTTCAGATGTTGCATCTGAAAGAATGGAAGGCAAGGATTCTATTGTATTGCCATCCTCACCGAGAGAATTGGAAAAGGCTCTGTTTCCTGAATCTAGGCCCTGCTCTCTTTCTGTGGAGAGCTCATGCTCCTAGCTGCTTTTTTGTTTTTTTTCCCTTAGGAGTTGGAACCAGTCACCTGCTGAAAACACGCCTTTATTATAAGAGCCAGTAACCATCTCTCTTTTCAGATACTAGGTATTGCCACCACGGACTAATTGCAGTTATCTAAGGCAGGGTTTCTCAGACTCAGCACTGTCGACATTTTGATCTGGACAATCCTTTGTTGTGGAGGGCTGTCCTGTGCCCTACAGGCTGTTTAGCTGCATTTCTGGCCTCTTCCCACTAAGTTACTAGTAGCATCATCCCCCCAACCCCATCCCCTGTTGAGATACCCAAAAATGTCTCCAGACATTACCAATGTTCAGTGTTTCCTGGGGGTAAAAATCACCCTCACTTTATCTAAGGACTTTACAGAGCATCCAGTGGTTGGGAGAAGGCTTTTTAAACAGAATCCACAACATATGAAAAAAATAATACATCATGACATTGTGGGGATTATTCTGGAATGCAAGGCACAAGTGGTCTCTTGGAAAGGTAACATGTTAACATCCATTATAATATGAAACAGTCACCTTCATAGATGCAGAAAAGACATTTGACAAAATTCAGTGTTCACTGATGAAAAAGAGTAAATAGAATTTGATGGATACATCCTTAAGATAAAAAAAAAAATGTGTGTCATCCAAACACCAGCATCTTACTTCACTGGGAAACACTAGAGTGTTTCCACAGAAGTCAGAAGCAGACAAGAGTGCCCGGTGGCTCTGCTGTTCTTTAACAGCATGTGGAGGCATCAGTGAGTGTGGCTAGACCAGACAAAGCAGATGGAGACCTAGAACTGGAAGGAAAGAAATAAAAAGTATCTCTCTATACATATAATAGGATGATATTTTCAGAAAATCCAAAAGAATGAATGAAAAGCTAATACAAACAAAAAGCAGCAGATTAAAATATCAACATACAACAGTTAGTTGTAGATACATGTACACCTGCACATATGAATGTGTATACACATATGTGTAAATATAAGAATATGTATATGCTAATATATGCACACATATATACATACATAAAATCAGTTACAATGGAAACAAAACCCCCATTTGATACAGGAAACAAAACCAAGATAAATCTAGGCATAAACCTTATAAAAAATGCCCAAAATGTAAATATGGGAGACTATAAAACACTTCTGAAAGAGACATAAACCTAGAGTTGAGGAAATTAATGGGAATACTCAATATCATAAAGATGTTAATTCCCCTGAAAGTAATTTATACAATAATTTATCAAGGTAATATGATCTATTACATATTACATGTAATCTAAATACCATTAGATTTTTTCTGGAGCTAATCAAGTTGATTTCTAAAGTTCATTTGGAAGAGTAAGTACAATTAACTAGGAAACCCTTGGGAATAACAACCATAAGAGGAGAATCCTACCAGATATTAAAACATATTATGAAATCTCTCTAAGTGTGCATGAACAGATGGTTTAATGGAATCGAACAGAAAATTTAGAATAGACCCAATGACATATGGAAATTTAGTATATGATAAAGATGGTGTCTCAAGTTGGTAGGAGAAAGGTGGGCTTTTTGATAAGTGACACAGGATAGCTAAATAGCTATCTGAAAAAAGATAAAATTGAATCTGTTTACTATAACATATAAAGTTATATGAGAAAAATTTCAAAAGGATCAGATATTTAAATATAGAAACAGTAATATTTTACAAATACTAGAAGAAAGCATAATTGAATTCATCTATAAACTGAGAGCTCATAAATAAGTAAAAAGATAAATGATAAAAATATTTTTTTATATAGAAAAAATTAATATCTTTATAAAAGGCCTATAAAAATAGTGATGAGAAAGATCAACCCTTTAGAAAAATGGACAAGAGATAAGAAAGGTTCAGGGAAAAGAAAATGTAAATAACATCGAATATCTGAAAACATGATCAGCCTCACATGTAAGGAAAGAAATTTTCATTAAAATTAGCCCTGGATGGAATTTCTCACCTACTAGCTTGACAGAGATCCAAAAGTTTGACATTATCTCTGCTGGAAAAGCTGTGGGGAAATCTGCTCTCATACGTTGCTGGTGGGAATGTAAAATGGCCCAGCCTTATGAAGAGAATAGCAATATGTAACAAAATTACATTTGCATTTCTTTATCCATTAATTCAATAATCCAACTGTTAGGAAACCATCCCAAAGTTTCACTGGGACACTGTGTCCATACTGACATAAATAAATGATTGAATAAATAAATGTGGGAGAAGGAACTATGCATTTCCTCCAAAAAATAATGATTAATAAATGTAGAAGGAATGAGGGAAATAGAAAGTTACTATTAGAATACCACAGGAACAATCATAGCAGATGAGATCCGTTAATGAGTGCTAAAGTTAGTAGGCAAAAGTTTAAGGAGAAATGAGATATTCACATAAACTCTGAATATCTCCTTCCAAATATTTGTTAATTACAGAAGGCAAAAATAGGAACTTTATGGTGGAGGTACCACCTTCACCAAGCAGTAGAGGTTGGCATCATCAGTAATGAAGCATGCTGACATCATGTGTGACCTGATACCATGTGATCAGATGAGAAGACACTTCATCTCATGGTATTCTTAACTGAAATCTTCAACCTCAGCCTAATTATCAGAAACCATTGGACAAATCCAAATGATGGGTGTGGTCAAATACCTCATCTGTACTCCTCAAAAGCGTCAAGGTCATGAAAGATATGGAAAGTCTGAGGAACTTTCACAGCCAGGAGGAGACAACGGAGGCATGATGGCTAAATGTGCTGTGGGATGCAGAATTGGATCCTGAAACAGAGAAAGAACATTAATGAGAAAACCGGAGGAATCTGGAGAAAGCCTATTGTTTAATTAGTAATAGTATCCAAATGTTAATTTCTTGTTTTGATCATTGCGCCATGATTACGAAAGATGTTAAGATTAGGGGAGGCTGGGTAAAGGGTCTCCAGGAACTCTCTGTTGCAGCACTTTACATCTTTGGAAGTCTTGTGTAAGTCTAAAATTATTTTCAAAGTAAAGCAGTTACAAAAGATAAGAAATGGGGTCATTATATGTAGGGAAAGGAGACAGAGAGCAAGATGGAAGGGATGGGGAGAAGCTAAATTTCTCAAAATACCCTGCTGTGTAGATTTGACTCTGATTATATATAAAATATTGTAAAAGTATTTTATATAATAATAACAAAATTAAACTTAAAAAGCAAGTCTTAAACATTGTGAGTAAAATGAAATAAATTATTCTAACTGTATATCAAATTGGTGACTACGTGGAGAGGAACAATTTCAAGAGACTTCAAAACAGTTATTTGATTGGGATGTAACCTAAGGGCAAAACAAACTGCAAAAACTGCAGTTATCAAGTATTGTTGGTAGTAAGGACAATATTGTGATTCTGAGGCTGTTACTAGTGTTTAATAATGACAGCGAAACACATAAAATATGTTTAATTCTGTAAGTTTATAATGATATTTGGAAAAAACAATTCAGTCACCTTTGTAGAATGTTAGAGAATCAACTCTTTATTTTGAAAATTGGTAAATTAAGACCAAGAATCAAGCCATTGTTCTACCTTTATTTTTTAGTTTTTTTTGAGAGATAGGGTCTGGCTACCCAGGCCGGCATGCCATGGAGCCTCCCTTCATAGCTCACTGCAACCTGGAACTCCTGGGCTCAAGCAATTCTCTTACCTCAGGAGACAGTAGATAGTCCTATCTACTATCTTCCAAGTAGATAGGATTATAGGCAAGCACTATAATTTTTTGAAATTTTTTAAAAATAGAGACAGGATTTCTCTTTGTTGCCTAGGCTGGTCTCAAACTCCTGGCCTCAAGCAATCTTCCCACCCTGGCTTCCCGAAGTGCTGGGAATACAAGTGTGAGCCACCATACCCAGCCCTATTCTACCTTTAAAAACAAAACAAAACAGAACAAAACAAAACCCTATGTAAACATAACCAAACATTCGATGAGGGGAAGTTTTTTCTTTTGAAATATTTCAACTAACACATGAAAAATTAGAATATTACCATGTTGCAACCTTCTAATGATGTCATGGGTTTAGCAATGATCATCAGTTACTGCTAACATTACATAAAAGAGACCACCATCCAAAGCGTGTCTCCTGAAAGAACTGCCCAATATAACCCATGAAGCATTCTTTGCAAAAAGGAATCTGAATCTAATTAAGCTTTTGTATTTGTATCCAGTGACCAATTTACAGAAAACACCATGGATGGAGGAACATTGGTCAATTCCATGGTGATGCAATCAGCGAAACTTAGATTGCTGACAGCTCTCTAAGGCAAACACCCTGCTGTCTTCAACAAATAAACTACAAGGGGAGAAAAGCCAGAAATGGAGGGAGAGCATATGGATTTTAAGTCTTATGAGACATATTAATCAGTTCTAATGTGTGAACCTCATTTAGATTTGATTTGAACAAACCTAAAAAGTGAGGTAATTGGGGAAATTTAAACATTGTCTAGACCATTGATGATGTTAAGGATTTATTGTAAAGTTTTTGAGTGTGACAGGAGCATTGTAGTTCTTTTTTGGATGAGTTTTATTTTTTAGAGAGACAGTATGAAATATTTATGGGGCAAATAATGATTTCAGGATTTGCTTCAGAATAATCCTGGGGCAGGGCATGGAGTACATGGAAACATAGTCCAAGAAAGTCTGGCCATGATTCAACCTACAGAATGGGAGAAAATTTTTGCAATCTATCCATCTGACAAAGGGCTAATATCCAGAATCTACAAGGAACTTAAACAAATTTACAAGAAAAAAACAACCCCATCAAAAAGTGGGCAAAGAATATGAACAGATACTTCTCAAAAGAAGACATTTATGCAGCCAACAAACATATGAAAAAAAGCTCATCATCACTGGCCATCAGAGAAATGCAAATCAAAACCACAATGAGATACCATCTCACGCCAGTTAGAATGGTGATCATTAAAAAGTCAGGAAACAACAGATGGTGGAGAGGATGTGGAGAAATAGGAATGCTTTTACACTGTTGGTGGGAATGTAAATTAGTTTGCCCGTCGTGGAAGACGGTGTGGTGATTCCTCAAGGATCTAGAACCAGAAATACCATTTGACCCAGCAATCCCATTACTGGGCATATACCCAAAGGATTATAAATCATTCTACTATAAGGACACATGCACACACGTATGTTTATTGCAGCACTATTCACAATAGCAAAGACTTGGAACCAACCCAAATGCCCATCAATGATAGACTGCATAAAGAAAATTCAGTACACATACACCATGGAATACTATGCAGCCATAAAAAAGATGAGTTCATGTCCTTTGCAGGCACATGGATGAAGCTGAAAACCATCATTCTCAGCAAACTAACACAGGAACAGAAAACCAAACACTACATGTTCTCACTCATAAATGGGAGTTGAACAATGAGAACACATGGACACAGGGAGGGGAACGTCACACACCAGGGCCTGTTGGGGGTGGAGGGCTAGGGGAGGGATAGCATTAGGAGAAATACCTAATGTAGATGACGAGTTGATGGGTGCAGCAAACCACCATGGCACGTGTATACTTATGTAACAAACCTGCATGTTCTGCACATGTACCCCAGAACTTAGAGTATAATTAAAAAAGGAAAGACTTGCCATGATTGATAATTGCTGAAGTTGGTTAATGGACACATGGAGGTTTATTAGACCCGTCTCTCTGCTCTTGTGTATTGAAAATTTTTTTATAAACATTCTTTTAAAAAGTAAGAGTTTTGGAGTCTGACAGACTTAACTTTGAATCCTCTGTCACCTATAAACTGCTTGCCCTTGAGCCATTTTTTAACCCTCATGGCTCAGTGTTCTGCTCTGTACAGTAGGCTGATAATCCCTGAGAGCTCAGAAGCACTGAGAGAAACCATTTGTAAAATGCTGAGGCCTGAATGAGCCCCTGGAGGCCCTCAAAAATGGCAGCTGCTATGATTATTGCGGATGTTGATGATGATCACTTTTACATCTTCATCTATGCAAAAACAATTAGTCACCTAGTGTTTCAAGTATTAGTACATACTGGAAGAATTTACTCTTCATTAACAAAATAGACACTCGAGTGTCAATTACTGATGTAAAACTCAATCTATCTTGTCAGTCGGTGCTTTTATAAAAGCATGCAGTAAAGCCTCGCTTCCAGCTGATGCTAGCACTTTATGCAGAGCCGTGAACCCAACAGAAATAGTTGACATAAGACTGGGTAGTTGACTCCATACTCATCTCCATGAGATGGTGAACAGCCAGGAAGCTGCCATGAAGTGGTCACCAGTGGAGTAACAAGCCACCTCTTCCAGCAATGTGTGTGTCACCTGGCTCCCAGGAATGCCTTGCAACGAGTACCAGCCTTCCTGACAGCAACTATGACATGCTTTCCCCAGAATGAGGAGGAACCTTTCAGGTTGCATCCTGTCCTTTCACGGGCTCAGGCATTGCCTGGATCTACTGTCGGCTAATCTGTTGCCTCATGGTACTGAGAACAAAATGTTCTTCTTTTTGTTCATTTATGCATTCATTGAATATTTTTTGGGTGACTACTATATGTCAGGATGGAAACACCTAAATGGACTTGGCCAGTTGGCTGTGAAGGAATATTATATGCTATTCTGAACCTCTATGTCATTTACTGATATATGCTTATAGAGCATAACTTGGCACCTGTAGATTTTGTCTGAAGTCCTTCTTTTTGTTCTTCTTGATTGGTGACATTCATGCATCCAGCCTTACAGTTTTGCTTGCACTCTCTGCCCCTTCCAGAAAGAGATAATTATTAACATCTAGTTCTGTAAAAATTCTGTTCCACCTCTTCTCTCTTTGAGGCACGAGGTACCTGTGAATGCCACTTTAACTCCTCCTACCCTCGCAAGTCCTGATTTTGTGCAAATATATTTCTTGTAGTCAGTTTTATTTCTTACACTTTCATGTTCGAATAAGAATGGCACAGCCGAGCGTGGTGGCTCACACCTGTAATCCCAACACTTTGGGAGGCTCAGGAGATCGAGACCATCCTGGCCAACATGGTGAAACTAAAAATACTAAAAATACAAAAATTAGCTAGGTGTGGTGGTGCGTGCCTGTAATCCCAGGCACTCGGGAGGCTGAGGCAGGAGAATCGCTTGAACCTGGCGGGCAGAGATTGCAGTGAGCTGAGATCGCGCCACCGCGCTCCAGCCTGGGTGACAGAGCGAGACTCTGTCTCAAAAAAAAAAAAAAAAAAGCACAAATAGCTAAGATTTTCTGAACTCTTACTCTGCTGGGACCTGGGACCTGTGCTCTCCACGTGCTGTGTAATCACAGGTCCTCTCCCTTCCACCATCAGCTGCCCTGTGGCTGTGCCCCTTCCTCTGTGTAATCACCCACCCTACCCCTTCCACCGTCAGCTGCCCCATGGCTGTGCCCCTTCCTCTGTTGGCCACATGGCACCCAGTCCCCAGGGTAAGGCACAGATTAGAAGTGATGTTGGTAGCAGTGGGAGGAAACAGAGGAGCCGTTAGAATCTAAGTGTATGCAAGAATATCTGAACTGGTCAAATCTCTAATTGTGAACAGCATACATACTCTGTTTCCCACCACAAAAATGTACAGCAGGGGCTTTTTACCAAAGCTAGTTTTTAAAGGTCTTGATCCTCACAGAGAAATTTTCTCTTTGAGAAGTGTATGGGAGCAACTGGTTTCTCAGGGGTGCCAGGTAAATGAGATGTTGCAATGTATTGCTTTCTTATATGCGTTTGTTCTATCTTAGTATGTTATCTTGGAACTTCTGGGCAACAGTCAATCTTTTAGGAGATGACTTAGGTACTATGTTTTTATTTAGACAGCAACAGAAGCTCCTGAGGAGCCCTCCACCCAGTATCTCCACATCACAGAGGCCGAAGAAGACGTTCAAGGGACACAGGCAGCGGTGGCCGCGCTCCAGGACCTGAGATACACCTCTGAGAGTGGTGAGGACGCCTGGTCTTCCTTTGCCATCTCAGAACTGTCTTTCCTAGACATGCTGAATGAATGCGTTTGCAGATGAATGATGTCCATCAGGTGATCTACTTCCGAATCCCTGACCCAGCGTTCAGACTGCAGAAGCAGCCCCATTGCCAGCCCCCAGAGATCTCTGCCTCCAGAAATGCTCTAGAACAGAGCCAAAGCAGAGGGAAAGCCTTCGAACAGGGCCGCAAGAGTCCCTCACATCTCTTACCACATTTAATTCTCTGAACCGCCTTGTGAGGGGAGGAGATCTGACTATTCTCACTTCACAGATGCAGAAGGTTGCTTTTCATTGTTAATGGTTGGCTAATGGTTAATGGTTGTTAGTGGTTGACTGAGGGTCACCCACTTTAGGGTGTTGGAGCTCATCCTGGAATCTGGGTCTCCTAACTTCTTGTCACGGCATCATCCCATTCCATGCTTCCTCAGGGACATCTCCTCCAGGGCCTACAGGGGCCAGGCAGGCAGTGACAGGAGGTGGTGTGGGCTCAGTGGGTGGTAGAGAGTAGCAGAGACTCTGGCGTGCAGGGGGTCACTTTGCAGACCTGAAAGACCAGGATCGCTCATTCTCCAAGTCCTTCCCAAAAGGCCCAGTCAGGATTTTTACATCAAATGTCATGATTTTCAAATGTTAAATCAGTTCTAAAAAAAACAAGCCACTGTACCAGCCTAGTGGCAGTTGGGGCATTATGCTTAGAAAACAGTTTTTCTTGATGCTCTTTTTAAAAGATGAACAGAACACAAGTTAATGTTTCATACCACAGCCCTGTACATATCTGGAGGGCAGAGGTCAAGCAGGTTGGGTTAAAAGGGAAGCATTAGGTGAAATGAAACGGTGATAGGAAATAGGAGTTAGAAAGACACCATTTTTACCCAGTTCCTAAAACCCCAAACTCCAGATTGTAAGAAAGCTGCACAGAAAACTCCTGTGGGCCAGTTGGTTTAGGGAAGATTAATGGACAGGGCTGTGTTCACTGCCTGCTGAGCTGCAGGGAATTCAGGAGGCAGTGCCTCCACTTCTGCAGACGGGAGAGTCGAGGCCCAGCTGTTAAATGTGGCTCTCAGCACTGAGGTTCTGTCAGAACTTGAGTTTCCTTCCATGATGTCCAGTGACATCAGTGATTGCTCATGGCCTACAAGATGCAGCCTGTCTGTCTTCATCCCCTATGAGCACACACACACCCCCCACACACACTCTCACTCTCAGACTCACTCACTCTCTCACTCCTTCTAAGGCCCTCCGATGTCTCTTCCTAGCTCTTAACTTTGCAGCTGAAAAGGCCAGGCTCAGCTTCTCTGGCTCCTGCCTGGCCTTGTCACTGTCTCTTGCCACCCCATTCCTGGGCTGTGCTTCCCTCTGCCAGATTTGCAGCTCTCAGAAGGGACACACGCTCCAGTGCTCCCTGGGGTATGGCCTGGTTTCTTCTCCCTCACAGCCTTTTTCTGCCAAACTCATCCTCATCTTCAGTACTCAGACTGCAGGTCACCTCCTGAGAACCCCGTCCCTTTTCTGCACTGTTTCCTAATTGCACTCCTGACATGGGAGCTGCCAGGTGCTGTAAGGATTTGCTTACAGTCTGGCTTAGGAGGTTGTGAGCCCTGGGAGGAGTCGGGGGGTGAGGGGGAAGGGGTAGGGCTTTGTCTTTATTCTTAGCAGGAGCAATAATGCTAGGGCTTGATAAAGGGTCATTAAGGGAGTCCATGGATGCGGAATTAGAACCTCGCCTCAGTAAGTTGCACAGGTAAATGTTTTCGTCCTTGCATGTTCGGAGTGGTTGGCTGCAAGGTACATTTGCACCATTTCCCTTAAGGGGCATGTGTTTGGGGGTGCCGGCGATGCATTGTGAATATAAGTCCGCCACTGCCTCAGCCACTGGCTTGTCCTACCTTCTGCATGAGACACGTTGAGTTCCCCTTCTCTGATCTCTTATTGATTGACTCGCATTGGAACACGGCCCACAGAAAGCTGCCCATGAGGATGAAAATGTTGGCAGAGACTGCATAATATCATGCTGAGGTGGAGATCAAGCAGTCATTTCTCTTTTAGTAAATTAGTGATCAGGGTCAGGGTGTGCTCAGGACGGTTGCAGATGGCCTGGCAGATGGTGGGAGCAGGCGGGGATACTAAATAGCTGCCTGATGATGCAGAATCCCGTCTTTAGAGATGGTTAAAATAGAACCCCCAGCTTCAATTGGTTTGGAGTTCCAAAGCCTACTCGTTGAATAATTGATACATCTTTGGATGTTTTGCCCATAACTTGTGGAATTTCTTGGCACACACTTTCATTGAGTCTGCGGCTGAACGGGCTTGCTGGGTGCTCCCAGGAGTTCAGCTTCGAGGGCAGCCACATGTCCGCATGTTAGGACTCAGAGCACGTGGGTTCAAGTTCTGGCTTTGTGGTGTAACTGACTCAGTGGCCCAAATGAGGCTTCTACAAAATGCAAATAACGTCTCAATGTCCCATCCTCACAGGGTTGCTTGGGGTTTTGAGATGTTCTTATAGAAAATGCTTTGTAAGCTATAAAGCACTATACAGATTATTTCTGTTGTCAAACTGAGCGATTACGGAGAGCCCATGCATCCTCTGGAGAAGGCGTCACCCGAGAGAACAGACAGGCTGGTTTTGCATTCCATGTCCTTCAGCACCAGTGGCCTGAATGGTGTCCTCTTTGCTTCTTCCTCTTAAGGCGACCGACTGGACCCCACGGCCGTGAACATCCTGCAGCAGATCATTGAGCTGGGCGCCGAGACCCATGACGCCACTGCCCTTGCCTCGGTGGTTGCCATGGCACCAGGGACGGTGACTGTGGTTAAGCAGGTAGGGACCCTCCTTCTGTAACTATTCATCTCTGTGTGTCTCACAGTCAGGTTCTCTCCTTCTCCCTGTGTTTCTAAGTCTTTAACTTACCTGAGGTAGAACTTGGAATGAAATTGGTCTAGTCTCATACCTTTTCTTATTCTACCTCTGATCTCATGGGAGTGCTTCTTCAATAGCTCTATATGTGGGAGGTGTTTGGGGGAGAGATATAGTATATTAAAAAAAAAAATTCTGGAAACTCTCCATTCATTTTCTTTCAAAGAGTCCCAGAGTGAAAATGAGCATGATGTGGACCATTGAGACACATCTCTGATGAAAACAGCTCTCAGTGCCTAAGGCGCCATTAGTAAATTGAGCTAGTAGGATGCATGGGGGTAGCCGGAGAAGCCAGGAGGATTTCCCAGTGGACTGGCCTTCCTAAATAGTAACCACCCGATCAGATCAACACAGGATACTGCTCTGGTAGGAAGAGATGATCAGTTTTGGAATAAAGGTTACTCCACTTAATTAATCCTTTATCTGCTTGGCTCATTTCCTTTTCTGCCCTCAGTGGAGACTTCACCATCTGTTAAAATGCAATGTGTTTGATAATTAGGTCATCCTTTTTATCTGTTTATACCTGTGTCTCTATCTGCTACCTCCTGTTTCATTTTACAAAAGATTTTAGCTGGCTTACACAAATACTTTAAAAAACAGAAAACCAAAATAGGAAATGCATCAAAACCAGGGAAATATATAATCTGAAATCAAAGTTCAAGTTCACAGAGAAAGAAGAAATGCAAACCATGGAGTTTCTGACATTTAGCCAGTCCTGTATTGATTCATTTGGTATTTATTGAGTGCTTACTGTTGTCAGGCAGAGTTCCAGTTGCTGGGATCTAGGAGAGAACCAGTGTCTGCCATCATGGTGGTTATTTTCCAGTGGGGAAAAGGATAAAGCTCGAATAAACCAGTATGACATAAAGGATGTCAGATGGTGAACAAGTGCCAGGAGAAAAGTAAAGCAAGGGAAGTGGGAGAGGAGTGGGGTCCAGGAGTGTGGGTTGGGGTGATTTTGTAAAGGGTTGTTGGGGAAGATCTCTGACATCCGAGGAGAGACCTGGAAGAGGTGTGTATTACTAGAGTTGTCTGAAATTGACTAAATTTGTTACTGAATTGTGTAACAGAAAACAAAAAGGAGACGTTAAACAGTTAACTCAGGAAGGGGGTTAGCTTTTCTTGGCACTAACAAATAAGATATTTCTTAATGAGGCACTCACATAAGGACGCCTGAGTGATGTGTGCCTGGTGACCTCATGAGCCAGGAGGGGACATCCCAGCGCTGTCTCCACAACTGTCCCCTGAGTGTGCCCAGGGCACAATGCAAAGCATGAAATTCAGGCCAAGTAGTTCTCTGGGGGAATTAGTAAGTACATTCAGGTTCACCTCTTGGGTTTCTTGACCTACGGACAAGACTTAGCATATCTAGATGAATGTTTGGATCACATGTCCTAAAATCCCTCCTCCACAGTGTGATTTCTCTCAGGAGTCGAGCTGGAGAGTAGGCAGGGGGATGCTTCAGTCTGTAGCAACCTGGTATCTGCGTTGGCTGAGAAAAGATTCATACACTTCCAGGCTAAGTACCTTTTTAGCTTTTCTTGGTGTTTACTAGATTGCAGTCTTCAGATTGTCTTATAAATATCTTCTGAAACTCCTCATTTGCATCTTGACATGTGGAGTCCCCAGCTGGACCTGGTACTTTAGGAAGGGTCTCTCTGGGATGGTATCAGGAGGACTTTGAATGTTTCATACACGCAAAATCCTTTTGAGAGTGCAGGAAGGTGCTTCTGGTTGTGACTTGTGTCTTGTTTCTGAGAACTAGATTGATTTGCTGCTGCTGGGAGACATGATTTATTGAGCCTCGCAGGCAATGCAGTGATACACGAGGTCACAGGGGTTGGGTTATAGCTTAGATATGCTTTGAGGCATCAGACTGACAGCACCACAAGGGATGAGGCAGATAAGCATCCAGAACGACCAGTGTCGACAAGCTAAATGTGTTTGCGGGAGGAGAAAACAGTGCCGCCCTTCTGAGGATCTTCTTTCTTATTGCAAACACAGCAAAGAGTGGTGCTGTTGAACACAGTCGTGGGGAACTGCATTTGGAAATGTTCCCCAAGAAGGTGTATGTCCTGGCCATTATCTTGTCTGCCTGGCCCCGCACCTCGCTCACGGTGGCTGTTGATAAATGACAGAGAGGAGAGTGGGTGGACAGACTGATGGGCGGGTAGACGCTGAGCACCACTCCTATAGCAAAGGAAATGAAGTGTTTCAGGCTCTCCCAGGTGAAAGGATGCCCTCTGAATTCCATTGTCGTATAGTTTAAATTGAAATATAGCAGTATTTATTAGAAAAATTGGTTTCAACCTTTTTCTTTTAATTAAACTCTGGTTTAGGATTTTTTCAGTCAAGAAATTATATCTGCTTAATAACTGTGCTGAAGCAATGAAATGTGAACTCTGTTGCACCAGTTGGAAAGAGGAAAGCTTTTCCTCCTGTGGGAGGGACCTTGATGTCAGGGGCTTTCTCTTGCTCAAACCCAAGACATCACACATAGTAGTTGCTTAAAAAATGTTATGAAATAGAATTGACTATGTTGGAGGTTTTGATTCTTCAATTGTATCCTACAAATCAGTATTGCCGGAGAGAAAAAAGCAAGAATTCCTCATCATAAAGTATGTGATGTATATCGCAGAACAATGTTTCAGATTACTATGGGATAGCATCTTTTGAGATCTTTTTGGATCTCTTTTATATACATCTTCCACAAGACCAAAAACAAAACAAATTCTACATTGTACATAAGTTGCTTCTGGATGGTTAAACATTTCAAAATTTATTTCTCATAAACAAATAGATATATACTCTATTTACAATTTTTCATGACTTGTTAATGTTAATTGAAAAGAATCTTATATATCAAAATTCATCAATAATCACTGAAAGGGATTAATCCCAAGTCTTCTGGGGTTTTCAGCTTCTGGGATGAAAGTAATGGCAGGCCTGGTACGGGGCTGGCAGTGTTGGAGAGAAGAGAGCTGGGAAAAAACTGTTTGCTTCTTGGTCTTTAAAGAGACAAGGAAAAGATTTTGCCCATAATTGAGACCATTTAAATTCTTTGTTGGACACAGAAATCTGTCCTCAACGACTTCTTGTCACTTTCCCTCTTTTCTTGAGTGTTGGCATTAAAAATAGATTCATGGGGCCCGAGCATCTCCCAACGCTCAGAAAGAATCATGCTTGCGTGCCCCACTCCAGCCTGGCAGAAGGGCCCAGATGAGAACCTGAGTGCAACTAAATGTGTGTTTGTTAAACCTGACAGTTTTCATTAAATAAGGTGATTACTTTTGTTAGTGTTGTTAAATCTTGCGTTAAGGTTTTATGAGGAGGAAATTTGTATTTGATAAATAGAACTGCCTAAGAAGGTAAATGGAAGACAGCTAGCCGCACAGGAAATGCTATCATGAGCATCTCTGAGTCAAAATTAGTTATTTAAAGGAAAAGAAAAACCAAAGAAAATAACAGCAATAGTCATCACCAGTGGCTCATGGCTTAAATCACTGATGGATGTTCTTATGATTAAATTTTATTTTAGACTCAAAGTAACATTGTATGTATGGTTGACGGGCACTCATTTAGCAGGCATTTACTGAGCAACCACTCTGTGTTCAGTCTCTGGTTGTGTTAATTTCCTATTGCCACTGCCACAAATTACCACAAATTTATGGTTTAAAACAACACAAACTGATACTGTCTTACAATTCTGGAGGTCAGAAGTCTGCAGTGCTTCCTGTGCTAAACTCAAGGTGTCGAGAGAGCTACAGTGTTTCTGGGAAAGATTCCTTTCTTGCCTTTTTGGGCATCTAGAGGCCACCTGCACTCCTTGACCCGAGGCTCCCTTCCTCCATCCCCAGAGCCAGCAACGGCAGGCTAAGGTCTGACATCCACTCACTCTGACCTCTGTTTCCAGGGGCAAATTGCGATTGCCAGCCTTCCTACTCCCTTTTTAAAGGGCCCTTCTGATGACATTGGACCCACCCAGATAATCCAGGACTGTCCACCTGGGATGGCTTCTCTGTCACCAGCTCCTTAATGTGATCACATTTACACATTCTTCTTTGCTATATAAGGCAACATATTCACAGGCCTCAAAGATGAGGACATGGACAGCTTTGGTTGAGGGGTGCGGGCATTACTGTGCCCACCACACTGGGCTACAGAATTAAGATTGTTCCTGCTCTCAAGAGGCAAATAGTCTAACAAGGGAAATGACTTATTTTTTCATGCAACAAATATACCTTGAGCTGCTTTTACCAGCCA
The DNA here is from genome assembly GCF_000001405.40 of Homo sapiens. Lineage (NCBI taxonomy): Eukaryota > Metazoa > Chordata > Mammalia > Primates > Hominidae > Homo > Homo sapiens. The sequence goes on along the minus strand of NC_000008.11, from coordinate 134,505,259 downwards.
GTCACTGTTCTCAGCACTTGGGATATTTCAGTGAACATATCAGGTGAATGATATGGTCGAGAAGCTTACGTTTTAATTGGGGTAGATAGCCAATCCATATACATGTAATAAGTAAATTATAATAGTACGTTAGAGGCAAAAAGTACACTGGAAAAAAGAACAATCAGAACTGGTCAAGAGGTATGGAAAATGCAGCCTTAAACAGGCAGTTCCGATCGAGAGTGATGAATGCTTCAGGGAGGTGGCCCAGGGACCCAGGAGTGCTGTGGGGAGCACCAGGGGCCCGTGTACCTGGGTCTGGGGTGGGGGCAGGTGCTGAGCAGGGAGGCCTTGTGAGTGTAGGGTGGGAGCAGGGCTCCAGGCAGGAGTGGGTACAGGAGCTGGTGGCTGGCGCCAGCTGGGTGACTGGAGGCAGAGGTAGGGGTGGTGGAAGAGGGCCTGCATAGAGTAATGACTTGCCTGGTTGTAACATGGGCCAAGGATTCCAAGTCTCGGAAGTATCTCAGCCTGGTCTCTCCCTTCCGCCCTTCTGCCCACTTGGAGTCCAAGCAGTTTATAGCCTTATGGCATGTCCTAGGGCATAATGTCCTTTGGCCATGGGCTTCCTGACCTATGTTACCCTCTTGAAGTCATGTTGGCGTTTTTAACAAATGACAATTTCTTGGTTCTTGCAAATAGTGAACCTGCACTGAGCATTCCTGCCCCTTGATATTTAGCAGAACAATCAGTGCCTGTCTAAGACTGTCACTGACATTTGTCTTGGCCTCTTGTTCCTGGGTTCACCGAGCCAGCTACTGCACCGTGCCCTTTCTTCTTTCCCTGGGGGTGTTTTAAGTAATAAGTACACCTTATGATGACACAGCATCTTCTTTTTAAGAAGGTCAGGATGATTGAACAGTTTGCCTTTATGATAATCTTCGGTCTTTCTGAGTTTTGTGTTAATTTTGTATTGTTTTTACTGCTGAGGGTTTGCCCTAAACAGCAGACTGGGGGTGCTAGGGCATTGTGGGGTGTCAGCCTCTGAGGTGGGGGAGGGAGTTGGGCTCCCAGTGAAGTGGTGTGGGTCATTCGTTCATTGTACAAGTTACTTTTCAGTCCATGTGCACATACGAATGGCCAGGACACTCCCCTGTGTACAAGAGCTTACCTGATGCAGTCTTGTCCAAGTGAGGCTGTCCAGCAGCATGCACTTTACCAAGCCTGCTTCTCTGTGACTCGGCCACCATTCCTGCTTTACTGAGACCTGATAAGAAATACGTTGTGTTTGTCAGAGTTTCTTAGAGAAACAGAACTCATAGGGGTGTGTGTGTGTTCGTGTGCGTGTGCGTGTGTGTGTGTGTGTGTTTGTGTTCAAAAGAAGGAATTGGCTGATGTGACTGTGGAGGTTGACAAATCCCAATGTCTGCTGTCAGCAAGCTGGGGTCCCAGGAGAGCCAATGGTGTGACTCCAATTTGAAGGCTGGCAGGCTTAGGACACAGGAAGGGCCAGTGTTTCAGCTTGAGATCAAAGGCAGGAAAAACCAGTGTCCTGGCTTGAAGGCTGTTGGGAGGAAGAATTCCCTCCTTTTCAAAAGGGGAGGGTCACCTTTTTAATTCTATTTAGGCCATCAGCTGATTGGATGGGCCCCACCCACACTAGGGAGGGCCATTTGCTTTATTCAGTCTGCCAGTTTAAATGTTAATCTCATCCAAAAACACCATCACAGCCATACCTAGAATAATGTATGACCGAATATCTGGGCACCCATGGCCCAGTCAAGTTGACATATAAAATGAACTATTACACATGTACAAATATGTTTCAGGGTATGAGTGTCTGTTTTGTCAGTGAAAAACTGTTATTTGCTTCAAGGGTGAAATTCTCAGTTTCACAGAGACAATTTTGGTGGACAGATTTCATGGTGATTTAGTAGCTTCCAGAAAACACATCCATTGGCAGATCCGTATTTCTATCACAGCTGAGATTTTGGTTCAAGATTCAGGAATCAGCTCTATCCTGTGTATCCTTGAGAGAGTGACAGCTGAGGACTGTGCCAGCATGGCACACTAACCCCCAGGAGTCCTCCATGGAGCACCAGCACTCCACTCAATCCTCCTGGCCATGAGTAAGCAAACCATTGTTGCCACTGCCCCCATGGGAGTAGATGTCTAGTAGGAACTAGTGTTAGCAGCACTCTACGTGGCAGGCCTTTGTCTCTGTCCACATCAGGCATTTCCCCTGCAGCCCAGGAGTTGGCTGCCCTGGCTTATGAGCCTGGGGTGGGGATGGGGTGTCACACACACTGCCTGCCAGTTTTAGTGCCTCCTGGGGTTGCCCCTCTCTTTTGTTGGTTGTTTTCCTGCAATGTGCTAGATGCTTCCACACTGTGTGCTGGGGCCTCAGTGGGAAGGAGCAATTTGGACTGCCTCAGACCCATGGGCACCCACCTCTTCCCCATGAAGGCCCTTAGCCGGGCACAGCACAGAATTATTCTGCCTTAATCTTGTTCAAAATCCCAAGTGCTCCTCTGACATGCTTTAACCACTGATCAAAACGAAACAAACAGAAAACCAAGCAGGAACTCCAGCTTTGCCCAAATCACCCCACCTTCTTCTCCCAACTGCTTCTACACAACCTTTGCCACCTTCAGCCTTCAAGTGGGTCCCCGTGATGGTTGGCAGTGTTGGGAGAAGAGCAGGCAGAGCCCCCACCCTGGGCTCAGCATACAGCGTGAAGCCTGAGAGGGAGCTTAAGTAGCAGTTCTTGCTGGAAGACATATGTTGGTTGCCAGCCAGGGTTGGAATTGCTGTTTGTTATTTGCAGTTCATTGTTTTTTGCAAGAAAAGGCACTCTACTTCAGTGGAGACCATATACACCAGTTGCCTGTTTGCAAGGAAGTGCATGTCCAATCTGTCGTGTTTTAATTTAAGGCACTGAGTAATGTGGTCCCCTGACCCCTTTCTCACTGCCCATCTGGACAAGGGCTCCTGGTAGGGAGAAGCCGCTCTGCAGAAGGGACTTCTCAAGTGCAGCCTCTGGCTTGAGAGAAGCCTGGTGCCCTGTGGGCCACCTGAAGGGATGCTCAGACTGGCCTCCTCCCATCGGGGGGCAGATGTTGAACATTTTATAAGACTTGTGGTGAAATAATGAGGAGGGGGGATCTAGAAAGTGACTCTATGAGGCTTCAAAATCTATTTTTATTTTTACTTTTAAAAACAAGCGCTCTATTCTACAACTGTGATTGTAGCTACACAGCAAAAGATCTGAAAGAAGAACCACATTGGTGCAAGATACTCTTCTAACTCTTTACAGATTGTGGTGTAAGAGAGCCTGGCCATCTGAATTGTCTTAAAGTGGGACCGAGATGAGATCTCTTCTCTAATCCTAGCCACAAAAAGGATTGAGTGAAGTCCATCCCATTTTTCTGTTACCCTCTAAGCTCGAATAACTGGTGAGTTAATGGAATTTTCCTTTTCTTGTTCCCACAGAGGCACTTTTTTGACTTCTACTATAAACAAGTCTCTCCCTAACTTCAACACAATTCTCACAGTGCAGATAAAAGGAGAGTCACTGGCTGGCTTTTCTCTTTTCTTTCCACTCACCTTTCCCCTTCAAAGCCTCCTTTGACTTCATTTCATCTTGCCTGTGCGTGTGTGGTACATTACAATAGCAGACCTGTATTCTCTCGCACCGTAATGGAACCCTAGCATCTTCAGTTGTATCATTTACTCCACTTTCCCGTAACGGTTTTTTTCTGTCATTATTGTGGCTCATCTAAGGAATCAAATCCTTCCAAGAAGATTAAGAGTATGTATAATTGTAAAAGAATTGATGGTAACAGCAGTTTCCATCTGCCATAACTGCTTGTATTTTCTGTTACTCTTCATTGTATTTGGATGTCACACCCACTCCATCCTTGCAGCCTCTGTAGTGTAATGAGTCACGATGGATTCAAAGGCCTGTGGAAGACCCAGGCAAGAGAATTGCATGTGTCCTCTGTAGGCGGGCAAATTGGTTGCGTATCTCCAGGACCGAGAGCATAGGCACCCAGTGTGCTTCTTAGGCCTCAGATGATCTAATACTAGATTCTTAGGCATATGCTCAGGATTTCTAATAGATACCTATAATCCAGGTTTCACTTTTATCTTTTAATGCCAAGTCCTTTTGATCTTTGTAAAATACTGAAGTCTCACTGATGACTTTGTTTTTTTCCCTATATCCTAGCCCTTACTGTAATGACAACCACTTTTCAGCTGCACGCTTTTGTTGGTTGGTGAGGTTAGGCTCCTGCCTAATGAACTCTGCAGTGCAATTTATTTGATCCCGGGCCTCTGCCAACTTTAATTGTATGAAACTCCTAATTATACATGCAGGTAGCCTCTTAAAAGTGTTCTCATACTTGGCATTCCTTATATAATGTTCTTTCTGTTGTTGCGGAATGGTGATCTTTAGCATGTAGATTCAGAAACAAAAAGTTCATTCAGAGTCTTGGCAATAGGTTACTCTCCCTTGTCACTTAATGCCAGCTCTTGTCCTTTGTAGGCCTTTCCTAGTTCTCCTGTGGTTGTTTGAACCTTTTCTTTTTCTTTGTCTTAACTAAAACTTTTTTCAGAGACTTCTGCTTCTGGTATGACTTTGGATGGCTGCTACTCCACATTGCATCCTTTCCCAAAGCTCTTTTGTTACTTGCTGAGCTCTCTTACACCATAGTAGTTACAGAAAATTCCATTTCTTTGTGAAATTTTTAAAGTAAAAATAGGCCCCATGATATATCTGTGGCCATATGAGAAATGGTCTGAAAACATAGAGAACAAAGGTTATTCTCTGTTTCATTATGGTGCCTTTTTCCCATGCAAGCCATCCTTAGCTAACCTGAGTATGCTCATCTATCCAACTTCACTTTTCTTCCTTTTCCTAAGTCCCCATCTTTCTGTTATTATGCCCCAAGAAGCTACAGCCTTGGTTGGTGCTATTTGCAGAATCCCACTTTATTTGAGTTTTAATACTGCTGAGTTTATTACTGTTTGCTTGGTGCCTGTTTCCTGACCCATGTCCTTAGCCAAGGCAGGTCGGTTTTAATTGACATCTCCCCTCCAGGCAGCTTCACCCTGGGAAGTTGTCCTTGCTGGCTGAGATCACTTGGTCTATTTCAAGTTTGGGGTCAAGGCCAGGCTGTAATAGCCCTGACGGGAGTGAGGCAGAGCTGTCCCGCATATGGAGGAGAGCGCTGCGGGCCCTCTGTAGACTTGTCCTGCCTCAGGCTGGCCCTTGTTTTTCATTCCCACCAGAACAGTAGTCTCCATCCTGGCCGGAGGGATTCCCGGAAACAAGAACTCTTAGTGTCCCCCTCCTTCCTACTCCTCCTATCCATCTGGTGTCCCCAGCTGGTGGAGGGCCTCTTGCCTCCTTGCCTCTCCCACCGGACGTCTGCCCTGTCAGCACATGTGGTGGCCTCCTGCTTCACAAGGGGCCTCAAATGTCCCTCTGGCCCCCGGCCTTACCGCCTTCAGTTAAGCCCTTGCTACTCAAAACGTAGTCCCCCGGCCAGCAGTGTCAGCATCAGGGGGCTTGTGAGAAATGCAGAGTCGCTGGCTCCACCGCACCCCTCCCAAATCAGGCTCTGTGTGTAACCAGCAACGGGGGCATCACGGCTCCACCCCGACCCTCCCAAATCAGGCTCTGTGTGTAACCAGCAGCGGGGGCATCCCAGCTCCACCCCGACCCTACCAAATCAGGCTCTGTGTGTAACCAGCAACGGGGGCATCCCAGCTCCATGCCAACCCTACCAAATCAGGCTCTGTGTGTAACCAGCAACGGGGGCATCCCAGCTCCGTGCCAACCCTACCAAATCACGCTCTGTGTGTAACCAGCAACGGGGGCATCCCAGCTCCACCACAACCCTCCCAAATCAGGCTCTGTGTGTAACCAGCAGCTGGGGCATCCCAGCTCCACCCCGACCCTACCAAATCAGGCTCTGTGTGTAACCAGCAACGGGGGCATCCCAGCTCCACCCCGACCCTACCAAATCAGGCTCTGTGTGTAACCAGCAACGGGGGCATCCCAGCTCCACCCCAACCCTCCCAAATCAGGCTCTGTGTGTAACCAGCAGCAGGGGCATCCCAGCTCCACGCCAACCCTACCAAATCAGGCTCTGTGTGTAACCAGCAACGGGGGCATCCCAGCTCCACCCCGACCCTACCAAATCAGGCTCTGTGTGTAACCAGCAACGGGGGCATCCCAGCTCCACCCCGACCCTACCAAATCAGGCTCTGTGTGTAACCAGCAACGGGGGCATCCCAGCTCCACCCCGACCCTACCAAATCAGGCTCTGTGTGTAACCAGCAACGGGGGCATCCCAGTTCCACCCCAACCCTACCAAATCAGGCTGTGTGTGTAACCAGCAACGGGGGCATCCCAGCTCCACCCCGACCCTACCAAATCAGGCTCTGTGTGTAACCAGCAACGGGGGGCATCCCAGCTCCACCCCGACCCTACCAAATCAGGCTCTGTGTGTAACCAGCAACGGGGGCATCCCAGCTCCACCCCAACCCTACCAAATCAGGCTGTGTGTGTAACCAGCAACGGGGGCATCCCAGCTCCACCCCAACCCTACCAAATCAGGCTCTGTGTGTAACCAGCAACGGGGGCATCCCAGCTCCACCCCGACCCTACCAAATCAGGCTCTGTGTGTAACCAGCAACGGGGGCATCCCAGCTCCACCCCGACCCTACCAAATCAGGCTCTGTGTGTAACCAGCAACGGGGGCATCCCAGTTCCACCCCAACCCTACCAAATCAGGCTCTGTGTGTAACCAGCAACGGGGGCATCCCAGCTCCACCCCGACCCTACCAAATCAGGCTCTGTGTGTAACCAGCAACGGGGGCATCCCAGTTCCACCCCAACCCTACCAAATCAGGCTGTGTGTGTAACCAGCAACGGGGGCATCCCAGCTCCACCCCAACCCTACAAAATCAGGCTCTGTGTGTAACCAGCAGCAGGGGCATCACGGCTCCACCCCAACCCTACCAAATCAGGCTCTGTGTGTAACCAGCAACGGGGGCATCCCAGCTCCACCCCAACCCTACCAAATCAGGCTCTGTGTGTAACCAGCAACGGGGGCATCCCAGCTCCACCCCAGCCCTACCAAATCAGGCTCTGTGTGTAACCAGCAACGGGGGCATCCCAGCTCCACCACAACCCTCCCAAATCAGGCTCTGTGTGTAACCAGCAGCAGGGGCATCACGGCTCCACCCCAACCCTACCAAATCAGGCCCTGTGTGTAACCAGCAGCGGGGGCATCCTGGCTCCACCCCAACCCTACCAAATCAGGCTCTGTGTGTAACCAGCAGCAGGGGCATCACGGCTCCACCCCAACCCTACCAAATCAGGCTCTGTGTGTAACCAGCAGCTGGGGCATCCCGGCTCCACCCCAACCCTACCAAATCAGGCTCTGTGTGTAACCAGCTGCTGGGGCATCCCGGCTCCACCCCAACCCTACCAAATCAGGCTCTGTGTGTAACCAGCAGCAGGGGCATCACGGCTCCACCCCAACCCTACCAAATCAGGCTGTGTGTGTAACCAGCAGCGGGGGCATCCTGGCTCCACCCCAACCCTACCAAATCAGGCTCTGTGTGTAACCAGCAGCAGGGGCATCACGGCTCCACCCCAACCCTACGAAATCAGGCTCTGTGTGTAACCAGCAGCTGGGGCATCCCGGCTCCACCCCAACCCTACCAAATCGGCTCTGTGTGTAACCAGCAGCTGGGGCATCCCGGCTCCACCCCAACCCTACCAAATCAGGCTCTGTGTGTAACCAGCAGCAGGGGCATCACGGCTCCACCCCAACCCTACCAAATCAGGCTCTGTGTGTAACCAGCAGCAGGGGCATCCTGCACATTAGAATTTTAGAAGCCTGTTCTCAGCTGTCAGTCCCCCTCCTCTGGCTCACAGAGGATGCTGTTCTCTTTCCATCCTGCTGCTCTGAGATGCAGTTTTCACATAGAAGCCAGGGCGATCTTTTAGAAGTATCATTACATCACAGCAACCCTTACTTTAAAATCCTCCAATAACTCAGAACGTCTCCAGTAAACTTAGAATAGAAGCTCTCCATCGCCCACCAGGCCTGACAGCAAGGTGCCCACCTCTTTCCCTCCACTTTCCTTCTTGCTTCATGGTGGGATGTTTCAAGAAGACCTACCCCGCCCGTGCTGACTGTGGGAGGCGCAAGATCCGGGAGCAGCTGCCTCTGCATAAAAGCAAACACTCCAAGAAGGAGCACGACCTATGGGGGCGGGGGTCCCTGCATGTCAGGATAACCCCTGCCCGTTAGGACACATCAGGTTAGACCCGGTGGTCAGCTTCAGCTGTTGGATTGTCAGGTCCTTCCTGCCCTGAGGGGGCAATTAGGAAGGGAATATTTTCAGAGGGGCAGAAGCTCTCCTCCCTCTCCAGGCAGTGGTGAAGATGGGGCCACGGGGAGGAGTACCCTCCCTCACCCCGTCACAGTTCTTAGGAACTGTGTCACAAACCATATCTAGTGTGGTTGGTTATACACATGGCTTTTCCCCCCAGCAAACTGGAAGCTCCATGAGAGCAGGTGACAATTTGGTCTCACCCATCTCTGGGATCTCTAGCACTTGGCTCAGGGCCTGGTACATTTTAGAGGCTTCATACGCATTCAAAACCGTGAATTCCAGATCAGATGTTGGGAAGCTGAGCTAGTGGGGCCCAGTTGCCCTGGGTGTGACTTGTGCTGAGCAGCCTCATGCTCTCCAGGCTGGCAGTGCATACCCTACCACAGGAGCTGCAGGCCTCTGGGACAGAGCTCCCCTGCCCCGGATGGACAGCACAACGGGTTATCTCTGGAGAAGCCCGTTTCATGGGAGTCACCCCAGCTCATGTCACAGTGGATGGAGGAGTCCTTGGCACAGCCAGTGGTGTAGCAAGGGGCTAAAAGACAGCCAGACTGTTTGGGTTGGATCTGTCACATAATAGTGTGTGACCTTGGACAAAACACTTCTCTTCTTTGAACTTGTGTTTCCCCATCTGTATAATGGGAAGATCATGGAACTTACTCCAAGGGGCTGTTGTATGCATTATACCTAATTATGCAAAATGAAGCCACTGGCCCTGTGCCTGGCACGTGGCTGAGTCAATAAATCTTAGCTCCTGTGATCATGGAAACAGCATAGCTCCTTTCCTCTTACTGTGCATGTAGAATTCAGCCACAGCTGTTTCTGCTTCTGGTCGCTTCCATTTAGCAGGTGAGTGCTGATGCTGGTGTTGTCTAGGCTCTATGCTTGGCATCAGGAGTCCAGGGTGGATAAGACACCAACTTTTTTTTTTTCTTTGAGACAGGGTCTCACTCTGTCACCAAGGCTGGAGTACAGTGGCGTGATTATGGCTCACTGCAGCCTCAACCTCCCCTACTCAAGCGATCCTCCCACTCCAGCCTCCAGAGTAGCTGGGACCAAAGGCATGAACCACTGTGCCTGGCTAATTTTTGTATCTTTTCTAGAGACAGGATTTTGCCATGTTGCACAGGCTGGTCTCGAGCTACTGGGCTCAAGTGATCTGCCCACCTTGGCCTCCTGAAGTGTTGGGATTACAGGCGTGAGCCACCACACTGTGCCAGGTACCACCTCTCATGGCAGAGCTTATTGCTTGGTCCAGGGAGGTAAACACATAGTTACACAAATTAACATGATTGTGGCTCAAAATCATTTGACCCCTTACAAACTCCAGTTGTTGAGTCATTGTGAGTAATTCCCTTAGAGGAGGCCCTGGGGGAGGCATGATGATGAACCGAATGCTCACGTTCCCCCCTTAATTCATATGATTGAAATCTAATCCCCAAAATGATGGTATTTGGAGATGGGTTCTTTGGGAGATGATTAGGTCGTGTGAGTGGAGCCCCATGAATGCGATGAGTGCCTTAATAAGAGAGGAGAGAGCTTGATCTCTCTCTTTCCACCATGTCAGAACACAATTACAGGTCAATAATCTGCCCTTGGAAGAGGGGCCCGCACTGTAACCTAACCATGCTGGCTCCCTGATCTCAGACTTCTAGCCGCCAGAACTATGGGAGATAGATTTCTGTTGTTTATAAGTCACTCAACCTGTGCTGCTTTGTGACAGCAGCCTGAGCTGAGACCAGGCTGCTTTGGAATTGCAGATGCTGAGGGACATTGCCCAAAGTCAGGGGAGCTGGGCAGGTGGTGGTTCTGTGTGAGAGAGACTTAAGACCAGGCCAAAAGAGAGTCGAATTAAGTAGAATTAAGTAGATCTTCCTACTCTGAGAGAGAAGTACGTGGGTCATGTGGATTTGAAGAGCAGGAGCTGGTGTCTTTCTGGGGTTTCAGCATAAGATCGGAGACTGTCATGTCAACACCAGTAGGGTGAATGTCAAAGCTTCACTGGTGCTCAAAACAAGAAGAGATAGTTTCTTTTTCTGTTCTTAGATGTACTTGCTACTAATGAACTTACCTCGATAAGTTTGATGAGTGATTTAAATGGTTTATGTTTTGTTATGATAAACATATTTTAAACAAAAAATAAAAACACTTTATTCCTGGGAGTTTGGTTTTTCTACCTTGGGCAAGGGCTGTTGCTCTGTGGTTATCCAGGGAGGAATACGACCTGGGTCCTGCCAGCTCCGTTTTCCTTCACTGCTCGGTTACCAGCAAGGCCCTGGTGGGGTTCCGTGGAGGCTTCAGGTCACTCATGTTCAAGTACTGGGAAAGAAACTGCTAGTGGAAGCAGATTGCTTAATTAGGGGGAGAAGAGTGTGCGTCAGCTGAGGAAAGGAGCCAGGCGCTTCCCCAGCAGGCACCGAGACAGTGTCCTCGAGATGGCCCACTAAAGGGCAGCGGATCGATCCTGTCCCCGCAGCTTTATCGAGCACCTGCTGCCCTTCAGGCTGACAAAGCCACCAGCAAAGAGAAAGGCCGGGGCCTGCAAGGATGGTCACGGGGGTGATTTTGTGAAAGTCAGGCAGGTGGAAATGTACAAAGGAAACTACTCCTAAAGTACAGTGGAGGGGACTTGGGTGAGAAAAAGCTGAAAGGTTTGCCCAACCCCAACAGCCGCACAGCTGTGCAGGGATCACCAGGCAGGGGTGTGGAGGGAGGAGAATGTGTAGGGAAGAGAGTGCTCCCTGTGTGAGGACCGGGCAATGCTGTAGAGCTGCCACGCCAGGCCTGGCACTAAATCAAATAGAGATTCAGTGTATGTGCACTTAAAGGGGAAGAAAGTCAAGTATTATGCACAATAAATGTGTCTAAATATCAAAAGATATTTGTGAGGAGGGGGGAACTCTGCCTGCCTCCTTCCCTTTCTTAGTGAATCTGCTCTGAACTGTTTTAGCACAGCTTTGAAATATCTCCTGGGGTCCACATTTGAATAATTCAATTCAGTGTTTATTGAGTGCCTACTATAAGCTGGGTGCCATATGGCCATGGCATGATGGTGTGGAGGGGATATGTGAAGCACACGGGCAGCAGCTTAAGTGCATGGGAGCTTGGCTCAGCCGGGGAGGGAAGGGGGCAGCAGACCGTTCCTCCAAGGAGGGCCGGCATCCAGAAGCAGTCATGAGTGCCGTGCCTCACGCACCTGCCCTGTGCCAGGCACTGCCCCCTGCCCCGCCGTCTCTTCATTCCCATGCACTCTCTCTACCATGTGGAGCTCTCTAGTTTCCCACAATTTACGAGAGAAGGTTTCCTTTTCTAGTCAAATGATTATTCAGATCAAACTAAGCAATGCCTAGACTGCCGAGACATGCAAGAGGTACAAGATGTTCTAGTCATGGGCATCCTCTTTCTGTTGCCCAGTGAGTTGGTTTGGCCAGTATGGAAACCTTTTCATCCTCTTCTTACAGCACTGAGGCCAGGAAGCCTGCATTGCTCCTCTCAGCCTGTTTCGAAGGCCCTTCTCTCTCAATGAAGAGAGCTGGCCCTTCCCGTTCCCCTCAGGCCCAGGGACCTGGTGGACAAGTCCGTGTTGCAGGTGGCAGCAGAGCTCTCCAGTGCCTGGGGCTTAGGAAACAGGGTTGCAGCTGTGTTGGCCGGTAGTGGAGTCTCAGTGTTGCAGAGACCCAGGTGACACAGGAAATGGGTGGTGACTGCCATTAGCAGGTGGCCTTTACAGCTTAGGCTTTGCACTGTGCATGGGATTGATACCTTCGGGAAAGAAAATATGTCTGCTGTCTACTTACAACCAAGACAAAAAATAGGGTGGAGAGGCAGCATTATACTGTCTTCCTCCATGAAAGGTGTCTAGCCTGACAGTGGGATGAATCATGGCCTTCCTCACTTCCTGTGCATTCTTTCCTCCCTAAAAGGCTTTAAATCTCCGTTGATGTATGGAATGGCTTCTTCCTGCCTGTGAATATCTCCTGATATTTCCACAAGTTTCTTGCACATATTGCCCCCTCAGAACACCCTTCTTTTTGTCCTGTGCAGGTATATATTTCTGGAGTTAGGAATTTATGATGTTTTTTACAAACCACATTCATTTATGCATTTTCTTTCCTCTATAAATTCAGGATTGTGTTTGCTGTTTCCCTTTGTTTCTGACTTATACAACTCCACTCTTCACCTAGGGTTGTGAAAGCAAATGTCCTTACTTGTTAACCTTGTAAAATGGTCCTGCCAGTCCCCCTTTTGAGAATGAAAAGGAAGCTATTGCTTGGTTATAATTTAAGCAGTGAGTGAAGCCCTAATCCCTGGAAAAAATAAGGCTTCTTCCCCAGAGCTTAAACACACACAGGGGAATATTCTACCTGTAAGAATCGACTGCAGGTAGATTCTTTTTTCATTCTTGTTGTTAGGTTGTATTTGGACTTTTGTCTGCAGTCCTCTAATTCTTACCATAACATGGAGTCTACGAATTTCTGAGTGGAAGGGACCATAGAAGATGTTGGCCATTTGGGAGGAAATAATGAATTGCACGCTTTCCTTTGATCTCGAGGTATGGAAGCATCTGAGAAACAAGACATGAGTGAATCAGATGGTAATGAGAACAACAGGAGAGGAAGAGGAATTGGAGACCAGTTGAGCCATCTAGTCACATGCAGGGCTGGGCAACAGCAGGGCAGCTCTTCCTAGGAGGGCAGTTGCTTGCCGTAGCACGTGGAGTCTCAGCCCGATGGACCCAGGACTCCCCTTGAATAATGACTACCTTATAACACTCCTTTTACTCACCTGAAATGAAATTCATAGATTCCTACACATGCATGACTGAAAAAAAAAACAAAAAACAAAAACAAAAACAAAAAAACTCTAGTGTCCTAACTGAAATAACAAGAAGTAAATGGAAAGTTATTAATTATAAAATAAAAAATTGAGTATTTTAATATTCAGACATGACTATACCAAGATACAGTGGTTGGCAGGACAGTGGTGCCCCAGAGATGTCCACGTCCTCATCCACAGAACCTACAAATATGTTAAGTTTTACATGGCAAGCGGGAATTAAGGTTGCTAATTAGCTGAATCCAAGATGGGGAGATTATCCTGGATTATGCACATGGGCTCAGTGTGATCACACGTGTCCTTAAATGGGGAAGAGGAAGGCAGTAGGGTCAGAACCAGAGAGATGACATCGTAAGAAAGACTCCACCAAATGTCGTTGGCTTTGAAGATGGAAGCAGGCCACAAGCCAAGGAATGCAGGGGTCTCTAGAAGCTGGAAAAGCCAAGAAAGTGGATTCTCTCTTAAAGTCTCCAGCCGGGATCACAGCCCTGCTGAAATGTTGATTTTAGCTCAGTGAGACCCATTTCAAACTTCTGAACTCTAGAACTGAAAAATGATACATTTGTGTTGTTTTAAGCTGCTAAATTTCTAGTAATTGGTTAAAGCAACAATAAGAAAATGAAATAAAAACCTAACAATGTGGTCAGGTGCCTTCTCCTAAGCGTAGTGTCCACTCTGGGTGCACCAGCCACAAGCACAGGCCAAGAGCACATTGTGACTTGAGGGTGAGACTACTAGTGTGAGCAGCATCGCTGATGCCGGAGGGCTTTCGTAGAGCAAATGAAGTACAGTCTTCCCTTGCTGGAAACAGAAGTTGTATTTCTAGAAGAATGCAGCACACAGACTCAGTACTCTGTGTTTACATGTGAAACAGTTAGGTTCTAGGTTCAGATCATCATAAATAAGGTTGTTGTTATTGTTTATTTTTATCCTTGTGACTGTTTGGGAGAAAAATTTAGAAGTCATGGTGAGAACAGAACAATTCTTGGTTGTGAGGGACATTCTGATGCATTGTTGCCCACACCTGCAGCTTTCTAAAAGATCTCTACAAGGGATGGAGGGTTCTGCCGCTGAGGTGCACTGGCTTCAGGCGTGGTGGAGGAGAGCTCTAGGCAGGGGGAGGACAGCAAGGCAGACAGGAGGCCAAGACACCGGCTTGGGTTTCTTCTCCAGACCCTCTGAGGGAGGGATGTGAGAGGGTAGTTGGGAGGCAGGACTTGCCTCTCAGACTTCTGAAAGGGTGAGAATTCCTGCTTTATGGACTTAGGAATGCAGGGAGGGGTAAAGGGCAGACTCTCCTGTTAATTTCAGTGTCCATCCTGAGGAAGAATCCAGCCTGATGGTCTTGGAGCAGCTATTTGCATAACTTCAGTAATGGGGAGCTGGTTATATCAATTCCAGACAGCAGCCCGCTGTATTCCGTAGCCCCTCTGTCAGCTCTGGCCCCTGCCAGAACCAGCAGTACATCTGATGGCCCCTCATGTGACAGCTCCTTGTGTATTTGAAGGCACAGGCATCTTTTGGGCCCTGCAACTTCTATTCTGTAGACCAGACATCGCCAAGTACCCCAGCCATTTTTTTCTAGAACTGGTCAGCCTTCTTGGAATGTTGACTGATGAGTCTTTAGTCCTCTTCGTGGTTGAACCCAGGCATGGACTCCAGGGGAGGTTTGAAGCTGACGACAGTTGGAAGAGATTGGGATGGGACTTTGTCCCTCTTTTCAGTGAACTCTAAGCTGCCTTTACAGTGACCACGCTCACCATTCACTCACCTTGATCTTGGTGTCACCTCAAACCCCTGGATCTCTTTAACATGTTCTACTCTCAGATTCTGTGTCTCCCATCTATGTTTGTGGCATTAGGTGGTAAACTGAGGCACAGACTTCTATGCTGTTCCACATAACTAAGAAGTCGCTTAAGGGCTCTTGTGGTCACACCTAGAGTGAGAAATAGCGTGGCCTGGCCGGGGTAGCCCTCTGGGGAGGGGAGGACTGGGGCGCTCTGGTCTGCATTTCACAGTGGAGCTGACAGATCCCGCAATGCTTTGGACGTGGAGTGTGTGTAAGAGCAGAATCTGGGCTGATGCCTAAGCCTTTTGCTTTGAGAAGAGGGTGGATGGTGGTGCCTTCTACCGAGAAGAGGACAGGAGGGAGGAGCAGGTTGGGTGGGCAGGAAGTGACTAGTTCCATTTTGGCTTTGTTAACTTGGAAATGACTATTTGACACCCACATGGATATGTCTAGTAGGAAATATGCTACACACATTTAAATTTCAGGGGAAGGGTTTGGTCTAGACATACATTTGGGAGTTGTCAGCCTGAAGACAATATTTGAAGCCATGAGCCTGGCGGAGATGATGGAAGGAGGGGATGTGGAGAGAGAAGAGCCCTCCTGGGGCTGAACGCTGGGGCCCTATGCCACTTAGAGGTCCAGAAGCGGAGACAGATGCGGCAGAGATGGAGAGAGAACAGCCAGAGAGGACGGAGGACGCTGAGGAGGGAGCTGTGCTGTGGGGCAAGTGAAGAAAATGGCCCAGGAGAGGAGCAAGGGAGGGCTGGAGGCTGCAGAGGCCGAGCAAGGTGCAGACTGAGCTGTGAGGGTCGGACTGGCCAGGGTGGCAGTCACTGCACTCTGGAAGAGAGCAGGCCTGGGGAGCACTGGGCCTAAGAGCCTCCTAGAATGGGTTGAGGGGGAATGGGCAGGGCTCAGATAGACCATAGAGGCTCCTCTGCTGGCCCCCATCACTGCACCCTCTTGCTGTGTTCAGGCCCATCCTCTTCACGGGATACCAGACTGTCCCTGGCCTCCCTACCTGGAGGCTTTCTGCCTCCTCTTCCCCATAGTCCCCTCCTACACCTCAGGGGAGTGAGCTTGGGGGTCTGATCAGGTCTCTGCTGTCTAATAGAGAGGCACCCATTAATTTTAGAGTAAAACTAAAATTCCTATAAGATCCTTCATGATCTGGTTCCTGATGGTCTCTCTAGTCTTTTTTTTTTTTTCCTCTTTGTTTCATCTCTTCCCCACCCCCACCCCCCACTTGTTCTGTGCTCTGGCTCTACTGAATCTCATTGCATCTTGTTCTGTGCTCTGGATATACTGAATCTCATTGCATCTGTCCAGCCCTTGGGCTGTTGCTACACCCTTTGCTCTGCCCGGTGCTTTTCCCCATCTCTTTACACCTCCTCCCATTCTTCAGACTCGTAGGAATCCCACAGTGTTACAGACCAGTGTCATCATCTTCAGGAAAGCATCCCTGGCCACCAGCTGCTTCCCACCCCACCTTCCCCCGACCCTGACAACCCAGGACAAGCCCCCTGTCCTTTTCTTCCCTGAACTGCAGCCTGTTGGTGGCAGGGACTGCATCTGGCCTCATGGTTCTGTTTCTAGCCTCCACCAGAGCATCTGACACATGCTAAATTCTCAGTGGACAGAAGAGAGGGCCTAGAAGTTGTCTGAAGTATATGTGGGAATTGAACACATGAGAGATGTGACACTCCAAAGCAGAGAGTGGGTGGCTTTCAGAGATGGCTTATTCAACAAATGGCCCATCTCTTAGCGGTGTCTAAACACAGAGGCCACCTCGATTTGTCTTGCAAATCAGGTGCTGATGTTATGTAACTTCACGTTCCTAACTCCACCCAAGGAGAGTGACAGCTTTCCAGTCTAGCAGCTCAGCACAAGCACTGGCCTTTCACACCTGTTCCCCATGTTAGCCTTGTTTTCTATCCATCTTCTGCTTTCTCAGTCACTTCCAGCCCCAGCAAACTTGCACCAACCTGCCTATCTGCCAACTTCATTAGCAAAGGGCCGCCGAATGCCCAGCATGGGGGTGCCGTTTACCTGTATGAAGGCCCCACTGAGTAGCATCTGGGCCGTGAGGTGCCTCCTGAAGTCAGACCTCCACTCTTCCCTAGACGTCCCCCTGGAACCGCAGTGCCTGAGCTACCCTACTTGGGGCTTGCTGCATTCATTCGCTCTCTAACTCTCTCTTATTCCTGTGGTTGCTCAGTACGGAGGTCAAGTCCTGGTGGGGCGTCTTCCCTCCTCTTCAGCTGTGCCTCATCTGGTGGTGATTTGAGCAAGACTTCCACTCTGCACTCTTTATCCCAGTGATTCATTCGAGAAGCAGCATTCACTGTTCACCTTTGTGCCAGGAAGGCGAGGGAGAGCATGACACAGGTTGCACCTCCTCAGAGCGGCATGAAGTGCTAGCTGGGATCCAGTGCTGCTGGTGTTTAACAGGAGTCAGCACAGCGTTGTAGGGGGCACTGACGGAGCTTCCTGGAGGAGAGGGCATGGACGTGAGTTCTCAAGGGCAAGAAGGGATCTTTGGGAAAAGATGGTGGACCAGCACAGCTGGAAGTTCAGAGGCGAGAGGGCATGTGTGTTCAGGAACCAAAATTGAGTGTGGGGGAAGGAGTGAGGCAGGGAGGGCCTTGCCTGTCCAACAGGGGAGCTTGGCTTTTCTTTTGAAGGTTACAGGAAGCCGTGAATATTATAGAGAAGGCTGTGGGCTTTGGAGGTTTTTCACTTGGCTTCAAATTCCAGAATCACCTGTTACTAGCTGAGGGCTCACATCGACTCTCTGAGCCACCCCTTCTCAAAGGGATGCGATGGGAATCCCCTCACCCTGCCTTCCTCACAGGGCCCCATGAGAATTACAGGAGGTATAGCATCCACAAACACTCTGTAAACTGGGAGGGGCCTACCTTTTCAGGTCATTATGAGAAGTGACTGTAAACCAGGGGGCAAGTAGTGTCACAGGCTACAGAAGAGAAAGAAGGAAAGGAAGCATGAGCCAGGAGAGATGTCTTTTACCTGCAGGCCTTTGTTGAGATTTAAAGATGGAGATACACAAGTGTAGCAATGGACACAAAGCCATGCCCATACCTGCGTACATGTATACACACATATCACATCCATGTATGTGCACAATATTCATGTACACACACACCCATAAACCTCCACATAAGCATGGATATCCACGTAGACATATGCAAATATATGGACACATACAGACCCATATACATGCATATGTACATATACACACATGGACACACACCTGTACATACAGATATACACATGAACACACATATACACACATGCACACCCATGTTCCTGCACACAGGCATGCACGTGTACATAGCAAACCCTCACACACGCCCCTCACCCCTATGCACACTGCCTGCATCTAGCCTTCGATTGGCTCCTGTCTTTGCATCATTGCCTCTCCCATGCCTGATCTCATCAAGTCCTGCTCATCGTGGTGCTCACTACATTCTCTGTGGTGATGATCTTGACAGTGGCTCTGTTCTCCTGGTGGCTTTCTGCATTCCGTCCTCCTCCCCTGAAACACGGAAGGCTGGATCTGGATCTGGGGCTGCCTCCCAGCAGGTTCTGAGAACTGATCCTGAGAACAACAGGAGTGCCAACAAGAGGAGAAGAAAGAGTGGCTTCTCTGTTCATTTCCTGAGCCACAACCCCGGGTGCCTTCCCTTTCAAGGACATTAATGACATCTACGAGAGGGCTGTTCTCCAAGACATGGTTTAATAAATAGGAACCTGATTCAATTTATTTAAAAATGGATTTGAAACATGAAGGATGCCTGAAGCGAAATGACCTCTTGGTGGTGGTGGCGACGGTGACAGAGGTGTCGGTGGAGTTTCTTTCCCCTGAAAAACATAAAGGATGATTCCTGTCCTAAAGAGACCACCCAGCTGGAATTCCCGAAGTGAAGGCAGTTCATCTTCCTCCCAGTGCCTGACGGAGGGCACAGGCTTGCGGGAGGGCACTGGGAATGTGGGCAGCATCTAAAGGCAGCTGCGTTGGCGGCAGCTTTGTTTCAAAGGGATGCAAACCCAGTAAGGGGTTAACTGATGCCATCCCACTGTCATTCTGGTTTTTCATTTTAGGGCCAACGGGTTTTATTTTAAATTCCTTTATTCATCACTTATTTATGTGTTGAGAGCTAAGTTCAAATAATTTGGTAGGTTCTGCGTGGTCTGATGAAACCCTGGAAATTCCAATCCCCTGTCAGGACTGAACAGGAAGGCGGCCCCAGCCCTCTGCACAGGCATGTGGGGAACTCGGGCACCAGGAGGTTCTTCGCACCCTGTTTTGAAAGCTGTGATGCGAATTTGTGGTGTTTATCGTATTCCAGCAGCAGTTTAAACAATTGTTACTTTAAATACCCAGCTAGTAAGAACATTTTCCCTTTCTTGTTGCTACCTCTGTGGGATTCAGCCATAAGATTCAGCTCTCTCCTCTTAATGAGTCTTTGTCATATTTTGATGTCCTTGAATGTGTCCTGGGGCTGTTTCAATGTCCTGGGGAGGGGTGTTGGTGCAGCCTCTGACACAGAAAGACCTATGTTAGGGAGTTGGGTTTCAGAGGCTGTGGGCCAGGTTATACACTAAGGTCAAGTGTCCCCACGGGCCACTGCCTTCCCCACAGTCTTCCTGTTTGGCAAGACACCTCCCCATCAGTGTCAAGGATTCCAGAAAACGTGTGTCAGATGAGGAGGGGTTGTCTTTCCTGCTTCAGCCAGCCTCCGGGCATTTTTGAGAACATGTTTCCCAGGCAGAGGGTACTTTGACAGAGGAGTCCATCAGTGTCTTCTCATTAGAGAGGAAAGAGAGGAATGAAAAAAGACTGTGCTGGGGTCAAATGCAGGAGGCCAATGGGAAAATCAAGAAGATTGTGTGGACCCTGACACTGCAGCCTCCTGCTTGGCCAAGCCCACAGCTGTGCACAGTGGCCTGGCTGCTGGGACCATCAGGCTCAGAGGCCAGGCGGAGCAGGGGGAAAGCAACTACATAACTCCCCAGGACCCAGTGGGTGGGCAGAGCCCCCCAGGGCAGCTTGTCATCCTCCCCTGAGTCTGCCTCTTCTCTAAAGCTAGGACACTAAGACTTCTTAGGGTGCCGTGAAGACTAAGTACCTAATACACGTAGACTCTTCACACAGCACCTGACCCACAACAAGCACTTCTTATCATTCCAGATTGTAATCTCAGAGCCCTAGATCTGTCCTGATGATGATGTCTCCATCATCATCATCATTGTGTGTTTACTGCTTTCTTTGTTCATCCAAGGATGGTCCCAGCTACTCTGGAAGCTGAGGCGGGAGGAACTCTTGAGTCCAGGAGTTTGAGGCTGCAGTGAGCTGTGATTGCATCACTGTACTCCAGCCTGGGTGACAGGGTGAGACCTTGTCTCAAAATAATAATAATCACTACAACTATTATAAATAATATTGTTATTCCGGGGAAAATCTACTTGGCGTTCGCCCCTGCCCAGGTGCCATGCTAGACATTCTGGCTCTGTTCTCCCAGTAACCAAAGTGCTGTGTGGCTTGGTGTGAAGTTGCCTCATGCAGACTGGGGAATTTTGCAGACTAGAAGTCAAAAAATCTGTGCTCTATTTCCAGCAGTGTGGCCCTGGGTAGTTTATTTTCTCTGAGCCTTGACTTCCCTTCCATAGAATAAGGTGATTGGACCTTTGGGACTTTTGGAGCCAAAAGGGACTCTCCTCCATAGACAATGCACCGTCTTCCCTACTTTCAGATCATCTGGGGGGCTCCTGCCAGACAGAGTTTGAACCAAGGGCAGGCAGCAGCTGGCCCTGGAGTCCATGGCTGCTCCAGATGGTTCTCTTTATCATCACTTACAGGTTCTACATGTGGGCAGTTCTACAGCTATAGGTTGGTACAAAAACTGCAGTTACTTTTGCACCAGCCTAAATCACCATCACCTACTATGTGCCTACCAAGAGCGTGGCACTGGACTGGGCACAGAGGAGCCGGTGCTGTGCTTGCTTCTGGGGAGATCTGTGCAGAGGTGGATTGTAATAGCCTTTGTGCACTGGCTCCTCGGGGCACCCTTGGAGCCCTGTGGGAGCAATGCAGGACCCACCTTCCTTAAGGAGGGTGTCCTGAGCTAGAGGAACTTCTGGGATTTTCTTAAATGTTGGGGGAAGAAAGCTTAACCTGAGAGGAATGGGTTTTACGAAGGAAGTGAGGAGAGGAGCTAGAGGAGAAGGAGAAGGCAGAACAGGCAGGGGAGTAGGAAGAAAGTGAGACAATGAGGCAGCCAGAGCCGTAGCCACTGCCTGGCGCACCGCAGAGGATCCATCAGCGTTTGCTGGATGAATGGATGACGATGGGTTAAAGCCAAGGAAGACATGGGGTCTCAAGGGGAAGCTGCCTTTTAGCACGAAGAGAGCCCAGCAAAGTGCCGGTCCTGACAGTGATCTTGTCCAGACTCCAGAACACTGGAGACAGCGGAACAGCAGAACACGGTGCCTGATTCAGTGAATGATTTCTGCGTCCCAGGGGTTAAGGGTTTCTATCGAGCTATCTATGCTGCTGCTAATTTCTCTGATAGATGTGTTAGATACGGCATTTGGGGAAAATGGAGTACTCATCTCAGGGGATAATGACACTGTGAGCGCCATATTATTTCTGTGGTGAAGAACAATTTTAAGCCTGTGCTAATAGATTAAGCGACTAGAGTGATTATTTTGAACAAAGAGAGTGGTTGAGAGTTCTACAGCCAGCCTGAGACTAATCAGGAGGAGTAAAGAGTGATAATTTAATCATATCAACCCATAACATGGGATCCTGATAGTGGCTGTCACACTACACCAGCTGAAGGAGGTCTCTGAACCACCCAGACTAAGTTCCAGCTTTTGCTACTTTCTGGCTTTTTGACCTTACATAAGTCACGAGGCCAGGAGGAGCTTCAGTGTCCCCATTTGTAAAATGGGAACACAAATGCCCAAGGCATAAGACATTGTGTGTAAAGAATCAGGACAAGGCATGGGAGAATGTTCAGTAAACTGCAAATGGCTGGGTGGATATTGGGTGCCGTGGGAGCAAGGAAGGAGGTGCATGGTTTGTAAAAACTGCATAAAAGCAAACAGAGTGTGATCATATACCATGAAATGCACAAAGGGGGTGCACTCTGCAGAAAGCCCTATGAACCCCTTCTGTAAAGCAACCCACTCTCCCTCCTTCGTCCTCTCTACACGTTAGCTTTTTGTGACGTGGACATCTGTGTGGGCAGCGTCTGCAGGGCCAGCAGAGCCACTTGTGAACACTGGGGAGAGTGTAAAGGAGGCCCAACAGGAGGCTGCAGGGGACCTTCAGGAACCCTGCGTGTCTTGGACGCTCAGTAACACG
Organism: Homo sapiens; assembly: GCF_000001405.40. Classification (NCBI taxonomy): domain Eukaryota; kingdom Metazoa; phylum Chordata; class Mammalia; order Primates; family Hominidae; genus Homo; species Homo sapiens. Next base: position 134,482,850 of record NC_000008.11, on the reverse strand, counting down.
ACAGGGCAACAGCGTGCCTCCCTGTCACATTTGTGCACACCAGGAAGCCTGCTCTTCGCAGGACTTGGGAAATACACATCACCATTGCCTCCATCGCTTTTTCTGGTGAATTAAGCCCAAAGAATGACATTGGAAAACTTTTTTGTACTCTGATAATTAGCAGTGGATGAATTTCATGGGGATTCTGTTGGACAAACCCTGGAGGCTAAAAATTGAAAAAGCAAAACAAAATAAATGGAGAAAGGTTATCTTTAAATAGATTTAATACTTAGAAAAGATACTGTGGGCAAATAAATAAATATTTAGAGGACTAATGAGAGAGGCATACTTCTCAGGAGGGCTTCTCATGTTGGGCAAGTTTTGATTCATAAATGTCACAGATTGGATGACGCAGGGCCTTTCTTTGAAAACCTTTTGTGCCTTCCTTTGTAAAATAAAGGCTCAATCTGTCAGCTGATGACCAAGGCTTTTCAAGATCCGCCTGCGAACTTCGTTTCAGGCCTCATCTGCTGCTTCTGCCCCAAATGCCTTCTCTCCTGTGACTTTTGCACAGCCCTGTTCATGCACTGTTTGACAGACATCCCTAAACGCCTCCCACTTGCAGACGGAGGTATGATCTGGAGCTCAGGAGTGGTGGCTGGAGTCTGGCTCAGCCGGGAGTAAAAGTGCCCGGGGGGTCAGAGAAGAAGTCAAGGTGGGAGACCCAGGAATCCTCCAGGCTTAGTGATGGGCAGAAGGAGAAGAGCAGTGAGCCACCCTGCAGTCTGGGAGAGGGCGCGGAACAGAGCCCAGTGCTGGGGAGGAGAGTGGTGAAAGCAGTGAAGAGCGTCTCATGCCGGATGGTAGAGAACGCTCTGGAAGAGTGAAAATGGGACTCTGCCCAGTGGGTTTGGTGACTGGGAGGTGGCCGGTGGCCTTGGTCGGGCTGTAGGGCACACGCCTGTTCTTTGCTCACTCTCTTCTCTCGCCTGTGATGTCCTTTCCCACCACAGACCCTCTGTGGCCAATGCCACCTTCCAAGAAGTGGTCCCAGGCGCTGCTGCTGCAGAGTTACTAACACATCGTTTACCTTCAGGTCAGGCACGCTGGCCTCCTCTGCGGCGTCTATGGGCAGCAGCCATTTCCAGGCCAGCGAGGGACTCCTGCTTCCTCCTGGCTGGTTCTGAGAACTTGGAGTCTGTCCCCTGTGCTGCCAGGGGACAGGAGGCTGCAGCCGCTGCCCCTAAAAGGCCTGGTCCTGGCGTGGTTCTCCTTGTCCTTGGCAGTGATTTCAGCCACTGTCCATACTTGGGCATTGTGGTGTTAGTGTTTTTAAAGGGTGGGAGTTTTTAGCCAGTGGAAAATTTCCATCAGTGAAGGAGTCACTGTCCTCTTTAGGGTTCGCTTCGGTGGCAGTCACTATGTCCACAGAATGGTGCCATGACCCAGAGCCTGTGTTAAAGCTCATGGATGGGTTTGTCTCCCTGTATTGTGTGTGGTCTGTTTACCTGAAGTGTGGAGGGCTTGTTTGCACATGTGAAGCCCTGGGGACCTGGGAGTAAACCATCCCCATCCCCTCACCCTTTCCTTTGTGTGGCATTTACTGACAGGTAAGAGGAGAAAAGATTAGCTGCATGTTGCCTTCCCTTTCCCAGTCTTCTGTCAGGTTCTCTCTTGCAAAGTGAAATAAATTAATATTTACTTCTAAAATCCTGGTTCATGGTACATTTTCCCAGTTAAATGAAATTGAAACAAATAGGAAAAGATGAAAAAACAGATCTCAGTTCACTCTAAAAAAACAAATCAGTCTAAATGTATTGATAGTTTCCACTCAGAATAGCTCTCCAGCTCCGGGTGAATTCTATCAGTCCAAATCAAAAGTTCCTTCCAATCCATAATTTTGGAACCTCCGGAGCTCACCCCAGAGGAACCTTTTCCATTTTTCTCTCTGAATTAAACATGACCCACCTTTTGACACAGCCCTTCTCACTCATGGAGACTGGAATAATCACAGGGTCAGGATGAGACCCTCCAAGCCAGTTGGGCCGTCCCCAGAGAGAGTGCAGAGTCAGAAGAGGTGGGGAGTAGAAGGCCACCCAATGCCAATTTGCAGGCCAGGAAAGGACCCGGACATGTCGTGAGTGGGACCTCATGGAGGCTGCCCGAACACACTTGCTGCTCCCTACACCTCCTGGGAGTCATGGCTCCCCAGTCCCTATGCCCATCTCTATGCCTCTCCTGGGACCCCAACTGGCATAGGCTGCCCCTGCAAGAGCCCAGCTACTCCACAGCACAGTCATTCACTGTGCCCTGTGCCTGCAACATGAGACTCGGCTTCCTCAGAGGACTGTGGTTTTCTAGTGCACAGCGTGGCATCTGACACCTAGTGGATCATCAGTCAGTAAATATTGAGCACATGCTGTGTGCCAGGCATTCAGCTTGGCTCTGGGGAAACAGTTGTGACCAGGCAGACATGGTCCTGCCCTTGTGGAGCTTGCAGTCTACTGGTAGCTGGTAAGATGACAAAAGTTCTGTAGAGTGAAAGAATGAGTGATTGACATGCTAGAATACTTTCCAGGCAGCAGCAGGTATTTAAGAAAGTGTGGTTGAGGCCGGGTGTAGTGGCTTATGCCTGTAATCCCGGCACTTTGGGAGGCCAAGGTGGGTGGATCACTTGAGCTCAGGAGTTCGAGACCAGCTTGTGCAATGTGGAGAAACCCTGTCTCTACCAAAAATACAAAAATTCATTGGGTGTGGTGGCACATACCTATAGTACCAGCTACTTGGGAGGCTGAGGCAGGAGGATGGCTTGAGCCCAGGAGTCAGAGGTTGCAGGGTTGCAGTGAGCTGAGATGGCACCACTGCACTCCAGCTTGGGCAACAGAGTCAGACCTTGTCTCCAAAAAAAAAAAAAAAAAAAAGTGTGGTTGAATGAAGGGATTAAAAGGTCAGTACTGTTATTGAGCACCCACTTTGCATATAGAATCTCCTTCCATTCTCCCACGAATCCTCTGAAGAACACATTTTAGTCCCTGTTTTACAGATGAATAGACTGAAGGTTGTGGGCAAAAGTGTCTTGCCCAGGCCTCGTAGCTTATAAATGGTGGAATTGATGCTCAAAGCCCGGTCAGTGCAGGACAAAGCACGTGCTCTCCCCACCTTGCCATTCAGACTCACCTGGAAATGAATGGGTGTCCCTGACACCCCTCTGTAAGTCTGAAGACTCTCTTATCCTCCAGCTAGATAATTCCAGGCCCCTTTGCTTTCCTCTTGTGCCTGTTTTCTAATCCTTCACTCATTTTTGCAGCTCTAAGGTCTCAACTCCATGTCTTTTGTTTCTCATCTCAAGATCAAAGACAGTTGTTATTTAAAAACAGCCCAGAGCTGGCAGCATGAGGGATGTGGGATATTAGCACCAGCTGGCATTTGGTCTTGCCTGGAATCTGGCAGCTTGGAGCTTCAGAGAAAGGCCTGGCCATAGAATCCATGAGGTCCCATCCCCTGACGGATACCCAGAAGGCTCTCCTGTCCAGCCCTGTGGCAGTGAGTTTCCACCAGCAGGCCTTCCCCCAAATAGTTAAGGCATTAGTGTTGCTGGACGGACGACACCTGGGGAAAATCAGGCCTGCCAGGCGTCTGCTCCTTCCTAGTGTGATACAGATCTTCACACAGAGGCAAGCTCCCTGAGTGTGGAAACACAGAGAGCCCAGGATAGACGTAGTGCCTTTATCACTGCCAGATGGACCAGCTATAAATTTCCAGGAGCACCGCCAACCCCTACCACTGACACCTGCAGTAACTAACCCCCACCATGCCTTCCAGCCCTCATTCTCTAGGTAACCCCACACCTCCTGGAAGCCCCGGGAAGCAGCTCGGCATCAGAAACAACCTCGGACTCTGGGTTTGAACTTAGGTTCCACCATTTGCCACGGCTGGGGACCCTGACCACGTTGCCCTACATTGCTGAACCTCATTCTGTTCAGCTGTAAAATGGGCATGAGAGCAAGCACAGCCTGGTAGAGAGGATCCGTGGAGAATGGACGTGCTCCCGCAGCGCACTGGTGCCTCCTAAACTGTAGTTGTGACTTTGTTGTTACGCTGGACCGGGAAGTAGGCGCTGGGTGACCTTTCTCTTGCCCTCCTCCCGCAGGTCACCGAGGAGGAGCCCAGCTCCAACCACACGGTCATGATCCAGGAGACGGTCCAGCAAGCGTCCGTGGAGCTTGCCGAGCAGCACCACCTGGTGGTGTCCTCCGACGACGTGGAGGGCATTGAGACGGTGACTGTCTACACGCAGGGCGGGGAGGCCTCGGAGTTCATCGTCTACGTGCAGGAGGCCATGCAGCCTGTGGAGGAGCAGGCTGTGGAGCAGCCGGCCCAGGAACTCTAGAGGACATGTGGCATCGGATGGCCACAGGGCGGGGCTGCCAGGCTCTGCAGGCACCCAGGGTGGGGAGGCCACCCTTCCTGCCCTACCCGCAGAATGGTGCTCTCCTTTGCCCTCCCTGCCCAGCAGCCTGATAGGACTCTCCTAGTCCAACTTGGGGTGGGCAAGGCAGTCAGCATCACCAGCAATACCACAGGACCCTCACCCCAGCATAGACACACACCCCCTGACCCTTACCATCTGCTTCCTGAAAGACTTCAGTGTCAGCTCCCCTACACACACCCCACACCTTCACCCCTTGCTTCAAGATTCAAACAGAGACTCCCAGTCCCCCTCAGCATCTTCCCTGAATCACAGCCCCAGCTCCTTGACCCCCATCTAGGTGCCAAATGTTCATCTGCAACCGCTATGCAGTCTGGTGAGAGGGAGACAGCCATCACATAGAAAGTGACCGTACGGGTTTTTAATCACTGCTGGGTGGGGTGGGGGTAGGGGGATTGTCCTGGCTTTGTCGACAAAGTCCCACTTCCCCGAGTATTAAGGGCCCTTGGTATCAAGTGAGGTAAATTCACCCATCACAGGGTCTCGCCCTACCATCCTGGAATTATTTCACTTTTAAGATAAATGCACTATTTCACTGTTCGCCTCCCATTCTAAGGAGGTGAGGTGGTTGGAATAAAAACAGTTCCTGTCTGAATGCTTTGGTTCTTCAGGCGGGATGGCTTACATTTCCCCTTCCCAAGTTGAAATCTTGGATTTGGGGCCCACCCAGAAGGACCCCATCCAAACCCAGGCCCTTAAAATGCAGATGGTGCTCTTTCCTCTGCATTTAGGTTTGCTTTGGAAACCTTTTGACGTTAATGATCTCACCTTCCATTTCCTGGCACCCAGCATTTGATTTGCTGCCAGCCAAGAAGTGGCAGTGCCCTCTTGTCCACTGTGTATTTGGGAGGAACAATGCAATGACCATCAGAGGTGTCATAACACAGGACTATGTGACCAAGGTTTCTAGTCTGGGTGCTCAACATAGATGCCATATGTTTGGAACTCCTGCTCTGTGCACAGCATTGTGGGGGCATTGACTTGAGTCCTGATACACCCAGCCTGGCCCTGGGGTGTCTTGACATCTTCACATCTGACACCCTGAGGTCAAGGTTTGTTTCCTCCGAGAACCCTTTCTTGCAATGAAATCTGATGCAGGTTTAGAAGCAAATAAAAGAGTAGCCACCCTGTTGAAGAGGGCAGAGTTCACTTGGCCCTCCCTGTTACCAGCCCTCTCACCTCACCCCAGCAGGGCCTGAGGGCACCTCCTGGGAGAAGCTTAAAAGCTGCTTCTCTGATTCAAGTAGAAAAGTGACTCCTTGCCTTAAGCAAGGAAGAGGGAGAACACTGCTGACTTGGGATGAGTTAGGGAAAGCTTCACGGTGGAGGTGACCTGTGATAGGGCCTGGGAACCTAGATGGGCTTTGCACCTCCAGGGATTGGGGTGGGAGGGAGTGGGAAAGGAATTCCAAAGAAGAGTCACAGCGCCCCCTGGGGTGGGCAGTGTGGGAGATGGACTTGAGCCATGAGAATTTGTGTTTGGCTGGGAGCAACTCTAAAGGGAAGGGCAGAAAAATCAGCAGAAGCCAGATCCTAGAAGAGCAGGGATGTGAAATGATGGATGTGGATTTTACTCTGTAAGCTGTGGGGCAGGCAGTGGCATTTGATAGAGGAGGGGAAGGGTGAGGAGGTCAGGGTGGTTCTCCAGAATGAGACATCTTGCCCATGCATCGGTGTGGTCTGTGTTGAGATAGGTGAGTGCCCAGCTCACAGGCAGAGGACCTGGGCTCAAACCCTGCTCTGTCACTTATCCACGTGACCTTGCCATGCCACCAGACCTCTTAGCCTTAGTTTACCCATGTCTGAAATGGGTCCGAGGATAATCGCTGACTCCTGATGATTAAAAGGATTAAATGAGTGAAGCCCCTGAAGCTGTTAGCAGTGTCCTGGCCCACACTCTGGAAATATCACAGATTGCTTGTATTCCTGGCATGGGGGTCTTAAACATGAGTATCCCTCACACTCCTCCCTCAAGGGCATAAGGTAGTGGGGGGGGGAGGCCGTGAAGGTGGCCTGGGAGGACTCCTGGGGTGTGCTCTGTGCTCTGCGCAGCCTGAATGCGGAGCCTGCCCTGCCTGGACACACAGACCCTGTGTACTTCCCTTCCCTTCCTGTCCTCTTGGATTACGAGGAAATGCAGGAAGCTGAGGTGAAGCATTGCCTGTGGTCCTGGCTGACCAGGCCTGGTAGGTGTGTGGGTGGGGCAGGCAGGAGGCCTGGTTCTCCGTGGTTCTTTCCTGGGGAGCTGATGCTGGGCTCAGAGGGGAAGCTTTCAAAGCCAGTGGTCCGTTCATGTGACTGTGAGATGGAGCTTCTCACTGCTCCCGACCCCCTTGGCTGTTGTTTTCGGGTGCTTTTTGACTCCAGGTGTTTTTTGTGTCAGGCAAGGTAAAAGCTTGTGCTAAAAGGCTGAATTCTCTACCTCCCTGTTTTAGAATGTGTGTAAAGTACCTGCTGTGTGCCAGATACCATACGAGGCCCTTTCATGGGCATCTTCCTATTCAGACTTCCTGTCCACCTGTGTCTTCCTAAGACTGAAGACTGGCACTTCTATAGAGCTTACTCTATGTCGGGAGTATGGGTGTTCTCATCACAGCAACCCAGTGAGTTTGGTGCTCTTGTTAGAATTTTATTGATGGGAACTGTTAGCATGGGGAGGTTAAGTAACTTGCTTGAGGTCACACAGGAAGTGGCAGAACCAGGAATTGAGCCCAAGCAATATCTGCACTCATAACCAACGTGCCTTCTGCTAACTCTTTTCTTGCTTTTACAGCTGAGAAGATGGTGGCTCAGTAAGTAACCTGTTTTGGGGGACACTTGAGGCTAGAAAGGGATGTGTCTGGGACTTGAACGCAGGTATGAAGTTCTTGTTCCCCCAGGTACTTTTTGCCCTCCCTGTGCCATCCTGTCTCCCTGTCAGCCCTGACACCAGGTAGACAGTGCAGGCCCAGGACATGGAGGACAGAGGCGAGGTGCCAGGGTGGCTACAGGGAGCTGAAGTCCAGGGCCACGTGGCCAAGTGTGAGCAGAAGTCATTGCAAGGACAAGAGACCCAGGGCTGGTCCAAGGTCAGAGACAGGGTGGAGGCAGGAGCTGGGGCCCAGCCTGGAGTGCTCTGTAATGCTTGGGCTGGGGAGGAGGCCGAGGCAGCATACAGCTGGCCTAGCCCTGGGAAGAGCCCTGGCACTTCCCACAGATGCATCTTCACAGATGACACCCACCTCGCACGTGGATGGGCTTTGCCTCTGTCGTGTGAGCTGCCCCCCATACTCTCATCTACTGAGGAAGGGGAGAAGGGCAGTCTTTGAATTAAAGAGCTGAAGCGCAGGCAAGACAAACCTGGCCCAGCCTCATTCTTAGCAGGTGTGTCAGTTTGGGCAGGCTGGGCCACCTCTCCCCCATCAGCAATGGGGGTGATAAGGTAACAATTGCTGAGAGGCACGAACGCTCCTTGTGCATCAGGGACTTGCAAAAAACTTTCTGTTCCTTGAGTATTTGCTTCTCAGGACAGCATTGGGAGGGGTGGGTGTTATCATCCAGTGCATAGATGTACAAGTTTATCAAACAACCGTAGTGTTAGAATTACTGGGATAATGTTTGTGATGTGCTCAGCACAGTCTCTGGGGTGGAGGAGAGGCTCCTGCCCCACCTAATAGCGCTCAGACATGAACGTGACCTTGCGACCTGGCTGTGCAACAGCAAGTTTGAGATGCGTTAGTTGCTCTGAGTTTTGCATTTTTGAGGAGAGAGTGACTCATTGTATAACCTGTATCTATGGGGCTAATTTGACAAATTAATTTTTCTTGTAATAAGTATTTAAAATTCATTAACTGTGGTCACTGATGATTTTCCCCTTGTTCTTCAGTTCCATCTTTCAAGGCTGGAGAAAAAAGACCATTTGATTCCAAATCCATCTCCCCTCTCCACCCCTTTTAAAATTCAAAATGAACTGTCCATCCTGCCCTTGGATGAAATCCAGGATTCCATCAGTCTACCCACAGTGGGAATACTTTTAGGTCATAGTGGGAAATCTTTGGGAATCAATTAACTAGACTAATACTCTGCTGGAGGAAAGGGAAAAAGTGCTGAGGGGGAGACTTAATTTACCATGCATCACAACATTTTCTAAGTACATCATTTTCAAGTCAGCTCAGCCCTTCTGTTAGCCATGATGGAGACATGTTTGGGTTTGATTTTTAAAATTCTAATCTATCACTGTCACCATTCCTGCTGCAATTTAAGGCTTCGGTGGTTTGTGGTAGATAACAGTTGTTATACTTCCTGCAGGCTAAGAAGGCAGTGATGGTTTGGTTTATTAACTATCACAAAGCAGACAAAAGGGAGAAGAAAGGTCTGTGTAGACAGAAGAAGGTTGTGTCAGGCCAGAGGCGGCGGGGGAACCAAGCTGGAGAGAGGGTCCCCAGCTGCCTCCCCTCCTCCATTCTGCATCTCTTTCCTGAGCATCCAGAATCAGACCTATGGGTCATAGAGAGATGCCCCAGACATCAGCCCTGGCCCCAGGGGATTGTCATGGGCCAGGTGAAACTGATAAAGGAGCTGCAAGGGACAGAACTGCCTGCAGTGAACACTTAGGTCACATGCAGATACCTAGAGGGCAGTTGGCCTCAAGAGACAGATTCTGCAGGGCCTGGGGGAAGGGTGCTCACCCAGCTTCTGTCCTGCGTAGGTCATAGTTATAGCATTATTGACTGTAATAACTAATAGAGTCCACCCAGTCCAGGCATATCTAGAAGCCTATCAGCTGGCACTCTGTAAAGAAGAAGTGTGGATAATCCCAGCACTTTGGGAGGCCGAGGCGGCCCTCAGAGGATAGGATGGAAAGTTCATTTTGAATTTTAAAAGGGGTGGAGTGGGGAGATGGATTTGGAATCAAATGCTCTTTTTTCTTCAGCCTTGAAAGATGGAACTGAAGAACAAGGGGAAAATCATCAGTGACAACAGTTAATGAAGTTAATTCTTACAGTCCTTGTGAGTATTATCATCATTTGTATTCTATAGTAACCAAGGTCAAGAGTTCGAGACCAGCCTGACCAACATGATGAAACCTTGTCTCTATTAAAAATACAAAAATTAGCCAGGTATGGTGGCACGCACCTGTAATCCCAGCTACTCAGGAGGCTGAGGCAGGAGAATCACTTGAACCAGGGAGGCGGAGGTTGCAGTGATCCGAGATATTGCGCCACTGCACTCCAGCCTGGGCAACACAGCGAGACTCTGTCTCAAAAAAAAAAAAAAAAAAAAAAAAAAAAAAGAAGTGTAGCTATGTCGTGAGCGACTGAATCGTGGCCGTGTCTGAGGTCAGAATCCCAGGTTGGAGTCATCGGTTCACCCCGTAAGAGCTGGGAACATCGCATGTTCTCTCTGAGCCTCAGTTTTTCCATTTCTAAAATGGGGATCACAGTAGCGCTTTCCTCATCAAATTGCTGTGAGGCTTCGATAAGATGATGCATGTCAATTTTCCAGCATGTGCAGGCATCCAAGGAGGGTTAACTTACAGTCCTTGTGAGTATTGTCATCATTTGTTTTCTATAATAACCATGTTGGATGCATGAGTGGCAGAACAACCTGGAGGGTGAGTTCCCTTGCAGGAGCCCCAGAGGCTGGGGGAGCCTGGAAGGGACTTCTCCATTTGCAGTGATCAGGAGCGATGGTCAAAGAGCGATGTGAATGCAGAACGGAGACTACGAAGCAAGACCAGAAGGCCAGGGCCGGAGGGACTGAGGGAGACAGTCATGCTGCTTCATTTCACAGATGAGCAAACTGAGACTCCAAGAGGGAAAGGGGATCCCCTGATGGCACAGAGCAAGTGACTCTCTGAGACACTCCTGCTTGGGCCCATTAGTGAGGCGTGTGTCTTCAAGGGTCTGAGATTCCTGCCGCAGTCCCGGGAAGGCTTGTCCCTTGTGCTTCACCCTCTGAGAGTAGCCTCCTTCCTGGCTATTGCTGACTCACTGCCCTCATGACACCTGGATTCCAGAGGCTCAAAAGATAAAGCTTGTGCCAGTCACAGACCTTCCACCAAATCCTAGATGTCAGAGAGGGAGGACTGGAGGAGGCTGTGGTTGGGAGAATGTTCTGGGCTAAGGGGAGCAGGGAGGAGGAGAGTCCCACAGACGTTGGAAGCTAATGTGCTGGGCACGCCTGCCATGAACCCTGGATCTGAACAGCAGCTCTTAACTTTGTAGGGCCGCTCAGCTCTGCGGGTTCTGATGCAAGCCATAGACCTACCCCCCAGAAAACTGTGTACACACACAAAACTTAAGCACAGTTGTAAGGCGTTCATGGGCTCCAAGTGAAGGATTTTTGTTCTAATTTAAATTAGTTGTGCAGCTTTGGGCAAGTCATTTGAGCTGTTGGCACTGCAGCTTCCTTCCATTGAAGGATGGCAATGACAGTGTTCCCTGAGTGCTGATTACGTCAGCCTCAGCCGCGGGGGCTCCCCCACCCAAGCCGACCTACCCCAGCTGGGTGCCAGCAGAAAGTGGATGTGGGGGACTCATGGACTGCCCTGAAGAGCAGAGGAGTGTGGCCCTTCTCTGCTTCTCGGATGGCCCCACTTCACAGCCTGGGCAGTGAGAAGAGAACAAGTTTGAACTCAGAGGAACCTACATCCATCCCTCAGCTCTACTAGCTGTGTGCTCTGGAACACATCGCCTTTGATTTCAGAGCCTCAGTGCCTTCTTCTGAAAAATGGAGGTACTAACATGCTTACAGCTGTTGTATAGATCTGTTACCTGCCTAGCACCTCACCTGACCCAGAGCAGGTGCTCACCTGAGTAAGACATCGTTTTTTAGGGAGCCAGGAGCTGTGGTCTCTTTCCCCATCTCTGCCATGGACTCTCTGAGTGACCTTGCATTGTTTGGGCCTCAGTTTCCCTGGCATACAGTCAGGGGTTTGGGGTTGGAGGATCTCCGAGGTCCCACCCAGCTCTCATGCATTGTGGGTTGGTGTTAGCCCTGGAGAAGGAAGGTGTCAACTCAGTATGGAGGAGTCTGGGATTGGGGTGATGGATATGGAATGAAGCTACATTCTCCAGCTTGCTGGCTCCGCAGCCTCAGACAATGCTCAGTCTCATTGAGCTTCAGTTAGCTCGTTTATAAATGGGGATGTTTGCACCATCTGTAGAGTTGATACAGTATTCTACACCTTGTCATCTAGTATACTTAGCACACAGCATGTACTCAGTATTTGATAGCTGATACTACTCTGTTTGCTCAAAGACAGTGTTTTGGTTTTTCGATCCTTTGAGGATTCTTGATAGAGTCATGGCCTTCTGCAACCATGTAGGGTTTAGCAAATGTTTTTGGTAGAGCCAGGTAGATATTTTGTTTTGTTGGCCATATGGTCTCCACCGCAGCTATTCAGCTGCACCATTGTAACATGAAAGCAGCCATAGATAGTATGCAAATGAATAAGTATGGTTGCGTTTTAATAAAGCTTTATTTATAAAAATAGGTGGTGAGCCAGGTTTGGCCCACAGGCCATAGTTTACTGACCCCTGTCCTACATGCTCTGATCTCCAGGGCCAGACTCACAGAAATTTCCAGGGTATTTGTGTTATATTTTGATTTCCACCAACCAAGCACTTTTACACTCATAATCAAATTTAATTTTTACAAATGGCATGCCATTTTAAAGAAGAATAAACTGAGGTCACTGGTTGAAGAGTAGAGACCTTTCTGCTATGATGGATGGGAGATGGGAGGGGATGGGGTTAACCAAGATCTTATTCTGCCCCTGGTTCTGCATGTGACCCTAGAGGCACCCCTCTTTGCTCTGGGCCTCAACTTCTACTGTGTGGAAAGGGCTTTGGGATGTGGCCTCATCCTCTTAGCACCTTTATATCCTGAGATTCCAGACCAAAGTCTCAGGGAAACAGCTACAATCCAATCAGTTTTAGCAGCTTCTAATTCTTTTAAAGCTGCTCTGAGGAAATGAGACATTATTGTAAGGGGGAAGATCCTTTAATTAAATTGCTGGGAAATTAGAAGGATTGAGTGATTGAAACGCAGGGTGGGGCCGAGGCCTCAGCTCTCTCTGTGGATTAATTAAGAGGCTGCTCTGTTCCCTGCTCTCCCTGATGGTGGATACCAGGGGTCTGACCCCCAGGGACATTCAGCAAACCCTTTGATGGGGGGCTGGGAGAGTCTTGTCTCCTTGCAGCAACCACTCCCCACTGGGTCTCCTTTCTCTCCCCCACTCCAAGCCACCCTCCTATTCCTGCTGCGCCCACAGCTGATGGATGTTCTCAGGATGGGCCAATCTTAATTAAGTTGTATGATTTTTCTCAAGCTTGCAAAAGCAATTAATGCTTCCCGCCCCAGCCAGGGGTGGGGACTCTTTGGTTCAGCTGCCTTCCTGGCGAGGCTAGGGAACGTCCTAAAATTCAGACTCTATGTTGGTATTTCTGAGCTCCACAGATCCCACCCCTCACACTCCAATAGATCCACTCAACCCCCAGCTCCGGTCAGGGTGGGATGTGAATTTCGACCCAGATTTTCCTGTCCCTACCTGTGGCATCCCAACCTCAACACAGAGCGCCTTTCCTTTGTCCTGTCCTGGCCTTGCAGGGGTTGCCTCCTGCAGGTGAGATGCACTCTCCACTTCCCCAGGCAGTAGATGGAATATTCTGCTTATTGTTTTCCTCACTGACTCTAGCACATTCCATCTAATTTTTAAAATGTACCCAGTATTTACTGAGAAATTGTGTCCAGAGACATGGGCACCTAGAGCTGAACATGACTCCATCCAAGTCCTCACTCAGGCTCCCAGATCACTGGGAAATGACAAAACCGAGTAATGCCTAAAGGTTTCTCCAAGGGCTGTGGCAGCCCTGAGGAGGGTCAGGCGAGGCTTCCTTGAGGTGCTGGGCCTTCCCAAGCCAAGTCCTCCAAGTTGTCCAGGATCAAGCAGATGAAGGATATGGCAGACACAGAGATCTGGAGGCCAGCGAGAGCACGACCCAGGGGAAACAGTGAGAAGGAAGGAAACAACACAGGCCTGAAGAGGCAAGAAAGAAGTCAGACCAGGAAGGCATGCAGAGAAAGGGGATAAGGGAGGGCATGGGGGAGCTTCTTCAGAAATCCAGAGTGACTGTGGGGCTTGGTATGTCCCAGCTGGGTGGCTCTGAACACAGCACAGCCTGAGTCTCTACCGCTTCCTTCCCATCAGCCCCCCAACACCACCCACACAGCCACTCTCCTTAGCCCGTGACTGAAGGTGGACTCTCCGAGGCTGCTCAGGGGAGCCTGAGGCCTAGTCCCAGGTCACAGACCATTTGCTCCCATCTGTGGTGAGAGGAAGAGCTGCTCCAGGCCAGAATGAAAATTGGCCTCATCACTCAAGAGTGCTGTGCATTCCCGTGAGAGAATTTCTGTGTGTTTGTTTTATATTGAGACATTCTCAATGAAGGAAGCAGGGAAGGAGTGCATGGGTTTCTATGCTTCTATGTTGTCACCTGCGCCCTGTGCCCACATGGCCCAGTGGTTTGGGTGGCATTGCCATAGAGGGCAAGTCACATGTTTCTACACAACCTGACTGTTGGCCTGGCAGTGCCTCCATCCCCTTAGGGAGGGCTGGTGGGCGAGCTCACTCCACCCCTGGCCCTTCGTTCCCGCTGGTCCTCCTGCCTGGAACACTCTGCGCTCCTCTCCTCTGCCCCACCTGCAGTTCCCAGTTACCCCAGTGCAGACTCCTGTGAGTTCCCAGGGCAGTACCACTGTAGGACTTGTTACAGTGAATTATAGTGGCCTTTTTCTAAAATGTGTAGTAATTTCACAAGCAATCCACGATAACCTTCTCACTGTAGACAGTTTAGACTGTAGAGGTAGGATTTCCCTTAACCACCTTCCAGAACAGCCCCATGAAGCATCTATCGGGTGTGGTTTACTATATTATATTTATTCATTTAATAAATATTTATGGAGGACCTACTCTGTGCTGCCATTACTCTGTGTCCTAGGGATATGACATTTTATAAAACTCAAAGGGTTTATAGACTGAAACTAAAAGCAAGCATGAAGATGAGATTAAAATTCGTTAAATGATGATTTGTGCTCTATTGAAAAGCAAGGTGAGAGAGAGAAGCTGCTGGGGAAGAAGTGTTATTTCAGATGGAATGGTCAGCCACGGCTGCCTGGAGTGAGGGCGTGGGCAGACACCTGGCCAGGGGCCACCAGGTACAGGCGCCAGGCAGGGACAGGCACAGTCTGCTCATGGGGCACTGGGAGGCAGGTGGCTGCACACACGGAGGGAGGGACAGTGGGCAGCACAGTCAGGTGGAGAGTAGCTGGAGAGAGAGGATCAGAGACTGTGTGTTTGGTTCCCAGTGAGCTGGGAGCCTGTGCAGGGTTGGGAGTGAGGAGTGGCATGAGCTGACTTACGTTTTGAAAGGAATGCTTGGCAGCTCTGTGGGAAATGGACCTCTTTTCAATGCATTTTTATGCCTACATGTTTTATATATACATATATTAAAAATAAATACACATAATCTTTGTATCTTTCTCAAGCATCAACATTGTCACTCATTGTTGCTCGGCAACCTGCTTTTCGAGATCCATATATGTTGGAGAATGGAGAGCTTGCTGCAGGGCACATTCTTTTTAAACCATTGCATGCTCTTCCACAGACTCCTTGGAGTTTACTTAACTCCTCCCCTATTGCTGGATATACATTGGGTCATTTCTTTTTATTTTAACTCCTATAAATGATGAGATATCTCCTCAAGGCAGGGCCTTGCCTGTGGAGGGAAGTGGCCACCGGGCACTGAGTCACCATTTTGTGTCATGTCCATTCAGCAGCAGAGCCTTAGGACCAGTGACCATTTTTGAGCACTGATGCAGTGAATCCAGGCAGCTCTGTGCATGCAGAGTTCATTTCTCCACCACAGGAAACAGTGGCATCAAACCCAATCCAGGAATAGACTGCCACTCTATGTCGATGACCTGCAGAGGGAAACAGGCTTTGGAAGTCTCCCAGACCAAGCCCATGCTTCTCACATGAGGAAATGGAGACCGGGGTGTGGTGTCTTGCCCAGGGCCACCGATGAGGTAGTAGCAAAGCCAGGTCAGGAAACTGGTCTCTGCTTTCTTCTGCACCCAGAGTCAGTGAGCGAGGTGGGGTCCTATGCTGTCATCAGGCACTGTGTCCTTTCATCCTTTCAGATGGTTCTTTCCCTCCCTTTCCCATGTGCATGTGGCCATTGGTATGCTGCAGGACAAGTACTCCAAGGGGTTGTGTGCATATGCTGATCAGTACTCCACAGGGCGAGTACTCCAGGCTGTTGTGTGCATGTGCTCATCGATACACTGCAGGCCAAGTACTCCAGGGTGTTGTGTGCATGTGCTGATAAATACTGCACATGGTGAGTACCCCAGGGTGTTGTGTGCATGTCCTCATTGATATTCTGCAGGGCAAGTACTCCAGGGTGTTACCTGCATGTCCTCATTGATACTCTGCAGACCAAGTACTCCAGGGTGTTGTGTGCATGTGCTCGTCGATACTCTGCAGGGTGAGTACTCCAGGGTGTTGTGTGTATGTACTGATCAATACACTGCAGGGCGAGTACTCCAGGGTGTTGTGTGCACGTGCTCATCGATACTCCGCAGGGTGAGTACTCCAGGGCGTCGTGTGCATGTGCTCATCGATACGCTGCAGGGAGAGAGTACTCCAGGGCGTCGTGTGCATGTGCTCATTGATACGCTGCAGGGCGAGTACTCCAGGGCGTCGCGTGCATGTGCTCATCGATACGCTGCAGGGCTGGTACTCCAGGGCGTCGCGTGCATGTGCTCATCGATACGCTGCAGGGCGAGTACTCCAGGGCATCGCGTGCATGTGCTCATCGATACGCTGCAGGGCTGGTACTCCAGGGCTTCGTGTGCATGTGCTCATCGATACGCTGCAGGGCAGGTACTCCAGGGCGTCGTGTGCATGTGCTGATCGATACGCTGCAGGGAGAGTACTCCAGCGCGTCGTGTGCATGTGCTCATGGATACACTGCAGGGCGAGTACTCCAGGGCGTCGTGTGCATGTGCTCATCGATACACTGCAGGGCGAGTACTCCAGGGTGTCCTGTGCATGTGCTCATCGATACGCTGCAGGGCGAGTACTCCAGGGCGTCGTGTGCATGTGCTCATCAATACTCTGCAGGGCGAGTACTCCAGGGTGTTGTGTGCATGTGCTCATCGATACTCTGCAGGGCAAGTACTGCAGGGCGAGTACTCCAGGGCGTCGTGTGCATGTGCTCGTCAATACTCTGCAGGGCGAGTACTCCAGGGTGTTGTGTGCATGTGCTCATCGATACTCTGCAGGGCAAGTACTGCAGGGCGAGTACTCCAGGGCGTCGTGTGCATGTGCTCGTCAATACGCTGCAGGGCGAGTACTCCAGGGCGTTGTGTGCATGTGCTCATCGATACTCCACAGGGGAGTACTCCAGGGTGTTGTGTGCATGTGCTCATCGATACTCTGCAGGGCAAGTACTGCAGGGCGAGTACTCCAGGGCGTCGTGTGCATGTGCTCGTCGATAAGCTGCAGGGCGAGTACTCCACGGCGTCGTGTGCGTGTGCTCGTTGATACGCTGCAGGGAGAGTACTCCACGGCGTCGTGTGCATGTGCTGATCGATACGCTGCAGGGCGGGTACTCCAGGGCGTCGTGTGCATGTGCTGATCGATACACTGCAGGGCGAGTACTCCAGGGCGTCATGTGCATGTGCTGATCGATACGCTGCAGGGAGAGTACTCCAGTGCGTTGTGTGCATGTGCTCATGGATACACTGCAGGGTGAGTTCTCCAGGGCGTCGTGTGCATGTGCTCATCGATACGCTGCAGGGCGAGTACTCCAGGGCGTTGTGTGCATGTGCTCATCGATATTCTGCAGGGCGAGTACTCCAGGGTGTTGTGTGCATGTGCTCATCGATACGCTGCAGGGCGAGTACTCCAGGGCGTTGTGTGCATGTGCTCATCGATATTCTGCAGGGCGAGTACTCCAGGGTGTTGTGTGCATGTGCTCATCGATACTCCACAGGGTGAGTACTCCAGGGTGCTGTGTGCATGTGCTCATTGATACTCTGCAGGGCAAGTACTGCAGGGCGAGTACTCCAGGGCGTCGTGTGCATGTGCTCGTCAATATGCTTCAGGGCGAGTACTCCAGGGCGTCGTGTGCATGTGCTCGTCGATACGCTGCAGGGCGAGTACTCCAGGGCGTCGTGTGCATGTGCTCATCGATACGCTGCAGGGAGAGTACTCCAGGGCGTCGTGTGCATGTGCTGATCGATACGCTGCAGGGCGGGTACTCCAGGGTGTCGTGTGCATGTGCTCATCGATACGCTGCAGGGAGAGTTCTCCAGGGCGTTGTGTGCATGTGCTCATCAATACTCCGCAGGGTGAGTACTCCAGGGTGTTGTGTGCATGTGCTCATCAATACTCTGCAGGGCAAGTACTGCAGAGCGAATACTCCAGGGCGTTGTGTGCATGTGCTCGTCAATACACTGCAGGGCGAGTACTCCAGGGCGTCGTGTGCATGTGCTCGTCGATACGCCACAGGGCGAGTACTCCAGGGCGTCGTGTTCATGTGCTCGTCGATACGCCACAGGGCGAGTACTCCAGGGCGTCGTGTGCATGTGCTCGTCGATACTCCACAGGGTGAGTACTCCAGGGTGTTGTGTGCATGTGCTCATCGATACTCTGCACGGCAAGTACTGCAGGGCGAGTACTCCAGGGCGTTGTGTGCATGTGCTTATCGATACGCTGCAGGGAGAGTACTCCAGGGCGTCGTGTGCATGTGCTCATCGATACGCTGCAGGGAGAGAGTACTCCAGGGCGTCGTGTGCATGTGCTCATTGATACGCTGCAGGGCGAGTACTCCAGGGGGTCGTGTGCATGTGCTGATTGATACGCTGCAGGGCGAGTATTCCACGGCGTCGTGTGCATGTGCTCGTTGATACTCCGCAGGGTGAGTACTCCAGGGTGTTGTGTGCATGTGCTCATCGATACTCTGCATGGCAAGTACTGCAGGGCGAGTACTCCAGGGCGTCGTGTGCATGTGCTCATCGATACGCTGCAGGGAGAGTACTCCAGGGCGTCATGTGCATGTGCTCATCGATACGTCGCAGGGCGAGTACTCCAGGGCGTCGTGTGCATGT